>NC_000008.11:100714222-101339222 GCF_000001405.40 Homo sapiens | reverse complement strand
AAAAAGGTACCACTCTGGGCTGGGCATGGTGCCTTATGCCTGTAATCCCAACACTTTGGGAGGCCAAGGTGGGTGGATCACTTGAGGCTAGGAGTTCAAGACCAGCCTGACCAACATGGTGAAACCTTGTCTCTAATAAAAACACAAAAAATTACAGACATGGTGGTGCATGCCTGTAGTCCCATCTGCTCAGGAGGCTGAGGCACAAGAATCACTTGAACCCAGGAGGCAGAGGTTGCAGTGAGCTGAGATCTTTCGCACCACTGCGCTCCACCCTGGGCAACACAGTGAGACCCTGTCTCAAAAAAAAGAAAAAAATGTACCACTCTGGTGTGGGATGTTGACAATGGTGGAGGCTGTGCATGTGTAGGGGTAAGGGTCTTATGAGAAATCTCTATACTTTCCTCTCAATTTTGATGTGAACCTTAACGTTCTCTACAAAAATAGTCTTAAAAAATAGTTAAACTATATGCCAGACGTGTGGCTCAGGCCTGTAATCCCAGCACTTTGGGAGGCCAAGGCAGGCAGATCACAAGGTCAAGAGATCGGGACCATCCTGGCCAATATGGTGAAACCCTGTCTCTACTAAAAATACAAAAATTAGCTGGGCGTGGTGGTGCACGCCTGTCGTCCCATCTGCTCAGGAGGCTGAGGCACAAGAATCGCTTGAACCCGGGAGGCGGAGGCTGCAGTGAGCCAAGATTGAGCCACTGCACTCCAGCCTGGCAACAGAGTAAGACTCTGTCTCAAAAAAAAAAAAAAAAGTTAAACTATGTATGTTTAAAATAATAAGATGACAAGCTGGGAGGAAACTTTATGCAACACATATATTTCCTTAATTTATAAGCTTTTGTAATTTACAAAGAGTTTTAAAAGTTTCTTATAAAACTGAAAAACAGTCCAGTAGAAAAACAAATTAAAAATAAGAGCAAGGAGATACAAATGGCTCGTAAGCACATAAAAACACTCAACTTCTAATTTTAAAAATGTAAAAGTAAACATTAAGACCAAAATGTTACACCCATCTAATTTGCAAAAATCAAGTTTGATAGTGTGCATTGTTGATCAAAATGCAGATTATCCCACATGTGGTTGCTGAAATTGTAAGTTGGTACCCTTCTACGGAGAAAAATTTGATCAAAATTTAAAATGCACATGACTTTTAATTTGGCAATATATTGCTACAAATTTAACACAAAATATATTTGAAAAAGGACAGTAAAGTCTATTTATAATACTTCTTGCATTGTTTATAATACCAAAATTTGCCAGCAACCTAAAATGCTTCTCAATAAGAGACTGTTAAATAAATTATGCATGCAATGGAATACTGTGTAGCCACTTCTTTCTTTTTCTTTTCTTTTTTTTGAAACTAAAGGTGTCACATATTTATTACTAAACCAAGCCTACCAGCACACACACAACACATACACAAAGAAAAAAGAGAAAAAATATATTCCCAATAAAACATGTCCAACTGTCCAGATAGTGGTGACATTTTCAGCTTGCTATGGTAAGATAGTCATGACCTTGGCACTGCATAAATGTGTGCCATCTCATGTGCAATTCCTTATAGACCCAGCTTGCTTCTTCTCCAATGCCTCCTTTTGGAGTTGTACCTGATTTTATTACCAGTTTTCATCCAAATCCCCTGGGGAATGAGATGATTTTTTGCTATTGTTACTTGGCCAGGAAATGCTTAATCCTGAAAGTCTTGTGAGAAGACATGACAAGAAGTGGAGTTAAGCACACATCATGATGATGGAAAAAGGAACAGAGAGCCCATTTGTTAAATAACGTGGATCTGTGCAACATCTGTACAAATACAGTAAAAATAGCAAAAACAAGTTTTTTAAGTTTAAAAAGCAACGTGCATCTCCTTGAAGTTGGGGTATTTGGGGGAAAAAAAAGCAAGGTGTAGACCTTTGAGCCTAATATAATCCTTTTTATATTATATACTAGTATGATCCCCATTTTACAGATGAAGAAACTGAGGCACAGGAAATGTATCAATTTACCCAAGATCGCAAACGTATTATGTGGTGAAGCTAGTGTTTAAAACCAGCAGTTATGGGTTCAAACTAAGTTAGTGGTGGTGGGAATGGAGATGAGGAAATACATCTGAAAAATATTAGGGTACAGAATCTACAGGCCTAAATGTGAAGGATAAATAAGAGGAAAGGAGGAGGGATAATTTTCAGATTTTTTTGTTAAATCTCATTAACAAGAAATTCTGGTTTTTGGAAAACTTACTCTACTTTTCCCTGAATTATCTTATCTCAGGAAATTAGAGAAGTACTAAGTGAAAATATTTGTAATAACTTGCCTAATTCCCAGAGCTCACCTTGGGCCAGGGAATGTTCAAGCTCTCGCCAACCAGAGTGGAAAAGCCTTCTTGAATATATGCACCATTCTGTAGAGACTGAAGAAGATTCTTACTTTAGAAGTGGGGCTAAAATAGCTATGAAGACTGTTCTAGATACTGATCCCCGAGAACAGAGCTCAACATAATTTACTAAAATATCAAATAGATCCACAATGAATGTAACTGCCTGCCCTAGCAAAGCTCAGCACTCTTTAAATAACAATATCTATCTATCCACAACATGATTCACAGTATCCATCATCCAATAATAAATTAGTAGACCTATAAAGAAGCCAAACAATGTGACCCACAATCAAAAGTAAACTAGTGAATAGAAACAAACCCAGAAATGAGAGAGATGATACATTTAGCAGACAAGAATATTAAAATAGCTATTTAAATATGCTTTATATACTTGAGGATATAAAGAATAACATAATAAGGAAAAAAATGGAAGGTATTTATAAAATAAATGGAAACTCTAGAAATAAAAATACAGTATCTAAAATGAAACTTTTATTGGATGGGATTAATAACATATTAGAAATTGTAGAAGAAAATATCCTGAACTTGAAGACATAAAAATGTAAACTTATCCAAACTAAAGCACAGAGAACAAAGTTCAAGATACATGTTGTAAGTCCTAAAGCAATCACTTTTTAAAAAACCAGTAGTGAAGATAAAAACTGAATACTAAAGGCTACTCACATTCACCACTTCTATTCAACATTGTACTGGAAGAGCTATTCAGTGCAATAAAAAAAGGAAGGAAAATTCTTTATTCTGAAGCAAAATAATCATGTACAGAGGGAAAAAAACTGTGATCAAGTAAATATGAAAACGAACTGGCATTCATTGATAGATACTATGATTTTTTTTTTTTTTTTTTTGAGACAGAGTCTTATTCTGTCGCCCAGGCTGCAGTGACACGATCCCAGCTCACTGCACCTCCACCTCCTGAGCTCAAGTGATTCTCATGCCTCAGCCTCCCAAGAAGCTGGAATTACAGGTATGCACCACCACCACCTGGCTAATTTTTGTATTTTTAGTAGAGACGGGGTTTCACCATGTTGGACAGGCTGGTCTCAAACCCCTGACCTCAGATGATCCACCCTCCTCAGCCTCCCAAAGTGCTGGGATTACAGGTGTGAGCCACCACACCCAGCCGGAATTCTTGTTAATACTTTTAGGTTTGATAATGGTATTGTTGTTATATTTTAAGAGTCCTTACATTCTTGTGATGTATACACTAAAATATTTACATGTGAAAGAATATGGTATCTAGGATTTGCTACAAAACATTTTGTGGTTGTGGGAGTGGGGATGGTAAAGAGGGTAGGAAATGGGTTAATAATAAGATTGGCCTGAGTTGAAACTGGGTGATAGGAATATGTGGGTTTGTTATGCTACTTTCTTCTATTTTTGTACGTGAATTTTTTTTATAAAGACAACATAAAAGAGTGAAAATGGCAAATGACTAAGTAACAAAAGATACAACATATGTAAGCAACAAAAAGACAGTGCCTAAATTATATAAAGAGTTCCTATAAATCAATTAAAACAAAAAACAAACAACCCAATAGAAAAATAGGCAAGAGATTTGGACAGGAACTTCCAAAAATAAGGATATTCAAATGGTCAGTAAACAGGTTGATTAGTAATCAAGGGAAAACAGTTAAACCACAACGGTTATGACTACACACCCCTTCGAATCATTGAAGTTAAAATGACTGGCAATACCAAATGCTGGTGAAGATGTGACCCAATGGGAATGTTCACACACTTCTGGTGAGCATGCAAACTGATACAACAACTTTGGAAAATAGATTGGCATTATCTACTACAGTTAGACATATACATACCTTATGACAGCAAATCTATTCCCATGAATATTCTTGGGGGAAATATATGTTCATGTGCAAATTATATGTTCATGTCCAAATCTTTGGACAAGAATGTTCACAGGCAGTATTATTTATAATAACCCCAAACCAGAAAGAACCCAGATATCTATCAGTAGAAGAATGGATAAACCATGGTGTACTCATACAATAGAATTCTACTTAGCAATGAAAATGAACAAATCACAGTTAATATACTATAATATACATGAATATCCTAAACACGATGTTAAGCCAAAAAAAAAAAGGCAAACATAAAGAAATCATACTGTATTATGCCATTTACATAAAGATCAAAAACAGGCAAAACAAATCTATGGTGATAAAAGTTGGGAAAGTGGTTGCTTGTGGAGAGGATGAAATAGGCAGCAATTGGGCAAGGGTATGAAGTGGGCTTTGGGGTGCTGGTATTGTTTCATTTATTGACATGGTTGGTAGTTAGTTTTTTGTGGTACTTAAGAGTGTTCATTTTGTGGGAATTTTGTGCTATTTACTTATAACTCGTGTGCTTTTCTGTGTGTGTGTCTACTTCACATTAAAGAGTTTAATACAAAGAGATAAGTCATTTATTCATTCATTGTTCTGTCAATTCATTGATTCATTCAGTAAACCTTTGCTGAGGGTTGGTGTATTAGTCTGTTCTTGAATTGCTATAAAGAAATACCTGAGACTGGTTAATTTATAAGTAAAGAGGTTTAGTTGGCTCATGGTTCTGTAGCCTGTACAGGAAGCATGGTGGCATCTGCTTCTTGGGAGGCCTCATGGAGCTTTTTCACGGCAGAAGACAAAAGCGGAAGCAGGCACTTCACATGGCGAAAGCGGGAGCAGGAAAGCAAGGCCGGAGGCGCTACACACTTTTAAAAGACCAGATCTCAAGAGAACTCGCTCACTATTGAGAGGATAGCACCAAGGCGGATGGTGATAAATTTTTCATGAGAAATCCGCCCGCATGATCCAATCACCTCGCACCGAACCCCACCTCCAACACTGGAGATTACATTTCAGTATGAGATGAGGAGTGGGGACGCATATCGAAACTGTATCACTTGGCTGCAACATCATTGGAGCACCAGTTCTTACCGGATTGCAGTGTTTCTCATGGGGAAAAAAATGTTCTTGTGCATAGGGCTAGATTTTTAAAAACCAAGGGTTTGAAACTTGATTTAGTCCTAACCACAACTTGCTGTTTTAGTTTAGCCACGCTATTGTGCTTCTCTGGGCCCGTGATGATCCGTAGAGTAAGTGATCTTTCTTTTAGCTCTGAAAGTGGTAATTTATTAATTCAATCAACTGTAGTTGAGTGCATATTACCTGTGCAGTGATTTGCTAAAGATAGGAGCCACAAAACTAGAAAAACAAACAAATGCATGGTCTCATTCTCCAGAAGCTCCTAGCCTTGCCAGTAACAAAGGCACCACTATGGTGGAGCAAAGTAAGTGCATCGGTGGACCTCATGCCCAGGATGCTAAGGGACCACTTGTGAGCAGCTGCTAATCCTGATCCCAAAGGAAGGCAGCCAGAAGTGGAGACCCGATCCCACTTCCGGCTGTGTATTAAATGCTGCTCTATAGGATAGAGTATTACCTGGTTGGGGCCAGCACGGCTTCTCTGAGGCCTGGAAGCAGGAGAAAGCTTCAGTCAGACAGGAAAGCAGCAGAAAGATGAGAGTGAACAAAAACAAAGAGTTTTTTACTGCCTTTTATTTTTCAGGTCTGTGTAGATAGGCTGCTAGGAGGCAATGTACAGAAGGGAGTGGGAGTCCAGAGCGTGGCAGGGCCAGGGCAGGAAAGACCTTGATTGCCCTGATACAAATCCCAGCAGGAAGGAGCCAGCGCCTCCCCAGACACAACTTCCGGCACCTGCCGCTCAGCAGGGCCGGTGAAAAGCAGTCCCCTAGTGGCAAGTTTGGGAGCTCCCGGTTGCTCGTGGCCTGAAAATCATGCTCCAAAGAGGACAAATTCTAAGGGCTCTTCAAAACCCCAGAGGAATACAAGCCCACTGGAAATGTAGCTAATCAGCTATGCAAATGTGATTTGCACATAGGAAAGCACAATAAACAAACCAGGGATCTCCCGAGAAAGTACCAGAAGACGCCTTGGCTTAGAGAGCGCTGGGACAGCATTTCCCCAGGGCAAGGATCTGCTGATTCTGAGTGTCTGAAGAGTTGCTTTGCATGCGGCCTCAGCAGATGTGTCCATTTGCATGTAGGTAAATTTCCGCATGTAAGGTCTCAGTATCAAGCAGGTCTTCAGAGGACTGAATGTCACAGGATTAAAATCTAAAACTCATTTAGCATTCACCAGTGCAACCAGCTAATAGGCATCAAGATTTGCATCAGAGGATCAAGATCTGTAGTTGGTTTAATGGTAAGAAATAGTCTTAGAAATGCAGCTTAGAAAAAAATTTAGAGACATTTATAGCAGCCTCAGAGCTGCCCCCTTGGGCAGCTCTACAGTTTCTCACTCTATCCTCTGTACAGGAAGGGGTGTTCCCAGGGCCTACTTCCCTGTGGGCTCTGTCCACAGTGCTCTTCAGGGCTGCTCGTGGCTGGCTTAATGATGTTGAGCACTACTGGCTTTTCACAGGGACAGGGCTGCTGGACACCCTGCAATGTGCAGGACAGTCCTGCCAGGTGAAACTGTCTCTTCTTCTGCATGACTTTGGAATGTCTCACTGAAATTTTATGTACATGAACAACCTGCTGATAAACTTCTGAGCATAAAAGCTAATTCAGTTTGGTATGTAAACAAAATATTCAGTTTAATTCACACTGAATTTTTCAGCAATGCAAGTACTATGCAAACTGGGGAAAAGACTAGGCTTAGTTTTATTCAGAGCTTTGTTGGGAGTTGTTCACTATGTCAGAGAAACTTGAGGTTAACATGTGCAGCAGCTCCATTTGTGGGGTTCCATGTAGGAGGCCAAGTGTTTGCCTACTTCCTGTTGGCTTCTAGCAAAATCGGGCCTCCACCTCTGTCTACTGAAATACGTATTATTTTACGGTAAGTTACTATCTTTTTATTTCTTCTCTAAGGCATTGTGTTGATTTTTTGAAATTAGGCATATAGTTAGGTTATTATTCATTAATTTTGTTTCAGCCTAGTAAAATGGGGGAGGAAGGGGTACAGAATATTTCTTTTCTCCTTCCTTTCTTTCCCTTTCTTTCTTTTTCTTTCTTTCTTTCTTTTCTTTTTCTTTCTTCTTTTCTTTCCTTTCTTTCTCTTTCTTTCCCTCCCTTCCTTTCTTTCCTTCCTTCCTTCCTTCCTTCCTTCCTTCCTTCCTTCCAGGGTCTCACTCTCTCACCCAGGCTAGAGCACAATGCATGTTCACGACTCACTGCAACCTTGACCTTCCATGCTCAGGCAATCCTCAAGCCTGAAATTATTTCTTTCCTTTCTTTCTTTCTTTCTTTTGTTTTGTTTTGGTGGAGGACAGAGTTTCGCTCTTGTTGCCCAGGCTGCAGTGCAATGGCGCGATCTGGGTTCACTGCAACCTCCACCTCTTGGGTTCAAGCGACTCTCCTGCCTCAGCCTTCCGGGTAGCTGGGATTACAGGCATCCACCACCAAGCCTGGCTAATTTTTGTATTTTTAGTAGAAACAGGGTTTCCCCATGTTGGCCAGGCTGGTCTCACCCTCCTGACCTCAGGTGATCCACCCACCTTGGCCTCCCAAAGTGTTGGGATTACAGGCATGAGCCACTGTGCCCAGTCAAAAATATTTCTTATGTAACGGCCTCCATGTCTGACAGGGTAGAATACAGAGGGATGAATCTGGCCTTTCTCTCTCACAGCCTCAGCTTCTTCATCCCTTAAATGGAAAGAATGCCTAACTCATAGGGTGGGGCCTGAGAGTGTCTCTTTGGAGCTCAGAAAGGGACAGAGGATATGAGAGAAGCAGCATTTATTGAACACCTACTGTGCATCCAATTTTTTGCTCCTTGGATCCTTACAACAGCCTCAGGGACTAAAAACAATCACACTCATCATCCCCCTGAGGAACCAGGCTCAGAAAGAAGGTGTGTCTACGTGCATTCTGATCTTCCTGGGCCCCTTCCTCCATCAAAAATATTAACAATATTCTATTTTATGACTGCATTCGTATAAAGACAAATACATTGATATGTATTAAAACATTTTCTTCGACATAAAGTTATATATATATATATTTTGTAATTAAAAAAATAACATTTTTATGGGCTTCTAAGAGTATGGTGGGCCCTAGGCATGGTTCCTCCTGTGCCTGAGGGGTTAGTTGGTCCTGTGTGTCTGGTCCAAGGTCACAGAGCCCTAGTGGTAGTGCTGGGGTTTCAGTGCTCCCCATACCTGATGTGCTTTGGGGACCCCAGGCGAGGGGAGGGATGGAGCCAGGAGGGGGCAATGGGGAGAGGAGGAGTTTCCATAGCAACTTAGCTAAAAATGAAAATTCAAAATATGGGTATTTACTGGCTTCCTCTAGACGCTGTGTACTACTCGTGATAAAATAAAACCAGCATTCTTTTATACTTAGAAGGCAGGCAACCCTGCTCATAGGCAATACTGTAAAACAGATAAATAAGCAAGGGGTCCAGTAATCGCTTGACTCTCTAATAAGGCTTCCTTTAATCGTAGTTGGTCACTTTAATATTTACAAATTGCAGCTTAGGGTTGCACAAAAACATTTAAATTATGAGGAAAGTAATGAAAAAAGAAAAGTAGGTCATCTCTAACCTATTGAAACTTCATAGGAAAATAGGAGCTAAGTTCTAAAAGTTCAATCTAATGTAATCTTTTCAGAATACCTGTAGGGCAAAGGGTGCTGCTGTCCACCTGGAGAGGCACTGAGGGGCATGTGTATGTGAGTGTGTGTGTGTATACGCACATGTGTGAGGGGTATACCTTAGGTGTCAAGAACTTTCAAAAGGACTGAAACTGGTGGAGCTGGTTGAATCTCAGAGCCCCAGTGAGGCTGCAGTTGGATCCTCATGGTGTGAGGTTGACTTCCAAGGCAGAGCCCTCAGGCCTCAGACGGGTTCATAGAGAGCAGATTGAGGGGGCCAGGTACTCCTGGGGACTCACAGTCCACTGGTCTGGGAAAATTGGCATGGGGTGGGCAGCAGAGCACCCCCGTGGGCAGGCCTCGAGATGCTGAAGATCTCCTCAGTCAGTGCTCAGCATGCATGAAAATGACCTGAGTGGTCAGGGGAGTGGGAAGGAGGGAGGCAGGACAGGGCCAGGGTGAGTAGACCCCTGGAATAGCTCACTACATGAGCCTAGGGAAATTATTCAAAACCGGGGGCTTTAGAGCCATCCTCCACATTCAGTGGAATACGAAGTGAGTTGAATGGTGGCCCCTAAAAGATATGTCCATGGCCTGGAATCTGCACATGTGACCTTATTTGGAAAAAGGATCTTTGCGGATATTATTAAGGATCTTGAGATGAGATTATCCTGAATTACCTGGGTGGGCCCATAATCCTATCAAAACACAGAAGAGGAGAAGGCATAGACACAGAAGAGGAGGAGGCTGTGTGAAGACAGAGGCAGAGATTACAGTGATGTAGCCACGAGACAAGGAAGGCTGGAGGCCCCAGAAGCCAGAAAAGGCAAAGAAAAGTTCTGCCCTAGAGCCTTCAGGGGTAGCATGACCCTGCCGACATCTTGATTTCAGACTCCTGGCCTCTAGAACTGGGATAGAATAAATTTGTGGTTTTAAGCACCTTGTTTGTGGTACTTTGTTACAGCAGCGTTCTACTCTGCAGCCCAGCATGAGAACATTGAGCTGTCATCAAAGCCACAAGGTACTAAAACTGAAGATTTCACAGAAAGAAATCTGATCAGACCCAGGCTTTCAGGTGCCACCTGGGCTGGGAGGTCCGGTCCTGAGGTCAGTGCTGTCATGAGCCTGGGCTCGATCTTGTGACACTGGCTTTGCCGAGCCTCTGCTGGACACTGCCAGTGTGGGCCACTCTGTAATGTGGGGCCTCAGCAAGGTCCTTGCTGGTGGGATTGAACAGAAAGAAGCTCAGTGTCTCTCTCACACATAAGTTACGTGACTGCATCTCTATTAAATGCTTTTATTTTCTCCCAGGCTTCACTTTATGAATGGGATTTTAATAGCTGAAATTATTGGATCTAGAGATGTACTATAATATCCATTGTCATTTTAAGAAGCTACCTTTCCATTAAGTGGCTTTGAACCCTGTGACAAGCACCTGGTGGCAGTGTCCAGGCATCGGTGGAAGCGGCACTAAGAGCGGCTTAGTGCTGTAGCCATGCTTACTACTCCTTCCCCCAAGCAGAGTGACCAGGGATGCGGGGTCAGAGCAGCCACATAGCCAGGGCTGCCCAGCTACGGAACTGGGGGCAGAGGCACTGGAGACACTTTGCAGCAAGCACAGAGAACATCATACTGCTGGCTAGAGCCAGAACCCTGGACCCAGATGTGGGACCCAGTCCCACACCTATCACAGGAAAGAGGAAACCCCAGGTCTTGGGGAGCCCCACAGTGGTGGAGGTCACAGCCACACACTTACATTTTGGCTTACCTGGAATTAAAAGATGGGGATCGATGTATGCCTGGCTTAGGCTAAGCAATTTGAATGCATTATCTCTTATAATTCTCACCCAAACCCTTTAATCCCATCCTATTTATTTATTTATTTATTATTTATTTATTTTTCGAGATGGTGCCCAGGCTGGAGTGCAGTGGCATGGTCTCGGCTCACTGCAACCCCCGCCCCCCAGGTTCAAGCACCTGAACTCAGGTGATACACCTGCCTCGGCCTCCCAAAGTGCTGTAATTACAGGCATGAGCCACCTCACCTGGCCTAATCCGATTTTATAGAGGAGAAAATGGAGACTTGGGAAGTTTGAGTAACCTGCTTATGCTCCTGTAACCCCCCTGTCAGCTAGGATTTGCATTCAGATGGGTCTGTGGCCAGAGCCCAAAAGCTCAAACTGCCTCTCACTGGGCGAGGAGTGCCCAGTCACTGAAACTGTTCCTTGCAGTTTTTTTCTATGTCTTCTGTTACCCTTATTGCATTGTATACTGATTTGCTGTATGAAACTGAGCATTCTAAACCTAAGTCACACCGATTGACGACTCAGACTTCTTGACAACTGGGCTGAGCTCTCACACGGTGACGCACTTGGGGGCTCTCTGTTCCTGCTCTATTTAGTCCCAGTCTTCAAGTTTTTCTTTCTGTTCTTTGGGTTTTTCTGTTCCAGTCTTACTACCATCTTTCTGAACTTGAGTCTATCTTTGTACCTGCCTCTAACAATATTTCCCTCTTCCAAATAGTTATTTTTTAACCTGTTATATTAGAATTATGTCTAACATAAGAGCAAATAGACCTTCCATAAGAAGCTTGGTGTCTCTCTCACAAATAAGCTATGTGAATTCATCTCTATTAAATGTTTTTCTTTTCTCCTGTGCTTCACTTTATGAATGGGATTTTAATAGCTGAAATTATTAGATCTAGAGATGTACTATAATATCCATTGCCATGTTAAGGAGCTACCTTTCCATCAGGTGGTTCTGAACCCAGTGACAAGCACCTGCTTTCAGGAGCCAAGAAGTCCCTGGCAGAGTGCAGAGGCTCTCAGGTAAGGATTCTGGAGTGCTGATCCATTCTTCACTGAGGTCTAAGGAGAGCAACCTGATATCTAATCGCCGCCTAAGAAAGTCGCCTGAAATATTTGTGTCTCCTTGTTCATATAAGGAAATAGAGTTCAAAGAAATCAAATCTGAACCCATCGTTTTACTCCAAAATACAGTAGTTGATAGGGAAACGAAATCCCACCTTTTACCTCGTCCCTTGTGACACAATATCGCCACCTGCTGGCCAAAACATCACAGCGCAATTGTGTGCATCAATAGTTTGTTCAGAATGTGTATTAGCTGTCAACCTTGAAATACAGATTACAGCACTCTGTGTTCCAATCCACAACTTAGCACGCTAATTCTAAACTTCACGAAGCCAAGTATCAAGCCCCAATTACACTGCTTTTCTCCAGAAATATGCTTTCTTTTAAAATCAGAAATTACAATATTAAATCTTTTATGTTCTTAATTTACTTTAGCTTTTACATTTAATAAATATAAATTATGAAAAAAATATTATAATAGGTGTGTTGTCTGATAGTAGGCAGAAAGCACAGTGTGTGCCAAAGAGAGACCTGGTTGCATAATCCCGCTGTCCCACTTATTGGCTATGTAAATCTGGGCCTCAGTTTCTTTATTTGTAAAATGGAAATAAGAATACGTAACATAGAGTGCAGTCATGCAAAACAAATAACATAAATTTGGTACCTAGAACATGTGATTGAGGATATGCTGATTTAGTCTCCTTTTATTAAAGAAATGATCATATTGTTAACTAAATATGGACACACCCACCACCTTTCCTCTAAAACTACTACAAGAGAAATATGATTTGAAAGCATAAATCTCATACAAGACTCTAAAAGCAAAAGCAGAACTCAGATGGCAGAATAGTTTATTTTGTGTTTGTTTATTGACTTTATGGTTCATTACAATAACTTTCACTGAATAGCTTCAAAGGAAAAGAATTTAGTGCAATAAGGTTCTGCTATTACAAACATACATTTCATTTTTAAAGTGAATCAAAAACTTTTGTCTGAGGAAGTAGAGGACTAAAAGCTGAGTGAATAACCTCTATGAGCTGTCAAAGCAAGCAAGCCTCCAAGGGGGTTCTTGTGCGTGAGTTTTCAAAAGAAAAATACTGCATTCAGAGAGCAGAGGTAACTTTGCCTGGCTATCTTTATCTGATATTCTGACATGAAATGCCTCATTCTCAAAGTATTATAATTGTTTTATTTTAATTCCATGGCTCGATACAGTTCCTTTTAATGTTGTATTGGTGAATAAGGTGGATTCTAAAGTCAGGTTCAAACCTTGATCTTGAACAAACTACCTAAATTCCCTACACCTTGCTTGTAAGGTTACTGCTGAAGTTTGATGAAGCAATGCATGCAATGGCGTGTGGTTGGAACAATGCTGGGAATAAAGTAAGTGCTGTATTCATATCAGATAGCGTATATTTAAGAGCAAAGAATATTACCAGGGATTTTAAAAAGTCATTTCTGGCCAGGTCCAGTGGTTCACACCTGTATTTCCTAGCACTTTGGGAGGCAGAAAGGTCTCTTGAGGCCAGGAGTTCAAGACCAGCGTGGGCAACATAGAGAGACCCCTGTCTCTACAAAATACAAACAAAAATTTAAAAAAATAGCTGGGCATGGTGATGCAAACCTATAGTCCCAGCCACTCAGGAGGCTGAGACAGGAGGATCGCTTGAACCCAGGAGGTCAAGGCTGCAGTAAGCAATGATGGCATACCTGGATTCCAGCCTGCATGATAGAGTGAAACCCTGTCTCTAAAAAAAAAGAAAAAACAAGGTCATTTTTTAATGATAAAGTGGTGAATTCACCTAGAGGACATAACAATTCTAAATGTTTACACAGCTAATAACAACAGAGATTTTATTGATTGGTTTCTGGATGTATGCATATTTAAAATTTATCAACTCATATGCTTTAAATATGAGTAATTGTACATCAAGCATACCTCAGTAAAACTATT
The DNA here is from genome assembly GCF_000001405.40 of Homo sapiens. Classification (NCBI taxonomy): domain Eukaryota; kingdom Metazoa; phylum Chordata; class Mammalia; order Primates; family Hominidae; genus Homo; species Homo sapiens. The sequence continues at coordinate 101,325,376 of NC_000008.11, read as the reverse complement.
TTTAAAAAGTGACATAAGATAGATGCAGGGTGGTTGGCAATATGACTGTAGATATAGCCTGATTTGAGAGGCATCAGGACACTTTCACTTCCCTATCCCAAAAGACTACCATGTCGTTTTTATGAATGCCTGAAATTACCTCATCATAGTTTCATTCTTTGGGAATAAAATCATATTCCCTTTTCAAATGCAAAGAAGAGTAACTCTTAATGTGACATTGGTTGTTTTAGTACCTCAATCAAAGTGAACTTTTCAAATTATTTCCATTTTTCTAAGGGCCAACTTGGATAAGGATGAAGGGGAGGAGAGATCCTGATTATAGGTGTAGTACACACACCTGCTATTTCCACCCACCCGCTATCCATTCTACTTTCTTCTCATAATAAAACCCTAGTTTTCCTTTGAGGACACTGCATCTCCTCGACTCTCAGTCCATGTGACTTTGGTGGGGTTGACCCCACCCTTCCCCCCAGTCATAGACATTGAGCAAGAAATGGATCAAGCCAATTATCTTGATGAACAATCTTCACACCCAACGATCTTGGGCAGTATCCTTCACTGTTTCAGAGTTGATCTGTGTGGCCAACAGAATAATGCAGAAATGATAGCATGTACTCAAAGTCAATGGGATTCAATTCCAGGGATTTTCTTGGAGATATTGGGAAAAATAAGGCCCTTTATTTTAGACTTGAAATGTAGAAGCCTGGAGCTTTTGAGATCCATCTTCCTATATAGGGATAGTTTGTGAATGAAGGCAAACCAAGAGAGGGAAGAGAGCACATCAAACTAGATATTGTTACAGCATTTGGGCACTGTGGTAAGCAGTCTTCAATATGGCCCCAATCCTTGTCATCTGGTGTTTACAATCTTGGGTAGTATCCTCCTACACTGTTTCAGGGCAGGTCTGCGTGGCTAAAAGAACAATACAGAAATGATGGTATATGGCTTCCAAAGATAGACCATCAAAGACAATGTGGTGTCTGCCCTACTCTCTTGGATCACTTACTCTGGGGAAAGCCAGTCGCGTGTCAAGAGGAAACTAGAGTCCTCTGGAGGGGCCCAGTTAGGGAGGAACTGGGGCTGTTCACCAACAGCTAACACTAACCAACCATGTGACTGAGTCATCTTAGAAACAAATTTTTTGGCCCCAGTCAAGTCTTCGGATGATATAGCCATAGCCTATATCCTGACTGCAGCCTCATGAGAGAACCTACACAAGAACTGACCAGTTAAGCTGCTCCTAAGTTCCTCACCCACAGAAACCATGAAAAAAATGATTGTTGCTTTTTTCAGCCACTCAGTTTTGGGATACCTTGTCATGCAGCAATAGATAACGAATACAAGTATCACTGTCACTGCCATGCCTGGAATGTTCAAAGCCAGACCCTAGGCCAAGCATAGTATGATGAAAAAAATCACTGGTCTTCCTTCCCAAACTCTCCAAGCTCGTTCCTGCCTAAAGGTGTTTGTACTTGCTGTTTTCTCTGCCTGGAAAACATTTCCTCCAAAACTTTCCATGGCTGCCTGATCATTTAGGCCTCAGCCCTTGTGTCACATCCTCAGAGAGGCCTTCCCTCAATACTACATGGAAAAAAAGTGTCCCCTCTCCCAGTCACACTCTATCACATAGCCTTATTTGTCTCCCTAGAACTTGGCACATTATGCAATTATCTTGTTTATGGATTTGTTTACTTGTTATTATGTGCCCTCCTCCAGCAGACCATAAGTTTCACAAGAGTAGCAGCTGTGTCTGAATGGTTCACCACAGTATTCCCGATGCCTAGAACATGGTCAGTAACTGCTTTTTCAATGAAAAATATTTGAGTTCCACTCTTTGCTCATGGGTGACCTTGTCAAGTCATGCCCTCCCTGCCCAAGGTTGTTGTAAAGGTGAAATGGAATCACATATGTGAAATTACCTCATACACTTCCCGACACATGGGACATCTTCAAATGTCTTAGCCTACCTTCCCTAGAAAACAGGCTGAGACAAAGCTTAAGTGCAATGCTTTATTGCAAGAAAACCCTAGGGCTGGGAAAATGAGGGGAAAGGAAAGAAAGGCAGGGAAGAGTAAGAAGCCAATATAGAGTAGTGCTACTGAGAGGCCCACTGCTTCACAGATACAGCCAGCCACCTGGCCATGGGAGACATCTCCAGGTAAGCTGTAGAAGAACATTACCCTTCAGAACAGTCCCTCACTGAGAGGAATACAGAAGTATTTAGTCCATCCGTTTACACTGTAACATGCTTCGCCTTGGTCAAAGTGTGCCCCAAGAGGAGTTACCTCCCTTCTACTTTGGGGATTCAGAGTTACCTCCCTTCTACTTTGGGGATTCATCACGTAGTCACCAAGGAAGCCAGACTCCACCCCCTTTGGTGTGGCACTTCATCTGAGGCCAAAAGTGATGTATGGACCCAGAGACTCTGGGCTCTAGTCCCCAAGGGTCCCGAAGATAGATGAGGTTGAGAGAGTCTGAAGCAGTCCAGGTGTGTCTGATACATCAACAAATGCCAGTGAGTCCTGCATGTGGGCAAGAACTGAGACCAGGACCCAGTCCTGGGACTGAGGCACATAGGGGTCAGGGATGGAGGAGAGTTTGATCACAGGTTAAGAGGCTGCACATTAAAGCAAGGATGTCAAGAGTGTCCAAGAATCTGAGAGGAGGGCAGATCTGGTTCTTAGTCATCTGTCCTCAAGATCCTCATGGCCCTGCAGGTCCAGTCATTAGTCTTCCCTGCTGGTGTCTCTGTGGCATCTGAGTTTTCCATCTGCTCCCTGGTCATCTGTCTTTTCCCACACCCTGCATCCCCCTTATCCTAAGCACAAGGCCCTCTCAGGTTCTCTAGCCCTCTCCCTTGGGCATCTGACACTTCCTTGGGGAATCCCAGAAACTTTTGGATGTTTGTTTGTGCTCTCTTAGGAAATGAGAAATGCAAAGGCCTATGATATGGTTTGGCTCTGTGTCCCCACCCAAATCTCATCTCCAATTGTGATCCCCACGTGTTGAGGGAGAGACCCGGTGGGAGCTGATTGGATCATGGGGGTGGTTTCCCCCATGCTGTTCTTGTGATAGTGAGGGAGTTCTCACGCGATCTGATGGTTTAAAAGTGGCAGTTTTCCTTGCACTCTCTCTCTCCTGCCATCTTGTGAAGAAGGCACTTACTTCCCCTTCACCTTCCACCATGATTGTAAGTTTCCTGAGGCCTCCCCAGCCATGTGGAACTGTGAGTCAATTAAACCTCCTTCCTTCATAAATTACCCAGTCTCAGGTATTCTTTATAGCAGTGTGAGAATGGACTAATATAGCCTATCTCAGACCATTTCCTCCTGGACACATAGGCTGCCATTTCTAGCTTGTCATACCCATACTCTCATAAGAGACTTATCCACAAGACTCTCCTGGGAAGAGAGGTCCAGGTCTGCTCTGCTCCTGCTCCTGAATATTACCAAACCTACTCAGGATTTTTAACATGCATACCCTGACCCTGGGTCTCAACCCAGGAGGACCCTTTGCAGAGTTGTATACGAGTTTCTAACCCCATTACTCTTCTCTCGGACTTATCTCTCTTTTCCAGCAATCATTAGAACTCTTCACGTATTTTATCTCTTGTTTATATTTATAAATATATATGTTTTGCTCTTGAGTTCTTTAGGTATGGTTTCTGAGGCTCAAAGCCTGGTACTTGTAATTTCATATTTTTTTGTCTCCAAGATATGCTCATTACCAAATGTTTTGATAGTTTATTTTAAAACTCAGTTGACACTTTTTTCTTTTCTCAGCACATTTGCTGAGTCTTTTTTCCCATGAGGCAAAACTTCCATTTGGTCTCTTACATTGCCCAGCACTTGCAGTTAGGCAGGGCCACTTGACCAGTTCTGGCCATGAAATATGGGTGAAAATAATGACTGCCACATACCTACATCCATGTACAATTTTATGTGCTTTCTTCTGCTGTGCCTATCAAGGAGGACATGCACTCAAATGATACAGCTACAAGGTGACGGCACCTGCTTTAGCCTGAGTCCTGAGTGACTATATGGCGCAAAGTCCTTCACTGACCCACAATGAACATGTAGCATGAATGAGAAATAAACTATTGTGTGTTTAACCATTGAGATTTTTGCAGCTGTTTATTATTGCAGCACAGTCTGGCCTATCCTGACTAATACCATAGGCTGGAATGCTCTTACACATTGATTGAGGAAGTATCAGGAATATAATGAGATTCTTGAGGGAAAAAGAAAACAAACAAACAAACCTTGGTTGATACTATAAACTATTATCCCATTACAATTTTATAAGTCAAGGATGTTATTCAAAATATTGAATAACCTGTATAGCATGAGTCCAACTAATCAGAACAGTCACAAAAACAAATCAGAAGAGATATCACCCAGTAGAGTATGCAGGGAGGTGTCAGCTGAAGATCCTTGGCATGTTGTCAGAGCAATATGAGCATTAAATATCTTGAATATGGAATAAGTGAATGAGCAATAAGGCTGATTATAAGCTGAGTTCATGGCCTCTGCATCTAAAATTTACTTAAAACAAAGAAGGTGGACTCCAGAGTCTGGAAGGTTAAATGGATGCATTTCCCTGGCTGTTCCTTCTGCTCCAACCTGAAAAAAAAATAAAGCAACTGAATCTCAGCATCTGTATCTGCTTATCTATTTTATGGCCAAATCATTTCTTATCTGTTAACATTTAGCCTGCTCGAAAATGTGGCCATTTATATGTCAACATATTTATTGATATGTTTTCAAGTGTACTTCTAATTGTTCAGAATGTCAAATTCTTTCTGGGAAGCTCAAATAATTGACATATTCCTGCCACTATGGATAATCAATAGTCTAGTGATGCCCTAAGTAACAAACTGAGAGACCGAGAAGACCTCCTGAACCATGAGAGAAAGATTCAAGAATGTTCTGGGTGGTTCTAAGGTTAAGTACACACTGCTGTGGGCTTACTTGGACACGGGCCATTGTTATATGATTGGAATATTTGTCCCCTCCAAAACTCATGTTGAAACTTGAACACAAATGTTTCAGGATTGAGAGGTGATTGGATCATGAGGGCTCTGCCCCAGTGAATGGATAAATCCATCATGGATTAATTGATTAAAGGGTTAATGGATTAATGAATTATCATGGGAGTGGAATGGATGGCTTTATAAGAAGAGGAAGAGAGCCTGGGCTAGTACACAAACGCACTCAGCCCACTTACCATGTGATGCCCTGCCTACCTCAGGATGCTTCAGAGTCCCCACCAGTAAGAAGGCCATCACCAGATGCAGGCCCTCGACCTTGGACTTCTCAGCCTCTGTAAGTGTAAGAAATAAATTTTTTTCTTTATAAATTACCCAGTTTCAGGTATTCTCTTATAAGCAACAGAAAACAGACTAATATAGTGATTACTAATGCCATTTTAGTAATTTTCATCTAGCCAGAAGAAACAATTCACAAAGAATCTCATATCTCAACCATTGAAAGAAATGGAAGTTTTCCATAGTGTGGCCAGTGAAAGCTTACATATTACAAGAGACTATGAACCTGGAAATAACTGAATGGCTGAAATTATGTGCAAAAATTCTGTCTTTGTACTTACATGCTTGGCATATTACACATGCATTTCTAGCTTTATACATGCCCCAAGAATATTTTTAGGAGATGAATAAACCCCAACTTGCAAAGACAATTTCCTTGCAAAGAAAGGACTTTGTCTGACTAATCCAAATGGCAAAATAAAAACAGGAGACAGAAAGATGAGTCTTTAAATCTTAAAAACACTTGAATTGTAGTTAAAAGAAAATCAAAGCCTCAGATGGTAGAGTGTTGATGCATTTAGATGAAAATTAAAATGAAGAATGAAGAAAGCACTAAGTAATCCTCTTCTGGTTGAGTCAAAGGATTTGCTTCCTGAAATTCAAGTGATGATAGAAGGAGGGAGTACATGGTCTAGTGTCTGAGCTTGGGGAGGAGTGTGGCAGGAATGTTGTCCTGACAGCAAGGTTGGAAGGGGAAAAGAAAGCTTGCTTGGCAAGCTTGGTCAAAGCTTGTTTGTTGGGAAATCAATGTAGGCAGGGAAGGAGAAATTTCTGGAACAGAGATTCCTTAACTTGGAGGAGCAACAGCTGCCTCCAAAGATCCAACTGTCCTTTCATTTATTTTAGAAGAGATAAAGAATGACATATATTAAAAACTAAAGAGACTTAGGGTTGAATGAGAAGATCTGCAGTCAGAAAATGCAGATACCAGAATTTTGTAGCTACTTGCAATTTATTTTATAGAAAGCTTTTAAATATTGGGAGCAGCTTATCTTTTTTTTCCAACATGGAGAAGATTAAATGGAGAGGATGGAACTGGAATTTTTTTGCAACTTCTATTTCTCTATTTCAAAGCTGCTAACAAGTCTGTCATAAACACCAGCTGGGCTGCAGCTGGAACAAATTCGGTCTATGGGTCATTCTCGTGAGTATTTGAGCAAGCAACCTTGCCATATGACTTTTCATAAGCATAAAATCTGGAATTGTAAAAGAAACTGAAATCAACATTTATGGAGTGGGTCTAAAGGGCAGGCCCTGCAGACCTGAAGTGTAGGTCACATGTTGCTGCAAAGATTCCTTCCTCTCTACTCCTGGCAACTGTCCCCACTCCTACTCCCATGCCCTATCCTTGCTCTTTTCTCCTGGTCTCTCAAGGTCTCATCCTTCTCTCACTATCTGCCACAGATGTCCAAAGGGACTGAGAAAACTCCACTATTATGAAGAATGAGAGAAGGGAGATTGAGGAATAACTAGCCATCTGCCAATCACATCATGCTCTTGTTAAGTGTCTTGGCATCAGAGAAGGTACTTCATTCTAAATCACTTTTGCATTCCCAGAACCTAGTCTAGTGCTTGGCGCATAGTAGGTGCTTAGTAAATGCCTGCCAAATAAATTACTATCATGTAAGAGAATTGCAGAGCACAGATTTTTAGTGTAAACTTTGTGAGGATAAAAATAAAATGCCTTTTAAATAAGTAAAGCATTGAAGATACTCATTATTTGTATCCTAATCTAGTACTCAAAATGCAGATGACTTCTTATTTCTTTAAAAGAGGGGAAAGCTTTACATTAAAACAACAGACAAGAGGCAGAAAATGAAAAGACTAATAGGCCTAAAGTTAGGCGTAATCCCACCTTCTTGAGTTTTAATTTCAGTCTCCTTACTTACCCAAGAAGGCATCTGTCATCCCTGAAGCCTTAGAAGGAAGTTTATCCTTCCTTAGAACCAGAAAATAATGGGTACAATTGTCTGCTGGTCCCAGGGAAAGGGTGGCACTAATAGGGGAAAGGAGAGAGGGGTGATAAGGTTAATCTTAGACTAGTAATTTTCAGGAACATGGCATCAAAGAAAACACCATTGGTTTCCTAACAAAGAGCTTAAGTCACCTTTAAAGCAATAGTGCAACACCAACATGGAATTCAGTCTCCTCCCAGGAGGTTTTGTAGCTTCCACTAAAAGCAGGTCTTGGAAAGGCTCCCTCCAGAGTTCTGCCAAGCTCTCTCCCTCTGGCTCTTGTGGTGTGCTTTCCTTTGCTCCTCACAGAGCCCCTGGTCCAATGGGAAGCACAGACAATTACAATTCAGAGTGATGGACAGACGACACCCTGGAGTGTGGCCAAGGCATCCAGGGCTCACAGGGATGTTGGTGTGCAGAGTGGCTGGGAGGCTTCACGGAGCAGAGCTTCAGGAGAGATTTAGAGGGCAAGCAAGAGTTATCCAGCCAGGTAATGAGGAAAGGAGGAGACCCAGACCTGAACAAAGACAAAAAGCAGGAGAGAGTATGGCATACCCGGGGAACTCCAGATGGCTCAGTGAGATCTGTGAGGAAGGTGCCACGTGGGGCAAGGGCTAGGCTCACCATGCCAAGGAGTTTGGATCTCATCTGTTAGTGATAGGCAGCCACTGATGGGCTTTAAGAGGAAGAATAACATCATTGGGTTGTGTCAAGAAAACCTTCTGGCAGTCATATGAGGCATAGAAAAGGGAAGATTGGGGACTAGAAAACTAGTGAAATTGTTCAAGGGACACAAAGGAACATCTGGCCAGGGCAGGAGCAGGTAGGATCAGAGTTGGGAGGACAGATCTGGGAGCTTAGAGGAAACCTGGCAGGCTTTAGACAATGATGGTCTCCAAGGGAGTGAGGGAAGCAAAGGAGGCAAGGGTAGCTTTCAGGGCTTCTAATAGGAGCCGTCTGAAGCTTGATGGTGCCATTACACCTTAGAGGAGCAGAACTAGGAACACAGATACTTCAGAAGTGACAAGCCTGGTTTTGTTAGATCAAGTTTGAAGTATCTGTGGGACATCCAGGTAGAGGTGTCCAGTCGGCAATGGGTACTGAGGTCTGTAGCACAGGAGAGACCGGGCTGGTGAGGGACACCTGACACCTCTCTGAGTTCAGGTTCTCAGGAGTAAGGCCCCAAGTTGAGGATTCATGTACAAGTGGTTTATCACAGAAGTCCTCCTGGAGGAGACCAGTGAAGGAGTGAGGAGCACGGAAGGGAAATGGAGGGAGCTCAGTGTATTGGTTTCCAAGAGCTGCCATGACAAAGTAGCACAAATTGGATGGCTTACACAACAGAATCATATTGTTGAAAGTCCAAGACGAAGGTGTCAGCAGGGTTGGTTCCTTCTGAGGGCTGTGAAGGAGAATTTGCACCCTGTCCCTCTCCTGGCTGCTGGTGGCTGCTGGCAGACTTCAGTATTCCCCAGCTGGCAGATGCATCACTCCAATCTCTGTCTTCGTCTTCACACAGTGTCCTCTCTGTGTATGTGTCTGTGTCCAAATGTCTTCTTTTGATAAAGACTCTAGCCCTATTGGATTAGAGACCCATCTACTCCAGTATGACCTCATCTTAATTTAAGTAATTATATTTGCAACAACCCTATTTCCAAATGAGTTCACATTCTAAGGTAGGGGAGGTTAGGACTTCAACATGAAAATTTGGGTTAGATACAATGCACCCCATAACATGAAGCAAGGTGAGATCTAAGGAACAGGCTTGCAAGGGGAAGCCTCAGCCTTGCTCCCTTGGGAAACGGTTGGTAAGAAATGCCTCAGAGTCACCCCGATTTGAGCTGGGCTTTCATGCTCCTGGGCTGACAGTCAGCAGTTAATGGTCTCAGGGCTGTGGAGGGAGAAATGGAAACTGCTAGTCGCCTCTAGAACTGTGTGTATCTTTGTGTGGTTAAAAACACAGTAAAAGACTTTTTAGGGCCGGGCACGGTGGCTCATGCCTGTAATCCCAGCACTTTGGGAGGCCAAGGCAGGCGGATCACCTGAGGTCGGGAGTTTGAGACCAGCCTGACCAACACAGAGAAACCCCGTCTCTACTAAAAATACAAAATTAGCTGGGCATGGTGGCGCGTGCCTGTAATCCCAACTACTCAAGAGGCTGAGTGAGGCAGGAGAATCACTTGAACCCGGGAGGCAGAGGTTGCAGTGAGCAACCATTGCACTCCAGCCTGGGCAACAAGAGCTAAATACTGTCTCAAAGAAAAAAAAAAAAAAAGCACTAACATTGTCCACTACAGTGGTCATTAAGATTGAAGGGTTAATTTGCCATGGGAATGGCTGAAAGCCAAGACCCATATTCCAGAGGCAGGAAGAACAAGAGGAACTTATGAAGGAGAAAGGAGATGGGCAGAGGACCCAAGAATTCAGTTAATGAAGATATTAAACCAATTGCGCTAGTTTTGTAGTAACTTTGGATCCCAACGCAAAAATCAAGACAGCTGACCAACCAGATATAGAGGGAGACAAAGGGACACTTTTGAAATGAAGATTGAAAAATCTGGGCCATGTCGTTGTTATACCTGGGTTTAATGTGTGCTGGAAACCTGGCTGATGGAGCCTCAGGACCAAGATGAAGAAGATGAAGCCTCCTATTTCCATCTGTTGATCCCATTCCATGATGGTCAGCCATATTGGAACATTCACATTTCCCAGCGTCTGGATTCTGGCTCCTGCGGAGTTGAATAGTAAACAGCACTGAGCACTCTGGTGGTGACCGTAACCAGAGTCATCTGAAAAAAATCATAAAGTAAAACCACAAAGCTCTGATTTGAAAAACATCATCTAAGACAAGAAATCTATTCGATGTCTGAACATACTCATCATCTCTGCAGGCCTGGCCAGCCGACTTTCAATCAAACTACAATGTCTAACAAAATGTTTCTCTGTTTTTAAGAAAAACAACAACAATAAAAAAATCTCTTCAGAGACAGAACTATCCAGGAGATCGAAGTTGTGAGAACAAACATTATTTTCACATATTTCTTTTAAAAGGAGACATACTTCTCAGGATAGTTCCCTAAATAAATAATTATCCAAAGGGCACCTTCTTCACCCTAGCCTTCTTTTTTTTTTTTTTTTTTTGAGACAGAGTCTCACTCTGTTGCCCAGGCTGGGGTGCAATGGCACGATCTTGGCTCACTGCAACCTCCACCTCCTGGGTTCAAGCAATTCTCCTGCCTCAGCCTTCTGAGTAGCTGGGATTACAGGTGCCCATCACCACACCCGGCTAATTTTTTTTGTACTTTTAGGTGAGACAGGGTTTCACCATGTTGGCCAGGCTGGTTTTGAACTCCTGACCTGGTGATCTGCCAGCCTTGGCCTCCCCAAAGTGCTAGGATTACAAGCGTGAGCTACTGTGCCGAGCCCACCCTAGCCTTCTGAATCTGAGACTCAGAGGGGTCCCAAGGAAAATCAGGTAGCTGCTACTTCAAGAAAGGGATGCTGGACTGGCAGGAGTGACAGATGTCCAGACACAGGATTTATGAGTGTCAGCTGATCATGACCAAGCATAGACCTCCCGTGGAGACAAACTGAAAGGCCATGTGGATCTAGAAGAGCAAGCAGCCCGCAAACATCTCAAACAGTGACACCATTTACAAAGGGCTGCCTTCTTGGCTTTCATACCTAGTCAGAAAGACAAAGAACTGCAATACTGCTGGCAGTTACTATTTAAGGATTTACTTGTCAAGTTGCTAAGGAAGTTGCAGAAACAGATGGACAATACCACTTAGGAGATGAAATCTTCAGAGTTCCTGAGGGTTATGGAGCCCCATTTCCATCCCTCCCTCATGCCATCTGGGCTTTGATGTGGGCTGTGACAAAAATACCACCACTTGACTGCAGAACTGCAGGATGTAAAATATGGCAATTTCACGGAGCTACATTGATAACATTCCTCAGTTGGTGTCTTAGCTGCCATATCTGTCTGACAACCTTGCCTTTCAATTCTTTCTGTGATACCTGGAAAACAAATATTTATGAAACGGAGAGAAGAAAGTATGAATTAGGAATATGCAATTGACATCAATATACACCAAACTCCAAGCTAGACACTGCCACATGTAATTTAATTTGATCTTCATAGTAATCCTGAAATGCTGATCAGAGAGGTAACTTTAAAAAAACTTAGTCTGTAGTTTGGGAGATAAAGCATACACAGAGAAAGGTTAAATGATGAAAACAACAGGTTGCAATAATAGAAAGGATTCATTCATTCGTTCATTCATTCATTCATTAATCAATAAACAATTACTGAGCACCTGACAGGCACTGTCCTAGGTACTGGACAAACCATGGTAAGGAGCTCACATTCTACTGAGGGAGACAGTCCGTGAACAACATCAACACGGAAAGAAGGTGGTGACAAGCGGGATGGTGGAAAGTGCTCTGGAGAACCAAAGGCTGCCAAGTGTGATGCCCAGTGAACTGCCATGAAGGGAGAGAGGAAGAGATGGGCTGAGCCTGGGCTGCCAAGGAGGACGCCTAAAGGAAGAGAACTCAACCTTGAACTTGAAGGATGAGTAAAATGTAAATGAGAAGAGTGCATTTATCTGTTCACCACTTAGGCAATATTTAGTGAGCACTACTGTCCATTAGAAATTCCAGTAACAATTAGGCTTTGTCCAGTAAACGATTATTACTGGAATGCCTGACAGAGAGATAGTTGCTCAATAAGTTAACTTAGCTTATTTCATGTGTGTGTGTATATATATATATGTGAAGTATATAGGCCAGGCTTGGTGGCTCATGCTTGTAATCCCAGCACTTTGGGAAGTCGAGGTGGGTGGATCACCTGAGGTCAGGGGTTCGAGACCAGCCTGGACAACATGGTGAAACCCCATCTCTACTAAAAATACAAAAATTAGCAGGGCATGGTGGCATACGCCTGTAGTCCCAGCTACTCGGGAGGCTGAGGCAAGAGAATTGCTTGAACCCAGGAGGCGGAGGTTGCAGTGAGCCGAGATCATGCCACTGCACTGGACGACAGAGTGAGACTGTGTCTCAAAAAAAAAAAAAAAAAAGAAAAGAAAAATATGTATCTCATATATATACATATAAAATATTTATAATCACATACACGTGTACACACACACACACATTCAGAGCTTATTATTATCTATCTACCAGGTGAAGTCCCAAGTGCTTTATATACTTTACTTCATTTCACCCCCAATGTACAAATGAAGAAACTGAATTATGGAGAGATTGAGTAACTCTAAGTCACAAAGCAACAGAGCTGGGATTTAAACCCAGGTAGTTCGGTTCCAGAGCGGCACTTTTAAGCAGCAGTCTGCAAAGTATGGCCCATGGACCAACTCCATTGCACTACCTGTTTTTATAAACACAACTTTACTGGAATATAGCTATACCTGTTCATATTATCTATGGCTGTCTTTGTGCTATAAGGACAGAGAGACCATATGGCCCACAAAGCCTAAAATATTTACTATCTGGCTCTTTATAGGCAAAGCTGGCCTTTAACTATCACACCACACTGCTTCCATGGATGGGGTGGAGACGGTGATAAAGTCCAGACCCTGCCCTCGAGAACATCACAGCCTAGTAAAAATAAGAAGCCATTTCAGTGCATCCTGCTCTCACTATATAACATAAAAATAACAATTAACAAAACAACAATGCAGCAATAATGACAATAACAGTAATCATAGCAACATTAGTTGAAGGCTTACTGCGTGCCAGCTGCAGTCCTTAGTTCTTCACACTTAGTAAGTCACTGAATTCTCCCAACGACCCCATGAAATCCGTCCTATCACTGTCCTCGCTTTATATAGCAGGAAACTGAAGCACAGAGTGTTTAACAGTGTTATCCATCACCCCCCGGGAGCACACAGACTGAACCAGGCATTCTGGGAGGGAGGTAGAATTCAGGGAGACAGAAAAGGCAGACACCAACTTAGGACAGTGGAGGCTTCACTGTCCATAAAAATTGATTTGGACTTTTTTCCTTGGTCAATTATAATTAGAAATATAGAAGATACATTTTACTGAGGGGCCTGATCATTAGAAGAAATCTCCTCTGGCAAAGTCTTTAGCAGTAAATCTCACCAGGAAGTACCCTACTTCATCGTCAAACCTCGGTTTCTCATAAGGAAATCTAAGGAGAGTCTCAGGAGATAAAGAATGCCAACAGCCCTGAAATCGCTGCTGTTGGCAAAAATTTTGCTTTAGAACAGCACCTGCCATCAATGGGTGCTCAATACACCCACTGAGTTTTATATTTTGTGATTGAGTTAGTTATATATTTTGTAATTGAGTTATATATTTCATGCACAGTTCCTGAATGGTCTTCTAACTAATCATTTCTGGTACCATGTCAAATGACGGGGCTCCTGTGCCATTTCACAATGAGGAGGAGTAAAGGAGCTGATCGCTATTCCAGTGCCAGGTGCTGGGCCGTGTACTTCAGGTACCCAGCACGTTACCAGGTTTAATACAAATGACAAAATACAGGATTTCTGCTTTCAGCTAGGGACCAGAATTACCTTCCTATCTTAACCAACTGAAAAAATGGACGAACGATATGAAACAATGTTCTTCAGACACTGAAACCTGGCCATATAGGTGATCACTGAGAAAAGGAAAACAAACAAGGTGTGTCCTATGAGTGCCTTAGCTCAGGACTTGGAGCAAGTTTACAGGCTACAGGGTAAGAAAGGTGGCCCCAGACAGAGCCCCGTGGTCCCCTGAGTTGAAGAAACTCAATTCCTAGTAAAGAGAGACAAAGGTGACTAAAATTTGTAGGAAAAATAACAGTGTGACATTATGGGATAACAAGAAATATATATATTTGATCTCTGCCTCCAGTTCCTGACATAGTGCTGCTGAAACCCTTGTAGATGGTGGTGCTAGGAGAGTCTTTTGTTCTAAAATTTGGTCTTTGACCCCAGTTCCCGACCTAGAGCTCCTGCGACCTTTGCAGTTTCCTAAGTGATAAGAATGTCTGACATAGAGCTCCTAAATCCCTTGGAATTTCCGGAGTGGTAGAAGCAACTTTTGTTCTGATTAGGCGATTCTTGGTGGGCTCCTGGATAGCCTGAGGATGGAAGCTTGTTGCTAGGGAAACCAACCATGTAAACAGAGGGTTGAAACTTTCAGTTCCATCCCCCAACCTCTGGGGAGAGTGAAGAGGCTGGAGGTTGAGTTGATCACCAATAGCCAATGAGGGAATCAATCATGCCTATGTAATGAAACCTCCATAAAAACTCACAATGATGGAATTTGGAGAGCTTCCGGATTGCTGAACACATGGAGGTGCCCGGAGGGTGGCACTCCCCTTCCTCCATATTTTGTCTCGTGCATCTCTTCCATCTGTCATTTGTCTGTATCCTTTGTAATATTCTTTGTTTTTGGGGGTTTTTTTTGAGGAATCTCACTCTGTCCCCAGGCTGGAGTGCAGTGGCGCAATCTTGGCTCACTGCAACCTCTGCCTCCCAGGTTCAAGCAATTCTCCTGCCTCAGCCTCCTGAGTAGCTGGGACTACAGGCACATGCCACCACGCCCAGCTAATTTTTGTAGTTTTAGTAGAGACGGGGTTTCACCATGTTGGCCAGGATGGTCTCGATCTCTTGACCTCGTGATCCGCCTGCCTTGGCCTCTCAAAGTGCTGGGATTACAGGCATGAGCCACCACGCCTGGCCTTGTAATATTCTTTATAATAAATGTGTAAATGTAAGTGAAGTGTTTCTCTGAGTTCTGTTGAGCCACTGTAGCAAATTAATTGAACCCAAAGAGGGGGTCATGGGAACCCTGATCTATAGCCAGTCAGTTGGAAGCACAGGTCACAACCTGGGGTTTGCTACTGGCATCTGAAGTGGGGGCAGGGACCAGCAGTCTTCTGGGACTAAGCTCTTCACCTGTGGGATTTGATACTATCTCCAGGTACATAGTGTCAGAATTGAATTGAATTATTGGACACTTAGTTGATGTCTACTGGATAATTGCTTGATGTATGGGGAGAAATCCCCATACATCTGATGTCAGAAATACAGTGTTGAGTGACTGTGCAAGAGAGTAGAAAGAAAAAAACAGGGTTTTCCCTCAAAACAAGGAGTGAGAGAGAGAAAGAACAGGCCGACGTTCTTCAGAGGGATCCCCTTGTATGTATGGTTGTGCTGTACTGATCTCTATATGCAGGGAAGGAGACCACTGAGAATGGGGAAAGAATCACTGAAAAGATGTAGGTGGAACAATTCCAACAGCTCACAGAGACTAGAATAGTTTATATGCACTAGCCTGAGTGGAAAAACCTCCAGATACATAGAGCATTGTACCCATAAGAAGGGTATTGCTTCATAGTGGGACCAAATAAATCAAGAAGTCCTAAAGATTGTTCTGAACTCCCCTTCCTAACAAAGCTTAAAAGCAAGACTTGAAACGTTCAAACTATTTCCAAGTAACTGCATCTCAGAACAGAGCCCAGCAATATTTAAATAATAGTTTAAAAATACTGAGCATTTAACAATGTAAAATTATCATTGTCTAGCACCCAGCCAAAAATTATCAGGCATGAAAAGAAGCAGGAAAATACAACCCATAGACAGAAGGAAAAAACAATCAAATGAAACAGACATAGAATTAAATTAGCATACACGGGTGTTAAATGAGATATTATAAATATACTTCATATGTTCAAAAAGTTAGAGGAAAATCTGAACATCATAAGGAGAGAAATTAAATACACATAAAGGACATAAATAGAACTTCTTATAGATGAAAAATACATTATCAGAAAAGAAAAAACACTGGCTTGGATTAATAGCAGATTAGACACTGGAGAAGTAAATACTAGTGTCTTTAAAGACAGAACAATAGAAATTACACAAAATGAAACCCAGAGAGAAATACGATTTTAAAAAGTATGTAAGAACTGGGCACAGTGGCTCAGGCCTATAATCTCAGCACTTTGGAGGCCAAGGCAGGCAGATCACTTGAGCCCAGGAGTTGGAAACCAGCCTGGGCAACATAGCAAAACCTCATCTCTTCAAAAAATAAAATACAAAAATTAGCTGGGTGTGGTGATGTGTGCCTGTAGTCCCAGCTACTCAGGAGGCTGAGGCAAGTGGATTGATTGAGTCCGGGAGGTCAAGGCTGCAGTACGCCCTGACTGGGCCACTGTGCTGTAGCCTGGGTGACAGAACAAGACCCTGTCTCAAAAAACAAACAAACAAAAAAAATAAGAACTGAGTATCAGTGACCTGTAAGACAATATAAAATGACCTTGTAACTACAATTACATTTACACGTCGTTACTTGTAATAACAATTACATTTACATGTAATAAACACATGTACATGGAATGCCATATGAAGAGCAGAGAGAGGTATTAAATTCCTTGGTTAAATTTTATAAAATATGTACAAGACATACATTAAAAACCAAAAAGCATTGCTGAGGGAAATTAAAGAAAGAGAGATATGTCCTATTCATGGGTCAGAAAACTCAATATTGTTATCTGTCCATTCTCCCCAAATTGATACATAGGTTCAATATAGTTCCAATCAAAACCCCAGGCTCTTTGTAGAAATTGACAAACTAGGTCTAGAATGTATGTGAAAATGCAAAGGACCTAAAACATGTAAAGCAATTTTGAAAAAGAAGGTTACTGTGGAATGAGTTATATTATTTGATTTCAGTACATGCAATAGAACTATATAACAATGGAGAGAGTGGTATTTGTGTAAAGACAATCATATAGGTCAATAGAGCAGAGAGTCCAGAGATAGTCTCATTCATATGTGGTGAATTGGCTTTTGACAAAATAAATAAATAAAAGGCCAAAGTAATTAAAAGGCCAAGGTAATTAACTAAGGAAAGAATAATCTTTTCAACACATAGTCCTGGAACAGTTAGTTATCCAAGTGATCCATATGTAAGAAAATAAATCTTGACCCTTATATCAGACCATACAGAAAGACTAACTCTGAATGAACCATAGAGCTAAGGGTAAGACATAACGTTATACAACTTTCAGAAGAGAACACAAGAAAATCTCTGTGACTTAGGCTTGGGAAAGATTTCTCAAATCGAACATAAGAAGCCTGAAGTACAAAAGAAAAAATTAATAAACTGGACTTCATTAAAATTAATAACTTTAGTTCTTCAAAAGACACTGTTTAAAAATGGAAAGAGGCCAAGCAAGGTGGCTCATGCCTGTAATCCCAAAACCTTGGGAGGCCAAGGAAGGAGGATCACTTGAGGCCAGGAGTTTGAGACCAGCCTGGGTAACATAACAAGACCCCATCTCTACAAAAAGGAGACAAAAGAATAGAAAAAAGACAAGACAATAGAAATTATGCAAAATGAAATGCAGAGAGAAATTTAATTTTAAAAAGTATTTTTTAAAACTTTTTAAAAATAGTTTGCCAGATATGGCAGCTCATACCTGTAAGCCTAGCTACTTGGGAGGCTGAGGCTGGAGGATCTTTTTCTCTTTTCTTTCTTTCTTTTTCTCTTTCTTTCTTTCTTTCTTTCATTCTCTTTCTTTCTTTCTTTCTCTCTTTCTTTCTTTCTTTTCTTCTTTTCTTCTTTCTTTCTCTCTCTCTTTCCTTCCTTCCTTCCTATCTTCCTTTCTTTCTTTCATTTTTTTTTGGAGCTTTCCGGTGAATACTGGGAAACCTGCTAGACAAATTCTAAAAGAGCTGTAACACTACATGGATATTTTTCAATACATATATTGAAAAACTTTTTGTAGATTTGCAATAATTTGAAAACATTCAAAGATGAACTGTGCAGCCTAGAAATATCAAAATTAAGAAAAAGGTATGTCATGAATGCATAAAATGTATGTAGACACTAGTCTATTTTATCATTGACTACCATAAAATATACACAAATCTTTCATATAAAGTTAAAAGTTAACGAAACTTACACACACACAAACACGGACTGTACATGGCACCATTCGCAGTCAAAAGAAATGGAAACAAACATAAAGATGCAGTATTACATCAGAACTGCATAAAATTAACCTGTACATCCTGTGGTACCGTAATAACTTCATAGGCACCTCCTGTTGTTATTGTCATGAAGCTTTCGTTTTAAGAATATCCACTTAACATGTCATGTAAGCTATTCATCTCCATGTGGGCAGTTCATCTCTCCAGTAAGCTGCACATCCAAATAAAAAGTGATCTTTGTTGGTTCTCAGGTATTTTTCATTGTGTTTATTGTAATACTGTAATCCTTGAATAACACCATGGGACAAGTAGGAAGTGCCACCAGTGATGTTGGAAGTGCTCCCAAGAAGCAGAAAAGTCATGTCAGTACAGGAAAAGATTGAGTTTCTTGATGTACCATAGACTGAGGCTTGTAGCTGCAGTTGCCATTTTAGACAGAGGATTCATCTTATAAACAGACAATAGAAACTTACGGTATCGATAAATACGGTACAGTAGTGTAAATGTATTTTGTCTTCTTTATGATTTTCCTAATAGCACTTTCTTTTCTCTAGCTAGCTTTATTGTAAGAATACAGTATATAATACGTATAACATACAAAATATGTGTAAATCAATTGTTTATGTTAGCGGTAAGGCTTCCAGTTAACAGTAGGCTATTAGTTAAGTTTTGGGGGTGTCAAAAGTTATATGTGGAATTTCAACTGCAGGAGTGGGGGGGTGTTGGTGCCCCTAACCCATTGTTCAAGGATCAATCATATATAATAAACCTTTACCACTCGAAAATATTAAGAAAATAAACTAATCAATTTAGGTAAAAAATTGGCAAACTATTTGAACAGACACTACACCAAAGAAGATACGAATTGCCACTACCTACATTAAAAAATGTTATCAGAAAATCTTGAAAATTAAAACTACAATAAATTACCACTGTACAGTCACTAGAATAGCTACAATTTTAGAAGACACATAATATCAAATGTCAGCGAGGATCTGGAGAACTGGCACTCTCAGGCTGTGCTGGTAAGAATGCAAAACGGTGTAGCCATTTTAAAAAACAGATCGGTAGTCTTTTAAACAAAGGCTGCCATATGCCCCGCACTTTGACTCCCAGGTATTTATCCAAAAGAAATGAAAATATTAATCTGCCCAAAGACTTATGCACCAATACTCATAGTAGCTTTATTTATAGTAGGTAAAAACTGACACCAACCTAAATGTCCACCAATGGATGAACAGAAAAGCATATATTGTATGATATTCATAAAATAGAAAACTACTCAGCGAAAAAGAAAGGAACTCAATAATAGCAACAACTTAGGTGAATTTCAAAAGCATCATGCGAAGTTAAAAAAAAGGTTGGCATAAAGATTATAACAGCATGGTTCCATATGTATGAAAGTCTAGGAATTGCAAGATGATGGTAATGGAAAGCAGACCTTTGGTTGCTAGGGGCCAGGAGTGGGAGAAGGGGATTGACTGCAAGGGACATAAGGACATTTTTTGAGGGTGATGTAAAAATTTAATATCTTTACTGTGATGGTAGTTACACAACAACATAATTTCAAAAAATCACTTAATTGGGGACACTTAAAATTGGTGAATATTTACTGTATGTAAATTATACCTAAATAAAGCTGACCCCACCCCAAAATGAAGCATATGTCATCCCCAGTTCACAGATGAGGACACTGAGGCTTGTAGAAGATTGGGAACATGCTTGCATCACAGAACCAGCAGGTAGTGACTCCAAGATTCAAACCCAGGTGACTAAGTCCACAGCTCATCTTCCTTCTTCCACATCTGGCTTCCTCCCTTGCTTATTCATTCCACAAAAAAGTATTAAAGGCTCATGTTAAAAGAACTAGCAGAATAAGTCATGTATTATGAAGGTCCCTTGGCCAAGAATCTATGGTTTTCCCCACTTAGTTCTTACCTCGAAGCTCCTCCTTCATCAGGCCCTTCTCGCAGACTATTGCCCCACCTAGGGCATGAAGGTGCATCTCTGAGATATGCAAGGCTCTCCAAGGCCTGCCCTCAGCCTGGAATGCCTGAGCCCCCTGCCTTTCCCTGCCCACCCTGCCTCACCCTCCCTCTTCCTTCCTCAAATCTGGGTCTTTTGCTTCCCTTATTTCTAGACTCAAATTCACCCCATCCCATCCTCAGCACTTGGACTTGATATTTTCCAGCTCTCCATTATTTTGTTCTTTGACTCCCTTTGGCCTTTGTCACCTACAGCCTATGGACTCCCTAACTAGACCTTGAGCTCTATGGAATGCTACTTATTGAGGTAGTGTGTTCCCACAAAGCACCAGACAGCATCTGTTACACATCTGGCACTTCCAAGCAGGCTCTTGAATCTTCTCAGCCCCACTTAGTTCAACCGAGCAAACCCTCACTCGGCCCCTGCTCTAGTTCACGTCATGCCTGGTGTTACAATGCCTGGTGTTACACACATGAGTAAGACAAGGTCTTGGTCTTCAGGGGCCTGCAGCACAGCGAGGGAGAAAAGCCTGAGAACAAGTAACTACCCATCAGGGCAGTGGACACAGAGACAGAAATATGAGCAGGTCCAGCCGTCACAGAAGGCAGGTGCTTGCTCTCCTTGGGGTGGGCAGGGGCATGATGGGAGCCAGTGTGGACAGCAGGGGAGTCTTCTCGGGGCAGGTGACCCCTGTGCTGGGTTTAAAGAATGGAGAGGAGATGTAAAAAGCCCCAGAAATGCCATGTGCATAGTCATTGACACATGAAGGGGCACAGTGTGTCTGGGAAGCAGACTGCTTCCCAGGACATGAGGTCTAGGAGGTGGCAGGGCCAGGAAAGAAAGGGCTGTTGTTACAAGAATCAGAGGCTAAGCCAGCTGAGAGCCAGATGTGGTGTTAACAGAGGCCAACTTTGACCCAAGTACGGAAAGTAAAGTGATGGAAATAGCATGTACTTGGCTTCCAGTATACGTTAGTGTTGGACACTCTTCTAATCATCTTACAGGTATCACACCACTTGGTCCTCACAACCCAATCAGGTAGTAAGTACCATTGCTATCCCCATTTTACAGATGAGGAAATTGAGGCCTAGAGAGGGTGAGTAATTTGCCTACGGTCAATATGTTTTCAGGAAGTTTGACTCAAGAGTCCAACTTTAATCACTTTGCTTCTCTTATCCCAGAAATACCAGAAGGATTTCAGTTTTTAAAAGGCCTCCAAATAACACTAGGCCAATCATAAGGAATGAATACAGTGTAGGTAAAAATCTAAAATAAAGGAGATAAAGCACACTCAAATTATTTTGAGACGAATGCTCAAAATTACCAAGGAAGGGTATTCCTCCTGGAAAAACAGCTAGAGGTTTGTACACCTCTTAGCCAATCATAAGGAATGAATACAGTGTAGGTAAAAATCTAAAATAAAGGGGATAAAGCACACTCAAATTATTTTGAGACGAATGCTCAAAATTACCAAGGAAGGGTATTCCTCCTGGAAAAACAGCTAGAGGTTTGTACACCTCTTAGTCTGTAGAATAGTAGGGCTATTGTCTGGATAGGATTATGACTTATAAACACGATAAGGTGGAAGTCTACTGATGCTACTGTAAGGTGATGCTGTTTAGGTTACGTCCCCTGAGTGGCGTTTCAAGCATGTTTGGTGGAACTTGGCATCTTCCATGGAATAACTACCTTTTCTTCTGAAAAAGGAACCAGCAATCTCCCCCTTAGCTGTTCCCAGATTTTCTAGGACTCAGGGGGGATCCCTGTGACTCCCAGCAGCATAAACCATAGGCTCAGAACACACAATTTCTTTAGGCCACTGGCATCTTGAAGGTCCTAACTAACATCCTGTTGCTCACAGAACACAGTCTGAATTCCTTAGTTTGGCATTTGAGGCCACCCACAACTACCTTTCTCTATTTATCTATCACCACTGCCCCCTACACACATCTGCTCCAACCCAAATGACCCACCATCCCTCAGACTTGACTTGTGGATTCCTAAGACTGGGTTTTCACTCTCAGAGTCGCTTTGGCCTGGCTGCACCAGCCTTGCCTCACTCCCTGCTGTCCCGTTAAACAAAATCCAACCCATCCTTCCAAGGCTCAACTCAAGCACAGCCTGGTCAGCCCCATGAGAAGCAACCTCTCTAGGGTGTCTGGTGTCTCTTTGTGTCTTTCTCACTGCTCCTCCCATCCTCACCCCATCTTCCCAGAGGGGCAGGACCAGGTCGTATACAAGCCTGAATTCTCCCCAGGAACCATGACCGGGCCTGATAGAGACCAGGTTCTTATTAAATATTTGCTGAATGACCACAGAAATCACTTCTTATATTCACTGCCTCCAATTCCTAAAAATCTCAGACACCAGCAGTCTCAGATAAGAATGTGTCCTATCTTGAAACGAGTCACCAATAAAAAGAATATTTATACGTTTTCTCTATGGCTTGGTCTAGAACATAATAATTCACTGTTGAGAAATTCTTGATGTTTGGTTTATTTCCTCAAGCCATAGTGTAAGCCAGTTTTCTTTGTTTTCACCTCTGTACTTTGGAGAACAGCTGGTGCCCATATTTGGCATAATGGTCCTTGGGAGACCTTAGAACTCTCTTAAGCATGACTGGCTGTCACTCAGGGCAGCATGTTTATCACAGGATATCATGGTATCTTCTGCATAGAACTCCATAAAGGGGAGCCCCTATGGTGTAAGTAGCCCACACATCTTTTAGTCCTATGCCCACCTAATCAACACCTGCTCTTCACTTGAAGATTTTATTAAATCAACTTTCTCCTCTCCAGGTTAAATAACCTCACCTCCCCCAGGGATTATCTCTGGACTTCTCCAATATTTTCAAGTTGAAATAGACTACATCATTTTTGTAAGGGTCAAGGAGAAGCTTCCAAATATATTAAATCTTGCATGTGTACATGTGTAGGGTGTGTGAGAGAGAGAGACACAGACAGACAGAGAGTATGAGGCTTTCATTCTAAAGATTGGGTTACAGTATAAAAACAACAAACCAGTCTAAAGCTTAATGAACATAGGGTAAGCATTTGGAAGCCTGCTTAAGTACTTGGAATAGCTCTTCTAACAGCTGGGACCTCTTGTCATTTTAGCTCCAGGAACTGATCAAAGACCACCAAACAGCCCTTTATGTGGTCACCTCGGTATGGTCCCAAAGCAGCAGATGTTGGGAGAGACAGAGAATGGAATCTCCCACTCATTTCACGCTGGGCATTTTTAACTTGTTGGAGTTATTTCAAGATTCTTAGGTTTGACTTCTCTGGCCCTGACCCAGAGATTCTTCACTGCTTGGGTCAATCCTAAAATAGTGGTTGAATTTGGTTTTGCATTTGTGCTTTAGGTAAATCTCAATCACTGTCTCTGTTTACAAGCACGCACACATATGAACAAACAGACACACACTCACACCCACACACAAGATGGTGTACACCCAAACTGTTGACTGTGTCCAGGAAGAGGCTTGCCTGTGGCTCCTTTTCTAGGGGAGACTCTTTGAAGCACCCCTTCCAGATCTTAGACAAATAAACCCAGTTCTATGTTTTGAGCAGCAGATGGCGCTGTGGACCGCACTCTGCGGGGCGATCTAGTGTGATTTTTGAGGGATTTTACAACCCCATAACAGAAGGGTGGGTGCTCTCCCCCCAGAGCCTGGAGTTAGGGACAGTCTCCATTCTGACACACTCTCCTGCAATCTTACAAACATTATTCATCCACCACAAGCCTGTGAATGGATCATAAAATGAATAAAAACCGCCTCTTGGTCATGTATTCATTTGCTCAGCCACGATTCAGACCGTGCTTCCTCTCTGCCGGCTCAGTTCTGGGTACCGGGATACGGTGGCAAACAACACAGATGGTTCACTGATGCCCCTGCCCATGCAGAACTTTCTAATTGAGCAGTCAGACAACACAAACACACAAATAACTCTGTCATGTAATATCTGTTAGCAGAAAAAAAATAAGCAGGCTCTTTGAAACTGGCTGGTTGGGGAAAGCATTTTTGCGGGAGGTGACATGTCAGCAGAGGCCTGAATGATTCTAAACAGCTGGTTCCAACCTTCGGCGCACATTAGAATCACCTGGGGAACTTTTCTAACCCTGGTGTCCGAGGCCCACCCAAGGAATGCTGACCTAACTGATCAGGGGTGATTTCCGGGCTCTGGGGGCTTTTAACTGTCCTGGGTGACCTGAATGTGCGGTCAGGGTTGAGAGCTATTCACTCTAAGTATCTAAGCAGGAAATCATGCACTTGTTAGGAAATTATCCTGTAGCTGCATGAAAAGTGTTTCTGCTATTCAGAAGAGCAAAACAGTGCCTGGGACTCTGTTGCTGAGTGAAAAACAATCCAGCTGGGCAGCAGAGATCAGCCAGCAAACTAGGAATCACCCTATGCTCTGACAGTGCTCTAGGCTGGCGAATTGTCTTACTTCTCTGAAGAGTGGAGGGAAACATGGCCACTTCCCTCTCCTAGGCCCACTGGAATTCATTTCCAGGGGCCCCTGGGGAGCAAGGGCTGTCCTACTATCCTGCCATGTTAGGAAAGGGAGCAACCCTGTTTTTCTCTCCAGATAAATTCAGGTGACTGGCCAGGAGCTGCTAATCCCACACCACCACCTCTTCTGACCTTGAACCTGAACTTCCTGCCTCTCCCATTTCTGCTCTGGCATTTATCAAGAATCTTAAAGGAAAGGGAGGTCTTGGATTCTGAAGCTGATGAGGGAGTAGAGCCATGATCTCAGAGCCCGATGGATTCCAGCCCTCGGCCTTCAGCTCCCACGCCTTGTTCTGTCAGTCTTTCTCGGGGCACCTGGGTCCCATCTCCTTGGGTGCCAGAATGAGAGGTGGTGATAGATGCAGCTTGGCTGTCCCCTGAGCATTTCCTTGTTTCTCTTTCAAGCAAGCTGGAAATGGTCTTTCCTCATCTGAAATGCTCACCAGGGCAGCTGGTCACATCGTCCTCCTCAGGCAGTGCTTGCAGGCAGTTTGCTCTCAGACTCAGAAATGCTCACGGAGGCCAGTCTGAGGATCTAGACCAAGGACAGACATGCTAAGGAGAGAGAACCCTCTCTAGTGAGATCTCCTTGGTATTTGTCCTGGTACCCGAGGTCACAGTTCTCTCTCTTCCTTTTTTTTTTTTTTTTTTTTTTTTTTTTAGATGGAGTTTCACTCTCGTAGCCCAGGCTAGAGGGCAATCTCGGCTCACCACAACCTCCACCTCCCAGGTTCAAGTGATTCTCCTGCCTCAGCCTTCCAAGTAGCTGGGATTACAAGCATGCGCCACCACGCCCAGCTAATTTTTGTATTTTTAGTAGAGGCGGGGTTTCTCCATGTTGGTCAGGTTGGTCTCCAACTCCCGACCTCAGGTGATCCGCCTGCCTCAGCCTCCCAAAGTGCTGAGATTACAGGAGTGAGCCACCATGCCCGGCACTTCTTCTTTACTTTTAATCATGAAAAATCTAAAACACACACAGAGGGAGAATGAATACTAAAGTAAAACCCACACGCTCCATCACCCAACTTCGAAATGTATCAACAGGCTGCCAATCTTACATCATCTCTCTTCATCACTTTGGGAAATGGGACTAGAGAGTTTCAAACTTGTCATTTTACCCATAAATACATGAGAAGAATGTCTTTAACTGATAAGGGCTTTTTTTTTTCACCATCGTGCCTTTCCCATCTACCATCATATTAGCTTATATTCATATGTCCCGTGTGTCCCAAAGGCCCGTTCCTTTTGTTTTGTTTTGTTTGAGATGGAGTTTCACTCTTGTCACCCATGCTGGAGTGCAATGGCATGATCTTGGCTCACTGCAACCTCCGCCTCCTGGGTTTAAGCCATTCTCCTGCCTCAGCCTCCCAAGTAGCTGGGATTACAGGAACCTGCCACCACGCCCAGCTAATTTTTGTATTTTTAGTAGAGACAGAGTTTCACCATGTTTGTCAGGCTGGTCTCGAACTCCTGACCTCAGGTGATCCACCCTCCTCCGCCTCCCAAAGTGCTGGGATTACAGGCGTGAGCCACTGCACCTGGCCTTCAAAGGACACTTCTTTTAAACTGAGGTCAGGTTGGTGTCTGATATAGGCAAATGTCTTACTGATTTTTGATTTAACCCTCTTCAGTTATCTAAACCCTTCTTGCTGGGTGAGGAGCAGGGAGCTTGGTAGGAACATTTGCCTTTGGTCTTGACCTGAGAGGTTTAAGGGGAGGCACTTGGAACTCAGGCTTAGACTCAAATCCAAGATCAGTCCCTTCACAACTTAGTATGGGAGTTCCCTGAGTTGCTGAATTTTTCTGAGTCTCCACTTCCCAGTCTCTCTTATAAGGAAGACAAGCTTACTTGTCATGATGCTTAACATTCATGGAGAGTGGTCTGTGAAAGTACTTGACAAAAGTAGATAAACATTAGTACATTATTATTGTAGTGTGTAATAATGTAAACATTTTTACATTATTTCCCTGTCAAAAAAGATATTAGTTGAGTTTTATTCTCTAATATGAGACGTTAAGTCTGAATTATCTGGATAACTCTTAAGAAACCCATTCATACTGGGAGTGGTAGTGCGTGCCTGTAGCCCCAGCTACTTGGAAGGCTGCAGTGGGAGGATCACTTGGGCCAGGAGTTCAAGGCTGCGGTGCGTTGTGATTGTGCTTGTGAATAGCCACTGCACTCCAGCCTGGGCAACATAGCAAGACCCCACCTCTAAGAAAAGCAAAGAAAGAAATCTACTCGAGGTTTAGTGGCCTTGTCCTTAAAAGAGACCTCCCTAGTTAAACCACTCTTTCAAGTTTAGAAGTTTAAAAAAAGCAAAATTCACTGTTACTAGCTCCCTCAGTCATTAGAAGATGGCCTTTAACTCCTGGTTACTTTTAACTCTTTTCCCTGGAAGCCGTTCACTTACAAAGGCAGGATGAACAAAAATCGAACCATGTGTTCACGGGGATTTAGCCGGAGGTGGGATGCGGAATCCTAGTTTATCTCTGGGCGGAAGAGGCTCTGTTGCACTTTATTAGGTCAACCCCTGTGCAATATAAATTCCATGAGATGCTATATAGGTAACTTATTCACGGTGTTTTAGGAGAGTAAATTGGTTTCCTGTTGTTGCTGTAACAAATTACCATAAAAGTTAGTGACTTCAAGCCACACGCACTTTTAATCTTACAGTTCTGGAAGTCAGAAGTCTGTAGTGAGTCTCACGGGGCTAAAACCAAGGTGTCAGCAGTTCCTTCTGGAGGCTCCAGTGAAGACTCTGTTCTTTGCCTCCCAGTTTCTAGAGGCTGCCCATGTTCCTTGGCTCCTGGCCTCTTCCTCCTCTCACTCAGACCTCTTGCTCCCCGCCTCTCATCTCCTGCTACCCACTCTGTTCTCCTGCCTCCCTATTACACGGGCCCTTGTGACTACATTGGGTATGCCCAATGATCCAGGGTTATCTCTCCATCTCAAAATCCTTCACTTAATCACATCTGCAAAGCCCCTTTTGCTAAATATGGTAATATTCCTAAGTTTAGGGAATGAAGTCTAAGCCTCTGAGTTTTGGGGTAGTGTGTCATGCAACAGTAGCATTCTTCCCCCTGCCTCCACCACCAGCCTGCCTACCACAGGGGAAGAAAGAGCTGTTGGAAATCTAGGCCTCACAAATCACCTCAGAACTGTCTCTTCTTTTTAGATCTTCCTGGGTGTGGACAGTTGACAGTCGCATACACTGTGCTCTGGGAAATCCAGGGCTAGTCATTCAATGGAAAGTAGGAATTTGGGGCCTCAGATGAGATAACATTGCTGCTCTTTTCTCCCTTGAATATGGAACTTTCTCAAAACTGTGAGCCTCCATTCACAAATAGCTATGTAGTCATCATCAAATGGTATCAGTTTTGGACCTTCCCTGTTTATATGAAGCTGTGCAGACATTATATAAATTTGCCATTCACCTTAAATCTAGGCAGGTTCTGTGAGTGTTTCGATCAGGTCCAGGCTTTAAGAGTCAGGAAACTTTCATTTCCTGTTGCTCAGAGCACGGGCTCTGGGAGCCCTCCATGAAAGAAGCTCAACTGCTTTGCTGGAGAGACAACATGGAGAGGCTCTCCTGGGAGAAGAAGAAGGGCTCAGCTGAGCATTGCCTTCCAGCTGTCCCTACCAAGGCACCAGGTGTGTGTGTGGCCTGACCCTCCAGACAGACCAGCTGCCAGCTGATAGCCACTGAATGTTCCCTATCTATATCACAGGCTGCAGCCAAGTCCTCCCTAAATTCCTGATCTATAAAACTGAGACAGAAGAAAGTGATTGTAGTGTTAGTCCTCTAAATTTGGGGGTAGTTTGTTATGTAGCAACAGGCATCCACAACAGAATTTGATGACTGCCATGTGCATTGTGAGCTAGTTATTTTCTACAGGATCTGAGGATAGAAATGTAGGGGGCATCGATCTGCAAATCCCAGTCAGTATCCACATCACATAGTGCTGATTTCAGACCCCTCTCTCTGCATAGTGATAAACTAATGAGTTTACTCATCTCTGGAGCAGGGATCATTGAAATGGGAGTCACAGAGTTGTTGGGGTGACAAAAGAAATAAGAAGAGCTTTAAAATGTGAGAAAGCCAACCCAAATGTTTTAGTTAGCAATGGCAGTTACAGTCACAGTATCACAGGAGAAATGAAATGGAGAATAGTCATTCTTGTTTTAACATTGTCTTGTTTTAATATTGTCTGGTTTTAAAATCGCTTGTTTTAATATTGTCTCCAAGTATGGATATTGATCATGGGTTTAAAGCCATTTGACTTTTCATCACAACTCATTTTCAATATTTAAGAAGAAAAAATAAAACAAGGGAACATGAAAACGAATTACTTTTTTCTCCCTGAGAGTTTGGGATCGAATGTGTTACTTGCTAATGTATTATGTAATTTGTGGATTATGTAATTTGTGGACAAATTTATTCTCTTCCTGTCCTGAGCTGACCCCCTTCTCTCGCCTGCCTTCTGTGATTCACATGCACTTTTATGTGTGCCCTTTCACTACAGTGTAATAAAAATCTGCTTTGTAGACTATACTTAAGCCTGTGACTACTATTTAAAATCAATTGTCCTTCAGAAAGGTTGGTCAAGCCTAACACAGATAATGATTAAAGACTGGAATGGAAGAAATCTGCCTCTCCAGGGAAGATGGGTCAGACAATCATGGCATGAACTTGAGCCCAGAAAACAGCCAGCACATACAAGTCTAGAGAGCTGCCTTTGAAGACATCTCTAGTTTAGTCTGCACATAGTGAGATCTGCAAAAGATTAGAAGCTGGAATTCAAGGGCTGTCAGGAACCAGACCAACACAGCCTCTGGGACCCAAGGCCTTTGATTAGAATATACGGAAGTCTGTTCTCGAGTAACTGAGAAAGAATATACAAATGCAGATTTCTTTCTTGTAGAGTAAGATTCTTGGGCCAAATTTTGAATTTTAAACACCAATTTGGAATTTCCGTATGTTTTTGGCTTTTGTGAAAGGCTTTGCTCATTGTTGACTAGCCTACTCTAATCAAAACCAAATCAAACGAATGGGTTTGAAAAAAACTATGAGGCAGGCCTGTCTTTGCTTAGCTTCCCTCCAGGACTGCTGTGTTTGAGGAGGTTAGGAAAGATCAGTGTAGCCTGGAGCAGGAGCTTTTCTGTGCCTGAGGTCTTCACCTTTTCATTTGACAGAGTCCCTGTAAACGTGGGTAACCTGGCTCTTCCAAGATCAGGGCACCATCCTCCAAAGGCAGCATCCCTTGTTTAGAAAGGAAGTGGTAACTCCCTGGATATTAATATTGAAGCCAAAGATGGGATCTCCAGTCCAGTCCCATGCTCTGAAGAGAAGGGGAAATTGCTGATACTGTGTTCCCTGACAGTGATCTACGTTTGCTTGAGCTGAGAAAAGAATGGAGGCGTTCCTTTTACCAGCAAAGCGGAAATTTTTCAAGACTGAATTCCCTGACATTCAGAGATTCTACCCTCAAAACGGCCAAGCCCCAGAACCAAGGTAGTGTGGTGGCCACAGAACACAGCAAGCAAGAGTAATGTGCCCCAGAGGAGCCTGCAGGTGTTAACCTGCAAACCAGCACTGCACAGGTGAGGACAGAGGCACTGGGGGTGAGGTGCAGATGAGGGGCCTCCCAAACTGAAGCCTGGGGGCAGGGCTGAAAGGGCAGCAGAGAGACCAAAAGTAGGAATTTGCAGACAGGCAGGCTTGGCTCTACCATTCATGTGTGCTTTTGTCAAGTCCCCTGACCTCTAGGCTGGAGTTTCCCCATGGGAGAACGAGGGTATCACCTGCCTTGTGCTGGAGGTTGTTTGAGGATTCTGTGTGAGAACATTTGCTGCAGGTCACCCTGATAGCACAGGGAGAAAGTGGGCAGGAAGGAGCTGCTGCAATGTAAGATTCAGGAAGCCACGGTCAATCTGGGGCAGGCAGGGCTGAAGTTCAATGCGAAGTCATTCCCAGCTTGGAGGCGAGAAGCGATGGTTCTACATAAATATTTACGGCCACAATCAGGATTGCTCTGGGATCTCAGGAGAGAGTGCGGGGAGTACCCCTAAGTCTCTCCATCATCATTAACCTCCTCAGCTGTGCAGACAAGGATGGCTGGGCTGGGGACACCAGGTCACACAGTTGAGCTGACACCCACCCAGGCTGTGCATATCCTCAGTTGTTAACAAATGCTTCTATAAATCCCCCACAGTTCTGAAATCCAAGTTCTGTTGCTTTTCCAATCTTCATGTTTCCATCTGGCAAGATTTTTCTCCTTAAAACCAATCAAATTTGATGAAATTTGGCTTCAGATGAATATTTAGAAAAAGAATTAAGTGATGGGTCTTTATTTCTCATTTCTTTTTGCAGCTGTTATTCCAAGTTACCAATTCCCAAAATAAACTTGCTTTTTTGCTTTGAACCAAGAATTTTACTTGACAGACAGATGATGTATAAACAGTGACCTTTCTGGATTTGCAGAATTCTTTGACTACATTATTTATCAGCCCACAGGTGCTGCATGTAGCTATAAGATAGATATCAAGAAGACCAAAGAAGAAAATGCCAAACGAAATTCATTTCTGTTAATGAATGCGGTGTCTCTGATGCTATTTTTCCATTAACCACATATCACATCTAGTGTGTGTGTGTGTGTGTGTGTGTGTGTGTGTGTGTGTGTGTCTTCAGGAACTCTGTAGGATTTCAAAACATGTTGTGAATCCTACCTTTTTTGAGATGAGGTCTCACTCTGTCACCAGGCTAGAATGCAGTGGTGCAATCATGGCTCACTGCAACCTTAAATTCTTGGGCTCAAGTGATCCTCCCACCTCTGCCTCCTGAGTAGCTGGAAACTACAGGCGCTCACCACCATGCCTGGCTAATTTTTTTTATTTTTGTAGAGACAGGGTCTCACTATGTTGCCCAGGCTAGTCTCGAACTCCTGGCCTCAAGTAATCCTCCTGCCTTGGCCTCCCAAAGTGCTGGGATTACAGGCGGGAGGCACTGCACCTGGCTGTGAATCTTACCTTTGAGCCTCAGGCTTTGCAGTGGCCCTTCATATTAGGTTAAACAAGTAAACAGCTTGGCCTCACTTTGCTTTAATGTTTTAAAGAAGTCTAGTGTATTTGGGAAGGAAAAGGATGAATAACAATGAACTTTGTTTTTGTATGATGCCTTTTTACAAATACTTTACATCTGCTCACTAATGAGATGATCATGGCGACCTTGGGAAGCAGCAGAAGTTAGACATGATGCCAACATCGACACCTGTGGAAACAGTCACAGAGTTGGCTAGGGCTGGCCTGAGAAGATGTCACAAGCTGATGGTGACGAAGGAAGGTCAGGGCCCAGGTCTCTCTCCTGCTTTCCTTCCTGATGAAAAATTTTAAAAAACAATTATTTTACTTGTATTGTAAGGATAATATTACTCATGAAAAAATTAGAAAATAGAGAAAAGCAGAGAATAAAAATCATTTTAGTTCTACCAGTTAAACACAATTTTTTAACATCAGTTTTCCAGGTCAAAAGGGACATTTTTGAACCAGGAAATAAATGACTCATCTAAGCTTATCTTGTAGTGGATAGCTGCACCCAGCAATCTTGCATTAATTGAGCTGTCATATGGATCCTGGCTTGCAGTTTGGAGCCAGGTGTCTGCCCACACAATGTGAGCTGAGTGGCACCAAAAGAGAGCCATTTGTACCCACTCCCTTCTTCTAGGGCCATTGTTAAGTCACCTAGGATAAGTAATCCTGTCTCCAGAAGGCAGATCCCCATTACCTATAGTTAGGCCTCATGGGATGAGTAACCCATTAGCACCCATTAACAGAGATGAGTTTCTCCAATTAACTGGCTCCAAACAAGGCTGTATGGAATGGGATATAGGGTAGGTAACTGTCGAAACTAGCGTGAGGAGTCTTTTCTAAACTATAATGGAGGGGGTGGGGGGTCTCTCTGGTACATGTGGGAAGCACAGTTAAGGCTTATTCTGCAGCTGCTGCCATTATTGCCACTGATGCCACCATCCTATGAGGGGTAGATTGCATTTTCCAAAGATGGAGATTACTATTTCATTCCACAAGCTCTTCCTATAATGTGACTGGTGCCCACCCACTGAGAGGTGGCATCTGTTTTTCCTCCACTTGAATCTAGGGACAAGCCTATGGCTGCTCAAGTCACTGAAGAATGGTGGAAGTGACTGATGCTCTGTGACTTCAGAGGCTAGATCCCAAAAAGGTCAGAGCCTCCATCCACTGCTTGCATTGCTTTCCACCTCTCCTCCCCCTCCAAGCCCTCCCAGTGCTCGCTTTCCAGCCAACATGCAGCGACAAAGTCCAAACAAGTCCAAGTGGAGAGGCCACATGGGGAGGGACTGATGACCTCAGCCAACAGCCAGCATCCACCACCAGACATGTGAATGGACAAACCTTCAGAAGATTCTAGCCTGCAGTCTTCAGGGCTTTCAGCTGAGGCCCCAGACACTGTGGAGTAGAGTCAAGCCAGCCATCCTCTTGTCTCTGCTCCATAGAATTCCTCTGCCCTGATCAAATTCCTGACCCACAGAATGTGTGAGCCTAATACATGGCTGTTTTATGCCACTATGTTTGGGAATGGGGATGCGGGGGGAGGTAATTGTTATGCAACCATAGTAACCAGAGCATAGGTAGCCATTGACACCTAACTGATGAAAGACATCGAAACCAAGAAAATCAGATAATCACTTTGTAAAAATATATCAGTAGCTGTACTCTTGAGTTATGAACTCTGCAGTCTAAGAGCCAAGATAAACACCCTGCCCAAGAATTAGAAATTGCATAATTCCAGATTTCATATGTCTTTACTTGACTAATTCTCCACTACCATCCCCCTAAAGCCGGGGGTGTTCTAGCCAAGGTTGTCCAGGAACCACATAAAGGCCCCCAAACTGTAACCATAAAATCCATCCTCGATTTCCTCTCTTCCTGGGTCTCATCAATGGAAACAATGGTAGTGGTTTTTCAGAAGCCATGTGGGAAGATGGGCTATGAGTGCTATCATAGCAGATGTTAAGGTGCAGTCTCTAGACACGAACTTCCAAGAGTGTGTGCTGGCTGTCATGTCTAACATTTTTAAGTCAGCTAAAATTAGTGCATGTTTAAAAATGTTTAAAAAGTCCCCCTACCCCTCTCCCCATCCCCAGGAGTAATCACTTAACACTTGAGAGGACAGTGGCACATTCATCTGGCACAAGGCCCAGAATGAGACTGCCTGGCTTTGAATCCCAACTTTGCCACCAACTAGCTATGTGACTTTGGCTCCAGCTCTCTCATCTGTCAAATGAGGATAACTTACCTTCCAGGTTTTTGTGAGTTAAATGAGTTACTATAGATAGAGTACTTAAAGTGTCTAACACATACAAGGTCTCGGTGTGGTTAGGCTTTACTACTACTGCTGTGGCTCATACTACTATCACCATCCTCTTTATTACTAGCAGGACTTTCTGTAGCTTTGATGGGCTCAGGAAATGGCAAATGTTGGAAGAAACCCAACATTTCTTCCAGAGGTAGGGAGAGGACTCCCAGACCAGAGGGTGACCCATCTGGGTCCACTGACACTGTGGGATGGGAGGGCCCATATCACAGCTTTGCCTCAGGCTGGTCCTATCCATGCATTTAGGGGGGCTCGTGGGTTATTGAGCCCTTGGTGCATCTCTAGGTGTCACAAATCACATTTCGTAGCTTATTGCAGAAAAGTGAGAGCTAAACATGGTTCAAATATTTGATATAAGAAAAAAAATCGGCTGGGTGCAGTGGCTCACGCCTATAATCCCAGCACTTTGGGAGGCAGAGGCAGGCGGATCCCTCAAGGTCAGGAGTTCAAGATCAGCCTGGCCAACGTGGTGAAATCCCGTCTCTACTAAAAATAGAAACATTTGTTGGGTGTGGTGGCACACACCTGTAATCCCCACTACTTGGGAGGCTGAGGCAGGAGAATGGCTTGAACTCAGGAGACAGAGGTTGCAGTGAGCCAAGATCATGCCACTGTACTCCAGCCTGGACGACAAAAGTGAAACTCCATCTCAAAAAAGAAAAAAGAAAAGAAAAAAAAATCAACAAAACCTGGCATCATCCTAACAGTTTAGGAACTCTAACTAGTTGTGAGAAGAAAATGCACTTACCCAGTCCTTTTCAGGAAAATTCCTTCAGCTTTCATCTCTAGAACTCCATGAGGCTGTCCTTAAAAATACACCTAGTTCCTTCTGCTCACATTCACCATGCTTACTGGAATTAAGGATTCTTCACGCAGGCAATCAGTAAATGCTATGGAGGGAATGTGCCTGCAGCCTCCCGCAACCCACCCGCAATAGCAGCAGAGATGGAAATCTACAGTTTGGTCTTCTCAATAGGGTGGCCCTTGAGGAGCAGTCAGCCTATCCCCTCTGAATAGGTAAATTATCTGATCTTGTGAGCTGAGCATGGCTAACGACCTAGAAATTTCCTTTTTATATCAACTCAGATGCTTTGGCTACAAACAGAAAAACCTGAATAAAAGTCGCTTGAATAATAAGAAAAACTAGTTATCTCACTTAACCAGGAGAAGGAGGAAGTCCCAGGGCTGTCAGCTCTGGGACTCACAATGGTTTAAAGAGTCCAAGAGCTTTTTCATTAAAAAAACTTTTCCAACGTACACTCCTCCCCCATACTTTCTCTTACATGTCATTGGTTAGAGTTGTGTCACATGAGCATGCCAAAACCAATCCCTGGGAAGGAATTACCATGATCGTCTTAGACTCATCAGCACTCAGCTAAAGACTAGCCCAGTGTGGGGACCTGGGAGAACAGGGAGGTCAAGTATGTTGCAGTTAAGAAATTCATTTATCTTTCTTATTCCAAAAAGGCATCTTTGGTGATACATGCAGTTGGATGAGATAACATTTAATAGAATTAAATGATGATGAAGAAGCAAAGGAAACACAAGGCTACATAAAATGAACCCTGAAATATGATCAAGTATCAAAAATACACCCCATGCATCCTCTAAGTTTGCTAAGGGGAGACCACAAACATGGCTTTAGGCGTCAATTCAGGAAGGCTTTTCCAGAGGTTGCAAATGGGTGACTTGTGGGCCAAATGCAGCCCCCAGATATATTCCATTTGGGTTTTTGCAGTATTGTCTGTTTGTTATTGGTTGGCTGTCAGCCTTTAAAAAATTGGAATATTTTATATTTTTTTAAAAATATGTATTTCTGGCTTTTTTGTTTTTTTGAGAGGGACTCCCATTCTTTTGCTCAGGCTGGAGTGCAGTGGCACAATCTCTGCTCACTGCAACCTCCGCCTCCCGGGTTCAAGCAATTCTCCTGCCTCAGCCTCCCGAGTAGCTGGGATTACAGGCATGCACCACCACACCCAGCTAATTTTTTGTATTTTTAGTAGAGACAGGATTTCACCATGTTGGCCAGGCTGGTCTCAAACTCCTGACCTCAGGTGATCTGCCCACCTCGGCCCCCAAAGTGCTGGGATTACAGACAGCCATGATGCCTGACCATCTGGCTTCTCTTGTTTAAAAAAAATCAGAAGATGCAGCAGCACTAGGCCTCTTTCCCACCTGACAGGCGAAAGTAGCTGCCCCTCTAAACCTTACCTGTGCTCCCCACTTCTCCACGTGCCTTACCTGTTGCCTGCATTGTGCCCTGGGCCTTTGAGAGTGTGCCCGAGTTAGACAGCTTACAAGGTCCCTGGGATAGAAGCCAGCCAGTTCCTGACAAGCACAGATGAGCCTCACCAAGTGACCACTGTGGACTGTAACACACGCCCTCAGCTTCATCCTCACTGCAGACCCCTGGAAGAGCTCCCAGGGATTGTCCTTTATTATGGCTTTCTACACAAACCAGGGGATGGAGATGTAGGGAGTGGGCATGTGGCAGATGAGAAAGGGGTAAAATGTAAGCCTGGAAGTCATCTGCCACTCAGGGATTACTTTCCCAGAGAAAGCTTCCACAGTTGCTTCCTGTTTTGATAAGGCTGGGTCTACTGCAGAAGAGGAATCTGTCTCAGAAGACATGAGATTAAAGAGAATAAATAGGAAAGCATGCAGAATAAGACTAGGTTTGGATAACGATTCTCACTGTGAGAACAACTTGACAATCTGCCACTATGCTGAACTCTGATTTTCTACTCAACAGTTAAAGAGGTTTTGGATTTAAAGAGATGCTGCCTGCCTTCTGATTCAGCCTTTCTTGGCAGCCATATGTCTCCTGGTCCAAAAATGTCCACTGACTCCAGCAAGGGATTAAGAAATTCACACAAGAATTTTTTAGTCACGTTATTTTAAATGTGAAAGGCTTTCTCTAGAATCAGGTAAAGGGGTCCCGAGCAGATGTGTGCACAGATGGATGGGGCTTATCTGATTCCCTGTCCATCCACGCCCACACACTCCTGGCTGTCAGGAAAGGTTAGATGATGACAGTGACTCAGGAAGCCAAGAATGTGAATTATGTGAAATGAAGCCTGGATCCGCCCATGTAAGGTTACGGCTCAGCCCACCACAGCAAGCCTGAAAAGGAGACGCCATCTTGCTTAAAAAACAAAGGAGGGGGGCTGGATTTTGTAACACTTTTGTGTCTGTGAAATAACATCCATCCAGTTTGCTGGACAGAGAAACAGAGAACGAGAGGGAGAAATGAGACCTACCTAGCAAACTTGCTTGGACCCCCTGCGGCATACATGCCAGCACACCCCGCATGCCCACTGACCCACCAGTCTTCACCCCACGGGTCTACATCAGAACGGGGAAAGGCCTCCACGGAACTGGAGTGGGAAGCCACTTACCAAGATGTCAGCTAAAGCAGTTGGATATCCACAGTCACATCATATGCTTCACTGAGCTCTTCAACAGCAGAGCAGTGAGCACAGGCGCCTCCCCACAGTGCAGCAAGTAGGGACAGCTGCTGTCCTCCTAGGCCTTGAGCAGAGGGTGGGGGGAAAGAGCTGAACTGATGCTGGCACCCAGCAGTTCAAGAAGAGGAAAGAGCAGGGGAGCTATAAGAAGAGCTGAGGCTAGGGCTGTCTGCCCAAGGTCAGGCCTCCTGCAGGCCCTAGAGTGGACCCCCAGGAAGCTCTGCCCCCTCCACCCACCCTCTTTGGTGCACGCAAGGTCCTTAGATGTATGTCTCTGAGGTTCATTTTGGCAAGAATTCACCAAAGCAGAGGTCCTTGAGGGAGAAGAAAAAAAGCCAAAAAAGCCATGGTGTGGCAAGATAGCAGAGTGAGGAAGAACTAGGGCTCCAGAGGGAGACAGCCTGGCTTTGAAAGTTGGCTCCACCTTGTGTCATCTTGGATGATGTGTTGAACCTCTCTTTGCTTCAGTTTTCCTACCTGTGAAATGGATATAATAATAGCCTATTCGAGGAATAGCAAAGGATTGCTATGGAGACAAAATGAGATAGTATGGGTAAATCTGGGCACAGTGCAGGGTACAAAGTTCTCAGTTACTGTGAGCTTCTTCCTGTTCCTAGCCTCCTCATCCCTGAAATGGACTTTAATATGCACAAAAGCATGACTGAAATTAACATATAAAACATAGAGCTTATCCCTGACTACAGTGAGTAAATGCAAGAAGTCAAAAGAGAGGATATCCCTGGCATATCTTGATAAAGTATAAAACACTATACAAATTTCAGAGTCCACTAAGAAGTAATTTTAGTAGTCCACTGAAGTAACTGCAAAGAGGCCTGATATTAATATCTTTCAGCATAGAGAAAAATAATCCAGCCAAAGTATGTTACATTCCTACCACATGCCTGTCACTACAAGGAGAAAAAGATATAATAATAATTATTAAGTTATACCTTTTGCATGCCAAGTACTGCCTACAAATAACCTTTCTTCCTTAAAATCCTTCAAGGTAGATTTTAATCTCCATTTTAAAAGTGAAGAAATTGAGACACAGAGGTTAAGCAACTTGGCCAAGTTCACACAATCAATAAGTGACTGAGTTGGGATTTGAACTTGAGTCTGTCTCATGACAATGGTAAAGATAATAGCACTGATTAAGTGTTTTCTAAATGCCAGGCAATGTGCTGACCTTTTACGTGCATTGCTTCATTTCATCTTCACACCAATGCTATGAGGCAGGTACTATTATTATGCCCACTTTACAGATAAGGAAAGATTAAGAAACCAGCCCAAAGTCTCATAGTCACATAGGGGAAGAATCAGGCATCAAGTCCCTGGTCAGGGTGACCCCAAAGCCCAGGCACTTGCCCAGTCACCACACTGCATCCTTTGTGTCCCAGCAGCAAGGGAGACATGACCGTTCTCAACGTGAAACTCTTCGTAATTTCAAGGGTCCTAAGTACACGTGGACAGCCTGGCTTCACCCTTTATGCAGAAAAGATTTTGATTTCTTTCTCTGCACTACAAATGGTTCTTAGAGAGCGTTTCCTCCTAGGAAAATGTGTTTAACATTCTCTGAAGGACTCTACTCTCAACCTCTCTTGAAAACCTAATAAACTCAAGGTCATGGAAAACATTGTCTCTAAGAACATATGGCTAAAAGAGAAAGAAGAGGCACTCAGTTAGCTTGGATTTTGAAGGGTTTTACCAAGAGAACACTGGAGTGGTTTTATTTGAAGTAATTACAAGAACTTCAAGCCTTCTAAGTGGCACAAGCCTTGCCTTTAGTGCAGATAAGCCTGTCATTTTTTAGTGCTACCAGTGGGATTCTTTTGTGGGCAGCATCTGCCTTAAGTGAAATCCTGATCCTTCAAAAGCACAACTTTCTTCAAGAGAAACAGGTGAAATAGGAATTGTCAAAACCCAGCGTTCCCTGCCCACCCTCCCCCAACTTTTCTCCTTATCAGCCCCCAACCTATGGTATTTACAAATCAAATCTCGTGTATGTGTGTGTATTTTTAGTAAAGATGGCATTTCACCGTGTTGGCCAGGCTGATCTCGAACTCCTGACCTCAGGTGATCTGCCCACCTCGGCCTCCCAAAGTGCTGGGATTACAGGTGTGAGCCACCATGCCCAGCCAAAATCACTTTTTAATTCTGCTACAAAGCATGGACAAGAAGAAAGGTGTAATTGTCCTTCAGACATGTGCTCTCTGATACAGCAATCACAAACCACAAGTGGCTATTTAAATAGAAATGAACTAAAGTTAGTTAAAATTTAAAATTCAGCTTGTCAGTCACACTAGCCACATTTCAAGGGCTTGGCAGTCCCTGTGGCTAGTGGCTATGGACAGCACAGATCTAGGATATTTCTATGATCATAGACAGTTCTTT
This sequence comes from Homo sapiens, assembly GCF_000001405.40. NCBI lineage: Eukaryota > Metazoa > Chordata > Mammalia > Primates > Hominidae > Homo > Homo sapiens. The sequence goes on along the minus strand of NC_000008.11, from coordinate 101,285,349 downwards.
GGGAGCAGTGCTGAGCTAGAAACTCCACTCAGGAATCTGAAAGGCCTGGAGCTTCTCCTATGGTTGCTGTTTGAGTTTCAGTTTTCCCAAAAGTAGATTTGAAGGTAAAGATTTGAGTGTGAGTAATTTATTCAAAAATTGCAGGGAATACAAGTGGGGAGGTGGCACGGGGAAGGCCAGGCAGCCAGTAAACCTACTTAAACCTGTAGGAAACTGAGAAATGGTGTAAAATACTCAACTCAGAATTATCCCATCCAAGCAGGAGTGAGCTGGGGTATTTGTACGCCAACCCTGAGGACTGCTTCTAAGGCTGTGAGTTTCCTAGTACTTCTGGTCTACCTGTGGGTAGGCAGAGATTTCAGAGATTGGGCTGGGAGTGAGGGCAGAAATTATCAATATCAGGCTCAGAGGCAGAGACTGGCAGAGGAAGTTGACCAGAGCACCCCCGCAAGTTCTGAGAGATGCAGATGCTGCATAACACCGTCTGGCTACAGAAATGCTTAAGAATCACCTTCCTCCCAGAATTTTGCCTAGAACATTATGTCCATGACCTTGATTTATGTCACTCTAAGAGGAGCAATCCAGCTCCTATGGCAGGAAAAGCTTAGGGGATGTCAAGGGAGAGGGAAGGAGAGAGCACAGAGAGAAAAGAAACTCAAGGATGTTCAGCAGGGCTGATTCTACATAGACTTAAGGGTGAATTGGTGGGGAAAACAGGGAAATGTTGTGCATCATCCTTGGTGTCTGGATTCTAGGTGTTGTGAGATGTACTGATACAGTTTGTCTGTGTCCTCACCCAAATATCATGAATTGTAGCTCCCATCTTCCCCACATGTCATGGAAGGACCCAGTGGTGGGTAATTAAATCATGGTGTGTGTGTTGGGGGAGGGGTAGTTTCCCATGCTGTTCTCATGACAGTGAATAAGTCTCATGAGATCTAATGGTTTTATCAAGGGCAGTTCCCCTCCACATGCTCTCTTGCTTGCCACCACGTAAGATGTGCCTCTGCTCCTCCTTTGCCTTCTGTCATGATTGTGAGGCTTCCCCAGCCACGAGGAACTGTGAGTCCATTAAACCTCTTTCCTTTATAAATGACCTAGTCTTGGGTATGTACTTATAGCAGCATGAGAATGGACTAATATATGTACCATGAAGGCTACAAGCCTGATCAAACTGTGAGATGCCCTGAGTGTCCCGTTCATGCATTGGCGTGTCCTGGAGCACAAGTGCTCAAGCTCTCTGCCCATTACTAAGAGCGGGGGGTGTGGAAGCCCAGAGCAGACCCCTTGTTATGATTCGAATTAGCCTGCCAAAAAGATGTTGAAGTCCTAACTCCTATAGGTACCTGTGAATGTGACCTTATTTGGAAATAGGATATTTGTAGATGATAGAGTTAAGATAAGGTCATTAGCATGGACCCAAATCTAATATGACTGGTGTCCTAAAAAAGAGGGAAATTAGGACACAGTTGCAGCTATATACAGAGGGGAGATGATGTGAAGACACAGAGAATTCCATCTACAAGCCAAGGGTGCCAGAGGCTACCAGAAGTTGGCAGAGAGGCTGGAGCAGTTTCTCTCTCAGCACCCTTGGAAGAAACCACCCCTGCTGACACCTGGATCTCGGATTGCCAGCCCCAAAATGTCTGTTGTTGATGTCATCAGTTTGTAGTACTTTTTTACAACAGCCCTAGCAAGCCAATACACTCCTCTAAGACTCCTGCTCCTTCTTGTTCTGTATCCAGGGAGCCCTCTCTAGCTGAGCAGCCGTGTGTGGAGAGGAAGAGCTGGGATTCCGAGCCACGTGCCTGGGTTTGCGTCCTAGCTCTGACACTATTAGCTGTGTGACCTTGGGCAAGTTACTAAACCTCTTGGTGTTTTAATTTCCTCAACAGTAAAACAGAGAGAAAATAATCATACTTAGCCTATAGGGTTTTTCTAAGAATTAAATGAGTTGAAATTTGTAAGGTGCTTAGACTAGTACCCAGCAACATAATAAACACTACTTAAGTGACAATTAAAATAAAGCCTCAGCTTTGAGGCCCTGGATTGGATCAACATGAGTTTGGGGATTTGTGGCCACAGAGGGAAAGCCAGGACCCAGCTCTATAATGGTCCTAGGTACTAGGGGTACAGCTCCTGCTTTGGTAGTAAGTCTTTTGGGCAGGAATTCTGGGAGGAGATGATAATTCAGGGTGTCTTAAAGTTGAATGGGAACAAACCTGGATCCTGCCTGCAACTCAGGCCAGAAAAAATGAGGAAGGTCATTCCAGGCAGAGGCAGCTCCCTTTGGTCTGCTTCAGACTTCAGCCTCAGCCACGATGGGCTCAGACCCAACAGTGCAGCACCCACCTCAGGTTACACCATGCAGCCTTCTGATTTCTGCCTCTAGGGCTTCTTGCAAGCAAGGCCTGCAAGCTGGGGGAGGTTACATCCAGAGGCATCTCTCAGTGAAAGGGGATAGGAGCTGGCAGATAACCACTCCAGCCTCCCATCATTTGGAGGCATTGTGTCTGCTTCTGAGGGCTTGGTGGAATCCCTCACCCTGTCCTCCAGCAGTGACCATGCACACACAGATTGGCTGTTCCTCCTCCCTGTCTCACGGTCCCCACTCTCTTATACCTGCCTCTAGGATCACCCCTCAAATGAACTGTTTGCATCCAAATCTTTGTCTCAGCTCTGCTTCTGTGAGGGTCCTAATTAAGACAATAACAGGGGTAAAGATACAAAGTCAAGGGCCTGTGTACTTTGGAAGGAGAGCATGGAAGATACTAGAGGCCAGCTTGTTTTACTGGTATGGAAAGGTGCCAGTAGGTTGTTGAGAGTCCAGATTGGTAGCCAGAGGGGCCAGATCACAGGGCCACTGTGTGCCAGGTAGAGATCTTAGCTCTGTCTTGTAGGCTGTCGGGAGCCACTGAGAAGCCAAGGGGGTCAGAGGGCAGCCAAGAAGTGAAGTGACCTTCTCAGAGTGCCTTCTCCAAAGATGGCTCTGCTAGCTGTTTGGAGGGTAAATTTGAGGGGGCAAGGCTGGGGGCTTCAACATATATTAGGAGGCCACTGCAGTGGTCCAGGTAAGTGCCAGAAAGAACCTGAACTAGCAAGGTAGGCTGCAGATGGAGGAGATGGAGTCAAGAAATGGAGGTGAAGTTCATCTGCGGTGACTAACTCATCGCTGTTTCCCCAGGACTTTCCTGACTTTTGCACTGAAAGTCCCACATCCTGGGAAATTCCTCAGTCCCAGGAAAACTGGGATGATTGGTCACCCTAAATTCCATAGACTGGTTTGACTAAATCGTGGCAAGGGGTGAAGGGAAAGGGAGGAATCAAGAAGGGCAGGTGCAGTGGCTCACGCCTATAATACCAGCACTTTGGGAGGCAGAGGTGGGAGGGTTCTTTGAGCCCAGGAATTTGAGACCAGCGTGGGCAACATAGCAAGAACCTATCCTAAAACAAATATACATTTTTAAAGGAATTAATTTTCTATTTCAGGCTTAAGTAATTGGGGGAAGGGGTTGCCATCACCTGGGACAATGAACACAAAAGAAGCTGATCTTGAAGATAAGATGATGCAGTCGGTTTGGGACAGTAGAATTGGAAGTATCTTTGGGACTTATAGACAGTCATGAAGAGCAGTATTTTGGATTTATTGGGTGTTAGAAGGAACTGTGAGAGTGGTCGACATCATTCCTGGAAAGCCGCAGGATAATGTACTGTGACTAGGAATTCGTTTTCCTTAATGAGTGAAACATCCATGTCCCTGGAATACTGATTTTAAAAATTATGACCATTTCCTGAGATGGTTATGAGGGCTACTCTGATAGAAAACAGTATCCCATGAATGTTTAGAGTTTGTTTATCAAAGCAGCTATGTGTCACTTAGCAGGGCACAGAGCCCTGAACACAGGGAAGGTCTCATGGCATATCCCAGAAAAGTTGAAAACACAAGTCTCCCTGCCTGGGGGAGCTGTCCCCCATGGAATAGGAGGGTTACACTCACCGCCAGGGAGTGTGATGTGAGCAGACCCCTGGGAGGTGGGAGGAAGGCACCAAAAGCAGGGGGGACTTGGAGAAAATGAATGGAAAGTGTTTGACGCCCAGCTTGGCAGGTACATCCGGGGCCTCACCACTGAGTCCTTCACTAATCCGCCCATGACAGGATCTGGTGGTTCTGGCTTAAACCATGATTTACCTTGTTAAATCTTCTCTCTAGTAGCTGCTCACATTGTATAACAACCCTGAGATTCTTTCTTTGGCTTTCTGGGGACCCATAAGCAAGCCAAGGTAATAAACACAATTATAATGGTTAATATAGTTGATTACTTTCTACTTGACACTCTTCTAACTACACACATTAACTTGTTTAATCCTTATAGTAACCTGCCAGATAAGTACTTTCATTACCATCTTCATTTTTACAAATGAAGAAATTGAAGCATAAAGAGATTAGGCAGCTTGCCAAAGTCACTTAGCTGGTGTGTGACAGAGCTGGTGCGTGACTGACACAGCCTTGCTGAATACGGAGTTGGATGCACACGGTGGGCTTGAGATCCCGCACGCCCCAGCTCCAGCGCATCTCCACCCACAGCCCCTGGCCCCCACCACCTCTGCCATCGCAGTCCAGCCTGGAAAGCAGCCTGCAGTCTCAGGTAAAGCAGGATTTTCTCCTGCCTCCAAACACCAGCCCCTGCCCTTCCATGCCTCTAGCTGATGTCCAGGTGTCCCTGACTTCTTCAGCTGCTTTTCAAGAACTCCCTGGCCCCCTCCTTCTTCTTTCATTTTAAACTAACAAATGAGTACATCAATATCCTTTGCTCTTCTGCAGAAAGCATGTTTGTCCTTTTCAGAGAGTTCTATGCTCTGCTGATCTTGACCAGGAGTTGTGGGACCTGGGTTTAACACACAGCATTGTCTTTTACTCTGTGTTTCTGGCTGCCTCCCTTCTTTGGGTCTCTCTGGCTTTCCACGTCTGAAAAATTAAGTTAACTTGATCAGTGATTTTCAACTTAAGAAGGAGCATAGAGAAGGGAGTATCAGAACTGTGGGATACAGAGAGGGCAGGACTACCCATTGTGTGCTCCAGGCTATTCCTAATCACTTTTATCACAATGTACCTGTCCTATGTCCCCTTCTCCCAGGGCTATGCCCTCTAGATGACAGAAAACAAACCTGACAGCTACCATCACGACCCCCTGAGATCCCCATGTGACACTCCCCACCCTACCCCACCGCAGTCCAGATCACCACTGTAGAAGGCTCTTTCTGCTGATAGGAAGGTGGCTCAACCCTTTAGAGTGTTGCACGGGGGAAAGAAAGACTGTGAATCACTCACTGTTCCAGATGATCTTTGGCACACGGCAATGCTTATGTTCTATGAGACTATGATTTCTGTACAATGCCAGTGTGAACAGCTGTTACCTCCTTATCACTTATGCTGCAGAGCAAAGGAAGAGATAATTAGTCTTTAAAAGATGGAAGAAACAGGGGAGGTTGGAGGACAGATAGAATGTGCCAGTGGGTCATGTCATGAGCCACGTAAATGTGTTCCACCATAGTCATCTGGAACACTCCATGTCACCTGTTGCTCTGGGCTATCTGAGAAAGGAGGTAGGTGCCACTTTCCCAGCCCCAGTATAGAGATGTCTTAAGACTCATGACGTCCCACAGCTCCTGTCATTCAGGAACTCTGCCCTGATAGATCTCCCCAGAGAAGGCTTCCCCTGTACCTTCCTTCTTTCAAACCACTGATGTAATCTGTCTCTCTGTTTCTCCATTGCTGTGGGTTACCAACTAGTCAGGTCAAGTCAATACAAGCATTTATGGAGCATCCACAGGTCTATAATTGGTACCCAATGGGGAGCAGGGGAAGAGGGGACAAAAAACAAGTAAGCTTCAGCCCTGCTCTCAGGAAGCTCACAGTCCAGTCTACATACCCACTCGACACAACTTTTTTTTAACTTTTATTTTAGATTCAGGGGATACCTGTGCAGATTTGTTACATGGGCATATTACATGATGCTGAGGCTTGGGCTATGAATGATTCCATCACCAGGTACTGAGCTTAGTACCTGACAGCTGGTTTTTCAACCCTTGCCCCCCTCCCTTCCTCCCTCCTCCCCCTAGTCATCCCAGTGTCTATTTTTGCCATCTTTATGTCCACAAGTACTCAATGTTTTAGTTCCCACTTATAAGTAAGAATATGTGATATTTGGTTTCCGTTCCTAAGTTAGTTCGCTTAGGATAATGGCCTCCAGCTGCATGCATGTTCCAGCAAAGGACATAATTTCATTCTTTTTAATGGCTGCATGGTATTCCATGATGTATATGTGCCACATTTTATTTATTCAGTCCACTGTTGGTGGGCATCCGGATGGATGCCATGTCTTTGTTATGGTGAATAGTGCTGTGATGAACACGTGGGTGCCGGTGTCTTTTTGGTACAACGATTTATTTTCCTCTCGGTACATACCCAGTAATAGGACTGCTGGGTCGAACTGTAGTTCTATTTTTAGTTCTTTGAGAAATCTCCAAATTGTTTTCCACAGTGGCTGAACTAATTTACATTTCCACTAACAGTATGTAGGCGTTCCCTTTTCTCCACAGCCCTGCCAGCATATGTTATTTCTTGACTTTTCAATGAAAGCCATACTGACTGGTGTGAGCTAGCATCTCATTGCCATTTTGATTTGCATTTCTCCGATGATTAGCTATGATGAGCATTTTTTCATATCTTTGTTGACCACTTATACATCTTCTTTTGAGAAGTGTTTGTTCATGTCCTTTGCCCACTTTTTTATGGGGTTATTTGTTTTTTCCTTGTTGATTTGTTTACGTTCCTTATAGATTGTGAACATTAGGCCTTTGTCAGATGCATAGTTTGTGAATATTTTCTTCTATTCTGTAGGTTGTCTGTGTACTCTGTTGATAGTTTCTTTTGCTGTACAGAAGCTCTTAGGTTTAATTAGATCCCATTTTCAACACAACTCTTAAAGGAGAAAAGAGAACAGAGAGAATAAACAGAGAACAAAGCCATGTGTTCATTTACTCACTTGGCAGATTTCTCAGTGCAGAGGTGATCAGCACACCTTGTCTTACCATATCTGAAAGGAATGAAGGCCAGGACTATTTGTTCCTTGCTCCTGGCAAAGACGTTTCTGATTCACCCAGGGCTGGCAGTCCATCCCCACCCAGTGGCCCAGGCAATGACCCATTTCCAGGTGGTTTGGACAGTTGTGGGTAGACCAGAACTCCTCTGACTCCCTTGGAAACTCAGAACACAGGCTTCTATCCCCATAAAAAGATAAACACACCAGTTTGATGCTTCTGCCTAAACTCTCTCCGTAAAAAATTGTTAACACGACAGGGTTTTCCTATTACCATAGTAACCCCTGCATGTGAACAGCAGACTGCAAGGCAAAGAGGATGAAAATGCAGAGGAACCCAAGCTTCAGAATGGCATATTGGAAGAGAGAAGCAGGCAGGTGGAGCTGGTCAGCTGTAGGCCTGACCCTGCTGGGACAGCCTGCAATCTCCACCCAGTCTGATCTGGCTGCCGAGTAAGCTGGTGTGTGATTTCTTTTGCTGCAGTCTTTGCCTACAGAACTGTAGTATCTGGAGGTCCAAGAACAGTGACACTGCCCTAGTCTCCACTGGGTTAACTTTCTACCTATTTCTTTCTTTTCCTTCTTTTTTCAAGAGATCTGGGGGAAGATACTTTTGTTTTCAGATGGTGTCACGATGTGGCATAGTTTGAAAGAGAAAGGATGCAAACAAAGCAGAAAACGATAGGGAGATGAAATCAAAGAGCTGGCAAGGAACAGCTGTAATGACCCAAAGCTGTAAGCACTCTGTCCCCCTTGGCCAGTGAGGACAGTTCTTTGCTCTGTGTCCCTTCCAGGTCACAAGTTGGAGGGTACAAAGAGCCTCCATTCAGGCTTCAAAAATAACAACAAGGCTGGGCACAATGGCTCATGCCTATAATCCCAACACTTTGGAAGGCCAAGATGGAAGGATCACTTAGGGCCAGGAGTCCCAGATCAGCGTGGGCAACATAGTGAGATCCTGTCTCTACCAAAACAAAACAAACAAACAAAAACAAGACGAGCAACAAACAAACAAGCAGAAACCCCGGTCGGTTGCCAAGTTACGCAGAAGGGGCTGCTACTTCATCAGTCTTCCTGTCAAACATTCTGTGTCTACATGAAATGAAACTGCAGGCAGATGAGTTAAGGGAAGATGGATAAAGATAATAACGCATCTGACATAACGCAGTAATGTGCTCACCGCAGTACCTGGATCTTCAACTACAAGGTTTGCCACTTGGGAAAATGCAGTGGAAGTATTGTTCTCAGGGGCGCCTGCACCGAAGAAGCAGAGGGCGTCCTGCTCTCAGTCGCGGTCTATAAAATAGGTTCTGATTCCTAAAACTGGAGGCATCATTGAACTTTTGGAGAGTGTTGCCTTAAAGTAATTGTGTTTAACTCTGTGTGTGTGTGTGTGTGTCTGTCTCACTCACATTTACATACAAACTTTTCAAAACACTTACATCTCTAAGCGATACAGATGGCGACACTTCACATGTTTTAAACTCCTACATGCGTTCCTCTAGACATCAGGGCAGGGAAAACATAAGAGGCTTCATTTCCAGCAAAAACAAACTGCAGAGCCCTGGCAACGCCCCCTTTCTCACTCCCCCTTTCCGGAGCACCTTCCCACTTTCTCCTCTTTTGCCAACTCCTGTGCCTCCATCAGTGTCGCTCTGAAACATCTTCTCACCCTAGAAGCTTCCCTGGCATCCCAGGCACGGTTAGGAGCCTCTCCTAAAAGAAGACTTCTTAGAAGATGTGGCATTTCTTGCCTGGCTGATGGAGGCACCTCTGCTGGAATGTGGCAGACAGTGTCGAGCAGGAGAGCACAGCTGCAAATGCAACACGACAGCAGTGTCTCTGTCACATGCGTCCTGTGGGCAGGGGCTTTACTATCTACTAAGGGATTTAATATCTCATTTGAATCCTCCCAGAGGTAGGTGTTCATACCCCCAACTTACAGATAAGGAAACTGAGACTTGGAGAGGATTAAAAAATGTCCTGAGTCAAACACCTATCAAATGGCAAAGCAGGTGTTTAAACACAAGACTTGGGCTAAAGCCTATGTTTTTACCATGGTGTTAAGTGACTTCCCTTGACATGTCCAACAGGCTTTTAGGGTGTTTTCTCAGTCCACACAAGTTGACAAAGATTCTAAAACAAAGCAGTGTGGCCATTTTATGCCAGCAACTTCTTGCCTCCTTTGTAAGCCTTGGACACAATCCTGGCAGCAGCAGATCAAGAGCTCGATTCTGAAGAACCTAGGCCAGGCCGCCACTGGCCCATGCAAAGTCCTGGGAGATCACCCAGGGAAGGTGCGTGCTTTGCTTAGAGCCCATCAGTGTTGCTGTTTCATGCTCCACTGATTCCTATCCAAAATTTTTGCAAGTCCTAAATGCTAGAAGCTCCACCTCAGGTTTAACCCACGCACAGTCTTTTCTTTCTTACTTCTGAGGTTTAAAATTATTCTTTGATTCAAAGTTGTGTTTCTAATGAAGATGACTGAAAGCTGATTTGAAAATATCAGGCATCATTCGCTGTGAAGAGAGAGCCAAAGGGGCTGGCTGGTGCACCAGACACAGATAGTTTCAGAAGACAGTGGTTTCCTATTTAATGCAATGGAGGAATGTCGTTCTGAGAGGTGGCTGTGTTGTTCCTCATTCCACACCCTGCCCACCCCAAGATGATGTCATAGCCAGAGGTAAGATGGGCACCAGTGAAGAGCAGCGCCTTTGGACAAACCTGCCTCCTCTGTAGTTACCTTTGTGAGCCTAAGTGAGTCCATTTTGAATCTCAGATTCCTCATTTGTAAAATGGGGCCGCCAATGCTCCTCTCATAGAGATGTCCAGGAAATTAAATAAAATCATGTACATAAAGCATTTAGTAGCACTGGTTACAACATAGTGAGTCCTCTATTTCGGTAAACAAATCAGGTGCACTTCAGATTAGCCAAAGAGGGAGGCTCAGTTCTGTTCAAATTCTTTTGATTCAGTTCAAATTCCCTTTTGACAATAAAATTCCCATTCTAGAATATGACTTACATTTTCCTAGAGGTAAGATGTACCTAGAGACTAAATCCCAAAGGGTGTGGAGAGCAGATGGGAGAGAAGGGGAACAGGGGACATTGGGAGGGTGGTCAGGATCAAGGGATGGCTCCAACATTCCCATCTCCCCCGACTCCCCCGCCCACCCCCTCCCTGTGGACATGCCCCGTGTCATCCCCTCCCCTGATGTGAATGGGACTTGGGAATATGCCGAGAGAGTCACTCCTGGGATTACTTTATGTTATACATGACTCCATCTTAGCCCACTGGAGAGAGGGATTTGTCCTGATGGCCTCAAAGAAGGGAGCACACTGTCATGCTGTGAACTGCCTACGAGGGCCACAGGCTCAGACTGGAGGGAGGCCTCTAGGAGCTGACAGCCACTCCGCTGACAGCCAGCAGGAAAACTGGAAGAAGTAAACTCTGCCAATAACCTGAGCGAGCTGGGAAGAGGACCTAGAGCCCCAGATGAGACCACAGCCCCAGCTGACCCCTTGATCTCAGCTCTAAGCAGAAAACCTAGCTGTGCCATGCCAGGACTTCTGGTCTACAGAAATTCCAAGATGATGAATGGGTGTCGTTTAAAGCTGCTAAGTTTGTGGTCATTTGTTATGCAACACAGAAGCCTCTACAGTGGGCAAGGGCAATGATGAGAATTTCTTCTTGCCCCTTTTCCTGCCTCCCCATAAATAAAGACAGTACTTAGGGCAGGTGTGGAAGAGGCACCCAAGCTGAAGACTCCCCCAGCTTCGGGCACTCAGGGTCCTCCATATTCTTAGCTGTTCTTCTCTTGCATTCAGAGGCTCCACTGGGAACTGAAACCTCAGCTGGCTCTTCCATGGTCTACCCCAGTCCATGCTGTCACATGACACAACTGATGCATCCGGGAGGCCTAGGGAGTATGTGCATTAGGGGATGGAATTCTTTAGAGAAAAATTCTCCAGCATCTCATGTAACCTCCCTCTTAACAAATATAAATGTTTGGCCAAGGCTTCCAAGGCCTTGAAAAGAAATGAGAGCATTGTCACCTGAACGTTTATCTAAGGTGGGGAGAGGGCAGTAGGGAGGGAGGTCATGATAAGAAGATAGGTTAAGAACCAGTGAAGATGGGCCGGGCATGGTGGCTCACGCCTATAATCCAACACTTTGAGAAGCCGAGGCAGGTGGATCACTTGAGGTCAGGAGTTCAAGACCAGCCTGGTCAATATGGCAAAACCTCATCTCTATTAAAAATACAAAAATTAGCCAGGTGTGGTGGTGCATGCGTGTAGTCCCAGCTACTCAGGAGGCTAAGGCAGGAAAATCACTTGAACCCGGGAGATGGAGGTTGCAGTGAGCCAAGATTGCACCACTGTACTCCAGCCTGGGTGACAGAGCGAGACTCTGTCTCAAAGAAAAATAAACAAAAGAACCCATGAAGGTGTGAGCTGGGAAGGCTTGTGGGTGGCCCAGGGGCTAATGGAAAGAAGGCCAAATGTGAGGATGACTCAGTGACAGTGGTTTTCTAAATGAGGTGGTCTAGTTCTGGACTTTTCCAGTTAATGCCCCCTCCACATCTTGCCTCTATGTTCTTCCCACAGTAGGCATAATTTTTTTTTTTTTTTTTTTTGCAGTTGCAAGATTTAATAGAGTGAAAACAGAGCTCCCATACAAAGGGAGGGAACCCAAAGAGGGTAGCCATTGCCAGCTCGAATGCCTGGGTTTATATCCCAATCACTGTCCCTCCCACTATGCTCTCAGGTGATAGATGATTGGCTATTTCTTTACCTCCTGTTTTTGCCTAATTAGCATATTAGGGAGTTCTCTTTACTACCTGGTTGGTGGGGTGTGAGCTAAGTTGCAAGCCCCGTGTTTAAAAGTGGATGCAGTCACCTTCCCAGCTAGACTTAGGGATTCTTAGTCGGCACAACAGGCAATTGTTATAAATTCTTGTTAAGTCACTCCCTTTTCTTTCTCTCTACCAAGAAGTAGAAAGAGATTAAAGTGCGTCCTCTCCAGAGGTATATGCACAGTAGGAAAGTATAGGAAATCTGAAGGTCTTCAGGACTCAAAAAAATGAACTAACCAATGGTGGGTTTTCAGGCACCATGGCATCAAGTGGAGGAAACCGTCTGGGAGCAGTTTGCTTCCAGGAGATACCACCAGCCCACTGTGTTAACAGTGGTGCCTCTGATTCCTGGGTAGGGCAGGGGTCCCAGGATTGCAGAATGTTAGAGCAGAAAGAGACCTGTTTCTACACTCCTGACTTCAGAGGAAAGGAATCAGGGCCTGCAGAAGTTAAAGCAATTTGTCCAAGGCTCCTCAGCATAATAAAGGCAGGGCCTGGTCTAAAATCAGGACCTTTAGCCCCTGAGAAGGGCCTACCAACCCACATAGTCCTCCAGTTGCTGATGTGGATGGATATGGCCAGAATTCCGGGAAGTCATGAGTCTCAGAGGCCAAAGGAAAGGCAAGCAAGGCTGCCTGCTACATCAGCTGCCCTTGGAGGCCCCTGAGGGAGGCTGATGGAAAGCCCAGCACCAAAGGAGGAGCTGTGGGAAGGAGAAGGTCAGAGCTGGAGGCCTGAGGAGCAGGCAAGGTAGTGGGTGGTGGAAAGGGCCTACTGCTGCCCCACTCTGGCAGGGCCCACCTTGAGCTCTGCTGGAGGGGAGTAGCAGCCTCCACCTGGGCCTCCTGCCTCCCATCTCCAAACTGTCTCCACACCACTGCCCAAAAAATCTTGCTAAAGTAAAAATCAGATCATGGCATTCCCAAAACCCTTCTGTGTCTCCCAACTGCCCACAAGTCAGAGCCATTCTTGGCTCTTCTTTGGGCACTTACAAAACATCCAACTAACAGAGGCTTAAGCAAGCGGACATTTAATTATTTCACATAACAAGAAGTCTACAAGTAGGCACTCAGAGCTGGAGCAGCAGCTCACCCTCATCAAAGACTCTTTCTCATCCTAATTTTCCACATCCTGTTCCTTAGCTGTGGGTTACCACCTCAGGGCTGCAAGGTGTTGGTTGCAACTCCACATTATGTGTGTATTCCAAGCAAGATGAAGAGTTCCTGCCTGGCAACAATGATGGTTCCTTCAGTAGGAGAGTGATATGGTTTGGCTGTGTCCCCACCCAAATCTTGAATTACAGCTCCCATAATTCCCACATATCATGGGAGGGACCTGGTGGGAGGTAATTGAATCATGGCAGTGGGTCTTTTCCATGCAGTTCTCATGATAGTGAATATGTCTCATGAGATCTGATGGTTTAATAAAGGGGAGTTTCCCTGCACATGCTCGCTGTCTCACCCGCTGCCATGTAAAACATGACTTTGCTCCTCCTTTGCCTTCCACCATGATTGTGAATCCATTAAATCTCTTTTTCTTTATAAATTACCCAGTCTCAGGTATGTATTTATTAGCAGCATGAGAACAGACTAACACAGAGAGCAAAGCACATTTCTGCTGCAAACCCCAGGTACATATAAGTTTACTGTCTTTGTCTAGAACTGTGTCACATGGTCACTCCTCTCTGCAAAGAAGATGCAGAAAATGTGGAGTTAGCTTTTCCAGCCATGGTAAGATGTCAGAGGAGAGAGGGTTGGGAGTGGCTATTTGGTGAGTCTGGCAACACTGAAGCCACATTGGCTTTCAAACTCACCAGTGGCTACTTCCTCTCTTGCCAGGCTTGCTGACTGACTCCCCATTTCGTTCCTTGGGTTCTCAGTCTGCAACATCCTCCCCAGCCTTGCCAGCCTGGCAATTCCTTACTCCTCCTTCAAGACTCAACTCATGGCCCCTCCTCTGCTACCCAGATTCCTCCCTGGCATCCTGCACAAACTTTCACCATGGCACCTCTTCTATGAGAGCAAATTTTTCCTTTACCTGAGGGCCCCATCATTAGCCTCTGAGCTCTTTGAGGGCAGGTGTTATGTCTCATTTTTACTTTTTCAGTGTGCAGGCCTAAAATCCTAGAGTCATACCTCCTTTCTTTCTTCACGTCCCATGTCTGCTCTATAGTAAATCCTGTCACATATCCTCTATGTAACATACATAACCAGGTTCCTGATGCTCTACCACCATCCTGACCCACCTTGTCTCTCACACGCTTTGCTACAGTGCCCTTTCAACTGCCTCCCTGCTCGTCCCTTTCCTGACCTCCATCCAGTCAATTTCCATCACAGCAGATCATGTCCTTCCTCTGCTCTAAACCCCCGGATGGCTCACATTCCACTCAGAGTCAATGCCAAAGTCCTTTACATGTCCTATAAAGCCTATATCATCTGCCTCCATCCCCTACGTCTCTGATTTCCTCTCCTACCACTTTCCCCCTTAAAGACAAGATACCCACTGGCCTCCCTGCAGGTCTTAAACCACACCAAGCATGCTCCAGCCTCAGGGCCTTTGCATGGCTGTTCCTTTTACTGGACAGATGGTTCTACCCCTATGTATTAGTCAGGATTCTCCAGAGAAATATAATAGAACCAACAAGATATATAGAGATATATAAGAAGAGATTTATTATGAGAATTGGTTCATGAGATTACAGAAGCCAAGAAATCCCGCCACCTGTCAACTGCAGTCTGGAGAACCAGGGAACCTGGTGATGTGATGCAGTCCAAGTCTGAGGGCCTGACAACCAAGGGAGCTGATGGAGTAAGTTCCAGTTCAAGGACAAAGGCCTGAGACAGAGTAGCCACTTGTGTAAGTCCCAGAATCTGATCTCCCAAGAGCCAGGAGCTCTGCTGTCTGAAGATGGGAAAAGATGGGTTTCCCAGCTCAAGCAGAGAGCTAATTTGCCCTTCCTCTGCCTTTCTGTTCTATTGGGGGCCTCAATGGCATGGATGGTGCCTGCCCACATTGATGAGGGTGGAGCTTCTTCACTCAGTCTGCTGATTCTAATGATCATCCTTTCCAGAAAAACCCTTGCAGATGCACCCAGAAGTCATGCTTCCTCAGCTATTGGGGTTTCCCCTAGCCCAGTCAAGTTGACATATAACATTAATTATCACACTCAGATATCCATGTCCACTCCCTCCCCTCACTCAGGGCATTTTACTCAATGCCATCATTACAGTGAGGCCACCCGTAACTGCAAAATTTAAAATTGCCATGCCCCACCTAACACTCCCCATCTCTCTTCCCTGGTTTATTTTCTTCAAGGCACTTAACTAACATATTAATAGTATATAATTTAGGTATATAATTTATTCATTTGTTTCCACCACTCTCCCTGTGGATTATAAGCACTCTAAAGGCTGTTTTGTTCTCTGCTATAAACTGAGGCCTAGAACACATAATAGTTGCTCAAAAAATATTGATAATTAATTGACTGATTGATTGCATGAGTGGATCTTTGCATCCCAAGCACGATGCCTGGCCCATGGCAAAAGATCAATAAATGTGTTAAACTGATGAACAAATGACCAACTGAGTTGGGAAGTACAGACTGGAAAGAATGGATGCACTGAGCAAAGGCTATTGAGAAGCTAGTGCTACAACAGCACATCAGGAAACCAGGTGTCACAGCAATATGAGTAGGGCGTGGGGAAGGAGAGCACTGGGGAAGGAAAGTGAGAGGGGAATACTGTGACATTCAAGCCATTAATTCCATCCAGGATTAATTTTAATTAACCCCCAAAAGGCAACTCAATTCTATTTTCTCTTTCATCCTTCAAGTTCAAGCATGGATCTTGATTTAGAGGGTAGGAGGGGAGCCCCTTTTGTATAGATGGAGGAAGAACACAAGAATAAGAAGCCCTACTGACTTTACAGGGTGGGCGGCAGAACAAAGGTCTGGTTGTGCTACGTGAAGCCTGGCCAAAGATAAAGTGGGGAGGAAAAGAAAGATCCTGGTGCCGTGCCCAAAATCTGGTTGCGTCTGTAATGCAAGCTGTGTTTATGACCCATTTTTACTGTGGTTTGTTGTGTGTGTAACAGAGTCGAATCTCAGCAAATCCAGTAGCTGTTGCTGAAATGCAATTCAACCCAGTTACATTTTGTACCAGGTTATGCTGTAGCCATGAATTTTTTATTGAAAACTATACTACTAGAGTCGATGGAATTGTTTTAATTTATTCCAATTTCTCTGAGAGAAGACCAAGTAAAGGAGGGTATGCAAACTCTTCTTCCCAAGAGATGGTAAATGACCTTCAGCATGACCACATTCTCAGGTTGTGGGGTTAGGCAATGAGAAGAGGGGGACCCCAGGCCTCAGAGCATGTGTCACTAGGCTCAGCCAATGCTCCAGGCTAAAAAGTGGGCTGCCCAAAGTCCCTGTTTGCTCACTTTGCAAAATGGGCCTGATAATACCTTCCTCCTTGTTGGATTTTTGCAGGGTCACATGAGATATCTATGAAACTGCTTTAGAAAACACAAAAGGATGTTAATGAGTCAAGGTGGGAATAAGCAGCACTGGACTGGGCCCATGGGCCTGAGGAACCTGTGTTGCTGAGCTGGGCTCACAGGTGACCGCCAGAGAAGAGTCTTGGCCCCAGGCAGCTACAGACTGCAAGATAGAGCAGGTTGGAGACACCAAGGAACTCCCAGCATGAAGGCCTGCTGTCTCTAATCAGATCTGACTATACAGAGTGGGCCATGTGTGTCCCTTGAACTAGAAGCTCGACCCTGACAGTCTTGGAAGAGGTCTGTGAGACTCCCGGAAATAGCACCCAGAGCTATCAACTCTAAAGTATTAAGATGCCCTGTTCTTTTCTTTCATAAATCCACTTACCTAAACAAAAAATAAATAACATTCACCCTCCCTTCCCACCCTCCCCTCTTTCACATCCTCTCCTTTAAGAGCCCACTTCCCCTATAGAAGCAGAGCTCTTTCTGTCGATTTGGGAGAGATCATGTTAAACATTGCAAAGAGGACCCAATGTTCCTAGTTATAACCCTGAGTTCTGGTTATTCAAATGAAAGGGTATCTCAAAATCAGACCCAGATTCAGCATGTCACCTACACAAACCTGTATAACTCATATACAATGTGAGCCTCCTCTCGCTGAACCAACTGTAGATCCATATGCACATGCAGTGTGCAGCATTTGTCTGAACACGGGGTAACCTTGGATACCAAGAAAACCAACTTCCTTGGTCTAGTTGCTAAGACAACAGGACAGAGGTGGGTACGGGGGAGCCCAGCATAGCTATCTACAGGCTGTGCTGTTGGCAGGGGGACATGGGGAGGGGAGAATGGGAGGGCTTTGGGCCGCCCACCTCTCCAAGCCTGGACTCCAAAGGCTGCAGGGACAGTGCAATATTCTTGTGTCACCAAATACCAAGGAACCTCTAAGTGGGACCCTATGATGCAGTCCTAGAGGGATGCAGGACCAACAGAACTGCCTGGAGGTGGGGATTGGGGACCAGATGCAGGCAGACATAAAGTGAAGGAGAGGGATGCTCCAGAGTTGAGGAGTGTGAGTTGTGGGACACAGCAGCTACCTGCACAGATGAAGGTCGAATCCAGAATATTCTGGCTCCAACCACACAATTCACCCCAATGCGTTATTCATGTAAGCCTGGCTAGTCCTGTAGTGATCCACCTGTGAATGGTTGGAAGTAAAGCTGAATGTTTTAGAATATTCTAAAGATCAGGAGACAGAGGTATTAAAACCCAAGAGTCCCTGCTCCTACTCCATCACCAGTCTGATCAGAGGCCCTGTGTTTACTCTGTTTTCATCAGATTTGACCTGCAGAGTGGGCCAGTGCCCTCTCCATGCTGAGGAAGCCAACATCTTGTTCTCTTCCAGGCCCCAGAGAGGTAAGAGGCTCCCTACTCTTTCTTGAGCCTGGAGGGAAATCACTCTCATGGGCCGTCAATCCAGGCAGGGCTTCATGACCCTGAGCCACCTGTGTTCACCCAATTCATGAATCATAACTTTTTAATTTTGTTTTTATGATTTATAAGTTTTTGAAGATATAAGGAAGTTCACAAAGACACAGAGACAATGGGCCATTAAAATAATCATTAACTGAAAATTTCATCAAATTGCAGATGTAAGGGAAGGCCAGTCAAGGAGTGGCCTAGAGTGCTTGTATCGGAAACTAGCTAAAGCTAGTTGCTAAAATTAAGCTGAAAATTTAGATCTGAGCTTTATGGCAACCATTTTCTATGCACCTCAATGAGTTTCTAATGGTCTTATAGGCACTAGAGACCCACTAGAGATGTGGACCACGGTCCCTATCCGCATAGATGTGGACCACTGGGCCTGCAGAGGAAACTCCCTGTGCCCATGGCCTCCCTTGCCCTTCTAGGTCCGCCCTTACCTATGCTGGCAGCTGGCTCGATGAACGCAATCCATCCAAAAACGAGCTATCCATTGTGCAGCAAGTATCTTTTGAGGACTGACAATTTGCCATGCTCTGTAACAAGTATGGGGTATACAATGGTGAACAAAAGAGTCACAGTCTCTTTCCATGGGAAGTTCATGATCAACAAAGAAGAAAAACCCTAAGCAAATCACTCCCCTTCCTAGAAACATTAGATGAACTGGACCAATCAGATTCTTCTCTCGGAAACTGAGAATTGGGGCAGTGAGTAAGAAAGCCGGGGAGCTGGGAGGTCATACGGAATAAGAAGGTGACTGGGGCCATGGGAAAGCAGGTGAGCCTGCACAGGAGGCTGGTCTGCAGAGGGGAGCCTGGAGCAGAGGCTCAGGGAGGCCCCAGGTCAGGTGGAATTAGGAAAAAGGTGGCCTTGTTGCCAAAAGCTTTCTGGATTCCACGAGACTTGCAGTAAATATCCCCTTTACCTGAGTAGGTTTGAGTGTAAGTAGGTTTGAGTGGGTCTCTGTTGCTGGTAATCAAAGGAACCATGGTGATAACCCCCCCTCCCCCCGCAGTTCTTCACAGCTGCAACCATTTGGAGGCCTGTAGAGCCTGTCTTCATTCTGATCTTTCCCCATACACCTTCTGCTCTAGCAGACCAGACACCACAGTCCTGACAAACACCCGGGGCATGGCCTGCTCATGCTGTGCCCCTCAGCTCACCTCTACCTATCTCAACCCTCCCCACCTGCCAGGCTCATTGGTAGGCTTGCCCCTTCCTGCAGCCCTCTCTGGTCCTCTCTGCATGGCCTCTCCCTTACTGACCTCAGGCATGGCTGGGCAGCCCCACCATCATCACTTGTTAATCTGGTTTCCCTAACTGCCCAGCAGCTATCAGCCCTCAATAAGTGTTTTTGTTTTTTCAAAAAAAGTAAATAATCATTCTGCATGTGTACCCCAGAACTGAAAGTATAATAATAAAAATAAATTTTAAAAAACATAAATAATGAGGTTAAAGACTCTACCACTTATTTTCTGTAGGTTCCCCCAACACCCAAGTGGATTACCTAGAACAGCTGAGGAGGCAGAAGTTAGAGAAGTGAACAGCAGGCATTGGGCTCCAGCTGGACACAGAGGCAGAAGGGGAGCAGGCAGGCTGCAGTGAGGAGGGGCGGCCCTCCAGGACCATATCGGTGGCCCCTGCAAATAGAGAAGAAGGGGAGTGACCGGACATCCCACAGAGTGAAGTCAAGGAAAGAGGACAAGGGGACAGGGAATTAGAGAAGGAATATGGGAAAGAGGTGAAGATTTCTAATTTGATTTCAGAAATAAATTATTTCTGAATGATTTCCAATTTGAACCAGACTGGTTCAAGATAGGATGTGTGTTAATATATATTTCCTGAATTTTAAAAGAAGTAACTATTTGTAGTAGAAATGTAGAAATTTTGGTATTTATCAGGAAGAAATACAAATTTTACATAACAAAATAACTGAAAATCCCAACACTCAGATAAAACTTTTGATATCATTTCAGTCTATATCCATCTAGCTTCCCCCTACCCAGTGTGTGCATCTGTGCATGCATGAGTGTGACTTACTTACTTGTAGGGTATCATTACGTGATTGTGAATGCACTGATTTGCAATACATATTTTCTTATAATACTAGGACTTCTGAAACATTTTTATATCCACTATATATCTATTATATGGCTATTTATAATAAATCAATTGTGATTTGTGTACTCAATCCCCATGCTGGGCATCGTGTTAGTTCCATTTTTTGCTGTTCTAAAAATGCTAAGACGACATCTTTGTGGATGAATCTTTGTACTTATCTATGATTATTTTCTTAAAATAAATTTCTAGAAATAAAAAGTAAGTAAAATTGTAACACTTTTGATAGGCCTTGCCAAGTCCCCCTCATTTTTCCACCCGCCAGCATGTGGCACTGCCTGCTACCCCATCCTGGACAGGCCCACCCAGCAGACCATGTTCCTGCTCACTTTAGCTGTCTGATATCCAGGGACCTCCTAGTGCCTGACATGAGGTCCATGTAGGACTCGATAACTCCTTGTTGCTGTTGTTGTTGGACACTGGGTCTCACTCTGTCACCCAGGCTGGAGTGCAGTGGCATGACCACTGCTCACTGCAGCCCCAACCTCCTGGGCTCAGTGATCCTCCCTGCTCAGCCTGCTGAGTAGCTGGAACTACAGGGGCGCACCATCACACCCAGCTAATTTTTTTAA
Organism: Homo sapiens; assembly: GCF_000001405.40. Classification (NCBI taxonomy): domain Eukaryota; kingdom Metazoa; phylum Chordata; class Mammalia; order Primates; family Hominidae; genus Homo; species Homo sapiens. The sequence continues at coordinate 101,264,722 of NC_000008.11, read as the reverse complement.
TTTGTAGTAGAGACAAGGTCTCACTGTGTTGTCCAGGCTGGTCTTGAACTCCTGAGCTCCAGGGATCCTCCCACTTTGGCCTCCCAAAATGCTGGGATGGCAGGCATGAGCCACTGCTCCCAGTAATACAACCTTGTGGATTAACTGAATCTTCCCTTGCACCCTTTATTCTCCCAACCACATAAACACCCTGGAGATCTCAGTCTGCCACCTCTTGTTTCCAATAACCTGTTCTTTACCCTTTCTTTGGTTTGAGCTTTGGAGGGTCTGTGGGGAAGCAGTAGAAGAACTGGACAGTTAGTTTTCAAAGAAGTAGTTAAAATTTCTAGATGGTCTCATCGAAGTCTAAGGCATCAAAGCTTCATATAGAATGTGTATATTTGTATTTGGGTCTGCTGCAAAGGAGCTGTGCGACCTTCCATCACTTCTGAGTTTCCTTCCATCTTCAACCTCCTCTTAGAAGTTTATGCACAAACTTAAACACCCAAGCTAATCCCCACTGAGAGACCTGAGATCACTCTTTACGCTGCCCTGCCTTTGCGCATGCTCATCTTTCAGCCTTGAATGACTTCCCCTCCCTTCCGCACTTTCCTTTCCACACTTTTTTTTTCTTTTTAAAGATTCCGTGTAACCACCTCTTCTTTTGTATAAAATGAACCCATTCCCCATCCTAGATAGAGTTGACATCTGGTACACACTTCTGTAATAAATCCTTTTTATTTTAGTTGCCTGTTTTCATGCCTGTCTTTCCCTCTAGTCTACGAGGTTCTAGAGAACAGTCACATGTTCATTCAACTTGGCAACCTCAGCCCTAAGTACACATAGGAGCAGCCAATAGATGTTTACTCGATACGCATCTGTGAAGTTAATAAATGATCCTTGATGATCATTTTTATGGATGACTCTATTGACATGTATTGACTCAAAGTTGCTGGAGTTCCCACATCAAATAAGGCAATGCTGATGGCACCCCCAGCCTTGCAGAGCAAGGAAAGGAGGCCCTAGGGCCACAAACCTACCAGCCTCTACCTCCTGACTCCTTCTTTACAATTTAAAAAGAAGGGGGAAATACCCAGAAAAGGCAAGTGCAAATACTTCAGAGGGAAGTCTTGGAGTCAAGTCATCTCCTGGGTAACAGCTAACATCAAGGTATGACATTGTAACTGCCTGACAGTTTCTAAGTGGTGTATGTACAGGGAGTCAGTGAAGCCTCACAACAATCCTAAGGGGTAAACAGTTTCATCATTTCCATTTGTCAGGGAAGAAAACTGAGGCGCCATGAGGTTAATAGAACTTATCCCTCAGGCCAGGCATGGGGGCTCATGACTGTAATCCCACTATTTTGGGAGGCCAAAGCAGTAGGATTGCTTGAGTCCAGAAGTTCAAGTGCAGCCTGGGCAACATAGCAAGTCCCTGTCTCTACAAACAAAGAACTTGTCACTCAGATAACGAGGCCATAGCCAGGATTTAAACACAGGTAATCTAGCTGCAGCATTTGAGCCTTTATCCTCTATACTAAATGACCTAGTATCGAGTCTAGTATAGTGGAGATCTCTCCCTTATGCTCCCCAGCAGCCATTCATCTTTTTCTGGTAACTAAATAGCATAGATTTTCTTCTTATCCTTGTGCTCTGGTTGGAGTGCTGGAGCATGTGACCCGGACCTAGGCTGGTACCAATCAGAACAACCCATTTCCTATACCCAGTGATTGGACCCAATCAGAGCCAATGAGATTCAACTTGACCACTGCAGGGATTTCTGGGAAAGAAACCACTCTATCTGCTGGACTTGGAGTTGAAGACTGAGGAGCAGCGGCAGCCATCTTGCCATGCTGTGGCACTGAGCATGAAGCCATCAGGCCGGAAGTGGAGCCGAAAGTTGAGACTAGAGACCAGGCGCAGTGGCTCACGTCTGTAATCCCAGCACTCTGGGAGACTGAGGCGGGCAGATCACGAGGTCAGGAGTTCGAGACCAGCCTGGCAAACGTGGTGAAACCCTGTCTCTATTAAAAATACAAAAATTAGCTGGGCGTGGTGGCACACACCTGTAATCCCAGCTACTTCGGAGGCTGAGGCAGGAGAACCACTTGAACTGGAAGGCGGAGGTTGCAGTGAGCCGAGATTGCACCACTGCACTCCAGCCTGCACAACAGACCGAGACTTGAACAACAATAAAAAAAGATGAGGACCAGAACCCTGATCCCGATGACCTTGTTTGAGGCCTTCTCAAGCTGTGCCCGAAACCAAACGTCTCTTAAACCTTTCAGTGATATGATCTGATAAAGTCAATTTTAGTTCAAGCCAGGCTTTGTTTTAAAATGTCTTTTTTTTTTTTTTTTAGACGGAAGTTTCACTCTTTTTGCTCAAGGTGGAGTGCAATGGCGCGATCTCGGCTCACTGCAACCTCCGCCTCCCGGATTCAAGCGATTCTCCTGCTTCAGCCTCCTGAGTAGCTGAGATTACAGACATGAGACACCGCGCCCGGCCTAAAATGTCATTTTCTTCGGTGCCACGGGGAAGTGAAATAGTCCTGAACAAAATTATATATCCTATCTGAGGTTGGGATGAGGCACAGAGGTGGGAAGAAAAAGTCCACAGTCAAGTACATGGGCTGGACATAAATGAGAGCAAGACTGAAATGCTGAGGGGGCTGCAGGGAGAGGCACAAGTTACTTGCATATAGCGGTGATAAGCCTAAGTGAGGCAAACTGAAGTCCTCAGGGTTTTCTATGTTTTTGTTTTCCATGTGGCTAAAAATTCTGTGATTTTTGTATACTACTGCAGAAATACAGAATCAGGTCTTTTATTTCATAACTTACTGACACTGGCTTAATTTCTTTGCACAGTTCTACCCTATTTCCAAAAAGCTAAAGAGAGGAATGTGCTAGACCACCCTCCCTGCCTCACTATGCCATAGTCTCTTTTGGGCACACATTATATTCCTATCCATGACAAGCAGCCAGGGCAGAAGAGCTCTCTACATATGTGCCACCTTGTCTCCAAAACCTGCTGTCCCCTTTGGACAGACTGGCCCATCCCTGACCACTGTTCTCCCCTGTCTTCAATTCCTGATGGCAACAAGAGAGATTCTCTGACTGTTTCCAAGGATGTCATTCTCAGCCTCACCTCCAAGTTTGATTTTATAGAACAACCAATAAATGTGGTTTCACCTTCCTTGAGTTCACAACCATTCTCCAAAGTGTATTCAGAAGAACACGAGTCCTGGGAGATGTTTCTCACAAACAGAGCTTGAAGGCCAGTTTGGAAAATATTGCATGCCGTAACTCCCTTTAGAGATTCACAGTGCACGCTTTCATTTCCAAGGCTTGGAGAGCCTTTTCTCACATTTTATGGGCAAGAAATGATTTTTAACGTTGTGTTAACATTCTTCAGAGCAGGTATTCCATGGAGTATGCTTTGAGAGATACCAATTTAAGAGCATAGTTTATGATCAGTAAATTATAAGCAAATATTTTATTAATTCTACTATTACAAGAACGTCACTTTAAATAATTTGAAACAGACTAGGAATGTTCTTTTACCTTCTGCTTTGATGAAAGTAGATGCCTGTTATGTCCAAGTGAATGTGAATCCATCATTTTCCCTCCGTTTCTTAAATCCTGCAGCTCTAGTGCTCATGCCATCACCATGCAGGAGTCCAAGTGAGATGAGGACTAAGAATTTGCTGTAAGGAAATATGGTATGAGCAGAAACAGGGGTAATGGTTGAAAATATGCAACTGAGGACAGAATGTACCTAGGAGACAGTGGTTGACTCTCCAGCAATGCCACTGAGGCTGCTAATAGAGGTGCTGTGTGCTCCCCCGTTTTTATGCTCATCTCCTGGAGGACAGAGGCATGCAGAGCCAAGGGAACAGAGAGAAGACATAGCAGTTCCAGCATCCAAGACAGGGTCACGATGGATGTATTGTCCTTCCTGGTTCCCAGTGTAAAGCCACTCACAATGGCCATGTTTGAACACTGTATGTGCCAGGTGCAGGGCTGAGAGTTTAATATCATTATCTCATTATTAAGTCCCCACAATGGTTTTGAGAATGTCATTTATCACCATTTTGTAGATGAGGAAACTGAGGTTTAGAAGCTGACCCACAGTCATAAATCCACTAAACTGGCATGGTTCCCAGATCCCTTCACCAGGAAGCTACAAGGTCTCACATCACCTGGGCAGTGTCCCACCAGCACATCCTGCTTTGTCCCACAGGAGTGACATGAGAGTGTGGCAGGTGTGTTCAGAGCCACAGGCCCACAGCCCAGTCAGGCTGTTCTTGTGTTGACTGACAGCCTTGGGACTTGGTCACCTGAGCCCCAGTCTGGGAGGAGACAGGAAACCAGCTGGTAGTTGAGGAAGACTTATGAGCAGTTTTCAAAGTACCCTAATAGATGCTAGAAAGAGAGAAAACTATTTGACTCTGGTGTGTATGACTCACATTTTGAATTTTTAGTAGCATAAAAATGGATTATATTTATAATTAAATGAGGGGTTTTTTGGTATTTGGATTTAAAAAACAAGGGGCAAAAAGGAGAAAAATTGGTCTTTACTGGGCAAACAACTAGGTAATAATTAACTACTATTAAGAATCAAGTAGGAATCTTAATATCTTTTCAGTTTTTATAAACCAAGGAATTTTGATGGGGATGAGGTGATGAACCCCATCTCTAGTCCTTTCTTTAGTGAGGATCGCTTGTGATGAGTTAGGATATGCATAGAGGGGAGAAAGGAAATTGAGGGGTAACATATTGGGATATCATTGTTTCTCAGTTACTTATTTCTTCACCTTCAGCTGCTATCATGGAGCTGGGACTGAGTCATTCTAGAAAGGGCACACATTTACCTTCCATACTTATATATTTAGAGCGTCTATTATCTAACTTTGCCTGCTAGTATTGTTAACTAGGTACATATCTGACACCCCCACTATTTCATACTTCCACATTTCAACTTAAACCAGTAATGATAAAAGTGAGGATCTGAAATCTGACCTGAGTTCAAATGCTGACTGCATATGACCTTGGATAAATTAGTTCAATTCTATGAGCCTCAGTTTTCTCTTCTGTAAAATGGGGATTATAACAGTCCATTCCTCAAAGGCTTGTGAAGTTTAATAAGCATGATGTATATATAGTTCTTAGTGCAATGCCCGGCACATAGGAAGCACTTAATGATACTTGTTCCATTCTTAAGGAAAAGGCTGTGCTTTGTAATGAAGAAAAAGTTAACTATTTGTAAAGTAGTTTCATGCAAATTATCTTGATCCTAATACAGAGCTCAGCAACTAGAAGTCAGGCTGCTTGGGAAAACTTGGCATTCTGTTACAATGATGGTGGAATAGTAATTGAGAAATCTTTTAGGAAGGCAATAGGGTAACAGAAATCAAAGACATAACTTTTGACCCTGCAGGACATGTACACAAAGATGCATATGTAAAAGTTCATCATAATCTTGTTCATAATATTGAAATTTTGGAAACAACCTAAATGTCCAACAATATGAGATTAGTTTATAAATATGGGTACATCCACACAGTATGTATGAGGACTCTTCTTGTTGCAAGTAACAGTATCATATCGGATGTAGCTTAAGCCACAAGAGGGAATAATTGACTTAATCAAGAGAGGTAGACCTAGCTCAGATGCCCCTGTTCTGTAAACCCTTCTCTGACCCACCAGGCAGGATAAATTACTCCTCTGTGCTGCCAGAGTATGACCTTTATGTATCTTTCTATCCCCAATGCCTAGAGCAGTGTCTAGTCCAAGCTAGGAGCTTAGCAAATGAATGAATGAATCAGCCAATGAATCAATAACTTTATGTGAGAGGCCAGAAGGAAGCAATGTGGTCTAGTGGAAACAGATGTGGAGGCAGGTAGTCCTCAGTGCAGAACCTACCTTTACTGCTTACTAGCTGTGGTTACCTTAGGAAAGTCACTCAACCAACCTGAGCCTCAGGTTCTGCTTTGTAAAATGATAGTCATGGTAGCCACCTTTTCCAATAACTGCAGAGGATTGAAGAAACCACTTATCTTTAATTTAAAAAATACTGATATATCTTTCTAATTATCAAAGTAATAATTAAATTGCACCTTTTTTTTTTTTTTTTGGAGATGGAGTCTCGCTCTGTCACCCAGGCTGGAGTGCATGATCTCCGTTCACTGCAAGCTTCACCTCCCAGGTTCAGGCCATTCTCCTGCCTCAGCCTCCTCAGTAGCTAAGACTGGGACTACAGGCGTCTGCCACCGCGACTGGCTTTTTTTTTTTTTTTTTTTTTTTTTGTATTTTTAGTAGAGACAGGGTTTCACTATGTTAGCCAGGATGGTCTTGATCTCCTGACCTAGTGATCTGCCTGCCTCGGCCTCCCAAAGTGCTGGGATTACAGGTGTGAGCCACTGCGCCAGGCCTTAAATAGCATCTTTTGACGCTTTTTATGCAACTTGAAGATTTTAGCCTGCTTTTACTCCCCAGATTTCTCCTTTACTCACTTCCAGGTCTGTATGAATATAAGCAAGGTTTCTAGATATTTCTTAAGGTAGCATTCAGTCATTCATTTATTCAACCCATATTTACCCCCTCTACCAACTAGGCACTATACATGTTCTGAGCGCTCACAAAGATGGGCAGATAAATGTAAAGAACAAGACTATGTGGAAAGTGCTGCCAAAGAGGTGTGGCTTAAAAGCATACTATAGAAACACAGAGGAAGGAGCTGCAGCTCCAGGAAAGCTGGAGGAGGTCAGTTCTTCCCAATAATCACTGATACATGAATCTTGAAGTTGCTAAAGAAGACATGGGGTTTTTCTTAAGTAAGCAGGACTGCGCAGAGATGCTTGACTTCTAGTTACAGCATGCAGTGGTAACAACAGCAGAGAAGAGGTCTCTTTGATGGAATGTCCACACTTCTGGTATCTTCCTAAGAGGGAACAGTGACAGGACTGACCCATTGTACGGGGGAAGCCCTCTGGGGCTCTGGAATATCATGAAAGATGAGCTGGTGGGACAAAATTTGGTCTTCCTGCTAATGGAGGCATGAGGGGCCTCAGGTGGTGGATCTTAGGATACCACTCAGGGAGTTCATTGTACCCAACCAGAAAGAGTAAGAGTCGTTGGTTACACTAGGAAACTATTCTTGGCTGGGTGCAGTGGCTCACGCCTATAATCCCAGCACTTTGGGAGGCTGAGGCGGGTGGATCACCTGAGGTCAGGAGTTTCAGACCAGCCTGGCCAATGTGGTGAAACCCTGTCTCTACTAAAAATACAAAAATTAGCTGGGCATGGTGGCAGGCGCCTGTAATCCCAGCTACTCGGGAGGCTGAAGCAGGAGAATCACTTGAACCTGGGAGGCAGAGGTTGCAGGGAGCCGAGTCGCACTATTGCACTCCAGCCTGGGTGACAAGAGCAAAACTCCATCTAAAAAAATAAAATAAATAAAAATATTATTTAAAAAATAAAGAAAACTATTCTTGTCCTGTAGGGGTGAACTGTCACTCCCATTTCCCTGAATTTTCAGGGTCAAATTGCAAGCAAGGGTGAAGGCAGTGTCAGCTGGTAGGTGTGTCTGAGGCTTCCACTCCAGTTTCATTATTTTGAGCTTGGATGCCTGTTGTCTTCTAGTATCTTCAAGTTTCAAACTCCCAGACTCCTGAAGCCTCAGGGTTATTTGTCTTGGTAACCAACACATGAGCATTCTTGCTCCCACCACCTGTTCAGGCAAGGTAAGGAAGCAACTAGGCTTTAAACATATGACGCCCGGCTCCAGGTGCCCATCCTGATGTCCCAGTATACTTCTTATTTTCTGGTTTCCTACTGTCTTGGATCTACAGCTAATTCTTTATTTAAGCTGCTAACACCCTTCCCTCTGTTATTCTATGAGCTTCCAGTCAGAATGATAAGAACCTCAAGCTGCTTCACTGGTGTAGGGCCCGTGAATGAAGGGAGAGGGAGGTGCATTTTGAGCTGAATTACACTTCTGCCAGCATACTCCAGAACTTTTCCTATTAACTGAGCTCTGTCTACCATTCCATCTCAATCTCACAGCCTTTCACCATGTACTGGGCAAACAGAACAGGCAAAGATTTATTTTGGGGCATCTTAGCCTATCTCTACATTTCTATCGTCTTGGGATTCTCTATATCATCTCTTGCAGGATGCTCTGAGAACACAACTTGTGCAGAAACAAAACCAGAAAACACTCCAGAGGAACATATGGTGGGCACACTGGAAGTACTTCCCCAAGATGCTAATAATGGCAGCTTAGCTCTACAAAGCTTGTTAGCAAAAGCATTTGTAATTCCTGACATATTGTTTAAACATTTAAAAATCCATATATTGAAATTTAAAAATAATAGAAAGATGAAGAATATGCACATTCCCCCTAATTTTCAAGACTTCATATTTTAAGTCTTAGTTACCAAAAGAGAACTGAAGGAAGCAAAGATCTTGGTTTTATTCCTCTGCTTGACTACTCTTTTTATAAGTTTCACTTTTTCCAAACCACCTGTCTTTTGTTTCTAAATCTTCCTTCTGTTTAGTTTTTCCTTTGCCATCCCTTCTTTTGTAAGATTTCAGTTCACAGTCAAAACGAGGAGGTGGCCAAGTTGGAAGTCAATTGCAGGCTGCTGACGCCACACTCTGTGGAGGGTGTCTCTGTGCCATCCATGGATGAGTCAAGCATCCTTGTAGGTCATCACCTGAGCTAACCTGTGGATGCATGTATCTATTTACTTCCTTCTGCATGGCAACAAAATACTGTCAGTGAAAGGTAGATGGAGCTACAATTATAGCTAATCATTTGCTATTCAAAGGATATTGTTTTGGCAAATGGCAGTAGGTCAGATTTGTGCTTCAGGAAGATCATCCTGCCAGCAATGTGGGAAATGGCTTTGAAACATGCACAGCCTCCACAGTTTGAGGCTGCTGCAGTGACCTGGGAGAGAGATGGTGTGGTTAGTTGTTATCATAATGGCTCCCAATGAACCATGTCTGCCTGTTTACATTCTTTTGCCATGTGTATTAGTCTATTTGTTTGATAGAACAAAATACCTAAGACTGGGTAATTTATAAAAACAAAAATTTATTTCTCACAGTTCTGGAGGTTGGGAAGCCCTAGGTCAAGGCACTGGCATGGAGTCTGGTGAGGGTCTTCTTGCTGCATCTTCACATGGCAAAAGGGGTGATGTGGTTTGGAACTGTGTCCCTGCCCAAATCTCATGTTGAAATGCAATCCCCAATGTTGGAGGTGGGGCCTGGTGGGAGGTGATTGAATCATGGGGGTGGATTTCTCATGATGTTTACTGCCATCCTCTTGGTACTGTCCTCATTATAGTGAGTGAGTTCTCATGAGATCTGGTTGTTTAAAGGTGTGTGGCACCTTTCCCATCTCTCTCTTGCTCCTGCTTTCACCATGTGAAATGCCTGCACCCCCTTTGCCTTCTGCCATAATTGTAAGTTTCCCAAGGCTTCCTCAGAAGCTGAGCAGATGCCTCTATGCTTCCTGAACAGCCTGCTGAACCATGAGTGAATTAAACTTCTTTTCTTTATAAATAACCCAGTCTCAGGTATTCCTTTACGGCAATCAAACAATGACCTAATACAAGGGGCAGAAAGGACAAAAGGGATAAATGCTTAGCTCTCACATGGCAGAAGAGTGGGAAGGAAAGAGGAAGGTACCTACTCCCTCAAGCCCATTTTAAGGGTGCTAATCCCATCCATGAGAAACAAGCCCTCATGACACAATTACCTCCCAGAAGTCCCACCTTGCAATACAATCACCTTGGTGATTAGGCTTCAACATACAAACTTTGGAGGGCCATATAGATGCCAAGGGAAAACTTCCCCATTACTCTCTGAAGATTCACTGAAAATCACTGACAAAAGAAGAATAGGAGAAAAGGCATACACATTTATTTGATCATAGTTTTCCTTGACACAGAAACCTTCAGAATGAAGACCCAAAGATGCAGAGGACACTTTCCATTTTTATGCTTAGGTTCAACAAAGTATGGACAGCTGTGTAGAAACGTGATTGGACAGAAAGGGTATGACCTAATGCTAATAGACTGAGTGGGGAAGCCCAGCAAGGTCTGTCTAGATTCTTCTTGGCCTCTCTGTGCAGCATTCCTTCCTACTAGGTATGGGGCAGGGCCCTCTCTGGAATGGGAGTCTTATGATCTGCAATCAAACAAGGTAGGTCAGATAGTTTTTTTATGGCCAGTTTTTACACAGAAAGGTGAAGGGCTGGGGTTAAAGTGATAGACTGAGTCTTTATGGCTGGCTTTGGGGAAAAGGGGTTCTGGTTTCTAAGACCCATCTTGAGGGAGAGGGCTTCTAGTTTGTATCGGTAGCTTTGGGAAAAATGAGGGGCCAGAGACAGAAGTTCAGGAGATGATCAGCGAGAAACTTTTGCTTCTGAGGCTCCTGATGAGGCCTTCATTTTGGGGTACCATTTTCTGAGCCCTAACATCCGTGTACATTTAAGCCATATGTGGCATTGCCACTCCTTCTTTCAAGAGGTTGAGTCTATTTCTTCACACCTTTGAATCTTCCCTAGCCTTGTGACATGATTTTATCACAGCAGATGGTACTCTATGTGATTTCCAAGACAAGGCTTTAAGAGACTGTACACCTTTCACATTCTGCCTCTTGGAACTCTGAGACCACCTCACTGTGAAGAAGTCAGTCATGGTAAGAGGCGGCACCAAGGAGAACTGAGGCACCCCGCTCAGCCAGCCATTCCAAGGCAGCTCTCTGACTGCAATCATGTAAGTGAGCCCAGGCAAAGCCAGCCCAAGAACCACCCATCAGAAATAACAAATTTCTGCTGTTTTAAGTCATTAAGTTTGGGAGAGGTTTGTTATGCAGCACAGATGACTGATATAAATAGAACTAGAGTGTTGGTAGGATTCATTCATTCAACAAACATTTTTGAGCACCTGTTATGTGACAGGCTCTATTCTAGGCGCTGGGAATATGGCAGTGAACAAAACAGGCTAACATCCCTGCCCTTGTAGCTTATATTCTAGTGAAGGAATGGACTGGAGAGAGAGGAAGAATTTGAGAAAGATTTAGGAGATGTATTTGGAAGGACTGATTGGATATGGAGGGTGGGGGAGAGAGGAGGAAAGAATGGATTCTCAGGCTTTCAGTGTGGGAGACTAGGGCAATCCAGACATAGGCAGACCAGACTGAGAGTTGGTCAGTTTTGGACTCATGAGTACCTATGGAGCAAGAGGTGGCAGGTGTAAGTAGGCGTCTGACACTCAGAAGGGATGCTCAGGATAAATATTTTGAAGCAATTCTGTCCTGTACAGTTCAGCAAATATTTATTGAGTGACAATCACATACTAATCATTCTGAGACACCCAGGATATACAATGACAAACAAGACATGCGACACCCAGGAAATACAATGACAAACAAGACATATATGATTGATCGTTTCATGAAACTTATGGTGTCGTGGAGGAGACAAAACATTTATGTGGCAAGTTGTTAAACAGAAAAAAAATGCAAGGCTCTGCCTGACACCAGCTTGGAGAAGTTGGATATAGGTGGTGGCTGAAACCATGACACCAAATAAGGTTGTCCTTGAAATGTACAAAGAAAAAAGTTGGTGGGCCAAGGACAAAAGCCTATGAGAAATTCAATGGGGTGCTTAACAGTAAGGGGATAAGCATAGAAGAAAGGGTAGAGACACTGGGGAGGAGGGGGGACATGAAAAAAGGGAGAGCAAGGGAGAGGGAGAGAAGATGAGTTGCCTTGTATCTTTGACCAGTGATTACAGGGGCAGGAGACTAGTGAGGAGGTAGCAAGCTAACCATGTTCAAGTTGATTTGGAGCTGAAACAGTCTAGGCTGCTTAGGCAGTGTGTGGCTTGGCCTGAGATGTGTTGTGGACTCCCAGGCAGTCCACAGAGGGTGCTTGAAGGCTGCTCTGGGGGAAATCTGCCTCCCAGAGTACACAGGAGGGATATCCTTTCAGCAAGTCCCTAAGGAGCTCTGCTTCCTGCTGCCGCTGTAATGCCTGGTGCTTTGTTTTCTCAAGCATAACCCTGGATTTCCTTTAAACTGGCTGATTTATATTAATTTTGCCTTTATTCTTTGCTTCTTAGATATGATGGGGCCATCTCACTTGGGGCCCAATGTTTCAGTAAGCTCTCCCCAGCTAGAGCCTCGTGTTCCACGCAGGTAGTGCTTTTGTAGGTTAATGAAAGCAGGACACAGAGAGGTGAGCCCTCTGCTGGCTCTCACAATCTGCCCTAAGGAGGAAACACTGCCCCAAATAATCCTGTTCTAGGTCGAATTGTGCCCCCTCTTCCCACTTGCCCCAAAAAAGATATGTTGGAGTTTTAACCCTCTTATTTGGAGAGAGGAGGGTCTTTACAGAGGTAATCAAGCTAAAATGAGGTCATTAGGGTGGGTTCTAACCAAATATAACTGGTGTCCCTATTTTAAAAAAGGAAATGTGGGCACTGAGACAGACACAGAGAGAGAGAGAACACTAGGTGAAGATTGGAGTTATATTGCCACAAGCCAAGGAGCTGCCAGAAGCTAGGAGAAAGATCTGGAACAGACTTTTCCCGGCACTTTCAGAGAGATTATGGCTCTAATGACATCTTAATCTTGGACTTTTGGCCTCCAAGACCATGAGAGAATAAATTTCTGTTGTTTAAGTCACTCTGTTTTTGGTACTTTGGTATGATAGCCTTAGAAAACTAATACAAATTGCGAATTTGAATATCCCAGAATCATTTGATTGAATCTTTGAAATGTATCAGAACAGATTTTTTATTGATTGGGATTCATCTGTGTCAAGAATTATGATGAATTCAGAAGAACACTGGATAAATTTTTGCCACTGTATTATCTTTGTGTTTCCTGAATAAATCATATACACGAGAAAGCAGTCAGGCGCAGTCTCTCAGGCCTGTAATCCCAGCACTTTGGGAGGCCGAGGTTGGAGGATTGCTTTAGGTCAGGAGTCCAAGACCAGCCTGGGCAACATAGTGAGACTTCATGCCCACAAATGTTAAAAAAAAAAAAAAACCAGCTGTATGTGGTGGCACATGCCTGTGGTCGCAACTACTCTGGAGGCTGAGGTGGGACAATCACTTGAACCCAAAAGTTTGAGGCTGCAGTGCAGTGGCAGGATCTCAGCTCACTGCAACCTTTGCCTCCTGGGTTCAAGCAATCCTCCTGCCTCAGCCTCCCTAGTAGCTGGGATTACAGGCATGTGCTACCATGCCTGGCTAATTTTTGTATTTTTAGTAGAGACGGGGTTTCGCAATGTTGGCCAGGATGGTCTCGAACTCCTGACCTCAAGTGATCCACTCGCCTCACCTTCTCAAAGTGCTGGGATTACAGGCATGAGCCACTGTGTCCAGCCAGAGAATGCATAACCTATTTAAGAGGAAACATTGTTTTCAGACTCTCATTTGGTTTAGAAGTACTCCTTATATGCAATTAAAAGTGGTTCTTATTGACTTATTGAGGTGAGCCCCCAGGGAACTCCCTTGTTTCTGATGCTACACTTACACATAATCTAGTCTCAGTGCAGGCTTCTCTCTGGCTTAGAGTGACAAGCTGTCTCTTTAGTTAGTTGGAACAGGTGAGATTTCAATACTAGATCTGCTGGGTAGTTCCTGCTGGCCTCTTCTGTTCTACTCTGACCCCGGGAACGTTGACCCACGTGGACTGCAAAAATAGATTTCCTGCTTCTTGGGTTCAGCGGGAAGGAGGTACTGGCAGAAATTGAGGGAGGGAGGGAGGGAGGAGGAGAGTGGAGGAGCGGGACTTATTCCCTGGGGTATGAGACTCCCTGCTGCAGGTCACTGTGAGCTGGCTGCATTCTTCCAAGAAGACAACAGCTCCTGTGGGAGTGGCTGCTCCACACAGCTCCCCTCTCTGTCCTTTCTGGGTTCTGTGCATCGCTCGCTCCCCTCACCCCTTTAGTGTTTATACTGTCAGTAGCTTACAGCACTGTAGTATCCCTTGTCCTCAACCTTTAAACCTAAAACCCTGCCCACAGCTTTGTAAACACCGGTAAACAGTTTAGTAAACCCTCCTCAGACTACCCAGTTTGAGTTGTTGTCTGGCTTCTTCAAAAGCCCAGAAGCAAGGTGTATGACTACGCTGGTAAATTTTGTTTCCCATATGCCCAAAACCGTGCTAAGAACTTTATATGCATTAGCTCATTGAATCCTAATAACAACTGTATGAGATAAGTAGAATTTCTGTTCCTACTTTAAAGATGGAAAGACAGATGCTGCAACGTTCATTTGAGAAAACAGCAGATAGTTGAGCTATCACACACACCTGGTCCCTCTTACTCTGGAGTCTAGACATCCTGATGTCACCACTTTAATGTCTTGCTGTCTAAAAGGCTTTGCACAGGGCAAACTCACCTTGACATTGTGTTTTACTCAGGCTAATATTAAAAAGTACTTGCGGCCGGGCATGGGGGCTCCTGCCTGTAATCCTAGCATTTTGGGAGGCCGAGGCAGGTGATCACTTGAGGTCTGGAGTACAAGATGAGCCTGGCCAACATGGTGACACCTTTTCACTACTAAAAATATAAAAATTAGCTGGGTGTGGTGGTGCAAACCTGTAGTCCTAGCTACTCCGGAGGCTGAGGTGGGAGAATCACTTGAACCCAGGAGGCGGAGGTTGCAGTGAGCTGAGATCATTTCACTGCACTCCAGCCTGGGTGACAGAGTGAGAGCCTGTCTCAAAAAAAAGTATTTGCTGCACTTTCTGAGCAGTCATTGACAGATACCTGGAGACTCCCAAATCAGCTGGGGCACAGGAGATATCACACCGGAATTAAATATTTGCTATGAAGATGTAAGGAAGAGATATTCAACCATGGGTGAGAAAAATGCACGTTTCATAAAAACAAAGAGTTGGCTCTCTAAATAAGGAGGCCATAATTGGAGTGAGGAGAGCAGGGAGAATGAGACATCTGGGCAGATGCCATTCTGTGAAGTGCAAATGTTTCTTTGCAGCCAGGTAGCAGCATGTAGTTTAGTGTGCACTCTATTACCCGTGCCCTCTGCCTTTTAATGCATTAGTGGTTCTTTATAAATTTGATGACCTAGATGGCCTCATGAATATTTACTTACTCATTCATCATTCTCCACCTAGGGTTTAAGGACTGAGCCATCAATTCGGTGCCATCAGGGGTTTTATGTGCAAGACTCCGTAGTGAGAAGCAATTGGATGGGCTCACCTCCCACAGCATCCTGAAATTCTTAAAGCACCAATATTTGCTTGGGGCATTTTAATAATAATACCATATTTTTAAATTTTGTTGGATTCTTCTTTAAATCATAAGCTAAAAAATCTCCCTATCCTGCTCCTTGGCTTTTAAGGGTTGCAAAGCCTGCATCCTTGGAGGTTTGCTAAGGCAGAAACAGCCATGCTTTAACAGAGAAAAAAAAAAAGAAAGAAAAACTAAAAGGCAAGCCTATGCACTATTTTCAGTCCATGGGTCTGTGGGTGGGCAGAATTGCAAAAGCCACACCCACCCTGGCTCCACTCAAGGCTAACATCCTGAAATTGAAGCCTCATGTTCTTTCTGAAACACTTGGAAAAAACAGGCTTTCACAATCACTGATCCTACAGCACTAATGCCCCAGATCCTCTCTACCTAAATACAAAGAAGCCTTTTCTGATAAGCAAATGCTCTTTGCTGCTTCATATTCTTGCTGCTGAAGTTATTGGTGGGGCCACAAGATGTTGTCTTATAGGACAGTTCTATCACTAGATAGCTGGTTCTCTCTAACAAATTTAAGCCACACATAGGAATATAAACAATACCTATATGGAAAAATAGATCAGAGGGCTAAACATCTTTGGAGCTAAGCACAGCTGATGTAAAATTCCTGTTTTTACAGGAGACTAATGGCTACATGATTTGCCCAAGACCCTGTGGCTGGTTCATGGCAGAGTGGAAACTAGAACTCATGATTTCAAGTCTAGTTCCCTTTTCACAACACTCACTATACAGATGAGACACTTGGGGGTCCACTGAAAACATCAATAGAAGCCCCAGGGTCAGCTCTTTCATTCCTGCAGTTTATTCATATTTATCCCTGACTGTCCATTTAATCTACACATCTCTATATCAAAGAATCTGGCCAGAAAACAAAAACATAATTTTTAGGAGTGTGTTTGATGATTTACCCAGGCATACAAATTAAATTGATTTAATGCAATAAGAACCACACTTTTGCAGCCCAGATATTTTGTTCTTGTTGCTATTAATGTTTAGCTGGAATGTACAAAGTCACAAGGGCAGGGAATATGTTAAATTTTTTCATGTTTCCCTTGGTGTCAAAGTGCTTAGGATATAGTTAGCACTCAACAAATATCTGTTGACTATGAGATTATTATAAATATTGGCACAAAAATTAGGAATGAATACATTACATTACACAAAGAATTCTGGGATATTCTTGGGATGACATCATGATTGTCAGATTTTTTTTCGTCTTTAAATGCTTGTGTATCTCATTGTATCTCATTGCTGACTTACAGAAATTATTTACTCCAGACTTTATTATTTTTACACTGTATTATAAATTCCAAAAGGTTATTTATTTCTGTGTTGTTTACTTCTGTATGCCCATGGCTGGGCCCAAGGCTTAGTACATAGTAAGCACTCCATGAATACAGGTTGTTGCATTTCATTTTTACAACCCAGTAAGACCATTTGCCACCCCGCCATTTAGTGATTGTCAGCACAACTTGTGGTTCTTGCCTAAGAACACTGGCTGGTTTCAAGACTTTGCAGCTAGCTTTAACTCTTAGACAGCAATGAAATATACAACAAGCTTCCTAACACTGGGCCAGATAAGCTCTTAGCATTTATAAATACAGAAACAATCAAAGTGCCAATGAGTATACCAGACAGCTTAGCTCTGGGACTGAACAAATAAGAGTTCTATAAGCACTCAAATAATCAATAAGCCTCCTTCTCACTAATATAAAAAATTACTTTGGCAGCTCTCTCACAAACTCTAGTTTCTCATCTGTGCAGAAAGTATTTTCTGAAGTATTTGTTCTTTTGAGAGCTTACAGATGGCAATGACTTACAAGCCTGTTTAATTCTAGTAACACACTTCATGATCCTAACCAAATTCCAAATGGCATCAGTTGACTAGACTTGAAAACTTGGATGCTCACAAAAATTGCATGCTAAATGCTTGTCAATTACATTCTGAAATAGTAGGCAGAGATGTGGATGGAAAAGGCCTTGAGATACAAGGATGACATGGAGAAAAGGACAGTGATAGGAAGGAACACAGATTGTTTGGATGACATTAAATAGATCAGTATAAATAAAGCAAAGTTTGTGAAGAAGAGATAAGATATGATATATGGATTGGGCTCTTACATGTTTACTCAAAAGCCTTGAATTCCATGTATTAGTTAGATATTGCTGTATAACAAACTGCAATAAAACTCAGTGGCTTAAAACAAAAAGCATTTATTATTGCCCACAATGATATATTATTTCCCACAGTATTGAAGTTATTTTGGTCCTGACTGGGCTCACTCATATTTCTGCAGTCAGGCAGGCTGTTCTGCTGATCTTGGCTGGTCCCTCTCACATTTTTGGTGATTGTCTGGCTGTAGGCTTTTATAGGAAAGAGTTAAATATTGTAGTTCTGATGATGTTGCTCCTCCAAAGGACCTGCTTATAGAGCTGACCCTTGGCTGGTTTCTAGGACCTTTGCTTTTGGAATGCTTCCTATGTTACTATTTATATTAGTTTTCTATTGCTGATATAACAAATTACTATAAACTTAGTAGCTTAAAACAACACAAATATTTTATATATTAGGGCTCTGGAGATTAGAAGTCTAAAATGGATCAGAAGGACTGCATTCCTTCTGGAGGCTCTGGAGAATAATTCATTTTCTTCCTTTTCAAACTTCTAAAGACCATCTGCATTCCCTGGCCCATGACACACTATGGTTTGGATGTTGGACCAAACCTCATGTTGAATTTGATCCCCGATGTTGGAGGTGGGGCCTACTGGGAAGTGTTTGGGTCATAGGATCAGATCCCTCATGAAAGGCTTGGTGTAGGATTTGGAGTAATGAGTGAGTTCTCACACTATTCGTTCCTAAAAGAGCTGGTTATTGAAAAGAGCCTGGCACCTCCCTTCCTCTCTTGCTTACTCTCTTGCCACACAGTCTTTGCACACAGAGGATCCCTTTTGCCTTTTGACATGAGTGGAAGCAGTTTGAGGCCTTCGTCAAAAGCAGATGTTGGTGCCATGCTTCTTGTACAGCTGGCAGAACTGTGAGCCAAATAAACCCCTTTTCTTTGCAAATTACGCAGCCTCAGCTATTCCCTTATGGCAACACAAAAGGACTAAGACATGACCACTTCCTCTATCTTCAAAACCAGCACCAAAGCATTTTCAAATCTCTCCCTCCTTCAGCGGATCTCTGCGCTCTACTTCCTTTATCTTGCCCTTGCTGACTTTAATCCTGAATAATTCAGGAAAATCTTACCATTTCAAGATCCTTAATGTAATCATATGTGCAATGTCCCTTTTGTCATGTAAGGTAACATATGAACAGGTTCTGGGTATAGAAACTTAACCACCTTCAAAGGGCCTTTATTCTATCCTTCTATCTACCACCTAACTGATAAGGCTGTTTGGCATGCCCACGGCACTGAATCCTACCACACCAGCTTGCCTAGAATGTTTATCCAAACACTGTGATTTACACTGGACTGGAATTTCAGTAATTGTGGCTGATCACATAGGCATCCTCTGCCTATTTCTGCAATAAAATCCCAGGACTCTGAGCCTCCAGTCAGCTTCCCTAGTCAGAAATATTGTGTATGTGTTACTTAATTTTATTGCTGGAAGAAAAAGTGTGTTCTGTGTAATCCACCTCCTGCACCAGACACAAAGCTTTGGAAGCCTGCACTTAAACTCCTCCAGACTGATGTGACTTTTTCCCTTGTTGATGCTGTCTTGTATCCTTTGATCACCTATAACCATGAGCACAACTGACTCTGAGTCCTGGGAGTCCTTCTAGTGAGTCATCAAACATGTGGGTGGCCAGAGGACTCCTCCCCCTCCCCCAGACAAGGCTGATCTAAGATTAGACTCAATTGGGACAATGAGGCTCCCCTCTCATGATTTCTCTTCCTCCAGCAGGCTAGTCCAGGCTTGCATTCTCATGAGAGGGTTCTGAAACACAGTGGCAGCTGCAAGGCCTCTTGAGGCACAAGGCAAGCTGATATTCAAGGGAGGGAGAAGTAGATTCTACCTTATGATGAGAGATTTTCAAAAATCTCACTGCAATGGGTATGGATACAGTGAGGTTTTTAGCTGGCAACATCAATTCAGTCCATCTACTATATCCTGTTAAGAGCTTGGACACTCTTCAGTAGTAATGGGGAATGAGAATTACTGTTTTTATAACAGGAAAATAAGATAACAAAAGCAGCACTTCTGGTTCATTAACTGATGGTGAGAGTAAGATGGATTAACAAGCAGGAAGCCGTAGAGACAAAGCAGTTAGAAAGCTGCTGGAATGCACTCATCAGTGATTGGAACACCAGCCAGAAAACCAAGTTATCTATTTGAAAATGGAAGAAAACTATGTTAATCAAGACCAGTTTGGGTAGAGCTTGTAATATTCATACTTTTTCTCTCAAAATTTTTTTTTTTTTGAGACATAGTCTCACTCTGTCACCCAGGCTGGAGTGCAGTGGCAAAATATCGGCTCACTGCAACCTCCGCTTCCAAGGTTCAAGAGACTTTCCTACCTCAGCTTCCCAAGTAGCTGGGACTACAGGTGTGAGCCACCACGCACAGCTAATTTTTTATTTTTAGTAGAGACGGGGTTTCACCATGTTGGTCAGGCTGGTCTCGAATTCCTGACCTCGACTGATCCACCCGCCTCGGCCTCCCAAAGTGCTGGGATTATAGGAGTGAGCCACCGCGCCTGGCCTCCCTCAAGTATTTACTGAATGTGTGCTATATGTTGGGACTGCAACAATGACCAAAATAGACAGGTTTCTTTCACCATGGGGTTTACCTTCTAGCTAGGTGTTTCTAAAAAGGGAACATTTAAGCTGAGCCCCCCCAAATTTACAAGGAGATAGCCCTACTGAAATGAGGTAGTTCCAAGCAGAGGTAATGGCATACATAAATAACTGGCATTGGAAAGTATGTGGTTTTCTGTAAGTGCAATCAAAAGTCCAGTGGGCTAGAGTGTAGAGAATGAGGAGAAGGGTGAACCTAATGAGGCAAGGAAGATAAACAGATACCAGCCCATGCAGCAGAGCTTTTCTGGCCACAGTAAAAAGTCTAGATTTCATTCTAAGGGTAACTAGAAATCACTGAAAGGTGGTGTGCCTTCACAATGGTAACCCCAGTGTTGAAGGGCAAGAGTGGAAGTGGGAAGACTAGTTAGAGCCTTGCTACTCAGTGTGTTCCACAGAGCAGCAGCTTCAGAATCACATGGGAGCTTGTCACAAATGCAGAATCTTGAGCCCTTCCACAAACCTAGAATCAGAATCTTAATTTTAACAAGATCCTCAGGTGACTCATTTGCACATTTAAATCTGAGAAGCACTAAGTTGGAAGACGCTGCTAGCTTGGCCAAAGGTAGTAGCTGAGGAGAAGGAAACGTAGAGGGAATTCATGTCTTAAAGACAGTCACAGGCATGAGGACTTGGGTTGGAATTAAAAGCAGGTATCAGAGGGCCAGTGTTTAAGACACATGGAGACAGTGGCTGAATGCAGGCATGGAACACTAGTTTCCAGTGTCAAGAGATTATTTCAAGCAGAAGTCCAGGACCCTGGAGAGCTCCCATAAAGCAAGGGTTGTATGAAGATGAAAATCTAACAATCTACAGAGAGGCCAGGCGTGGTGGCTCACGCCTGTAATCCCAGCACTTTGGGAGGCCAAGGCGGGTGGATCACCTGCGGTCAGGAGTTCGAGACCAGCCTGACCAACATGGGGAAACCCCGTCTCTACTAAAATACAAAACTTAGCTGGGCGTGGTGACATGCACTGTAATCTCAGCTACTCGGAGGGCTGAGGCAGGAGAATTGCTTTAACCCAGGAGGCAGAGGTTGCAGTGAGCCGAGATCATGCCATTGCACTCCAGCCTGGGCAACAAGAGCAAAACTCCGTCAAAAATAAATAAATAAATAAATAAAAAAGAAAGAAAGAAAGGAAAAGAAAAAAGAAAAAAAAGAAAACGAATCTACAGAAGAGAGATGCCACTTAGCCTCAAACACTTAAAGTCATCCTTCTGGGAAAGCTCTGATGATCACTAGATTAAGTTCTATGGTTCCTATGAATCATCTTCATTACTCAAAGAGTTTTCTGTTCCACACGATAGAATGGCCATGATGTCTGCTATGATTTGCATACTCTAGTGAAATTATAATCCTAAGGAGGTCAGAAAGCAAAGATGAGGTGGAGGTGAGAGGGAGGCACCTTTCTTGATACCATTTGCTTTGTCTCCTGGAACAGGGGCTGAAGTTGGATCCAGGTTCAGGAATTCAACTCCAAACAGAAACTGTGAAAGAATTAACTAAAGTAAAATTCTGAAAGTGAAAAAGTGTCAGATTTAGGGGGTATTGTGAAGAAAAAATATAGCTTGGTGAAGGATGGGGGGAGGGAGAGAGTGGAGTACCAGAACCCCTAATTGCTGCCAGGGTCCTCCTGTTGCTGTCATCTCTCCTGCCTAGGGTTGTGAGTAGCAAATACAGAAATTCCATTAAAAGTCCCCTGACCCTATGAGATACCAACCATGTCACTCCCACTAAAATGATTAAAACGAAAGACATGTGTAAGTGAAAATGTGAAACAATTAGAACTTCATACATTGTTGGTGAGAATGTAAAATTGTACAACCATTATGGAAAAGTTTTGAGAGTCTTTTATGAAGTTAAACATACACCTACCATATGACCCAGTAATTCTACTCCTAGGCAAAACAAATCCCCATGAAGAGACTTGGCCAGGCACAGTGGCTCATGCCTGTAATCCCAGAACTTTGGAAGGCCAAAGTGGGTGGATCACCTGAGGTCAGGAGTTCAAGACCAGCCCGGCCAACATGGTGAAACCGTGTCTCTACTGAAAATACAAAAAATTATCTGGGCTTGGTAGCAGGTGCCTGTAGTCCCAGCTCCTCAGGAGGCTGAGACAGGAGGATCACATGAACCCAGGAGGCGGAGGTTGCAGTGAGCTGAGGTCACGTCACTGCACTCCAGCCTGGGTGATAAGAGCAAGACTCTCAAAAAAAAAAAAAAAGACTTTTACAAGTCTCTTTATAGCAGCTTTATTCACAGAAGACAAAACTAGAAACAACTCAAATGTTTCTCAACAAGAAAATAGATAAATTGTGGTGTATTTGTATAGTAGGATATGCTCAGTAATAAAAAAGAACAAGCACATATGCATGACACAAGGATAAATCTCAAAAAGATTATGGATAAACAAACTGTGGTCTATTCACATAATGAAATGTTATTCAGCAATTTAAAATTAGTGAACAATGGATACATGTAACAACAAGGATAAATCTCAAAAACAAGAACTCAGATACAAAAAAATAGAAAACTAAGAGTATGTATCATATGATTGCATTTATAAGAAATTCTAGACAAGCCAAAAATAATCTGTGTTAATGGAAGGCTAGGATATTATTGCCTGTTGTCTGGGGCAGGAGCTGAAAGAAAGAAGAGAGAAGGTAACCTCCTGGAGTGACAGAAATGTTCTACATTTCAATTGAGGAGGTGATTACTTAGGTGTTTACATTTGAAAGAACTAATCCAATGCACAACTACAATCTATGAGTATTATTAGATATAAATTTTCCTTCAATATAAATAAAATTTTAATTACAACAATAAGAAAATCCCTTCAGTCTTTGCCTCATTCCAAGGGTACAGTCCATATCTGCTGGGTTGTTTCACCCTAGAAAAATCTGTGAGAGGCCGGGTGCAGTGGCTCACACTTTGGGAGGCCAAGATGGGAGGATTGCTTGAGCCCAGGAGTTTGAGACCAGCCTGGGCAACATAGTGAGACTCTGTCTCTACAAAAAATATTTAAAAATTAGCCAGGCATGGTGCATGCACTTGTAGTCCCAGCTGCTTGAGAGGCGGAGGTGGGAGGATTGCTTAAGCCCAGGAAGTCAAGGCTGCAGTGAGCCATGATCACACCACTGCACTCCAGCTTGGCAAAAGAGCAAGATCCTGTCTCATGAAAGAAAGAAAGCAAGAATCTGTGAGGGATATTCAATAATCCTTCAGATGTGGAAAGAATGTGGCATAGCGACTGGCAGTTTGCCCAAGTGGTTGGTGCAAACCTTGAAGCAGTTGGGTTTAGCAAAAGCTTTCATGCAAGCTTAAAACAATGCCAGTAACGTGTGACTGTGAAATTGTAACATCCCCGCTGGAGCCTGTGTCACTGGAAATCTCATTTAGAGTGAGCTCGCATCTCCTTCTAAGCCACAGAGCCTGATGAATTGCTCAGCTGCTCTTTCAAGCAGTTCCAGTTTCAATGGCAACTGGGGAAGGAAAAACCCCAGGTTTTTAGTGTTGTGAAAAAACAGTCCAGTATAAAAGAACCTAAAAGAGGAGCCAGTGAACAAGACTATAGAATAATGAGGCCACATGCTCTGAGTTTGCTCCTCTTTTTTCCCATTGCTAGTTTAGTCCCAGTTCTAGTTGAGCTTTGTAACAACTCCCTCCCAAGGAGGTTACTTCAACCAACATGTTGTAAGTATTTACTGTGACCCAGGTATCGTGCCGTGTCGATGCAATGCAGATAAAACACAGATCCTGATCCTTGGGAAAGTTAAACTAGTGGATATTAGGCTGCTGTCACATCCATTATGTAACTTGATCCTTACAACCTCTCTGTAAGGTAAGTAAAGCAGGAATAGTTACAACTCCCATTTCACAAATGAGGAAACTGAGACTCAAGAGAAATTAAATGAGTTGCCCAAGGCCACATAGCAGGTAGTAAAGCTGAGATTTGAATTCAGGTATTCTTATGCTAGGTCCTCTGTTCTTTCCAATTCATGATGAAAGTGTATATAAAATAGGTACGATTCTTTCTCCACTATAAATTCATGAAAGCCTTGGATCTGAAGAATGTTGGGAACTCGTAAGCACAGAGCTAATGGAAAGGGAAAAGAATCAGGACAGGCTCAGTCTAGCCCTCAGGAAGGCACCTAGGCTATCACTTCTATACTGTCTGAATGGATATGCAGATTACTGGCCTGGCTCAGACAAGTGGTCCATATCCACAGGGATGTAAGCAGATGAACAGATGATGAATGTTAACCAGGCGTCTTAGTCCATTTGGTGCTGCTATAGCAGAATACCACAGACTAGGTAATTCAATAAGAACAGAAATTTGTTTCCCACAGTTCTGGAGGCTATAAGTTCAAGATCAAGGTGCTGGCATCCGGTGAGGATCTTCTTACTGCATCCTGACATGACAGCAGATGGAAGGGCAAGTGAAAGATGGACAAGCACTGTGTCTTTACATGGCAGAAGAGCAGAAGAAGGCAAATACACTCCTGCAAGTCCTTTTTATAGCAGCATTAATCCATTCATGAGGGCCCCATTATCTAACTTCCCATTAGGCCCCACCTCCCAACATTGTCACATTGGAGATTAAGTTTCTGACACATTAATTTGGGGGGACAGTCAGCCCATAGCACTGGGGAAAGCTAGTCAAGTTAATTAATTCCATTCATTATTCATCAACAATGTCATTCAAAGGTCTCAGATCTATAGGTGAGAGGCACAGGAAGCACAGCATGGCAGGGAGAGCTTCGGTGTCCCAGCAAGAGAGGACTCACAGTAGGTTTCTACGTCTCTATCAGAGTTCTTGGTGGAAAGCAACAGAATCAGACTGTAGCTCCCTTGAGCAAAAAATACTTTTTTAAGGATACAGGTGGCTCCCAAATCTAAGAAAAAGTTGAGGGACCAGACCTCAGAAGGGGCAGGAATCAGGGCAATTCTCAGGATTCAGGTAGCAAGAATAAGTGAAAAATCTCTTCCCAGTGTCAATTTCAACAGTTTTCTATGCTTTTTTATTTTCACCCAAGATCAATTTCCAGTGGAGGAGACAGCCTGATTGCCTGAGCTTGAGCCATCTGCCTCCACTTTGGCAGGTGATGGAGATGCACCTTGAATAATAGAACCCTGAAAACTGTGTGCACGGAAACCATAGTAATGAACTTTTTATGTTGTTACATTAATATGTATTGATCTGTCTTGCACTTTGAATTAATCTTTTATACGTGCATAATTTTGTAAAGTCAAACATTGGTCATTTGGAAAATACTGGTTCACTGAATTATGCAGATCTTCCAAATATTGACACTTTCATTATATAATGTCAAAACAATCATGTTCACTAATATTGCCACTGATATCAGAAAAATCTAAATATTCAGAAGCTGTTAATAAAATATGGAAATCTATCAAGCTCACAATAGTGGATACACATTTTCCAAAATTCTAATTTTGCTCAAAAGCTTGAACTTTATCCCTGGCGTCAAATACTGTCAATTGGTTTCCCCAAAGAGGCTCCCTTTGTCCAAGTTTGAAATAATGTCTATAAATACTTATGTCTAAATAAACATAGTTTGTCAATCATCCTTTCAAGTAAAAAAATGAGCTAATTTAGCTTGCAGACCAGACAATCACATAAGTGCTTTCTTTTGAGATAACAATCATACTTCAACATGTAACAGAAGGTTACTTGTATTTTTTCATATAGAATATTTTTAAAAAGTATACTCAAAGGTCAAAGGTTAATTAAATTTAAAATATTGACTTTTTCTTCAAGGGCATCAAGTGAAACTAGCTTTTTCTCTTTTTCTGCAAGTGCATGATGGAATACAAAAATACAACTACTATTACTATCTTGTATATAGTGTGTGGCACCAGCAGTTTTACCCACCAGTGGTTTTGTAGCATTGGTGCAAATGTTACCTACAGTGAAAAGGACAAATAACACTTTAGTATTCTTTTAAAAACAGTTTTGATCTCACAGAATTAATGAAAGGGTCTAGGAAACCTTCAAGGGTTTATAGATGACATTCTGAGAACAGCAGGCTTAAAGTAATTAGGATCTAGAGCCTAGGGTGGGGTTACTTTACCCTGAATCATGTGGGGAAAAAAGCGAATACCGAAACAAAACTAGGATTATTTCAGGAAAAAATAAGGAGTAATAGATTTTGGTAGGCAACCAGTAGTGTCCACTACATATGGGCACAATATAAGGAACCATAGCATAGTTTATGTGGTTAGCTGCCATGGACTAACCAATAGGTATAAACACCTTCCTAAGTATCACCAAGACAACCGATGCCCACATGCGAAATAATGAAGTCAGACCCCCAACTCACACTACATACAAAAATTAACTCAAACTAGATCAAAGGCCTAAATGCAAGAACTAAAACTATAAAACTATCAGAAGAAAATATAGTAGCACGTTTTCAGGACCTTGGATTTGGCAATGATTTTTTAGTTAGGACATCAAAAACACAAGTAACAAAAGAAAAAATAAATAAGTGGGACTTCATCAAAATAAAAAACTTTCCTATATCAAGGGATACTAACAAGTAAGTGAAAAAACAGCCCCTCAAAATGGGAGAAACATATGTAAATCATATATCTGATAAGGATCTAGAATGCTGAATATACAAAAAACTCCTACAACTCAACAACAAAAAAGACAAATAATCCAATGGAAAAAATAAGCAAAATACCTGTATAGACACAATACAAATGGTCAGCAAAGAACATGAAAAGATACCCATCATCCTTAGTCACTGGAAAAATGAAAATCCAAACCTCAATGAGATGCCACTTCACACCCACTGGAGCATGCTTTCTATAGTCCCATCCGGGCTTGCTATAATAAAAAATTTAAAAAAAAACAGAAATTACAAGTGTTGGTGAGGATGTAGGAAAATTGGAATCCTCATATATTGTTGGTGGGAATGTAAAATGGTTCAGCTGCTTTAGAAAATAGTTAGGCAGTTCCTCAAAAAGTTAAATGTTGAATTACCATAAGACCCAACAATTCCACTTCTAGGTATGTAACCAAAAGAATTGAAAACACATGTTTAAAAAAAACTTGTATATATGTTTTCACCATAGAAATATTTACAGTAGCCAAAAGGTGGAAACAACTCAAATGTCCATCAATGGATGAATGGATAAATATAATGCAGTATATCCATACAATAGAATATTAGTCAGTCACAAAAGGAATGAAGTACTGAACCATACCACAGCATACTGAACTTTGAAAACATTATGCTAAATGAAACAAGCCAGACACAATGGGACACATATTGTATGAAATGTCCAGGATAGGCAAATCCATAGAGGCAGAAGGTGGATTAGTGGTTGTCATAGACTGGAGAAGGGGTAAGGGAGTGACTGCTTCATGGGTAGAGCATTTCCGTTTGAGATGATATTCTTCTCCAACTAGATAGTGGTGATGGTTGTACATTGTGAGTGTACTAAAGGCCACTGAACTGTACTCTTTAAAATGGTTTAAATGGTGAGTTTTGTGTTGTGTGATTTTTTTTTACCATAATTAAAAACAAAAAGCTGCATGACAGCAAGTGAGGCCTGGGGATGTTTTGGCAGATGAATTATGACAATGATGAAAGTCCAAGATCTGCAACTATTTTAAAAAGTAACCATCA
The DNA here is from genome assembly GCF_000001405.40 of Homo sapiens. Classification (NCBI taxonomy): domain Eukaryota; kingdom Metazoa; phylum Chordata; class Mammalia; order Primates; family Hominidae; genus Homo; species Homo sapiens. The sequence goes on along the minus strand of NC_000008.11, from coordinate 101,236,978 downwards.
CACAATGCACTAGGTTCAAACCATAACAGGCAAGTGATATCCTGACAGAGAGACAATAATTATACTTAATTCAACTGACAAAGCTGTGAGACTTAACTGGCATGGATGTCTTGTGGCAATTCACAAATATATAATTGAATAAATAAGCAAATATACCTCCCTGGAAAAAGTGACAGAGTGAATCAAAGTACATTTGGCTCTAAATGTGACACTTGAAACAGACCTTGAAAATATTCTCATTTTATTTTAGAGATATTCTCATTCTCATTTTAGAGACTTACGAAGAACAGTTACGACTTGCTTAAGGTTCCATAGCTAGTTAGTAGGAGAACTTGACCCAAAAGAACCAATGTCCCACCTCTTTCCACCACATGATGTTCATAGTCAGGGCAATTCCATATGCACCTCTCAGAACAGTTGTCATCTGAATGTTTGTGAAGCCAAGGATGACTACATTTTCCCCGAGTATCCTCTGGGCTGCTAGACTACATGTGCACAGAGAAACCTGCCATCTACGTGTCCTACCCATGTGCTCTAAATCTTGGCTTGTGCCACCACCCAAGTTAGAGAGCTGGCTCCTCTACTTCACCCCCTCCTGTTCCAGAAACCAGTCACCAAAACTTCCAGTTGTGACTTTGGAACATCTAGCAGATTTGGACTCTTTCCCATTCTCATCAAGATTCCCTCACCTTTTATTTGGACTATTTTATACCACTCTTAACTGCCCACAGTTATCCACAGGTGAATACAACACTGACTCAAGAGACACGTGACTCTGAGGTGGAACTTAGTTCCAATCACTAGGACACCTACTATTGCTATCGATAGAATAAAATCTGGGTACTGTAGTATTCCCTTCCCTGGGTACAGTTCCAGACTAACAGTGACTACGTTTAAAAGACTCTGACCTTAACAGTGGCAACTGTGACAAAGTCTTGGTACTTTGTTCCTTCAGATGCACAGAGAGCAACTTTGACTTAGTATCACAAACAATACGGGATTATTTGGTTTCCTTGGTAACCTGCGGTTCTGCCCTAGGTGACAATCAAAGACTGTGGAGGTGCCAATTTTTTTCTAGATCTAAAAATTCTCATTCTATGAATATCTGGGGTTGTAGACAGCCTACTAAAGGGAGACTGGTACAAAAGTAAAGCTATTAAACTTTAAGATATGGGAGCAGAGGCAAAGCTGGCTGCCTGGGAGGCAATCTGGTGCAATTCAGGAGAAGAAAGATTGTTTCTTCCATGGGCAGAATGTGCTATCAGAAGCGTCCAACAGCAATCCTAAATTATCATTATCAGAAGTTTAAGTTATGTTCCAGCCCATCCTATTAATAAAAGCAGAGTAGTGCTTTTTTGTTTTACAAAATGGCTACAACCTATACATATCAATAATTAAATTGTGATTTTTTTTTTGAAAATGTTCTTATATTCTCTGATAATAGATGATGAGCTATTACTGTATTGTACTATTAGGAGCACCAGTTTTAAGCACAGACATTCATACTAGAGAGCAGAGGTTAGTGTCTGATTAATCCAGCAGCTTCTGGAGGGACAGGGAGAGAAATAAGAAAATCTTCAAATGGAACCTGAAGCCCCGAGAAGCTGCCATGTCATAGCTGGTCCTTCATGCAGGAACAGAGTGCACAGTCAATTGTGACCAATATTCTTGAGCAAGATAGGCTAAGGGTGGCTACTTTCTTTTAGGTAAGATGTGTACAGTTTTGCACTGAGGGAATATCAATGACCTCCACCAACTCCTTGCTTACAGTCCCCTTTGTTTACTGTTCCCATCAGTTTCTCTCTCTCTTGTAAGGAGTAAAGATCTTGCTAAGTTGCCCAGGCTGGAGTGCAGTGGTGTGATCATAGCTCACTGCAGCTTTGAACTCCTGGGCTCAAGCCTCAACTTCCAAAGTAGCTAGGGCTTCAGGTATGTGCCACCACACCTGGCTAGTTTTTGTTGTTGTTTTCTTGTAGAGATATGTTGCTGAGGATGGTCTTGAACTCATGGCCTCAAGCGATCATCCCACCTCGGCCTCCCAAAGCATTAAGATTACAGGAGGGAACCTGTCACATCTGGCCAGTTTCTCTTGATACAAATGTCTCCATAAAGAGTTTGGGAGAAACTTGTCAATTGGTGTCAAAAACACACCAAAAGACACTGTCAGTGGATCTCACCATGGGCCCTGGGGTAGTAACAAAAGAGATCAAGACATTTTCCATTGTTATTGGCTGAGCCTTGTCTACAGAGGCCTGGCCCCACAGAGCATCATTTGGGTCTCCAGAGGGCCTCATAAAGAGCAAGCCTTTGGCCAGGCACGGTGGCTCATGCCTGTAACCCCAGCACTTTGGGAGGCCGAGGTGGGCAGAGTGCCTGAAGTCAGGAGTTCGAGACCAGTCTGGGTAACATGGTGAAACCCAGTCTCTACTAAAAATACAAAAAAAAAAAAAAAAAAGACAGCCGTGGTGTCATGTGCCTATAATCCCAGCTGCTCAGGATTAGGCTGAGGCAGGGGAATTGCTTGAACCAGGGAGATGGAGGTTGCAGTGAGCCAAGATCGCACCACTGCACTCCAGCCTGGGCAACAAGCGAGACTCCATCTCAAAAAAAACCAAAAAAACAAACAAACAAAATAACAGACTAAAAAAAGAGCAAGCCTTCCTGCTCTGGACAGAAGAGGTGGCAGATAGCTAACCAAAATCTACCTTTGCTGCTGCTAAATGCTGGGTTAGAGAACACAGATCAGAGTAATCGCTCAAATGGGTCTGCTTACTGCAGTCTAAGGTTAGCCACCACCCAGGGGAAGGTGAAGTCTGCAAAGCAAACACTTCCAGGTGGCAGCCTTTTGCTAGTCCAAATAAAAAACGAAAAAAGACAAGACCAAATCCTACCCCATTCACACAGAGGTGCTGTGGGAGACACACTCTATGCAATAAACAAGCAGGGACAATGACTATTCCCACCATCTTAGGGCTCGCACCTCCTTGGTCGTAGAGGAAGCGGTGGGGTGAGAGGCAGCTGTATTTAGGGAAATCCTTTATAGCACTATCTGGCTTAGAGAGGAGAGGCAGCCCCATGTTTGTCTAACTCTAAAACAAACAATGGTTATAAAACCTTATTAAACCTTGCTGGGTTAGAAAATAGAAATATCTCAAATATTGATCCCCTGCCTGTCAAGCTTTGAGTTCTAAAGGCTGTTCACTTGCAAGATCTGCTTTGCCAAGACCCCGAGGCTGAAAATCCTGCAGGGGTGCCAGGAACAACAGGTGGCTTCCACACCTGGAGTGTAGTGTGTGCCTGGGGACAGGGTGGCTGCCCCTCCTCCACCCCCAGTGTCTGTGGGAGCCTTGAGCTGCTGGCATTCTATTAAACACCACTCGGATGTGCCAGGGACAAAGGTCTTCTGCCCAGAGCCTCGGTGCTTGTCCCTATTCCAGCTCCTTCTAGGGGAGGATCTGGCCCTCAACCTCTTCCCAGTTGGCTGGAGGTTCTCTCCCCTTGGCCTGGTTCCTGCCAGCTCTTTTCCTGTCTAGATTTTACCTCCCCTTCATTGGCTGGATACTCCTTGGATACACGCAAGGCCCTGAGAACCACTGTCACCACACTTTCCTCCTCTCTCCCTTCCTCCTTGGATCAGATATTGAAACCAGGCTTCTCCCCTTGAGTGCTGCTGACATTTTGCCCATTGAGGCAAAGAGAACTGGCAGGAAATGGCATTTCTGCTCTCTGCAGACACTTGCCTGGCATGGCACAACAAGAACCAAGGGTGAAAAGCTTTCAGTCTCCTTGTGTTCTTCACCCTCTTCTCCAGGCCCTCTCCACAGCCTCCCATCTTCAGCGCTTTCCTTCATCTTTCTTGGACTTATGTTTTCCTTCATTCTCTACTATCCACTTTTCTTCCTCTTCCTCTTTCTATTTCTGCTTTTTCTTCTGCCTTTTGTATCCCCCTCCACCTCTACTTTCTCCCCCATATGTAGTTATAATTTGATGGTCTACACTTGTAATATAGCCCCTAAAAACCTCTCTGCAGATGCAACTTCCACCTCAAACTCTCCCTTCCAACACTTTAGGTAGAATGGCCACTGTATGTCATTCCCTGACTCAAGACCCTGCACTGACTCCCTGGGGCCCACAGAATAGAGGCCAAACTCCAAGACGACAGACAAAGCCCTTCATCGTGTGGCTTCTGCCTGCTTTTTTCTCTTTTACTCAATTGTGTATTGGTTCAGCAAACAAATGAATTTGTTTACTGAGTGCTTTCCATGAGAATATACTATACCAGCAGTTGCATATAAAATTAATAAGGTATGACTTTTAAAAATTTACAGGTGAAATGATATGATGTCTGGGATTTTCTTCAAAATAACCCACAGAGTGGGAGAAGAGGAGTTGGTGCAATGGGAGAGGCACAGACAAAACAAGACTGACCATAGGTGATAATTATTGAAGCTGGGTGATGGGTATGATGGAGTCATTATATTATTCTCTTTATTGCAGTATATGGTTGAAAATTGTTGTTGAAAAAATGATAGGTGAATAACAGGCGAACAGAACAGACATGTCTCTGGATTTTCTTTTCTCACAGTTCTCCATGAATATTAAGCCTTTCAGGGCCTCAAGTAATCCAAGGTTTGCACCTCCAGGCATTTCCATGCTTCTTCTGCTTGGAACTCTATTTCCTCCATCCTTTCCTAATTGCCACATCTGGTGCCTACTCAACCTCTAAGTCCAGCTCAAACAAATAGCACTTTCTCTGGGAAGCTTTTTAAGACCCCTCCAAATCAAGGGAGGAACCCCTGCCCTATGCCCCCACAGCACCTTGTCATAACACTGCTATGGTTTGTTGTAATTGCCTGTTTAATTGTCTGTTTCTCCCACCAGGCTACAAGCTCTCAGTGCACAGGGATTGCTTTTGTCCTGCTCCCTATTTTATCCCCAGAGCCTGACACACGGTAGCAGCTCAGTAAATATCTGCTGCATGGTTGAATAAAATGAACTGTGAGGTCTCTAGCAGAGCAGCTGGCACAAACTTGGCCTTGTTGTATGGTCTGGCGTGGTACGTGTGAGGAAGGGGTGGAACTCTTGGCACTGGCTGAGTGCAAACAGATGTCACTGCCTGCTCCTCTGCCACTGTCAGGCATTTCCACCCTGGGCCAGCACCTTCAGGGCTAAGTCCACTTAGTGCAGAATCCTAGAACTTTCCTGGACATAGAAATGTTGATGCTCACTTTGTAAAATCCAAGCTAATGGCCTGGTAATACTTTTCTTGTCTTTTCAGTGAAGTACAAAGTGATCTACTTGCAAATGACCAGAGTTAAGAGTGGCATTTATTCAAAAATTTTCTCAATAATACACCACCTGCATCCTTCTATATAATTATAGATAATTATAAACTATATGAAATAGCATGGTTTATTATTTAACAGGAGTGTAAAGTATGGCATCAAATGCCATACCTCCTCCTAGTTTGCTGACATGCATGGCTGGTCATATACGTGCTTCTCAGAGAGAGGCCTTTCCAGACCATTCTGCCTATAATAGTGTACCCTCTACCCCCATCCAGTCTTGCTCTCTCCTGTCCAATTTGTTTTTTTTTGTTTTTTTTTTTTTGAGACAGAGTTTTGCTCTGTTGCCAGGCTGGAGTGCAGTGGTGGGATCTCAGCTCACTGCAATATAAAATTAACATGGAATGACTTTTAAAAATTTACAGATGAAATGATATGATTTCCCAGGTTCAACCGATTCTCCTGCCTCAGCCTCCCAAGTAACTGGGACTACAGGCGTGCACCACCAGGCCCAGCTAATTTTTGTATTTTTGGTAGAGAAGGGGTTTCACCATGTTGGCCTGAATGGTCTTGAATGAATGGTCTTGATCTCTTGACCTCGTGATCCACCCGCCTCAGCCTCCCAAAGTGCTGGGATTACAGGCGTGAGCCACCGTGCCCGGCCTCTCCTGTCCAATTTTTAATAGCACTTATGACTACCTATAATCACATATGGTTTATTTATTGGTGGTCTGCCCCACCCCTTTAAAATGTAAGCCATGTGTAAGCAGAGGCTTGTGTGGTGTTAAGTCTCCAACACATAAACCAAAGCTGGACACATGGTAGGTGTTTGATGATTGAATGAATGAATACTAGTGGTATTTATTATTACTACTACTACTACTATTATTATTATTATTATTATTATTATTATTATTAGACGGAGTTTCGCGTTTGTAACCCAGGCTGGAGTGCAATGGTGCGGTCTCAGCTCACTGCAACCTCCGCCTCCCGGTTTCAAGTGATTCTTCTGCCTCAGCCTCCTGAGTAGCTGGGATTACAGGCTCACGCCCAGATGCCCGGCTAATTTTTTTTGTATTTTTAGTAGAGAAGGGGTTTCACCATATTGGCCATGCTGGTCTGGAACTCCTGACCTAGAGATCCATCCGCCTCGGCCTCCAAAGTGCTGGGATTACAGGCGTGAGCCACCGCGCCCGGCCCACAACAGCATTTTTAATAGCTACATGTTATTTTGCTGTATGGAGTTTCTTTATTGTTGGGCATTTAAGTTACTCATAATTTTTCATTATTCTGAGCACTGTTGCTATAAAAATATTTCTATTAATGGCTAGTTACATCTTTGTATTAAATGATTAATAGAATAAATTCCTTGTCAATAAATTATTAGATTCAAGAATATAAATATTATTAAGGCATTTGATAGCTTCCCCAGACACCCTATTTCTGAGTTTTTACCTGTGAAACTGCATAGATCCTTAACTCCGCCCTGCTAGTGGAGGCCTACCCCTGTGCCCCGCCCAGTGGGTGGGACCTTGCCCCTCATATATCAGCCTCCCATGCTTACTTTCTGTCTGCCTCTTCCCATGATTTTCTTTCTAGATTCCCTGTCCCGCAGCTCTGACTCCTGAGACAGACCATTTTTCTGAACCATGTTAGGCATTGCTAGACCCCTTACACAGGATCAACCCTGCCTAGTGGATGACCGGAGTCAGCTCCTGCCTTTCCCTATGCCTTCCTTTCTGTGACCATTGTGGGACACCCATATAGTCCCAAGCCATGACAAGTATTGTGGTGTCTTGGCTCTTGTGGCACATTTCTGGTCATCTCTGCAGTTTATATAATACTGCTTCCTTAGTCATGTGCTCTTAAATGTAACTCTTAATTATAAGATTGGGTCTTTAACAGAATAGGAGCTTCTTGATAATATCAATTGGCTAGCATGAGCACTAGGATGTCTTATGGAAAAAGTAGGTGACAACCAATAACAACCCATTAACAGACTAGCATCTCTAATGACCCTAGTAACAAAAGAATGGTATTTAAACTGTTTAAAATTTTATTGTGGAAATATACATATAACACGAAGTTTACCATTTTAAGAAAGTGTACAGTTCAGTGGCATTAAGTACATTCACAATGTTGCGCAACTGTCACCACTATCTAGTTCCAAAACTCCTTCATCATCTCAAACAGAAACTCTATAACCATTAAGCAATAATTCTCCCGTTCCACACTCTCCCAGACCTGGTAACTTCTATTCTACTTTCTGTCTCTATGAATTTGTCTTTTCTAGCTATCTCATATAAGTGGAGTCATACTATATTGTCTTTTGGAGTCTGGCTTCTTTCATTTAGCATAGTGTTTTTAAGGTTCATCGATGTTGTAGCATTCATCAAAATTTCATTCGTCTTTATGGCTGAATAATATTCTATTATGTGTGTATACCACGGTTTGTTTATTCATTCATCCACTGATGGACATTTAGATTATTTCCACCTTTGACTATTGTGAATAGTGTTGCTATTATTAAATGCCTAGCATTCTAATTACCCTAATTTTTAAAAAAGAAATGAGGTATTTAACCTGTTTTTATGATTCATCTCTGTTCCAAACATGTTCAATTTTTTGTGTGTGTGTGTGCGTGTGTGTGTGTGTGTGTATCACTAGCCACATTCTCTCTGAATAATCAATGTTTTAAACAGTATATCTAACTAGCAGTCCAATTTTATTTTATTTACGAACTAGCCTCAGTCTGGGAATTATTTGAGGAAGTTTACAAAATACATAAGGATCAAAATAAGTAAAGAAGCCAGGCATAGTGGCACATATCTGTAGTCCCAGCAACTTGAAAGGCTGAGGCAGGAAGATCACTTGGGCCAGGAGTTGGAGGCCAGCCCGGGCAACATAACAAGACATTATCTTAGATAGATAGGTAGATAGATAGGTAGATAGATAGATGATAGATAGATAGATAGATAGATAGATAGATAGATAGATAGATAGATAGAGGAAGATGAAGAGAAAACCAAGCATGACATTATAAAATGAAGCCAGAGGCCACAAACATATATAATGTGCCAGAAATTCTTGCAAAATTGATAGGTCACAATTTCTAAGCTTCTTAGTGACCAAATACAGAGAGAAAAGATCAGTCATCAGTCATAGGGTCTCTAAGATAAGCAAACAAACAAGCAAAAAACTATGAGTAGCTCAGGAGAAAGAAGCACATACGTTCCCAACACTGAATTGCAAGAGAAGAACCATTTGATAAAACAGATTATGTTTTTCTTAACTTTCTTATAGCAAATACAGAGTTTTATGTGGCTGTTTTTTATACTGCTGCTCAAAGGAAGCTAAAGGTATAACATAAGGGGGAACTCAGGAAAAACAGTTACAAAGGAGGCGGTAAATGAAAGCTGTCTAAATATTCAGTTCTTTGTCCACGGATGAAATTTGGACCTTAACAGGAATGAGTAAACTGCATATTCTCAAGGAATTATTTTTAATTATTTCTTACAACTAAATTTTTGATGAGTTTAGTAGCAGAGAGTTTCATATCTTCTGAGAAGAACCTAGAACCCCTTGGCCTATGCTATTGAGTAAAAGAAAATTCACATACTAAACAATTCTCTAAGCAGAAAATAGACCTGGGATCCCTTTATCAAAATTAGAAGGCCTAGACCACATCACATGCTGGGGAAGACATGGAGCAACCAGAATTCTCACATGTTGTTGTTGGGAATATAAAATGATACAATCACTTTGAAAAAGTCAGGCAGTTGCTTAAAAATGAAGTATGGCTGAGCATAGTGGCTTATACATGTAATCCCAGCACTTTGGGAGGCCAAGGTAGGAGGACTACTTGAGGCCAGGAGTTTGAGACCAGCCTGGGCAATACAGCACGACCCTTATCTCTACAAAAATTAAAATTAAAAAATTAGCCAGGCTTGGTGGCATGCACCTGTAGTCTTAGCTATTTGGGAGGCTAAGGTGGGAGGATTGCTTGAGCCCAGGAGTTTGAGTTTGCAGTAAGCTATTATCCCACCACTGCACTCCAGCCTGGGTAATAGAACAAGACCATCTCTAAAAATAAAATAAAATAAGATAATAAAATGCACACTTATCACATGACCTAGCAATTTCACTCCTATGTATTTACCCAAGATAAATAAAAACATATGTTCTTACAAGGACTTGCACAAGAATGTTCATAGCAACTTTGTCATAATAATTAAAAACTAGAAAAAGCCTGGTGTCCATCAGTAGGAGAATGGATAAACAAACAGAGATGCTCATAGAATGAAATTCTACTCAGCAATAAAAAGGAAAGACCAGCTGATATAAACAACAGCATGGACAAATTTCAAAAACACTATGCTAATAAAAATTTGGTAGAAGAGTGAAATAATGCGAAAACTTAAAAGCAATGCAGATTTGTGTCCAGTTCCATGGATCAAGACAAATTGCCCCAGTTTTGTCATGGGGAAAAGGGGAGTAATAATCTCTGAAAGTGAAAATTAAATAAGCATTGTGTGATTTTATTTTTTTGGTTGTTTTTTGGTTGTTTGTTTGTTTGTTTTTTGAAACAGAGTCTCTTTCTGTCGCCTAGGCTGGAGTACAGTTGCACAATCTCAGCTCACTGCAACCTCTGCCTCCTGGGTTCAAGTGATACCCTTGCCTCAGCCTCTTGAGTAGCTGAGACTACAGGTACCCGCTACCATGCCTGGCTAATTTTTGTATTTTCAGTAGAGACAGGGTTTTACCATGTTGGCCAGGCCGATCTCGAACTCCTGACCTCAGGTGATCTGCCTCGGCCTCCCAAAGTGCTGGGATTACAGACTTGAGCCACAGTGCCCGGCCTTATTTTGTACTTTAAAATGTTACATATAGATTATATGTATCTTTCTGTAACTTGCTTCTTTTTGTTTAACACTGATTTGAAAGTACTTGGCAAAGATCAGTATCATCATTAGTCAAAAAAGATAATGGTTGGCAAGAGGAGAACACAGAGAAAATATGACTTAAAGAGGGCATCAAGTGATAAATTTTTTGTTTTGTTACCAAAAAACATGCTGAGTAAAAGAAGCCTTACTAAAAGAATTTACACTGTATGAATTATTTCATGTGAAGTTCTAGAGCAAACGAACCAACCTATGATGAATGAAACCAGAACAGCAGTTACCTCTGGTGGGGCAAGGGTAGAGATTAACTGGGAAAGGGGAGGACAAGACTTTCTGGGGTCATGCTAGTGTTCTCTATTTTATAGGAGGTTAAAGAGGACCAAAATTCCTCAAATGGTACCAAACAAAGAAAAATGTTAATGGTAGAACCTAGGTGGTGGGTATATGGTTATGTACTATAAAATTCTTTCAACTTTCTTGTGTCCTTGCAACTTCATTTTTGTGTTTTAAAACATTGGCCAGGCTGGATATGATGGCTCACGCCTGTAATCCCAACACTTTGGGAGGCTGAGGCAGGCGGATCACTTGAGGTCAGGAGTTCGAGACCAGCCTGGCCAACATGGTGAAACTCTGTCTCTACTAAAAATGTAAAAATTAGCCAGGCTTGGTGGCGGGCACCTGTAGTCCCAGCTACTAGGGAGGCTGAGGCAAGAGAATCACTTGAACCCCAGAGGCAGAGGTTGCAGTGAGCTGAGATGGCACCACTGCACTCCAGCCTGGGCAACAGAGTGAGACTCCATCTCAAAAAAAAAAAAAAAAAGGAAAGAAAAAAAAAAGAAATGAGCCTAAGTAAAACATAATTTAATGATAAAAACTATTTTTTAAAAAAGTCTTAAAAGATACCTATATGTACTTGGAATTTTTATTATTAACCTATGGTGGGTTTTTAAAAATATTTATTAATTGTGTCTGTCAATCTTTTGAAAAAATTCAAATGAAAATAAATAAAAAAATGTAAACATCAGTTGATATATTCAACTCTGAACATTACTACTGCAGTTTTAAGTAAAATCCACAGGGTGGCAGAGAAAAGGAATCACAGAAGATGCTCACATTTCTGATTTAAGTGAATAATGGAAAATATTTTATTGCTTCTATTAATAGAAAAGATTTGCAGACTTTGTGAAATGTACTATACAGCACACAGAACTAAACTTGTAATCTAAATCTAAACTCCCACTTTTGCCTGAAGTTATTTGCTTATATAAAAAATGATGATGATTCGCCATGCTCATTTGCACAATTCTCCTCTCTTTTAGAGGTTATCTTTTATTTTTGCGTGAGAGATTATTTCAGTTAACGCTTCTCACTCACATAATGGATCATGTACATCCTTCTTCCCCCTCTCCTACCCCATTGGTCTTCCAGTGATCCCAGCCTCCCCCACTGTCACAGGGAACCCAGAAGCCAGAACCCTCTAAATTCTTGGTCAATGCACTTACTTCACCACTGTTAACAGATCCTGGCACACTCTTCCTTTCAACCTTAAGCAAATGCTTTACTTGCTATGATGAAAATTTCAAAGTAGCAGTAGAAGTAAATGACGTAATGAGAAAAAGAAAAAACAAATTCCCTGCAATGTCATTACCAAGAGGCTAATGAGCAGACTAGACTGAGTTATTCACAGAAATCAACATGTTTTATACATAAGATCGATCTCACGATTATTCCATTTGAGCAGGCCTTTATTTGTCTCCTATAATTTTCCAAAGGGATTCCGTGTTAGTCCACACACTGAACGACGCCAATCTCTCTACAGTTCCCCTCTATGATGATGCTTTGGGATGGCAACGAAGCAGGGATGATTTAAGAAAATGTCAGCAGTTGTCTGGCGTTTGTTTGTTTGGAAGGAGAAAGATAATGATTAAAAATAAATAAATAAATAAATAAATAAATAAATAAATAAATAAAAATAAATCAGTCGGGCTCGGGGTCCAGGAGTAGGGGTTGGGATCTTCGGGAAAAGCAACTGTGGGAGGAGGCTGAAGGGAACGGGGCAGGGGTTGGGGGTCGGGGGACGCGGAGGAGCCCAAGCCTGGACCAACCCTGCTTCCCAGGCCGCGACCCTGATCCTGCAGCACGCGAAGAAGCGAACCCCGCGGATGGGCCACTGAGCCTGAATCCGGGGCGGTGTAGAGCCCCCTGGAGCAAGGATCAGGATGTCCCGTCTCATGAGGGACATGGAGTCCGAAGATCCCGCGTTCCTGGTGGGCCCCTCTGCTACTCGCCGTCAGCATTTGCTGTCAGGTGGCTTTGGCTGGAGCCCCTTCCTCGGCATCGCAGATGGCATCACAGCTGCAGGGTGCAGGCTGGGGCTGTCTCCCCCTTGGGGATGCTGGAAACGTCGGGTGGCTTCGTGGACATGCTTGGGATGATGAACGACATGACTGATGGAACACATGACAGCTGGAGGCTCTTGCCAGACCGTTTCATCCTCCGCTGCCATCTCCTACTCCAGCGCGGGAGAGGGTGTCCCCACGGTCTACCAAGGGACATCAGAGACGCAGTCGCACCGGCGGGGCCCAGGCCACGCGGGGGACTGACAGGGATTCGGGCGGTGGCCTGGAGAGGACTGGGACTGGAGGAGCGGCAGGGCCACAACAATCCGGGTGCGAGTGAGGCCGCGGCGTTTGCCGCTGGGGGACGGAGGCTGGCTTCCTGCTCCCGCAGCAGCAGCGCCCTCTGGCATTTCCACCGTCAGAGGCATGGGGTGGTGGGGACGAAGGACTCAGGAGCCTCTCCGCCTGGACTTACAGGGACCCCAGGACTCCCGCTCCCGAAGGTCCCGCCGCCTTCCCCAGGCCTCGGCCTCTCTTGTACTGGCCAAGAGGCTGAGAAATCATACCCGGAAATAACTTTTTCCTCTCTAACTCCCATCCCCAATTTAATATTAAATTAATAGGCAAGCTGGCCCCCACCTCTCCCTAAGGGCCTCAGGCAGAACCTTTCACTGCTCCCTTAACCTACTTTTTCCTTCTTTAATCCCCTTATCATGATGATCCACTTCTCCTGTATCCACTAACTTGATTTTACGTTTTGCTGCTCCATTTTTGAGCCTCCTCAGCTTCCCCATTCTACCGCTACCATGCATTGGAGGGTCTTTGGGGGTGAGCGCTGGATTTAGAGGCTTCTTCCAACCCTCAGCTACCCTGGACCCTTGCCCACCTCTTCCTCAGAGGCCCCACTGCAGGGGCCGGAGCCCTGTCCAGGGCTGGGTAGGGGGCCGACCACAGGTTCCCAACTCTTCCTTGCTCACGCCTCCCACACACACATCACAAAACTCTTCCCCGCACCCTTCTCTGCCTTTATTTCTGGAAATGCACAACTTGTAACTCAGTGTTTATGGGGAAAAAATGGGGAAAAAATAAAATCTGTGAAGCCAGAATTCCTTTCGCAAACAGACTGATCATATCTTTGGATGGTTGGAAATGACTGTCCATATAGTAATTCTGCAAGGTGCATCATGGGACCTTGCACTGGGACACTCTACAGATTTTTCAATAAAGGAGTCAGGGCTGGGACATGTAGCATATTCAGCCAGAATATGCAAAACAGCAGCCAACTGCTCTCAGAAGCTAACTGTGCTAAGACCAAAAGCCAGCTCTAACATTAAGGTCTCATGCATCGTTTTATGTTTCGTTGAAAAGTAAATTCCTTGGCAATCCTGTGGGAACAGGACATGAGAACTCTCTCACAATTTCAGAGCTTCATGTTAGTCTCTGTTGGACTCGTCCAGCAAGTTGACTCATTCCTTTCCTAGCTAGGCAGCAACGAGATATATTGGTATCTTTCAGGAACACACCCTCCCTTAAATGCTTATTCAGCTGCATTTCCAATATTTTGGATCTGCTACCTTCATTCGCATTTCAATACATATTTATGGCCTGAAGTTTTAACTCTGCCACTTCTGGATCACAATTCAGGCTAAGCATTTTATATTATGAAAAAAAGAAATGCTGTGCCAGATGAAAAATACACTTACTCTCATAATTGCAACAATAATGTAACTGCAAAAGAGAAGTTTGTCTGAAAATTACAGTACTCAGGATTCATCATATTATAACAAATGTGAATTTTACTAAATACCAAGAAAAATCAGAGATTAAAATGTACCCCAAAAACTCTGGACTCAAAAATAGGAAAAGTTCACTTTCCTATTTCTCTCAACTTACTTCTCTTTCTAGTGAGCCAAACATCTGACACATGTAAGCCATAGGTCAAAAGATGAATCAGGCAACAGAAGGAACTGAGTATATCTGTACATCTGCCACTGATATATTAAATATTGAAATATCCCCAAACTGAAAAAGTTGTTTTTAAAAAAGCCAATTTTCAACTAAGTTATAGTTTTTCATCTACGCAACTGTTTTTAACATTGTATGCTGTCTTTCCCTCCAGTTAACTGGGTTATTTTATTTACTTATTTTATAGATATAGGGGTACAAGTGTAGGTTTGTTACATGGATATATTGTGTAGTGGTGAAGTCTGGGCTTTTAGTGTCATTGGGTTATTTTAGAAACAAGCCAACTACTTGCAGGCAGCCCTATATATGGTCAACATATGCTAGTGGACAAAATGTTGGCTTAGATTCTCCCTATGAACAAATGTAGAAACTGAGCCACAGTGAGTTAGCATAATTTGCCCAGTTGATGCAAACATTTCACATCTCCTGAATTGAGTGGTTTGTTAGGACAGTTGAGTCGACTGTAGGGCTAATGAGACAAGGCCTTGAGACCTCTTCCCTCTCTAGTGGAACAGATAATAATGCACTAACATGATCACAGATTCAAGTAAGCCAAACATCTGACACATGTAAGCCATGGGTGAGAAGATGGATCAGGCAAAGGAAGGATCTGAATATATCCATCCATTCATCCCCACTGACAGAAAGCCAAGATGAACATATAAGAACAGCTGAGGCCAGTCAGTGATGAAATTAACTACTAAGGTTGATATGTACACACACACACCCATCTTGGAAATTATAACTACACCAGGTATGCTCCAGTATCCTGATGTTGGATGCATATGTTGGATGAACCCACACATCATATCGCATTTGTCCCAAATGACACGTCATTTGCTTATGAAAGACATCCTTCATTTATTTGTACTTTAAATTCCAAGCTGCTAAAGATAGCTCTCTTTAAGGTTAACCAATTCACATTCTTTATTGACTTTCTGAAATTATATGAAAGAAAAAAAGTTAAAATGTCAGCCAAATAAAACTTACACTTGAGTAATTGGGTACTCCAAATCTACTTTGGAAATAAGACGAGTATAAACAATACATTTTTTATATATGATACTTAGCAAAGTTGTAATATTTTTTGTTTTTGTTATTTTTTGTTTTTTGCTTTTTTGTTTCTATTATTTTTAATTGACATATAATATTGTACATATTTGTGGGGTACAGTGTGTCATTTCAATAAATCTATACCATGTGTAATAATCAAATCAGGGTAGTTAGCATATACATCACCTCAAATATTTATCATTTCTTTGTGTTGGGTACGTTCAAGATCTACTCTTCTAGTGATTTGAATGTATACAGAAAATTGTTGTTGATTATAGTCACTCTTTATTGCTATAGAACACCAGAACTCATTTGTCCTCTCTAGCTGTATTTCGTATCTATTAACCAACTTTGGCTATCTCCCTCTCCCTCCTGCCATTTCCCACCTCTGGTAACCACTATTCTACACTCTGCTTCTAGCAGACCAGTGTTTTTAGCCTCCACATGCAAGTGAGAATATGTAGTATTTATTTTTCTGATTTCACTTAACATAATGTCCTCCAAGCTTATTCATATTGCTGTGGGTGACAGAATTTCATTCTTTTATATGGCTAAATAATATTCCATTATTTCACATTATATATATGTGATCTATATATATCACATTTTCTTTATTCATTCATGTGTTGATGGACATTTAGGTTGATGCCATATTGTGGCTATCTGCAATAAACATGGGAATGCAGATATCTCTTTGACCTGCTGATTTCCTTTCCTTTGGATATATACATTGGTGGTTCTATTTTTAGTTTTTTGAGAAACCTCCTTTCTGTTTTCCATAATGGCTGTACTAATTTACAATTCAACCAACAGTGTATAAGAGATCACTCCACTTTTTGTTTCATCTTCATCAGCATTTTTTTTTGTCTTTTTGATAATCTCACCCCAGCCATTCTCACTGGGGTGAGAAGATATCTCACTGTGGTTTTGATTTGTATTTCCCTGATGATTAGTGATATTGAGCATTTTTAAATATTCTTGTTGGCCATTTGTACGCCTCCCTTTAAGAGATGTCTCTTCAGCTCATTTGCCCACTATTTGATTGAATTATCATCATCATCATCATCATCATCATCATCATCATTTGCTATTGAGTTGTTTGAGTTCCCTGTGTATTCTGGACATTCATCCATTGTTGGATGAACAGTTTGCAAATATTTTCCCTCATTTTGCAGGTTGTCTCTTCACTCTCTTGATTGTTTCCTTTACTGTGCAGAACGTTTTTAGCTTGATATAATCCCAACTGTCTATTTTTTATTTTGTTGCCAGTCTTCTCCATAAAGTCTTTGCCCAGACCAATTTCCTAAAGCATTTTCCCTGTGTTTTTTTCTAGTAGTTTGATAATTCTGGGGTCTTACTTTTAAGTCTTTAATCCACTTTGAATAGATTTTTTGTATATGGTGAGGGATAGGAGTCTAGATTCATTTTTTTGCATATGGATATCCAGTTTTCCCATCACCATTTACTGAAAAGACTGTCCCTTACCCAGTGAATCTTCTTAGTGCCTTTGTTGAAAATCTGTTGGTTGTAAATACGTGAATTTATTTCTGGGTTCTCTATTCTGTTCTGTTGGTCTATGAGTCTATTTATGTCAGTACCATGCTGTTTTGGTTACTATAGCTTTGTAGTATATTTTGACATCAGGTAGTGTGATGCCTCCAGCTTTGTTTTTGTTTTTCGTTTTTTTTTAATCAAGATTGCCTTAGCTGTTCAGAGTCTTTTGTGGTTGCATATGAATTTTAGGATTATTTCTATTTCTGTGAAGAATGTCATTGGTATTTTGATAAAGATTGCTTTGAATCTGTAGATTGCTTTTGGTATTATGGCCATTTCCTCAATCTTAATTCTTTCAGTCCATGACATGGGATGTCTTTCATATTTTTGTGTCCCTTTCAATTTCTTTCATCAGTGTTTTGTAGTTTTCCTTGTAGAGGTCTTTCACCTCCTTGGTTACATTTATTCCTGGGTATTTTAAATTTTTTATAGCTATTGCAAATAGGATTGCTTTCTTGATTGTTTTCCTCTAGTTTGTTGTTAGTGTATGGAAACACTGCTGACTACTGATTTTTCTATGTTGATTTTGTATGCTTTAGCTTTTTTAAATTTGTTTATCAGTTCTAAGAAAGGTTTTGTTGGTGAAGTTTTAAAGTTTTTTTTTAATATATAAGATCATATTGTCTGCAAACAGACAACTTCCTCCTTTCCAATTTGGATGCCCTTTATTTCTTTCTCTTGGCTAATTGATCTGGCTAGGATTTCTAGTATTATGTTGAATAAAAGTGGTGAAAGTGGGCATTCTTGTCTTGTTCCAGATCTTAGAGGAAAACCTGTGAACTGTGCCTCATTCACTATGACATTGTTTATGGGTTCGTTGTATATAGCCTTTATTGTGTTGAGATACATTTCTTCTATACTTAACTTGCTGAGAATTTTTATCATGAAGAGATGTTCAATTTTATCAAATGCTTTTTCTGTAACTATTGAGATGATTATATGGGTTTTGTACTTAGTTCTGTTCATGTGACATATCATATTTATTAATTCACATATATTGAATCATCCTTGATTGACTATGACATTGTTTATGGGTTTGTCATATATAGCCTTTATTGTGTTGAGATACATTTCTTGTATACTTGTTGAGAGTTTTTATCATGAAGAGATGTTGAATTTTATCAAATGCTTTGTCTGTGACTGTTGAGATGATTATATGGATTTTGTACTGAATTCTGTTCATGTGACATATCATATTTATTAATTTGCATATATTGAATCATCCTTGCCTTCCTGAGATCTTACTTCATCATAATGAATGATCTTTTTAATGTGCTGCTGGATTTGGTTTGCTAGTATTTTGTTGAGGATTTTTGTGTCTATGTGCATCAGGGATATTGGCCTATTTTTTTTTTGTCCTTATCTTGTTTTGGTATCAGAGTAATGATGGCCTCATGGCATGGGTTTGAAAGAATTCCCATGCCTTCAAATTTCTGGAAAGGTTTGAGAATAATTTGTATGAGTTTTGCTTTAAATGTTTGGTAGAATTTCACAGTGAAGCCATTGGGTCTTGGAATTCTGTTTGATGGGAGTCTATATATTACAGATTCAGTCTTGTTATAATTCATCTGTTCAGGTTTTCTATTTCTTCTTGGTTCAATCTTAGTATATGTATCTAGGAATTTATCCATTTCTGTGACATTTTCTAATTTGTTAGTGTATAGTTATTCATAATAGATTAAGTGACCCTTTGTGTTTATGTGTATTTGTAATGTGTCGTTTTTCACTTCTGATTGTATTTATTTGGATATTTCTTCCTTTTTCTTGGTTAGTCTAGCTAATGGTTTTTCTATTTTGTTTGTCTTTTCAACAAACTAACTTCTATTTTGTCGATCTTTTATATTTTTAAATAATAATTTTGCTTATTCCTGCTCTAATCCTTATTCTTCCCTCTATTAATTTTGGGTTTGGCTTGTTTTTGCTCTTCTAGCTCTTTGAGATGCACTGTTAGGTTGCTGGTTTGAAATCATTCTAAGATTTTTCTAAGATTTTTTGATGTAGGCATTTATTGCCATAAACTTCACTGTTAATATTGCTTTTGCTGTATCCCAAAGGTTTTGGTATGTTGTGTTTCTATTTTAATTTGCTTCAAGAAATTTTTTCAATTGTCTTCTATTTTCTTCATTGACCCATAGGTATTTCAGGAGCATATTGCTTAATTTCCAGGTATTTTTATAATTTTGAAAGATTCCCTTGTTATTGATTTCTAGTTTTGTCCCACTGTGGCCAGAAAAGATACTTTACATTATTTAAATTATGTTAAATTTGTTGAGACTTGGTTTTTGGCCTAACACGTGGTCTATCTTGGAGAATGTGCCCTATGTTAATGAGAAGAAGCTCATAATCTGCAGCTATTGGATGAAATGTTCTGGAAATGTCTGTTAGGTCCATTTGGTCTAAAGTGAAATTTAAATCCAAAGTTTCTTTATTAATTTTCTGTTTAGATGATCTGTCCAATGCTGAGAATGAGGTGTTAAAGTCCCTAACTATTAGCATATTAAAGTCTATCTCTCTCTTCAGATCTAATAATATTTGCTTTATATATCTGGGTATATACATGTTTAGGATTGTTATATCATCTTGCTGAATTGATCCCTTTATCATTATATAATGACCATTGTCTCTTTTCACAGTTTTTGACTTAAAGTCTATTCTATCTCATATAACTACTCCTGATCACTTTTGGTTTCTAGTTGTGTAGAATACATTTTTACATCCCTTCACATTCAGTCTATATGTGTCTTTGCAGAAAAAGCGAGTTTCTTGTAGGCAGCAAATAATAGTTCATTTAAAAAAATCCATTTGGCCAGTCTATACCTTTACCTGGGTAATTTAATCCATTTACATTCAAGATTATTCTAGATAGGAAAGGATTTATTCCTGTCATTTTGTTAATTATTTTCTAATTATTTTGTTCCTTTCTTCCCTATTGTTTGTCATTGTGGTTTTCTATGGTTACAAGGTTTGATTCTTTTCTCTTTTTCCTTTGTGTATATGTTTTACCAGTGAGTTTTATAACTTTTGTATATTTCCATGATAGTGATGACTATCTTTTTGCTTCCAGATGTAGGACTCTCTTGGGCATTTCTTGAAAGACCAGTCTCCTGGTGATGAATTTCCTCAGTTTTCGCTTGTCTGGAAAAGGCTATTTCTCCTTCATCTCTGGATGATAGCTTTGCTGGGTATAGTATTCCTGGCTGCCTTTTTTTTTTCTTTCAGCACTTTTGAATATATCATCTCATTCTCTCCTGTTCTATAAGGTTTCTGTGAATAAACCTACTGTTAGTCTAATGGGGATTCCCTTACATGTGATTTGACACTTTTCTCTTGCTGTTTTAGAATTCTCCCTTTGTCTTTGACTTTAGACAATTTGACTATAATGTGCCTCAGGAAGGACTTTTTTGAGTGTATCTATCTGGGGATTTTTGAGCTTCCTGCTGGCTCTGGGTATCAATCTCTCTCTCCAGTCTGGGTAAGTTTTCAGCTATTATTTCATTAAATAGGTTTTATATGCCTTTTCCCTTCTCTTATTCTTCTGAAATTTTTACAATACAAATATTTGTTTGCTTAATGGTGTCCTATAAGTCTTGTAGGCTTTTTTTATTCTTTTTAATTTTTCTTTCTTTTCTCTGACTGGGTAATTTCAAATGACCTGTCTTCAAGCATAGAGATTCTTCCCTTTGCTTCATGAAGTCAGCTGTTGGAGTTATCTATTGTATTTTTCTATTTCATTGATTGAATTCTTCAACTGCAGTATTTCTGGGGTTTTTTTAATGATTTCTATCTCTTTTTAAAATGTCTCATTCATATTGTGAACTCCTTTCCTGATTTCATTGAATTGTGTATCTGTATTTCCTTATATTTCATTGAGTTTCTTTAAGATCATCATTTTAAGTTCCTTCTCTGGAAATTCATTGACTTTCTTATCACCTGATGACTTTATCACCTTGAACGTTAGGATACAAGTCATTTACTCCAAGACATCAGGCCATCTAGGGGTTTGATGTGTAATCATGCAAAATTACATGGCCTGCACAGGAACTGAGTTAAAAGGTCAGAATTATGATTTATAAAGTGTCCCAAGCAAGTGAAACAACCAACTATGGCTGTAAGGATCATGAAAAACAGGGAATTCCCCCCCAGTTTACACAGACAACAAAAACTAAGTGTAGGTCACTATCTCATTTTACCCATGGATTTTAATTTATAGAGGTGACTGAGTGATGACATAGAAAGACCAATGCCATCGAAAGAATAATTTATTACTTACAAGTCCTGGGAGAAGGGGGCATGCCATGCCACACAGAGCCACATGGGAAGCACTAAGTTTGGTTAGGAGGCATAAGCAGGAGCAAGAGGAAAGCCTAGGCCAGAGCCTTTTTGGGAGGTTCCAGGAGAATTTCAAGGCAGGATGGAGTAAACAGCTTAGAGCTAGCAAGTTTAAATAACTTCAGTGGGCTTTGGCCTACATGGGTGGTCTCTAGTTGCCTGGTATCTGGTCTGGGAATGCATTAGGGCAGGGTAAAATATTGGCTTGGTGTGTGAGAGTTAGACAGAGCAGGCAGTTTTGGATATAGACTTGAGATTGCATATGAAATGTATATTCCTAGGTAAGTTGTTATTTCCTTCAGGAATTAGCTAGCCCTGGGAGGAGCAGTCTGTCCCCAAGGCTGTATGACCTGCCCAAATGTCAAAACATCATAAGATACAGAAAATAAAAAACATGATTAACACAGTCACAGAAGTTTCAACAAGTATTTCCCCTTAGTTCATGCTATTTTCTATTTATTCCTCAATCACTTAGTCTTCCTTTATAAAACATAGAAATTTCATTTTTATTTTCTATGTAAATAGTAAACTGCCTTGGTTTCAAATTTTCATACAGATGGAGTTTTGAATGATTTTGATTCTGCCTTTCATAAATAAAGTTCTTTTTTAAAAAACCTGAAGTTCCTGTTGAGCCATCAATCATAGAAGTTCAAGCACTAGAAGGGGTCTTGGAAGTCACTCAGATTAACTCTTTTATTTTATATCTGAGTAATCTGTCATTAAAAATTCTTCTGAGCCTGAATGGCTTAACTACTATTGAAATCAAATATAGAATATAATTAAGCATGTAATTAAAAGTATTAATAGACAAAAAGTATTAATTGGCCAAAAAGTGGTTACATTTTAGAGTCTAACTAAACTTTCTCTCTTTTTTATTGTCTTCTCTCCTTCAAAGTAATGGTTCAAAGTGGAGACATTATAAAAATATCTATACGAATCATCAGAAGTTAGGAAAAACTACAGAAGCCATTCTCAGGACAGATTTCTCTGTGTGAGGTCATCCTGTTATCACCAATGCAGTCAATAGATTTCAGAAAAAATCAAAGCCATCCATCAAATCAAGAGAGTGTTATGCTTAAGATCAAGGCAAAAGCCCTCACCCAAAAGACACCTGTATGAATTCCTACCTGAAGAAGAATGAATCACTCCATTCTTGATTTGCGTGTTTGTTTTTGCCCCCTGCTCAAGAGTAATGATGGAAAGACAGAAAGGATGGGCACATTTAATTTGGATGCTCCTTCCTCCGTAGTTTGTTCAGCTGCCTGAGTGCCTAACTATTAGAATGGTATGTAGAGAACTCAAAAAATGGAATGGTTAAACATAAAGGCATGTCCTTACCTGGAATGAAAAGTAGAGACTCTAATTGCAAAGAGACGCCAAGGGTGCTAACAATATCTGCACTTATTATAATACCTGGACTTAATCATCCACCTTTCTGAAGTACAGAGGACTGTGAAGTCACACATATTGCCTAGAAACAAACATGGTTAGAACATTATTAGAAATAAAAAAATCATTTTGTTTAATTTAGTTTGTGTTATCACAGTAAAAATGCACAGTTTAAAAATTCAACTAGTCCTATAGCACTAGTTATGAAAAACAGTTTGTTTCTTGCCAAATTCCCTCTTCTCAGCAACAGCTACTTAAAATTCCTTTTAGTTAAGTCTTTTGATCTTTATCTACATACTTCTAAATAACATTCTCACACTACTATTTCTTGAAATTTTCCCCCAGTCTTAGGCATTGTCTGTGGACTTTCCACTATGGCAGATAGAATTTACCTTTCTTTCACTTCCCCAACCCCCACCACTTGTCCCCACCACACATAAAACCTCTCATTTCCCTATCCTCCCAATAAAGTTATATTGGCATTTAGAACTGTGGTTTGATTCATATTTACATCATTATGTAAATGCTAGTCACTGCTGAGCCATGTAATACACTATCATTAACTTGTATTTCTTTCACAACATTTAATCTTCCCAGTAGCTGATAATTGTTTTGTTTATGCTTTGCTTTTTTAAAGGTTCTTATTACAAATTCGATCCAAGTTATAAAAGCTCTCCATAAATTCATACTCAGGAGGTATCCTATAAATTTCATTTACTTGAAATTTCTTCAGCAAAAACTATACTGGTTAGTCTTTAGGCTTCTCTGGGCTGCCATCTTGGGACCTTCATTCTCTTCTTGCATATTTCCTTCATCTCTCTCTTGCGATGGAGCCCACATCATCCACTTCCTTTACTCCCTCACTTTGGTGGCCCATATCCTTCAATAAGTTCAGTGAGGAAGGGTGACCAGGAGGTAAATAGTGTGATACCTTGTATATCTTTCTCTACTGTTTTCTAATTTTCAATATTGCTGTTGAGAAAACCAGTAACATTCTGGTTTTTAATTCTTCAATGAAACTAATTTATTTTTTCCTCTCTGGAAGCTTATAGGCTATCCCCTTTATTGCTAGTGTTCTGAAATTTCATTTAGATGTGCCTTGGTGTGGGTTTTACCCATCCAGTGTACTAGCACTCTTTGGGGGCCTTCAGCTGGCAATTCGGTTATTAATAGCTCTTTAAAAAATAATTTCCTCTTAGTTTTTCTGTTCTGGAATTTCTATTAGTTGAATATTGGGTCTCCTGAAATTACCCTTTAATTCTATTGTCTTTTCTTTCATATTTTCTAACTCTTTGTCTTTTCATTCTACAGTTGAACCATCAATGATACAAGGATTAGGGGCACCAATCTCCCCACAAAGTCAAAAACCTACATGTAACTTTTGACTCCCCAGAAACTTAACTACTAATAGCCTACCATTGACCTGAAGCCTTACTAATAATGTACATACTCAATGAACATATATCTTGTATATGTGTTATACAACTATTTTTTACAATACAGCAAACTAGAGAAAAGAATATTATTAATAAAATCGTAAGCAAGAGAAAATATATTTAATATTCATTAAGTGAAAGTGGATCATCATAAAGGTTTTTATCCTCATGATCTTCATATTAAGTAGGCTGAGATGGAGGAAAAAGAGCAGGGATTGATCTTGTTGTCTGAGGGATGGCAGACGCAGTAGGAAATCCACGTATAAGTGCACCCACACAGTTCAAACCCATGTTGTTCAAGAGCCAACTTTCTAGGATATTTTCTTAATTTTACCTTCCACCCTTTCTTGAGTTTCCATTTCTACTAGCAGATAGGTAGGTAGGTAGTTAGATAGACAGACAGACAGACAGACAGATGAGATAAACTTTTCCAGTATCTTTTTTGTAGTTGTTTTCTCTCATTGTTCCTTTATTTTAAAATAGCTTCCAGGACACACCATGTTATCATCTCTGTGAGTTCGTGTCCCTCTGATGGTTCTCTTGAAGTTTTCTTCTCCCAGCATAGTTTGTTTTCTCTTGCTTTTTTCTCTGCAACTTTGGGGACTCTGTGTTTCATATAAGAGGTTTTCCTCAAATGTTTGGTTATCCTTGGCTGTGTGCTCACATTTAAGAACAGGGCACTAGACATCTGATTGGAAGACTGATACATGCAGGTGCCACTTTTCAAACATGGGATTTGTTGCAGGATTACCTGGCTGTGCTGTCTTATTGGGCAATCCCAAGTATCAGTATCTTTAGGTATTTCCATTGAGTTGGGTTCTAATCCCCAAGAAAACTCTTTCAGTTTTCTGGCTGGAGGTATAAGATTGTCTGTTTCCATTCTCAGAGCTGAGATGGTGAAGTGTCTCTCAACATTCAACTTAAATTTTCATTTAGTCCTCTGTTTTGCTACCCCCACTCATGCTTGCTGCCCCTTCAGTCCAGAAACCCTCTTCTCTCCTAAATCAGTTACCACTTGTTTACTTACTTTGCAGCTTCCAAAATTCTGCTACATTCTTCTCTTCTGTTTTCTTTTCTTCAATGGTAAAGGAGTTTATGCTTTCTTATAAACTCCTTTACCATTATTTTTAGTGGGATTCCAACAAAGGGTAGAGGTAAATGCATGTGTTCAAGCCTCTATCTTTAACTGGATGGCAGGGGTAATCATTTTCAAATACTGGCCTCACGGATTGTCACTGATACTTGTAATTTCATTCACAATCCACTCTCTTATTTCATCCATTTACAGATACTTATTAACTACCTGCTAGGTGCCAGGCACTGTACTAGATGCTGGTTAACAAGACATAACTCAGGACCTGAGGGAGCTCATCTTCTATGGATAAACAGGCAAGTACAACACAGTGAGATAAGTGCTATTTTTA
The DNA here is from genome assembly GCF_000001405.40 of Homo sapiens. Taxonomy (NCBI): domain Eukaryota; kingdom Metazoa; phylum Chordata; class Mammalia; order Primates; family Hominidae; genus Homo; species Homo sapiens. The sequence continues at coordinate 101,211,303 of NC_000008.11, read as the reverse complement.
GGGAAGTACATCATAATCTGTGATACCTAGGAGGTCTCCTAACCGAGTTTAAAGGAATCATTCAGACTTACATTCATTCAACAAATATTTATTGGGTACCTACATCATGCCAGATGCTATGCTAAATACAGGCTACACAGGGATAAAAAGAACAGATACAGAACCACCCTTATAGTATACACAGGACCACGGCTCAGCCTCAGGAAAAAGACTGCCAGGAGCCAAATCTTAGCTTTTCTACTTACTAGCTGTGTAATCTTAGATAACTTAGCCATTTTGTACCTCAGCTACATAAGAGTTGTTGAGAAGGTTAAATGAATCAAAATATATAAAGCATATATAACAGTGCCTGGTAGATAGTAAGTACAGCACAGGTGTTACAGGTTATTGTTTTAGGAATCAAATGGAAAGGAGAAATTCTACAAATTTATATATATACACATATACATTATATATACACATATACATTATATATACATATATATGTAAAACATTTCATGAAACAATACATAATATTGCATGATAAATTCAAAGGATGAAAAGTACAAGGACTCCTCATTCAGATGGGGGCTCAAGGAAGGACCTCCTTTCACTTAGCATAACGTTTTCAAGGTTCATCCAAGTTGAGGCATGTATCAGAACCTCATTCCTTTTTATGGCCAAATAATATTTCATTTTATGGCCATACCACAGTTTCTCAGTTCATCACCTGCTGAATATTTGGGTTGTTTCTACTTTTTGGCTATTATGAATAATGCTGCTTAAAATGTACAAACTTTTGTGTGAACGTATGTTCTCATTGCTCTTGGATATATATCTAGGATTGGAATTGTTAGGTTATATGATGACTCTATGTTTATCTTTTGGAAAACCACCAGACTGTTTCTAAATTCTTCACCTCCTCTCCAATACTTGTTATCATCTGTCTTTTCGATTACAGCCATCCCAGTGCGTGTGAAGTATAATACTATCTCATATTTTGATTTGCATTCTTTGATGACTAAGAATGGTGAGCATTTTTTCATGTGCTTATTAGCCATTTGGGCATCTTGTTTGGAGAAGTAGCTAATCAGATCCGTCACCTATTTTTTAATTGGGTATTTGCTTTCTTAGTATGAAGTTGTAAGCATTCTTTATATATTCTAGATAGAAGTCATTTATCAGATATATAATTTGCAAACATATTCTCCCATTCTGTAGGTGGTCTTTTTTTTTTTTAATGGCATCTTTTGAAGCACAAAGTATCTTAATTTTGATGAAGTTCAATTTATCTGTTTTTTTTCTTTTGTCACTAATGCTTTTGATGTCATACCTTAAAAAGCCTTTTTTGGCCTGGCACAGTGGCTCATGCCTATAATCCCAGCACTTTGGGAGGCTGATGCAGGTGGATCACCTGAGGTGAATCACGAGGTCAACAGATCAAGACCATCCTGGCCAACATGGTGAAACCCCATCTCTACTAAAAATACAAAAATTAGCTGGGCATGGTGGCGTGTGCCTGTAGTCCCAGCTACTCGGGAGGCTGAGGCAGGAGAATCTCTTGAACCCGGGAGGTGGAGGTTGCAGTGAGCCAAGATTGCGCCACTGCACCCCAGCATGGCGACAAAGCAAGGCTCTGTCTCAAAAAAAAAAAAAAAAAAAAAAAAAAGCTTTTTTAACCCGTGGTCATACATATTTACTCCTATGTTTTCTCCTAGGACTTTTATGTTTTAGCACTTACATTTAGGTCTTCTATCCATTTTGAGTTAATTTTTGTATATGGTATGAGGATAGGATTCAACTTTATTCTTTTACATGTGGATATCTAGCTATCCCAGTAATATTTGCTGAAGACTCCTTGCCCCATTGAATTTGTTTGGTGCCTGTGTTGAAAATCAATTGACTATACATATGAAGGTTTATTTTTAGACTCTCAATCCTACCTCATTGATTTATATGTCTAATCTTATTCCAGTACCACACTGTTTTAATTACTATAGCTTTGTAATAAGTTTTTAAATTGGGAAATGTGAATCTTCCAATTTTATTCTTTTTTCAAGGTTGTTTTGGCTATTCTGGGCTCCTTGAATTTCCATATAAATTTTAGAATAAGCTTATGTAAAGATACCAGACAGGATTTTGATAGGGGTTGCACCGAATCTGTGGATCAACTTGGGAATTACTGCCATCTTTACAAAGTGTTCTGATCCATGAACATAAGATACCTTTCCATTTATTTAGGTCTTTAATTTCTTTCAACAATGTTATTTAGAGTTTAGAATACAAGTTTTGCACTTCTCTTGGTAAGTTAATTCCTAAGTATTTTATTCTTTTTGGTGCTATTCTAGTAAATCACATTATTTTTTAAGCCTATTTTTAAAGTCTCTGAAATCAAGATGTATCTTAGAATCAAGGATATCAGCATTTTGTCATAGTTCAGTTGGCAGTATTTTTTAATCTTAGTGGACATAAATGTGACTTACAATTAATGGCTCCTTAGACTCAATACAATATGCTATTAAATGTGAATGTCTATAAGACATCAGAGGGGAGATGAGTAGTAGGCATTTGGATATGTCAATTTGGAGATAGAAATGTGGGGGTCACCTGAAGCTTGCTATTTAAAGGCACAACAGTGAATGAGATTCCTTTGGAGAAAGAATATAAAGAAGACAAGAAGATCTAGGTTGCATGTGTGAGAAATCTCAACATGCAGAAGCGAGTGAAAGAGAAAGAGCTGGTAAAAAATAAATAAATAAAAATAAATCCATTTCTGTTCTAAGTTTATTGTTGCCATTATTGCTGTTGCTATTATTTGCCACTAAACATTTGTCAGAATAGTCTGTTTATTGGGAAAATAATATGTTGATTAATCACCAATTCTTTCATCCCCCCAAATCCTACATGAATACAAATAAACAAATAAGCCTTTCAGGTCTTTAGAGAAGCATTTTAATCTGATTGAGATTTTGGATAGAAAATAGGCACATGTTTATTGCATCTTAACCTTGGGTAATTGTCTAAAGGCAGAAGAAGAAAAACAGTCAGGAGAGTTACTGTAGCATTCACAATTAAAGCCAGCAATGTGTATAAAAATGCTTCTAAGGAGTTCATATCACATTTGCTGTCACATTTCTATAACATAAGTAGGACACCAGCTGGTAGTAATGCTAATTCATCCGCCTTTCATTTACTGAGTGTCACTTCACAGATGTTGAATCTTATCCATTCCTTGTTTCTTTTTTTTTTTTTTTTTTTCAAATTCCCTAACCATCACATAAAGTTACCATTATGCCATATCCTCTAGGCAGTGGTTCTGAATCAGGGGAGACTTTGACCCCCTGAGAACATTTCACAATGTCTGGAGACATTTTTAGTTGTCACAACTGGAGATGAGGTGCTACTTGGATAAGCAGGTAGGAGACAGGGATGTTGCTAAACATCCTACAATCCCCAGGTCTCACAGAGCCCCATAATAAAGAATCATCCAGCCCAAATTTCAACGGTGCTGAGATTAAGAAACACTACCTATGAGGATAAGTTACATGATAAGTACATGAACTTTCTGGGGGCAAAGTCAATAGCTTTCACCAAATTCTCAAAGGAGTTATGACTCAAAAACTTAAGAAACACTAGCTTGAATACATATTTCATCTAGGCCATGGTAAAGAGTGACATATTAACCTACTTCACAATAGGAGTCACCTCTTTAGTTAAGAAGACATATCTCTGCCACACAAATTTCACTGTCCCTTTCCACTGTCTACTGTCATTCACGGCTAGATAAACACAGATCTTTGAAGTTCCCATTTCTAGGGCCAACAAGTACCCATCCCTCTATCAGCCAGATTAACACAACCATTAAGGTTACAGTGACTATTAGTGACTAAGCTAGAGCTTCATGCTATGTCAATTTAAAAGCTGCTTTCTTCAGACATACTCGGTTCATTTGATCAATATCCATTTATTCAACGTCTACTATGTTTAACATACTGCGTATTCCCTGATGAAAATAATCTTACAATCTAGGACTAGAGAGTAATTTAAAACTGCAAGAAGGAAGTCAGAGCATAAAAAGTGAAGGTGAGAGAAGCTGAAATGAGGATGAAGAGGGAGAACTGAACACCCGGATCACTGCATGCCATGTTTCATTTCGTATTTTTCTCCACTCAAATGCAATAGGCAGCTAACTCCTTCCTGGCTAGTTTAAACAATTCTGTGGTATCTATAGCCCAGTCCAAGTCATTTGGGATATACTAATATTCAGCCAACATTTCCTGGGCACTGCCACGCAAACTTGGGAAACGGCACTACAGGCAAGGTGAGAACAGCCAATGCAAACACTTTTTTTTTTTCTCCTTTGTCACTAGTAGTTCTAATTAGAAACGAATGTGGCGGGGGTCGGGGGTAAGTATGCACAATAAAGCTGATGTCTAAAGTACTGTTTCCAGATATTCAGCAATTTTAATCATGGTTATAATCGCCATTGCTCTTGTCAGATATTGAAAGTTTGCTGCCACTGCCTGTAAATGGAGAGAGAGCGCGCGCAAAGAACTTTAACCATTCCCCGAAGGATTAGCAACTCAGTACCGTATATTGTTAGCAGTCAAACTAAACCCCTCCGGGAAGCCTGGCCAGCAATTTTTTTTTCTTTTTTTGTTTTTTTTTTTTTTTAGGCAGGGTCTCACTCAGTCGCCCAGGATGGAGTGCAATGGCGCGATCTCGGCTTACCGCAACCTTCACCTCCCGGCCTCAAGCGATTCTCCCACCTCAGCCTCCCGAGTAGCTGGGACTACAGGCGCGGGCCACCATGCTCCACTATTTATTTTATTTTATTTTATTTTTGTGGAGACGTGGGTCTCGCTATGTACTCAGGCTGGTCTGGAACTCCTGGGCTCAAGTGATCCTCCTGCCTTGGGCTCCCAAAGCGCTGAGATTACAGGCGTGAGCCACCGCGCCCGGCCTAGCCAGCAATTTTTAATACGACTTAGGCTTGAATCTTGAACTCACTAAAAGCCCCCAGCTTGGGAAAACACCTGGGGTTTCCATGGGAGTGAGGTAAAGGGCGGCTGTGAAAGAACAAAGGCTGTGCGTCCGCGTTCAGAGCCGCTGGGTCCGCCGGGCTCGCTGGGGGCCGGGGCCGCGGTGTCCTGGGTGGCGGGGCTCCGGGAATGTGACTCAGCCACCGCGGCCCCGCGATCCGCTCCCGGGCCAGCGCCTCAGTCGGTGCCGAGGAGGGCGGCGCCGAGACGGGCGCGTCAGCCTGGGAGGAGCGGGAAAAGGGTCGCAGCGCCTGAGGCCCGGCCGCCGCCCGAGTGGATGAGCGAGCGAGCGACTTGTGAAACACGCCGCGGCCCGGTCACCAACCAGGACCGGGATCACGTGGCTCCCAGGGCTGGGTGAAGAAGCCGCCCGGACCGAGCGCGCCGGAGAGGAGGGGCGCCTGGGGACAGAAGGCGACGTCCCCTGAAGTTTGTGTCAGCCAGGGCCCGCCCCCTCGCGCTTATGTAATAGGGGCGCGCTGCCATTGGCCCGCGCGACCAGCCAGGGCGCAGGCGTGCGAGCGGGGTGGGGGCCAGAAGGAGGCAGCCGCAGAAAGGCACATGGGCGGGGCTGCGAGGAGCAGGCGGGGCGGGGGCGCCGAGGAGAGCGGCGCGGCGTGCGCGGGCACGAGGCGTAGTGGTCTCCCCTAAGGCTGAGGCGGCGGCGGGCGCGCGGCGGCGGCGGGCGTGCGAGGCTGTTGTGCTCCCGGCTCTCGTGTTTCCCCTCCTGAGCGGGTGGAGGAGGCCCAAGCGGTGCTGGGCGCGCTCCCCCTTCCTTTCCCTCCGGCGTCCTCTCCCGGCCCTCTCGCGCTGCACTGTCTCTCCGACGCAAGACTGTCCCGGCCCGGGTGAGCGGCAGCGGGGGCGGTGCTGACGCCGCGGGACGCCCGGGAAACGGGGCGGGGGCCGGCCAGCGGGGGGCGGTGGGGACCGTGGGACTCGCCGCGGGTCGCGAGGGGTCGCGGGGGGCGGCAGGGCCCGGCCCGGGGCGGGCCGCGGGAAGGGGATGAGTTCGGGCGCCTGCCAGGCCCTGCAGGTGGCCGGGTCGCAGGCCAGCCGCGGAAGCGGAGCGGTAACCTTACCCCCGGCGACAGCCGCCGGTCAGCTGCCAGAGTGTGGCGCTCCCGGTGGACGCAGGGGCCGGGTTTCGGGCAGTCTCGGCCTCCAGGAGGCGCGTCTTGGTCCAGGGTCCGTGAGGACTGGCTAGATGGGGGCTGCGTGGCCTTTGGTGGCAGGGAGGAGGAGGGGGTCTCCGAGGCGGGAGAGGCGGGTTTGGGAAGGAAGGTGCGCCAGGCTGAAGCTGGGGTCGGAGAAGTGTTGGGTGGAGACCTCACTGTGGGTGCGTTCCTCCTCTCCTCTCCCCAAAACGATGGTGTTAAAAGCTAGGGTCAGGATGTGGAGCGCTGCCTGGGCCTCTTCCTTTCCGATGGTTATGGAGAATGAGCCTACTTCCTGGACCCAAAATCCTTTTCTTCTGTTACTCATTTATGTTGGTTTTAAAAGGAGCTTTGGGGCAGAGCTTACTTGTTGCCTCCTACGAGAGCGCCTCATTTTAGAACTCGTTTCTTCCACTACTTCCCTCTTTGCAGCCCCCTCGGAAAACCACACTGAGAGTTGCATTAAAAACCAGCATGTAGGTATTTGTAAGTGACTTTTTCCCTCCAGTTTGTCGCATTTAATCAAGGAGCGGTTGTAGCTGCCTACGATTTTGTAGAAAATTGTGTTGGCTTGAGAGCAAGTCCTAAGTTGAGCTGTCCAAAAGCAGGTGGTTGGTTCGTTTGAATTTCTGCTTTCAGAAAGGAAATCGATGGGGCGTGTTGTCAGAAGTTAGGGGCCTACCTCATGCATTTAGCTTATTTTATTCCATTTCCTTTACCTGGTGTTAAGTTTTCTGTCTTCAGAATAAGAACAAGTGACTACTGTCTTTATTAAGTCTCTTCGGTCTTTTTGGTTGCTGTTTGGTGACAATGGAAAATGGGTTGAATCTATTGTGTAATGTTATATTTTAGGGAAAGTCCTAAGTGCAAAAGTTAAAAATAATTTTGTGTGTCTAATGACATTGCTTTGTACGAGTCACAACATGGAAATATCAAAATAGCTAGTAACTTCTAGAAAGCAAAGGAACTTCTGAAATTAGTGGCTTACCATTTTTGAAGATTTTTTTTAACATAAAACAAGATTTCCCACAAAATCAGTGTATTAAGATACATAAAATACATTGTGTCGAAGAGTTAAGATGTGTGAGAAGACTGGCTATTTTGTTACAAGGTCCTGATAGTAAGACATTGAGACAAAAAACCTTGCAAAACATTGGTATACATAAAGGCTGATCACGTGACTACTGTCGTCCAAATAATACATAAGTATCCAAACCTGTTTCCATGGGAATAGGTTTGTAAGCTTGCGGTAACATCGGACTTAAATACACTTTTAAAAAAAATGTGCCATTTGGCTTAGAATTAATAATTTTTTTTAAAGCAAAAATGGAAGCTTAGTCTTCAAGGACTGATAACAGCTGGTAATATTTACCATTGTTTGGTGGGAATGGGGTTCTCATATTAGGCTAGCACGCTAAACATTTTCAATTACGAAAATGTATTAGGCTCGTGTGCTACCCTAATATAAAAACCCCATATTTCCTCAGTTGAAATAGTCAGCTGACTATCCTGAAAAGCATTGACCCTCTTTTATATTTTATCTGACTTTCAGTTCATTTTTTTAATGCTAGTGGGAACTTCTCCAATCAGTGTATTTTTTTAGTTTCCTTTTTTGGGGAACAGGAGGAGCTCAGTAATTTTTATGAAATGCTTTGACCTCATATCCATTAACTAATTATGGTCCTAGTCAGAAGAAGCTAGCACCCTTCCCTGGTGAAGTTGATACAAATCCATTGTATGTTCCTGTCCTGCAATGATTTACATTCAGTTACAGTACTAGTCAAAACTATATATATATGAATTCTACTTAGGATCCAATTTTGATATATTTAAAAAGCAATTGAGACTCATGATAGACTTTATGAGCAGGTTTAACTTGTGTGGTCGAATAAAAGCCTTTAATTTAAATGGAAAAGTAAAAGTAACTTTTTTCAGTGACTTGATTTTTTTTTTTGTTTTAATCCATTTGGGTTCACGTCAGATCATCGGTAACAAAAAGTGGTATCTTTCAGCTTTGTAAAAGAACCCTCTTAACCAAGTTCATTCCCTCAAATGGGAACTAACGTCTAGAGAGCAAAGAAACTTCTGGAATTAGTGGCTTGCTGATAATCTCATTTTATAATTTGTTCAGCAATCCAGCAAGACCAACTTTTTAAAAAAATTAATAACAGTAGTTTTATGAAAACTAAGTAAGAAAACAGTTTCCACCTATTTCTGAGGTCTCCTTTAGAAGGAGTAACAGACAGCTTTTATTTCTCTTAAAGTTATAAAAATCACAATCGCAAGTCACAATGAATACTGGGAAGGGAAATTACTTTTGCAGAGTGATCAAGTAAATGATAGCGGGGGCTAAACTTTTTTAGTAAACTTGTGAAGATTACATACAGTAAAGTGCATAAATCTTGAGTGTACAATTCAATGAATTTTTATAAGTAAACACACTTGATTCAAGAACATTTTCAGGACCCCATAAGTCCCCTTCATGTCCTGTCTTCCCAGTCATTACCCATAACCCCCAAGGTGACCCCTTTCACTATAGATTAGCTTTGCCTGTTTTGAACTTTAAATAATGTATATTCCCCACAACTGGCTTCTTTCCTTTAACATTGAGATACAACCAAGTTGTTACTTGTAACAATTTTTTGTTTGTGTGTTTGTTTATTTATTTTTGAGACCAGAGTCTCACTGTCGCCCAGGCTGCAGTGCAGTGGTGCCATCACGCGTCACTGCAACCTCTGCCTCCCGGATTCAAGCAATTCTCCACCTCAGCCTCCCAAGTAGCTGGAATTACAGGTGCCTACCACCATGCCTGCCTAATTTTTTTTTTTTTTTTTTTTTTTTGTATTTTTAGTAGAGACAGGGTTTCACCATCTTGGCCAGGCTGGTCTTGAACTCCTGACCTCATGATCCACCCGCCTTGGCTTTCCAAAGTGCTGGGATTACAGGCGTGAGCCACCGCGCCTGGCCACAATTTTTTAAATGCTGGGTAGTATTCCGTTGTATAAATACTATAAAAATATGTATACAAGTTGTGCATCCGTGTTACTATTGATGGGCATTCAGATTTTTTCCAGTTTTGGAATGGGCACTCAGAACATTTTGTACATGTCTTGGTGTACATAACATTTGCATTTCTATTGGGTATATACCAAGAGTGGAATTGCTGGCTCATAGAATAAACAGCTACCAACTAGTTTTCCACAGGGTTGTGTCAATTGATACTTTTGTAGCATTTATATGTGGGAATTTTAATACCTATAAATTTTTATTTGCCAGATATTTCTATAAAACTTAAGGCTTCAATTCTAAGAACGTTCTTATGCTTTGATTACTCTGTATTAGAGTAAATAAGCCACTCTAATGCTTCACCTTCTGTTTTTAGATATGGCTCGTGGACAGCAGAAAATTCAGTCTCAGCAGAAAAATGCCAAAAAGCAAGCTGGACAAAAGAAGAAACAAGGACATGACCAAAAGGCTGCTGCCAAAGCTGCCTTAATATATACCTGCACTGTCTGTAGGGTAAGGGGAATTGAATTGAAAGATACAGCTCTCCCGTGGGCAGTTTTGGCTTGAATAGATTAAAATTTTGAAACCATGGCAAAATAGATGCTTTACATGAAATAGTAGGTTTGAGAGCTGATTATTTTAGGTATCTATTTTCATTCACCCTTTAAACAAATATTTTTTGAATGGCTCCTGTGGCCAGGCAAAAATCTCTAGGTGCTGGGAAAACAGAGTGAACAAAACAAAATTGCTTTCCTCATATAAAATAAAGATGTCTTCATAAGGGCATATAATACACTTCACTAGCACATCATATAACTCTACACTCTTAGAGCTATATAATATGCTAGTAAGTATACCTCTAGTTATATAATTGGTTTTTTCTTCACTAAATTTATAATTAGGATGTCTGTAAAACCATATAGAGTATAATCACGTTGAGAGCTTTTCCTAGAATTAATGTGTTGTATTAGATTTGAAGAACTGTAATAATAACAGCTACTTTTGAGTGCTTACCATATGCCACACATAGAGCCAGGTGTTTTACATGTATTCACCTATTTAATCCACATAACAACCCTATAAGATAAAGTACTTTTATTGTTCTCATTTTACAGAAGAGTAAACTGACTAATGGAAATTAAACAATTTGTGTGGGGTCTCCCAGCTGGTTAGTAGAAGAGCTGGAATCTGAACTCAGGCAGTTCAGCTCCAGAGTCCACCCTCTGGACCACTACTGTACTGCCTCTCAAAGAAGTACTTCTGAAATTCCAAATCAGAGCCTCTTGCCTGTTTGTTTAAGCTCATTACCCTTGAAGTTAGTGAGTGGCAGTACCAAAGGAAACCATAGTGGAGTTAGTACACTACATATACACTCAAAATAATGAAATTGAGCAGCTTGTGATTGTTTGGAAAGAGGCAGGGTGCAAATTTTAATCAACTAGTAATGAAGAAATACCTTAATCTAAATGTGGTAGAGTAGTTACATATATTTAAAAACTCAAAACCACAGACTTTTATTTCATATTTTGTGTAATTTAATGGGTTAAGAATAAATAATTGAAGGTTCTTGCCAAGGGAAGTCAGTATAGTATAGTATTTGAGAGGTCACATATCTAGTACTAAGTTAAAATAAGGTCTTGGGCAAATTAAACTCTGGGTTTTAGTTTCCTTATCAGGTAAAATGATGCTAGTAGGAGCTAAAGATTACTTTGAAGGTTCTGTGGGAATTAAGGTAACATGCTTAATATAATAAGGGTTCAGTAAATGTTACCTATTGTTTGCTGTTAATCAGATAAGCAGAATACATTCTATGTGACCTACCTTTCTTTATAGGTGAAATGTGGGAACGTTAGGAATTTCTTTACCACAAAGTCCCTCTTCATATGCCAGTCACTAAGTTGTAGGAATTTAAAGGTGTTTTTGGGATAATTGTCTATACTGAGAAGGTTCAGGATTCTAAAAAGTAACACATTTTTATTTTATAAATAAAGTCTAGCTCTCTTTTGCACAATTTTTTGTTAGACACAAATGCCAGACCCTAAGACCTTCAAGCAGCACTTTGAGAGCAAGCATCCTAAGACTCCACTTCCTCCAGAATTAGCTGATGTTCAGGCATAAGGTTGTTTACAGGTAACTCACCTCTTTTTCTATTGGTTTGTTAATAACAGGGTTGTATACAAGACCAAAACTGTCTTCACTTATTGTGAAATTAATTTCTGCCTTCTGAGATTTTATTGCTTCCCCTTTTTAAGTTAATGTGTAACTGAAAAGTCCCTTTTTCTCAGACTATTTCCTTTCAATGCCTTTGAAACATCCAAATTTTTACTACTGTAGCCAAAAATGGGGAGATGAGTACATGCTAGCCATCTCTGATCAAAGAATGGAAGGAACTTATCAGTTTAAAGAAAATAGTGATTACAAAGTTATTTGAGAGTTTCCCTCTAAAAACAATGTACACCAATGTTCCTGAGCACCTCTTTACAATTAGTTTACTTATAGTACTTAGCAGAGGTTCTTTTTTTTCTCCCCCAACCTATCCCCTTAGCAAAGCTTCTGAGTATTAAAATATAGGGCAAAATGTAGATGTAGATATGTGCTATATAAATTTGTTTATAAATTTGTTGGTTGAAAGTTATCACTTTACACATTACATTTGGTTGGATTTTTTCCCCCTAAATAGTGGAGTTGGTGGTGGGTGTGTTGTGTGTTTCAGAATTCTTTCTTTTTAAAATAAATTCTTCAGAGTTCTGTATATAAAGTCGAGTTGACAAGTTTACCAGATATTATCTTCATAGTGTTTCTTCTTAGTTATTTGAAATGCATGTAAGTTGCATTTGTGCAATGGTAACATTCATTGAAAATTTTGCTTATGTTTTATAGGTGAATTCATGACACCTTTGACTCTTCTACTGTCTCAGACCTTAGGTAACATACCTGCAGCTGCTTTTCTAACAAACTGTTGATCAGCAAAAATAAAGGGGCTACAGAAACACTCATTTTTATGCTGTTCCCTCTTGGGCTTCATGCAAAGACAATTCTGTGTAAATGTACAGTTGACTCTGATTTGGAAATATGAAAATCAGTCCATCCTTGTTATAAAAAATTTTTTTACAATTGTAATTATATTGATGTTCATATTGTGTAAAATAACTCATTTAATAAAATAGTACTTTGATTTACGACATCACAGGATAAATGGTTTTAGAAATTCTGTTCTAACTTTCCACATTATTTGCCTTATAAAAATCTAATGAATTCATCAGCTAGAATTGCAAGTGCAATTCTTATATCCCTTTCTCTGCTCAGTGGCAGGTTCCTCAGTTAAACTAGAGCAGACTGATTCATTAAAATTGTGCATACGATTTTATGGGCAGCTGATGATCTAGGTGAAAAATGACTTATCTGCTGCCTTAGTATATTGCGGTTATGTGTCATTGTACCCCTCTGATCATTTCCTGTGTTTGAGTTGGAATATTTAAAATTGCAGTATGACCTGGCTCTAACTGCCAGTCAGGTGTACCCTGTAGATAACTGATAGCTTCCTAAAAGCGGTTGGATTGTCAGTGAGCCCTTGTGAAAGGTTAGGTTCTAATGTATATGCCGTAATGAAATAATCATTAAGCCTATTGTTTAATGCAAAATATGGAACAAATGTGAACTGGTAAAGGTCGATCTTGATACTATATTCTTTGAAAATTCTTGAAGTTCTTTAATTTGAAATTGAAACATTAATTTTTGAGGTTTTTGGAAGTTACTATTTGGCCATTTTTACAAATGGATTTTGCATTAACAGGAAGATTGGAATGACTTGTGGCTGGATTAATTCCCAGAACCCTCTCCCTCCTTTCTTTTCTAAGTGAGTTGTTGATTTTAGGAGTTTGCTTTGTGCTGTTACCTAAAATCAGAGACTGGTGTACAGTATGACTTCCATCTGAACTTGAAAAGTATTAAAATGGGTCAATATTCACATTCTTTTAGATCTCAGGATGGGAAAATGGGTTTGTTCAGATGGATATGGTAAATCTTACCCAATTAAGGAAGGCTAATTTTAGAGTTCTTCTAATTTGCTTGTGTCAACTCTTAACTTGTAAAACTGCTGTTAACTCGGTTTAAATTTTTAAATTAATATAATAGAAAGAACACTAAAATACTTACTGGTAACTGCTTAGAGCCATTTATCTGATCCTGTGGATTACAGAATGCATTCCCTCTTCTGCTGTAGCTTATCATTGCTTTGTTTTGTAGCTCTGCATATTTTGCCCACCTTGTCTTCCCTGTAAGTTTAAGACGTTTCCAAGGAAAAGCTTCAGGGCTGATAGTTTCTTAGCAATTCCTATTCTTATGCCCTTACTTTAAAATAGTCCTTTTATTTTGTGTATTTTATTTCCTAAGTTTCAGATGTAATATCTGTTGTTTCCTAACATGTCGATTACCAGAACGTTAGAATTTTACCTAATTTCTTGTGGATATTGCAGAAGTTCTGGTTAAATCACAACTTAAAAGTTTTTAAAAGTGCTTTGAGCATATGTATATGTTTAGTGACAAATCATATAAAACCATTCACAAGTTTTGGTTTTTTTTTTTTCGTTTGTTTTAGTGACTAATTCAGGATGAAAGTTTTTTTGTTCTTGTATTTAACCCTTTTTTATAAGCAGCTGAAGACACCATATTTAACACTATATCTCAGTGATAGGGAAATAGCTGCATTGATCTTACATGAGCATAATCATCCTTATACTTCATGAGGGGATTATTAGTACAATCCCCATTTTACTGTGTTTGAGTTAAAAACCAAACATCCCTGTAATTTAATTTGAAGATTCTTTAACAGATTGCAGCAAAGTTCATTATAAAACTGTTATGGTGTCTTCAAAGACTTGATAAAATAACACTGAGAGAGAATTGGTCCATTTGTATGCTGTATTTCTATTACTTGCCAAAAGGAATGGGGTTAAGATTAAACTTGTTTCCATTCTCTTCACATGGATATTCATCCCCATGTTTAACTGACACACTGGGGGCTCAGTTGTGTGCTGTAATGTCTTATTAAAGAAGATATTAAAGAAAACTAAACTAGTCTAATTTCTTCTACATTTTAAGAGGTTTTTATATTCCCACTTTTTTTTTTCTCCTTTCTGAGCTTAGAATTGGCTCTTAAGTATAGGTTGGTAGATTTGAGGGTAGCAAGAGATTTCTTTCATTTCTCGTTTTCCCTGCAGTCTTTCCCTTTTTGAGGTCTGTAGAATACTTGGGTGGAAAAAAACTTGTCATTTTGAAACCTTACTGTATAGAATAAGTGTGAATTGTTGGAAAGGGGGAAGTGATTGGCTATTAACATAAAAATACAATTATGAAAAATACTTAGGTCAGTTAATTGAATTGGATGGGTAAGTCCTTGATGATATTGTAAGATTTGAAGTTTTAGTTTTATATTAAAGATACTATATAGGTAATTAATGACATCATAATTCAAACCTGAGATGCAGCATAAGATAGAATTTATCAACATTACTATTTTACCTAGGAAAACCCATGTTTTTAATTTTCATTAATATATGTAATGTGGCCAGGTGCAGTGGCTCACGCCTGTAATCGCAGCACTTTGGGAGGCTGAGGTGGATGGATCACTTGAGGTCAGGAGTTCGAGACCAGCCTGGCCAACATGGCAAGACCCCATCTCTACTAAAAATACAAAAATTAGCGGGGCCTAGTAGCACATGCTTATAATCCCAGCTACTCAGGAAGCTCAGGCAGGAGAATGGCTTGAACCCGGGAGGCGGAGGTTACAGTGAGCCAAGATCTTACCATTGCACTTCAGCCTGGGCAACAGAGCGAGACTCACTCTCTCTCTCTCTCTCTCTCTCTCTCTCTCTCCATATATATATATATATAATATACTGTACCTATTTTTAAATGTGGATAAAGGCCTTTTTCTATAACACAGTGATCAAACACAGTCCAAACTATAACTGAAATACTATATTTAAACCACCCAGTCTGAATTAATTCATTTGTACTAGATTTCTGGTTTTTTGGAAAGTGTTTGGTTTAGTTTTGGTCAGAGTACTTTTTTGGTCATGTACTTTTTAACAGTATATGGCAATGAAGATCAACACCAGGGAGTTGTGTTTACTGTGACTTCACATTCTGAAATAGTTTAGGCTACCTTAATTTTATTTATTGTAAAAGTTTCAGAAAAATCTTAAGAGCCTTCAGTTTGTAGGTTTAATGAAAACATCTGTCTACTTAACAAAGAAAATAGACTTTTTTAAATAAAAGTTCAACCTGTCATTTTTAATTGTAGATTGCCATGTTAAATTGAAAATATTTTTTATTTTAAATGTTGTTTTGATAAGTTTTTTTTACTGAGGTATCCTTCTTTTTTTTTTTTTTGAATAGCCATTTTTTAGCTTCTATTCTTTGAATACCGTATGGCTCCAAATTTAAAATCTGCACATTCGGAGACAGACTTTGGTCATTTCTTTATATTCACATGGGAATATCTTCAGTATGAAGTAATTGTTAATTCTGTCATTAACTAATATTATTTGAGGGTTGTAGGGAGGAAGAATATCTTTATCCCAGATCTTTCTAGGATGAACTCTTTGAGAAGTTTAAGTCACTAAGGTATTTATTGAAAATCATATATGTGAAGTTGCATTGTGAGCTGTAAAGTATTATATAAAAGCAATGTATTATACAAAGAAATATAGCAAAGTTCCCTAATCTTTGGAAATTCAGATGCATTCTGGAGATAATACATATATTTATTTACATAATTTTAGGCTATATGGCCAAGTGCTTGGTGTGTTTTATAGACAATAACTTAATGAGGTATATGTACATGTGTGCGTTTATGTGTATATAGGATGGCTTTGGGTTGAAGAGGGCAGTCTGTGCCTGGAAGTATGGGGAGTCAGCTGAGGGAGGAGTAGGAAGGAATAGGGAAATCAAGGTGTGGGTGGCTGATTGAGCAAAAGTACATAAAGTTTCTTTGAGAGAAAGTGAGTAGGCAAGCCCGAGCACAAGGCTTGTGAATGAGAGCCTTTGATCCCGTGGATGAGAGTGGGGAGAATCGTTAGAATGGGACCAGATTGTGCAATGCGTGCACACTGCAGAAAATTGTTCAAATTACTCCTGACACTGGGGACTCTTTCAGGGTTTGGGAACGGGAGTGACATGATGAAAGTATGTCAGGAAGATTTATATTAATGAAATACTGTGTCGATACTGGTTTGATGGAGATCTTCTTACAACCTCTTGTATGTTTCTCTATTTAACAGTTTACTATCATAATACAACTTTTGGTTATTCTAGGTTATTATGAATATAGATTAATGGGCAAGAATTTTGCTGTGCTCTAATGCAGTGATACTACTAATGCCCAAAAAGCTGTATTTAGGGATGTTTGTCCCTGCACTAAATAACCCCAGACTATAGTGTGGCTATACACGACATTTCTTGTCTTCTACTTCACTATAAAAGTAACACATTTTGAAATATATCTCATATATAAAAATGTGAAGACTGTGGTAAGGTTGGATTTTACAAATTGACCAGTACAAAACATTTTGAGGAATAGTATCCATGTCTGTCTCTCTCTCTCTCTCTCATTCTTACCACATAGATTTTTTTAAATTAATGCATGTTTTTGAATTTTGTAGTCACTTTTTTCATATTATGTCTTTGTACTCTGCCATTTCATTTAACAACATAACAGGTGGGTTTTTCGTGTTATAAACTGTGCTAAGTGGAATTTTTGTGGCTGCATAATGATCCATTGGGTAGATTACCTGTAGTTTTTTTTAACCATTTTCCTGTTGTAGGACATTTAGGTTTTCTCTTATTTGTGCAGAAGGCTTCATTTCTACATTTAGAATTACACATCATAAAACTTTAAAGCTCTTCTGAAAAGTGTACAATACTTTATTAAAATAGCAAATGAGAGAGAACCAGAGTTGCAGACCGTATAGTATATAGGACCAGGCAATACTTGACCAATGATGTTTTGCATGTTACTGCATTACCTTTGTTTGAATACTAGCACTTTTTCCTGAATTTGGTAGGTTAACCCTTGTATATTTCCTTGATTTCTAGTGGAGCAGGAATATTTTAACTGCATTTGTTAGCCAGATACAGTTACTATTTTGTGAATTGTCCATTGCCCATTTATTTGTTGGGGCCTTCTGACTATATTCAATCTGCTATCCACAGTAAACTTGGAACAACTGAGAGTTGCCAGGAAACACCAGATAACTAGAGTTATGAAACCTGTAACTTATTTTACACAGAGAACAAAATTGTAGGCTCTGTCTGAACCACTTGCTGGAAGCCTTAACTATCAGATAAAGTATAAATCCACAGTTTGCATTTAAGGCATATTTTTTATTCAAGACTATTGAAATATGTTTTTTATTGTTACCTGACTACTATGAAGAAATAGTATTTTTATTAGATTAAGTCAGTTTAGTAAGTTACAGTAACAAAATAACCTTTCATGTTTGGGATCTGTCTTTTATTAGGTTCTATTATTTAATATTTATGTATGCGGATTTTCATAGTAACAAAATAGACTGTATTTAAGCCTTGCTTTGAATAGCCAGGAACATTTCTGATAGCAACAGAGTTTCTTACTTAAATAGGATAGAAAATGGCCAAACATAAGAATTTAAAGCTGTAGTCGAATGACCCAGTGAGAAAAATGGAAAACACCTAAGTTCAAATCTGGCTCTGCTTTTTCCTTTCTCATTTTGGACAGGTTACTTCACCTTTCTGAGTTGCATTATCTTTAGTCACCTTATAAAATGCAGGAACTGGCCAGGTGTGGTGGCACATACCTGTAATCCCAGCACTTTGGGAGGCCGAGGCGGGTGGATCACGAGGTCAGGAGTTCAAGACCAGCCTGGCCAAGATGGTGAAACCCAGTCTCTACTAAAAATACAAAAATTAGCCAGGTGTGGTGGCAGGCGCCTGTAATCCCAGCTACTTGGGAGGCTGAGGCAGAGAATTCCTTGAACCTGGGAGGCAGAGGTTGCAGTGAGCTGAGATCGTGCCACTACGCTCCAGCCTGGGCAACAGAGTGAGACTCTGTCTCAAAAAAAAAAAAAAAAAAATACAGAAACTAATACCTCCCTCAAATGATTGTTTTAAGTTAACAAGCAAATGAAATAATGAGTATAAACACCACCTGTGCAATCATAAATGCTCAATAGCTGTTAGCTTTCTTCCCACTGTCTTCCTATCCCTCCTCCCTCTACTGAAATTAACACAGTGTGTCTTTACACATACCCTTCTCACATTTGCCCATTTCTGCTTGTGCTTTTTCGTAGGACTAAAATGCTCTCTCTTCTCCCCCACTCAACCCTGGTCTCTTGCTGTGGAAATGCTACTTACTCTTCAGGGCTCAACTCGAATGCTGATTTTTTTTTTTTTTTCCATGAACCTCAGCACTTAAATGTACTAATGTGGGAAAAGGAATATACAGTAATAAATATGAAAGAAGACTACAAACTATAAAAAAATAGTGTCAGGAGACTAAATTTTAGAAGGGCAAAAAGTTCCTGAAAAATAGTAAAGGAAGTTTATTTACTTGTTTTCAGTTAAGTAGTAATAACAAGGAATGAGTGTTAGCACTCCCTGAGCAACTCCTATTCATTTGCTGTGTATTTTGTAAAACTCTCATTGTGAAAATGAACCCAATATGATGAAATACTAAAAGGACATATGATTTCACTGGATTTTTACTTGGCTTTGATGAATTATGACTCAGAAGGCTATAGGAATTTGCAGAATTTGACATTAAGTCTGAACCAGTGTCAGTCTAGGAAAGTGATACGGACAGGAAGCTATCCAGAAGACTGGAGATAAGTAATTTGTGTCTTGATTTTCTAAAAAGCACAAAAGACAATATTGAAAATGCAGAATTGTAAGTGTACCCTTGGTCTCTAGGTAAAT
This sequence comes from Homo sapiens, assembly GCF_000001405.40. Lineage (NCBI taxonomy): Eukaryota > Metazoa > Chordata > Mammalia > Primates > Hominidae > Homo > Homo sapiens. Next base: position 101,192,165 of record NC_000008.11, on the reverse strand, counting down.
AAGTACGTTATCTTTTTACTGTGACTCTCCTTTTTCCTCAATTAGGCCTTGGACTAATTTCATGTGTAGTTTTATTTCTAGTCTTTTTCCCTTGTCACGTTTGTTTTCTTTGCGACAAGAGAAATTCTTCTAAAACACAGTTCAAGTCACAACCCTCTCCTCTGAAGCACTTAGGTGCTCTCCCTGGCCCACCAGATGAACACATACTCCTGGGTTGTAATTGACAGGTCCTCCACAGTCTGACCCCAGCATGTGCTTCCAGCCAGCCCCTTCTGCCATACTTGTTCCCATCCTCTTGCTGAGTGAATTACTTGCTGTTCTTTGAGTAACCCTCACTATGCCTTTCTTGCCTTCACACAATCTTTCTGCATCTTAACTGAGGTGCCCTCTTTTTCTTCTTCTATTCTTTTGTGCCCTCTCTCTAATGCTGGCCAATCTGATAGGATCACTCCTTGTAACCCTCAAAGTCACTGGGCGTGACCTTTCATCTTTTTATCATTTTACTGTTCTACTATCCTTGGGAACAAGAGTAGTCTTATTTTTATGTCTACTTGAATGTTTATGACAGCATGAAACTATTGTCTTTAAATGTAGCATTCCCCAAATTGCAACAAACTATTCTCATTGCTTTATAGATTACTTTTTAATAAACTGTTTTTTGGATTTACTTTTTTAGATTACTGAAGCCGTAAGAGGAGGGCTCGTATAAGCATTGCTGTATATGTAGAACCCTTTATAGTTTACAAAGTATTTTTTCTTTTTTGAATTGCGTATAAAAATATGCTTGAGGAAATCAAGAGACAGCTTGATGATACATCTCAATTTTAGCAAGGCAAAGTAATTTATGGTAATTTTGATAGCAGGATGGTCTACAGGCGGTAGTACATTTTGGTGGACCTTTAACTTATTTTGAATTTCTGCACTCAGATGTTTAATAGATGTGTGTTAACCTGTTGAGTTTCATATCCTGCCAACTTTAAGTGTGTGCGTAATATGTGTGTTACCAGTTTACAGATAACACAAAGTAGGGAGGGAAAGCTAATGCAGAATTACAATTCAGAAAGATTTCAGGCTGAAAGGCTAAAGTAAAACCAAGAAGCAGTTTAAATGCAATAAATGTTAAATCCATTTAGAACTTATAAAAATTACATTTTACAAGTACAAAATACGGGCAGCAGCCTGTCTTGGCATTTTTTCAGGTTAAGAGCCAATGTATTAGTTTATTAAAGTCTTATTATGAATCAAGCATGACTTCTTTGCTTTAAAATATAGGAATGCAATTATTAGTTTAGGAGAACACATGTTAATCACACATTTTTATTTATTGAGAGCCAGTTTTCTTGTGAAGTTGATGTTTTGTTCCGCATGTCTCTGTCTTTGCTGTATATAAGTGAAACATTGCTTGTCTACATTCCACACAATGCAGGGAGGAGGTCAGGGACGGTGAGTCGACTGTAAACTGTAAACCACGTTTACTAAGGAGGCATTTGGAAAGTTGCTGTGATGTCTTGTTGAGAGCACGTCTGAAAGCCATGGATGGAAGTTAATCTCACTGTAAGAAACCTCATTACAACATCTAGATCTATCCAGTATCACAATGGCTTGCTTTATGGCATGAGCACCCCTTCCCTAAAATTCATCGTAAAGGGAGTATCTGATTATGTCTGGGAAGGGCAGCAGGGTTTTCTATCATTTGACAGGAGATCAGATAGGCTCTGAGATCCTTCTCATTCAGCAATCCTCTTGCATTAAGTAATGCAGTGCTGGGAGCCCGTAAGATAGTTACGTTCTTTGAGCATGTTTTGTCAAATGGAAAAAACCTACTGTTATATTTACTTATTTGAACATACAAACTGTTTGATCTACTTGTCTTTGTCTTTCTCAGATGCTTATAAATTTAAACGGAGAGAATATTGAGTCAGAATAGGTGTCAGGATATCTTCATCACACTTGGATTTGAGATACATTTCTGACTATAGAGAATGCTTATATTCGATGTTTTAATAGGCTCCTAGATGTCAAACTTAGTTTAGAAATACTTCTTTTTAATCACCTGGAAAGTGGTACTGCAATATTACTATAGGTTAGGTCGGCATCATTCTTCATCAGTGGACTCTACAACTTAAATCATAAAGTTCTGTCAGTAAAAAAAAAATCTTTACTATCAATGTAAATATCCATCAATTATATGCACATACTTCCATTGTAATTATAAAGCAGTCACAGGATGAGATGAAAAACATTCTAATATTTTCTTTTTGCATTCTAGTGGATCAACTTACATTACCACCTGGGACACACACACCTCACTTTAAACCATTGCTCTTTGTCGTAGAACCTGTCATAAAAACCTTGTTTTTAAGCTAAAAGGTTTTTTAGCAGCTCACAGATACATAGATCTTTATAAGTCAATTAAAGCAAATGAAATGTAGTAAGGGTCCATGCTGTGTAAAAAAATACTCTGCACAGCATGTAAAAAGTGTACCCTTTCTGCACTCAGATGGTTAATAGATGTGTGTTAACCTGTTGAGTTTCATATCCTGCCAGCTTTAAAGTACTGAAAAAGCACACTGGTAAAGGGCACATGGCAACATATTTTGAACACAGCATATGTAGTTTGGAACATGATACTGAGACTGAGAAGTCAGGACTGGAGTGATTTGTATAAAGGTGAAGTCTTAGGAACATACCTTTAAGGCTGTATGTAGTGAAAAGAATAAACAAACCAAAGTTAAAACATTGGAAAGCCCTCACTAAGGGATAGGTAGAGAAGGAGCTAGGAGAAGTAACTGAAAGAATAGTCAGAAGAGGTAGTAGGAGCACCAGGGTCATATAGGTTCTCAGACATGAGAAGAGTTTGGGTTTGAGGCTGGGTTGTCAGGGTCATGAACTACCATCCGTTCACTGAGTGCCTGCTTTGTACCAGTGTGTGGATTAAATACATTCTCAACAATGGTAGTCAGCATCCCAAATGCTTCCCTAAGGTCAAGAGAGTATGGTTTGGGGAAAATAGGAGTGGAAGCTGAGGGGCAAGGAAGGAGCAGATACAGACCCCTGACTTGAATCAAGTAGTGTCACACAGGGAATGGCCATATATATGGGGTCAACGCTTCCTTCCAAGAGGCCTAAGGCACTGATTACCAATCGATAAACCTATTGTTTAGCAGACATGCTCACAGCTTAAAATGTACTGTGATGGTGTTAATTTTTTTTAGGCACAATAAGCTCAATTTATATTTAAAACATTGACATAAGATACTTAAAAATCATTATGCCATATTTACATATAACATCTTAACCTATGATCATCAGTGTTGTAACCCTAAGTGATTCTATTACATGTTTACATATTATACAGTCATGCCTTGCTTACCCATGGAGATATGTTTTGAGAAATGCATTTTTAGGCAGTTTTGTCATTGTATGAACATCATAGAATGTCTTACATAAACGTAGATGGTATAGCCTACTGCAGACTGAGGCTATATTGCTCTTGGGCCACAAACCTGTACAGACTGTTATTGTACTGAATGCTGTAGGCAGTTGTAACACAATGCTAAGTATTTTTGTATCTAAATACAAAAACAGGTACAGTAAAAATACAGTGTAGACCAGAAGCGGTGGCTCACCCCTGTAAGCCTAACACTTTGGGAGGCCGAGGCAGGCGGATCACCTTAGGTCAGGGGTTCGTGACCAGCCTGGTCAACATGGCGAAACCCCATCTCTACTAAAAATACAAAAAAAATTAGCCGGGTGTGGTGGCGGGTGCCTGTAGACTCAAATACTTGGGAGTCTGAGCGGGGAGAATTGCTTGAACCCAGGAGTCGGAGGTTGCAGTGAGCTGAGATTGCACCACTGCACTCCAGCCTGGGTGACAGAGCGGGACTCTGTCTCAAGAAAAAAAAAATGCAGTGTAAAAAATACAAAATGTTAGACCTGTATTGGGCACATACCATGAGTGAAGCTTGCAGAACTGGGTATTTGCTCTGGGTGAATCTGAGTGGTGAGTGAATGTGAAGGCCCAGGACATTCCTGTATACCACTGTAGACTTTATAAACACTGTACACTTAGGGTACAAATATTTTTCTTTAATAGTAAATTAACCTTAGCTTACTGTAACTTTTTCTTGAAGTTGTGTAAGTTTGGGTTTTTTTGTGTGTGTTTTTTTTGCTGGTTTTTTTTTTTTTTTTTTGAGGCAGAGTCTCGCTGTGTTGGCCAGGCTGGAGTACAGTGGTACGATCTCAACTCACTGCAACCTCCATCTCCCGGGTTCAAGCGATTCTCCTGCCTCAGCCTCCCCAGTAGCTGGGCTTGCAGGTGCTCACCACCATGCCTGGCTAATTGTTGTATTTTTAGTAGAGATGGAGTTTTACCATGTTAGCCAGGCTAGTCTTGAACTGACCTCAGTGATCAATTCCCTTGGCCTCCCAAAATGCTGGGATTTCAAGCATGAGCCACAATGCCCAGGCTTAACTTTTTTACTTAATAAACTTTTTATTTTTACTTTTTGACTCTTGTAATAAAACACAAACACATTGTACAGACAGCTATACAAAAATATTTATATCTTTATTCTCTGTTTTTTTTCTATTTTTAACATTTTTTATTTATTTTTAAACTTTTTTGTTAAAACTAAGACACAAGCACACATTAGCATAGACGTACAGAGAGTCAGGATCATCAGTATCACTGTCTTCGTGTCCCACTGGAGGGACTCCAGGGGAAATAACAAACACAGAGCTGTCATCTGTGATAACTTAAATGATGCCTTCTTTCGTAATACCTTCTGAAGAACCTCCCTGAGGCTATTTTACAGTTAACACTTTTTTTAATAAGGAGATGAGTACACTCTAAAATAATGAAAAGTATATAGTATAGTAAGTACATAAACCAGTAACAATTGTTTATTGTCATTATCAAGTATTACATACTGTATATAACTGCACGTGCTGTGCTTTTATGACTGGCAGCTGAATAGATTTGTTAATACCTGCATCACCACAAACGCCAGTAACACATTGCACTACAATATTACAAAGACTGCAATATCACTAGATTATAGGAATTTTTCAGCTCCATTATAATCTTATGGGACTACCATTCTGTATGTAGTCTATCATTGACCAAAATATCATTATGCAGTTTATGACTCATTATGTATAAAATGTAACTTTATATATAAATTTTATAAAATGCACGTAAACATGAAGTAATATTTAAAAAATAATTTATAAAATTACAAAATAAAGTTATAAATTATGTTAATATATATAAATGCACTGGATTTTATTGGTAGCATGAAAATAGAACTCACCTTGAGCCACTTACGCACTGTTGGTTGAACAGGAAAATAATACTGAACTTGTGATAACCTTTCTGATCAACAGTTTAAACCCCGAGATCCATTTTATTCTTTTCAGTCAAAAAAAGTGATCGTGGTTATTTTCTTGGGAGAATTCCTAGACATGAACTGTCTGGGTTAAAAGTATGCACAAAAGCTTCTACACTGGTAGAAGTAGGTTGGAAGGCCAGGTGTCTGTGGGAAAGGTTTTTGTATGGGGAAGTGATAGAGGAGCCATTCAGAAGCTGTCATTCAGTTTGTCGGCAAGTGGCTAAAGCCTCCGAGGCCTAGGTTTCTTAGCTTTAAAGCAGTATCTTCTCCCATCTCACAGCACTGTGAGGAGGACTTTTTTTTTTTTAAGTTTGGAAAAGTACTTTTGTAAAGTGTAAAACCCTTTGAGGTGTGGTGCAGTAGTTCTTCAAGGAGGTGTGCCATGCACTGATGTGTGGCTTCTAGCTATGGAAAGAAGTTATCTTTTTTTTTTTCTTTTTTTTGAGACGGAGTCTCTTTCTGTCACCCGGGCTGCAGTGCAGTGGCTCGATCTCGGCTCACTGCAAGCTCTGCCTCCCAGGTTCACATCATTCTCCTGCCTCAGCCTCCTGAGTAGCTGGGACTACAGGCACCTGCCACCACGCCTGGCAAATTTTTTTTTTTTTTTTTTTTTTTTTTTTGAGACGGAGTCTCGCTCTGTCGCCCAGGCTGGAGTGCAGTGACGCAATCTTGGCTCGCTGCAAGCTCCGTCTCCCGGGTTCACACCATTCTCCTGCCTCAGCCTCCCAAGTAGCTGGGACTACAGGCACCCGCCATCACGCCTGGCTTATTTTTTGTACATTTAGTAGAGACGGGGTTTCACCGTGTTAGCCAGGATGGTCTCAATCTCCTGACCTCGTAATCCACCCGCCTCAGCCTCCCAAAGTGCTGGGATTACAGGCATGAGCCACCGCGCCCGGCCCACGCCTGGCTAATTTTTTTGTATTTTTAATAGAGACGGGGTTTCACTGTGTTAGCCAGATGGTCTTGATCTCCTGAACTCGTGATCCGCCCGCCTTAGCCTCCCAAGGAAAGAAGTTACCTAATGATCATTTTAAATTACTGAAGTGTATAGACTTATAAGAATGGGTTCAAGGTTATCTCTATAAGAATTAATTCAGTAGCATTTCAGTGTACTTTCTTGAGAGGGGAAAACAGAGTTTGAGTTGCAGCCAGCAAGTTGAGAATCCTATGTGTGACCCTAGATACACCTTCCTGTGTGTCAATAGCAGGAAGAAGGTATTTTAGAGTCACGGAGGTAGAGAAAATAGCATGGACTTTCTCAGCCAGGTACACTTAGGTTCAAATTCATCTCTGGCATTTAGAATTTGAGTGACCTGGAGGAGTAAACTCACTTCATGTCTCCAAATCACATTGTTCTCATCTCTGAAATGAACTGCTTTACTGAGTAGTTGTGAGCATTTAGCTCTATAGCTGCACATAATAGAAACTTTTTATTTTAAAAAAAGCTCATTAGTTATCTAAAAGGTAATACTCTCTGGAAGGGGTGGTTATGAAAATACATTGCTGCATCGGGGTGTCCAGTCTGGAGAGGTATAAGTGTTCAAAATACTTGAGGTTTCTTATATTTTGAATTAATAGCTATGGGAAATGCCTCTCTTAGCTTGTAAATGCTCTGGAACTTTTCTTCATAGTATCTCATTCTTGAGTAGTCATGTTGGGGGTAGTTTTTACTTATAAAAGTAATACATGCCTGCACTCCAGCCTGGGCGACAGAGCGAGACTCCGTCTCAAAAAAAAAAAAAAAAAAAAAAGTAATACGTGCTTCATGGTTAACAATTCAAACTATGCAGACAACTATCAAATAAGTAAAAGTCCCTTATGTTTCCATTCATACCGTAAACCTGGTTTTCCGTTTGTTTTGATTTTGATTGGTTTGTTATCTGGTGGGTTGATTAGTTTGAGTTTTGGTTTTCAAATTCAAACTGCCTTCATTTTTTTTTTCAATGATTGCTTGCATCATCCAAAAGGAAAAATTCCTATGACCAGTGACCATCCTACTGACAGAGATTGCTTCGCAACTAAACTAAGCTTCTGTGATTTGAAACAGCTTAAAAGCTCTAACTAGAAAGCTTACCAACTCAATATAAAACCAGGTTTTAATTGACTTGGGTTATGAAAGGCTCTAATAATAGAGCCTGCCACTTTAAGAAAATGCCATAGCCCACTGGCATATGCAGAAGCTCCTTGTGCAAGGGAGGCGTGCCTACAGCTGATGTCATAGCCCAGCCTTCTAATGCCATTTGCATAAAGAGTATTCGATTGCATGATTATATAAAGTGAGGTTTACTGGTATTTTCTTGTTTAGTTCTTGAAAGTCTAATTATAGGCCTAAGGGAATAAATCTACCACTTGAAGAGGATTGTTGTGGCTACTGTCAGATTCCAGGGAGAAGACAGATTAAAAGCAAAAATTTGAATTTCAAAGAAAATACTTTAATGCACCAACACAATGAAGTGAAGTTTATGTCAAAATATAGAGGTTTGCCTTTCTTGTATTCTAAACTGGTTCTTCATTAAAATAACTTTATCTAAAGAAAAATGAATGCCAGCCACAGTGGTTCATGCCTGTAATCCCAGCACTTTAGGAGGCCAGGCGGGTGGATCACCTGAGGTCAGGAGTTTGAGATCAGCCTGATCAACATGGTGAAACCCCGTCTCTACTAAATATACAAAAAATTTAGCCAGGCATGGTGGCACATGTCTGTAATCCCAGCTACTCAGGAAGCTGAGGCAGGAGAATTACTTGAACCTGGGAGGCGAAGGTTGCAGTGAGCCAAGATTGCACCATTGCACTCTAGCCTGGGCAACAAGAGCGAAGATCCGTCTCAAAAAATAAAGAAAAATGAAGGCTCACTGTCAAACATTTTCACTTAAAGCATTGAAATTAGTGCCTAGTTAACCTGTATCCAGAGCTGATTTTTAGCTACAGAAAGCACTATGATTGTGCCAGTGACCATGTGGAAATACTTCTACCCAGATGGGAATAAGATCACAGGCCTGACCCCAGTGGGTACTCCCTCAGCCACCCTGTCCCCTATTTCACCCCTTCGAAATCCAGCAACTGAAGGGGTGACACTTGGCAGAGCAGGACGCTAGCTGGATTGTGCACCAGCACAGGGTGCAGGATCTACTCTGATTGGCCTGCGCCCTGCTGATAGTGAAATACCGTGTTTTGAATGTTCATCTCTATGCATGTTAACTTAGCTAAAGGCACCTCAGTGGATAATCCAAAAACCCACATTTGGCTTTTTTGTTGTTGTTTCTTTTTTTTTTTTTTTTTTTGAGACAGAGCCTTACTCTGTCGCCCATTCTGGAGTGCAGTGGCGCAGTCTTGACTCACTGCAACCTCCACCTCCTGGGTTCAAGCAACTCTGCCACCTCAGCTTCCCAAGTAGCTGGAATTACAGGCGTCCGCCACCACACCCGACTATTTTTTTTGTATTTTTAGTAGATATGGGGTTTCACTATGCTGGCTAGGCTGGTCTCAAACTCCTGACTTCGGGTGATCCGCCCACCTTGGCCTCCCAAAGTGCTGGGATTGCAAGCATGGGCCATCGTGGCTGGCCTTTTTTTTTTTTTTTTTTTTTAATCACAGGTATGTGACATATGAATTAAGTGGTCAAATGTAAAACTAATGGGGACACCAAGCCTCAGGAAGAACATCCCATGTTTCTGTTTAATTCTCTTATGTGTTATACTACCTTCCCTTTCTCTTTCTTATACACATAGATTTTCCTTAATTGCAGCCCAAGAGGACACTGCCCCATTTTGTTTTGTTCTTTTGTCATTGGGACTTAAAGTGGGTGCCTCAAGTCTTTGGTAACAGTTTTAACAGAACACTGACAATGACTGGATATCAGTCAGTGTTGATCTCCTTCCCAAGCTACTGTCTGAACACTAAGATCCTTTTTTTTTTCTTTTAATGAAAGGTAAAATACAATTCTGCTCTGTGATTTATACTTCTACCAGATTTGTTTTATTGACTTTTCATTAGTCTCTCAAAGATGATACACTGTTTTTCTTTGTTAAATGTTTGGGCCAGTCACGGTGGCTCACGCCTACAATCCCAGCGCTTTGGGAGGCCAAGGCCAGCGGATGGCTTGAGGTCATGAGTTCGAGACCAGCCTCATAGCAAAACTCTGTGTCTACTAAAAATACAAAAATTAGCTGGGCCTCATAGTGCAGACCTGTAATCCCAGCTACTCAGGAGGCTGAAGCAGGAGGATCACTTGAACCTGGGAGATGGAGGTCTCAGTGAGCTGAGATTGCGTCACTGCACTCCAGCCTGGGCAACAAAATGAGACTCCATCACTGTCAAAAAAAAAAAAAAAAGTTTGTAGGAGGAATGATTGTTTCCTATTGTTGGAAAAAAAGCCAAACGGAGTGAGAATTTAGAGCATGAACTTTGAATGAGTCCTATATTGTAGTTTCAGCCTTACCCCTTACCTGTATGGCCTTAGGCAAGTCACTCTACCTGTCCAAATCTGTTTCATCATCTGTAAAGTAGGGGTGGTAGTAATAGTTAACTCTCTCTCAAATGTGATAAAAATATTAAGTGCTTAGAGCAGGGTTCACCCTACTGGTCCTTGGCCTGTTAGGAACCAGGCTGCACAGCAGGAGGTGAGGGGTGGGCAGGTGAGCGAGCAAGCGAAGCTTCATCTGTATTTACAGACACTCCCCATGGCTTGCGTTACTGCTTGAGCTCCATTAATCCAGTGGCAGCATTAGATTGTCATAGGAGTGCAAATCCTGTTGTGCACTGTGCATGCAAGGATCTAGGTGGTGCACTCCTTATGAGAATCTAATGCCTGATGATCTGTCACTGTCTCCCATCACCCGTAGATGGGACTGTCTAGTTGCAGGAAAAAAAGCTCAGGTTTCCCACTGATTCTGTTAATACATTATGGTGAGTTTTATAATTATTTCATTATATATTACAATGTAATAATAATATAAAGTGCACAATAAATGTAATGTGCTTGAATTACCCTGAAACCATACCCCCCAACCCTGTCCATGGAAAAATTGTCTTCCACAAAACCCATCCCTGTTGCCAAAAACACTGGGGACCACTGGCTTAGAGTATTCAACAAATGTTAGCCAAACAGTTAGCAACTGAATTTTCTGACCCTGTCAGACATGCTCCTGGAATATTTGGTGTCTGAATTATTGGAGAGTACCAAGTGACCTTGGAAAAGTCACTTGATCTTTCTGAGTTCCAGTAAAATGAAGATAATACATATACCTCCCAGGGTTGTTTGAGGCTAAAATGAGATAATATGAAAGCATCTATTTGATAATTTGCTCAACAAATAATTATGGAGTGCATTCCATGGGTTATAACGGTGAACAAAATAGACAATGGCCTTGGTATTCATGGCAGTAAGGCAGAGCAGGAATAAATACTGATTTTCAATCAGAGAAGGGGGAGAAGTGCCACATCGTACAAGTTACAAATTAGAATGCAGTTCTCCCTCTGATGAAGAGAGCAGGTTTTATTCTCCACAAAATTAATGAAGCTCTCTAGTCACCAGGAGTTACAAGATTATGTCACTAGTACCAAGACAACTGGTAGTGGTTGATGACTCACTATTTATAAACCCTGAGTATGAACTTAAGGCTGTCTTTCTGGAGCATGGGCCTGAGAATTGCCAGAATGTGCTGTCTGCCCGTGGTTACCCATTCTGCTGACTCCGGTGGGAACACATGTTAAATGAATTCTGGAATGTATCTCGAGTGATCAGAGCCCTGGGTGGTAAACCAAAGGCTCTGGGGCACAAGTGTTTTTTGTGTTTTTTTTTTTTGTTTGTTTGTTTGTTTTAATCCCTTCCAGTTGAAGGTCATGTCTGGAAGAGGTATGGGAAATGAACAGATGGTTTTATACATACTATCAAATAAAAGTTAGTTTTTCTGGACCATGTTTTATGGTATTGATATTTCAAGGTTCTAAAGCACCCCTGGGAAGCTGTTGCCTCAACTGGATTAGAAATGTGATAGATTAGGGGACACTTTTGAAAGATAAAGGGGAAGACAGCAGGAGTAGGCCAGGACAGCCTTCACACCCTGTTGTAGTTCTCACACCTGTGAGGGGAGAAAGAGAGAAAGAAGGAGGGGCTGGGTGGGAAAAGCCTCAGATTGCAGCACAGTTCTGAGAAAGCCACTGACGGGCCCATGGTGTCCCCATGCCAAAGTTGCCCAAGAGAAGAATCCTTGCAGGGCAGGGATGGGCCAATAATATACCCTCAGTGCTAGGTCAGCAGCTGGGGAGAGGGCAGGGACCTGGACGGAAAATGTGGCCTTAACATGAAGACAGTGGTGGGTCTGAAGGGGCCAGCCTCCACAGCTGGCCATCACATTGAAGGAGAGCTAAACAGCATACTGAGTGGTGCAGACCCCAATTTGAATACCATTTTTGGGAACTGTGGCATATGAAGGTAGATCCTTAGGAATCCAATGTACAAAAACACCCACAACTAGATATTCTTTCAGTACTGATCACCTAGGTGCCAGGTACTGGGGATGCAACCCTGAGCATGATAGAAGGGCCCTGCCTCATGCAGTGTATAGTCTGCGAGGGCAGGCGCGGGGCATCAAGGAAGAGCCCAGCAGGTGTATCCTACTCTACACAGGGTGGTCATCACATTCCTCTTAGGAGGCCAGGTAACCTGAGCTCTGTAGGCATTAGGAAAGCAAGGACAGAGGCCTTGAGGCAGGAAAGAGGGCCCAAGTGCCAGAGTGAAGGGAACACTCCAGGGGACCAGATGGCATGGGATGAGGTTTGGAGCAGAGCAGGAGCCAAATGCGGCAAGGCTTTGTCAGTTATGGCGAGGCTTTTGGACTCTATTTTAAATGTGATGGGAAGAGCGGCAAATGTCCTGAGCAAGGGAGCAGCGTGGTCAGATTTACATTCTGTGAAGAGCACTCTCCCTGCTGTGCGAGGATCATTTGGAAGGTGGCGAGTGTGTGCGGTGGGAGACAGATGAGGAGTAATCTGTAATAACAGTAATCCAAGTGGAAGATGTTGGAGAATTGGACCTGCTGATGGCTTCTGTGTATGGGATGAAAGAAAAAGGAATCAAAGATGCCTCTCAGGTCTCTGGCTTAATCAGCTGGTAAGGCCATATACTGAGATGATAGAGAACATGGGAGAAGGAACAGATTTGGGAGGAATGTGCTAGGAAATTAAGAACTCAGTTTTGGATATAAGTTTGGAATGCCCATTAGCCAAGTGGCAGTGTCAGGTGCATTGTACTTGAAACACAGATGTCCAGAGGCATATATGATTCTGAGGGAGGTTAGGCTGGAGATAATGAATTCCAGAGTTGCCAACATGTAGAAAGTATTTAAAGCTTTAGGATTGAGTGTGATCACTTGGGAAAGGATTATAGATAGAAAACTGAGGGCCCAAGACCAAGCCCTGAGGAGCCCCTACGTTCAGAGGTTGAGTAGAGGAATAGGAGGCAAGAAAGGAGAGAAGAAGCAGGGGAAGGGTGTTTCTGGGGGAGCACTCAGTTAAATGACCCCAAGAGGAGGGCAAGCGAGATGAGAGAAAACTCTCGGTAACCTGAGGGCATAGTGGGGACCTGAGAACATTTGCAAATGACTGGGGAGGATGCATGCCAGATTAGTGGGTTAAAGAAGGCATGGAAGATGGGAAGGTAGAAACAGCATGTATAGACCTCTCTTTTAAAAAGTTTTGTTGTGAAAGGCAACTGAGAGATGGATTAATTGCTGGAGGCGGAAGTGATCACTGGAAGGGAATCTTAAATTTTCATTTATTTGTTCATTCATTTAAGAAAGAAGTTGTTGTAAAAAGAACATTAGCACTAATAATTTTTATCCCACTTTGCCAGGATTAGACTCTCAAACAAAAAGGAAAAACAAAAGCTATTCCCAGCCACGGGAGTGGAGAAAGCCCAGGTCAGCAGGGTTTCCTCCTCAGTCAGGACGTTGAGTGACTGGGAGACAGGTTTTCCATCAGCACATGGAAACCCTTGGAGGTTGGACCTGGGTGGTGTCACTTAGATGTCTTCTGACCTAGATCGGAGGTAATGAATCCAAAGTTCCTGTAAGAATGCTGAATGATAACCTGACCTAAACAAGGCTAGCCTTTGAGGAGGTCAATAAGAGAACCATTACAGTAGGAGGAAGAGGACTTCTCCCCCCTCAGTCAATGATGGCCACAGCTACAGGGAAGACAAGGTCAGCAGTTAGGCCTCAGGGACATTAAGACCAACACTGAAACAATGTCTGTTTCTGGGTTACCGCCTCACCATTTACTGCCAATTAAAGCATCCTGACTGTGGGGCAGAAAGGCTTACTGGGTATTAGGAGCACAAAATGTCAGGAGCTAAAAATAAACTATTGTCATTTCTTTTGTAAGGGTTTCCCAAACTCTCGATTGCCTCTTGCAAGCAGATGACCTGGGAGCAAATGTTATGGCAGAACGATGGACTCCTAGCAAGGGCCGAAGCGTGCCCTGTGAAGACTGGAAAGAATATATGCTTGTCAGAGATTTGGTAACCTCATCAAGACCTTAAACTGCAGTTTAAGAGGGTGGAAAAATTACTCAAGTGAAACTATAAGCCCTGTTATTCGTAAGAAAACGTATGACACAGAGCAATTGGAGAATCTCTTAATTTGCATGCAAAAATAACAGGAGGAAAAAGTAAGGAATGTTATATCTGATTTCAAGTGTGAATATGAAGCAAAGGAACTTGAGATGTTAACACCTGAAAGAAATCAAGATTTCCTAGATACCCCTGAAACACAGGGCTCAGGACTAGAATATGGAAGCCCTGAGAGAACAGATAGCAGAGGAGCATTATATGTCCAAAATGTCTGAAAGTGCACAGAAAGCCAGAAGCCTGCACGAAGAGGTGGGATGGAGAATATTTGTGTGGAGATGAAAGGAGAGAGACTCAAGTGATTCCACCATGGGAGCAGTTTAAAACCAGGGACCACAAGCCACTACCATCCATAGGCCATGTTTCCTAACCCCAGTTTCAAACTGCGAGAGGCAAGATGTAGTAAAAATGTTTTTCAGCTCTCTAGGCCTTTACTAGAATGTTTATTCTGCTCAGTGCATTCGGTAAATTATTGACGTGACAATTTCATATCTAAGAAAATGAATGAAAAAAAATGAGGCTCTACTATCTAATTCTCACCAAGAAGGAAAATTATATCGTTGTTGAGTTTACAATTACATGTAAAAGAGGTATTGTGACTAGTAAAAAAGTGGTGTGAAAACTCAAAAAAGAGCAAATCTATACCCAGGTTCTAGCAGGGAGACCCTGGGTAATCAGGCAACTCACTCCAAGGTAGAATGGAGTCAGGCACTGGGGTCCAGGAGACTTAACTTTAATGAGATAGATAGCGAACAGTTCAGAAAATTATAGGTATGATTCTATGGCCAGAAACCAGAAGGGAATATGGTGCAAGAGGAATGGAGCCCTAAAAAACAGTTCTGTCACACGATCACATATAATTGTCATGAGAAAGAAATAGCTCAGGTACCTAGCAAGGCCTGGGATTGCATTGAGTTCTCCAACAGACAAGAGGCACTCGCAGGGTACCTGAACGGCACCAGCTGCTGGGAATTGGCTGGAAGGCCAACTCCTGAAAAGCTGAGGCTTTCAAATGAGTACTGGTCAAGATAAAGAGAAGTTATGTTTGGAGATCACAAATTTAAAAAGGAGTAATGTAAAGATGACAGCTGACAAGAAATGAACAAAACACTGCATTTGTGAGGGATTGGTAAAGAAAGACCTCAGAAATGCTGGGAACCTCAGAAAACACAGCTTTGTCAGCATCTGTTTTTCTGACCCAGGATAAGATCTTCCTTTTAGATCTGCTGGTCAAGGGACAGAGCTGAACTCTAAGCCAGCCCTGGTCTGTGAGGTTCTTGCCCATTCATGCCTAAGACTGAAAAGCTTTACTTTGAATATACTAAATCTTGCTCAAGGTGTAGTCCCCCATGCTTCTCAAGGCTGTGTGTTCCATTGGGTAAGGCTGTGGTCTTCAGAGTGGGACAGCAGCATTAGAACTGCTTGGCCTGCCTGCCTGTTACAAATGCAGGTGCTGGTACCCCTCCCATTACCTCCGTTCCCAAGCAATTTAGAACCTTAAGGAGGACAGCAAGGGAGCTTCAGAAATCAGCGTTTTCAATACATTCCTCAAGTGATGCTATCCAAAATTAGACTTTCAGAACCACTGAGCTAAGTCAGCCAACACCTCTTGTTGCTCAGAGCTTCCATGAGTATATGGGCTTACAGCCTGAAAATCCCTTTTTATCAAAGCTTTGCTGCATCCTAACTCATGGAACAACAGACAGGATTTCCTATGGAAATCAGGCCTTTAAAAAAAGAAATGTTATACTCTTCTAATGGTTAGATTTGCAGTAATTCTCAACTCTGCATGTTAGAATCTCCTGGAGAACTTTTAAAAACACACGTGTCCATGCCCCACCCCAGACCAATTAAATCAGGAACTCTGGAGTGGGGATCAGGCATGATTGTTTGCTTGTTTGTTTTTGTCTTGTTTTAAGCTTTCCAGGTGGTTCTGATGTGTGGCCAGGGTTGAGAACTACTGCTGTTTAAACTTTAGAAAAGCGTAACACTTTTAAAAGGTTCTATTCCATGTGATACCTCTTATCCTTTCACATCAACAAATAACCCCTACTTTCCATTTCTTCTTCATGAAAGATAGTGTTCTCATTTCTCAAAATTAGAAGGCATGAAACAAACATGGTTAAAAGAGAACACAATATAGTAGCTATACAAAATATATCTCTAGGCCCTAAAAATTTGCTTTTGGGGCACTGAAAAGATATGCAGATAAAATTGCGTAGCCATAAGTTCTTAAAGCTTATGATAAATGAGAGTGGCCAAAAGACAGGAATTGAGGAAATGTCAACCCAGTAGTCCAAAAGGTGACTCATGGACAATAAATACCAGCTGATAAAATCGAAGCTGTTTCCTGGGAAAAAATTATAGAATGCTTAATTAAAAAGATAATTTGTGAGACTTTAAAAAGGAATCAGGAAAAGTAGACTATTCCTGTTTGGGTACATTGAGGGGTGCTGGCAATGGAGTTTAACCCTACATCTGACAAAATCACTCCGAAATCCTCACATTATATGATGGATATGGTGGAGAAATGTAGACTGGGTTGTTACTCTGTTTAGGTGAATATACAGCTGCTTGAGCAACTACATTCAAACCTCATCGATAGTGGAATGATGTTTAACCTGGAGAGAGATCTCTTGTTCTCTTTCTTGTTCTGATATTCTTTGAAACCTATAGTTGTGAACCTCTTTATTCTAGAAGTGAATTTTAATGTAAAGAATTTTGTCCAAAGTAATGTTATACTCCAGCTCAGGAATGTACATATACATACACACAGGGGACTTCAAAAAGTTTGTAGAAAAATTGAAATAAAAGATAAAAATACGAAATAAAAATTTCTCAACATAAGCTCCATCAAGTTCAAGACACTCTTGTGAGCAATGATACTAGCCATCATTTAGTCCATCCCTAAAGAACTGAGGGACCTGGGAATTTAACAATGTCAGTGCAACCATTTCTTTCTTTTTCTTTCTTTTTTTTTTTTTTTTGCATTATTACTGAAGAAAAATGGGTGCCCTGTAAAGATTTGTTAAGATAAGAAATAAAAAGAAGTCAGAAGGTGCCAAATCAGGACTGTAAGGTGGATGCCTAACATGAAAACTCTCATAAAATTGCTCTTGTTTGATGAGAGGAATGAACAGGAGCATTGTCATGGTGGAGGAGGATTCTCAGGTGAAGGTTTCCTGGGTGTTTTTCTGCTAAGTCTTTGGCTAATGTTTTCAAAACACTCTCATAATAAGCAGATGTTATCATTCGTTGGCCCTACGGAAAATCAACAAGCAAAATGCCTTGACCATCCCAAAAAACTGTTGCCATGACCTTAGCTCTTGACTAGTATACTTTTGCTTTGACTGGAGCACTTAACACCTCTTGGTAGCCATTGCTTTGATTGTGCTTTGTCTTCAGGATTGTACTGGTAAAGCCATATTTCATCTCTTGTTACTTCAAAGAAATGCTTCAGGATCTTGATGTTACTTGTTTCCAATTTTCATTGAAAGCTCTGCTTTTGTCTGCAGATGATCTAGAAGCAATGGTTTTGGCATACATTGTGGGAAAGTTTGCTCAACTTTGATTTTTTCAGTCAGAATTGTGTAAGCTGAATCAATTGAGTTGTCTGTGGTGTTGACTATTGTTTCTGCTGTTAATTATCAGTCCTCTTTAACTAGGGCATGAAAAAGATGAATTTTTTCCTCACAAATTGATGTGGATGGCTTGCCACTATGGGCTTCATCTTCAACATCATCTCATCCCTTCTTAAAACGAGTTACCCATTTGTAAATTGCTGATTTCTTTGGGACATTATACTCCTAAAGTTTTCATAAAGCATCAGTGGTTTCACCATTCTTTCACTCAAGTGTCACCGTAAACTTGACACATTTGTTCTTGCTTCAATTTTAGCAAAATTCATGTTCCTCTCACAGGGGCTGTTTTCAAGCTGATGTCTTACCCTTCTGGGAGCCTCACACTAGATTCTGTTCAGACATGTTATAAAAAGTTAGTATGAGTTTATCTGGCAAAAAAAAAAAAAAAATTTGAATACATGCATAGTTTTCTCATAATATATATTTTCCATGAACTTTTGAAAACTTCTTGAGATATACACACAAGCCCAACATAGATTCTTCCACATTACTCTTTTCTAAAGCCTCTTTATCCCCATAATTCCATAAAATAATATATAACAGACTTGGCTTTGGCTTATTGGACTCTTAGTCCAACTTAGTTGTTTTTCAGCTTTAACTTTGGTGACTCATTTGTGCTCAGTTCTGATTCAGACAATGGAAAACTATTTTAGCAAGAGCTGAACTGATTTTTATTCCCCTGTTGATGTCCAAAGCTCAGCCCACCGTCATGCACTGTGCATTCACATTCTCTGTTTCTGCAAGCTTTGCTGGCCAATTTCACCAACGAACGTTGAATTGACCAAACATGTACTAAGTGCATTCTGCAGACATAACGGAGACTGAATTTTGGAGATCTTTGCTTCCCAAAGAATCCCCTGAAAAAAAAAATTTTTTTTTTACTTCTACTAAGTAGCCCAGTTTTCCAATCACATGAATTTTCTGGAATATTTTTGGAGAGAAGCAGATTTATTGAAGAGCTGTTCTTTTTTACCCCAGATATAGACAAAGTTAAATTTATTCTCTGAATATAAATCATCAGAGTAAGAAGGTAAGATTTAGTCAAGAAGATACATTTGTTGGACTATGGGTTCATCTGTGTGCAACAGAGACCTAAAGTTTCAATGGCTTAAGCAGTATTGAGGTTTATTTATCTTCCATGACAGCGTGAGAGTTTGCAGCCAAAGACTAGTATGGCGGGTCCATGGTGTCAAGGACTGCCAGGTATCTCCCATCTTATTGCTTCATTATCTCTAGGGGATGGCCCTCATCTGCATGGTCCAGGCAGGAAAGAGGAGGATAGGAATAACCCCACCCCAGAGGCTGCACCCAGCACTTCCCCTTACATACACACACACACACACACACACACACACACACACATTCCAGCTGCAAGGAAGGCTGGGAAATGTCTTTATTTTGTACAATCAGTAAAAACTGAGATTCTATCAATAAAGAAGGAGGGCAGACATTGGAGAAAAACTAGTAGACTTTCCAACATATTCCTGAAAAATTTTAAATTTCAGAAGGGGCTATAGGTGGGCCAGGCAGGAAAGAATCATTATCTCACCCAAAGAATGACATCGGGCTTCAAGTATCTAAGCCACCATCAAAAAGGCTGGTGCTCTTCCAGGTTTTTCTTTAAAGGGCATCTGTCAGGCTGGGGAGAACACTTCTCTAGGTGGCCTTGAGCCAGTATTATTGGCCCACTCAATCAGAGCTGCCCTGCAGCCTCGTTAGCACATCACAAGAACCCAGAGTGGAATTCTGGGATGGAAGAGCTGGACAGAAAGTGGAGAGAGAAGGTCCTCCCAGCGGCAAAGCTAATTAAAAGGAGAAACCTGTTTTCCACATGCACTCCTCAATATGCACACATGCTGCTTTCTTGTCATTACATGCCTCACTTGTCACCAAAGCATTTTCAATCAATTCCTGGGTGTTGTTCTTGTATCTTTAGATTTAGCGCATTCTTTCTTTAGTGCTCCTCCCTTTTATTCATCCAGCTGCTTAGAACAGTTTTCTTCAGCATTTAAACAAACCCACATACATTCCCCTCCCCCCATTTTCTTTTTTAAACAAAGCAAATGCTGCTTTCTTTTAACCGAAATAAAAGAGCCATAGACAATTCCATCTTTTAGGTCCACATGGCAGATCTCAAGTCAAGCATTCATTTTCTACCTGTGTGGAACTTTAATTAGTTTAAGTGGGAGGTCTGTGCCAAGAAACAGGCACCACATCACAGTTGGAATCTGCAGAGCAGATTGTTTTCTCTTAATAATGCTCTTTCAAACTCAATCCCGCTTGCAGTTTTGATACCAAAAACATGTGTGTTAAACAGCTACGAGTCGTTTCCGGGTCATTCGCATTAACCATGAGCTCTCCTGACAGTCTTGACCCATAACAGCAGACCTCTGTGTTTGAAGTGCTGTATAATTTACAAAGGACTGCACACACATCGTCACATGTCAGCTGCACACTTAGCCTGCTAGGAAATAATATCGCCCCCATTTTGGTGATGAAAAAATTGAGTCGTGGAATGGTTAAGTGACAGAATGAACTGAAACTGGATCCAGTCTGTCTGTGTTGCTAATGTAAGATGTTAAAGAACTGTCTATGGTTAAAAGAGAATGAGTATCTATTTTTAACAATGTGCTAAATGTTCTTTTCTTCTTTCCATGGTCCAAGATTGTCCTAAACTTTGATTTGATATAATTATTTTCCACAATCCTCTAAGTCAGGCTTTGAAATTCTTCTCTGCCTCTGGGTCTTAGTTTGCTTTGAGGTAAGGATGGCCAGTGTGGATCTTTCTTATATAATCTCTAGGTCTTATATTTTAGTTTCCTACCTGAAAATTTGTGATGCCACTTTTAATCTACGACGGTAAAGGAAAACAATTTCTCTTATATGCTATTTAAGAGTTAGGTATTTAAGATTAAAGGAACTATGTATAAATATCACTTATCCAGAAGTCTTCTGAATATTTCATTTCTCATGGAAATGCTGGATGTTTTTAAGCAACATTATCCATTATAAAACAATTCAAAAAGGGGGAAGAAAATCCTACAAAGATAACAAAAACTGTGAGGTTTTTTTTGTATGAAGTAGCCAATTTTCACAAAAAGTGCTGTTAGCGGTTTATAACACTGCTAGGAAATGTATTTTATATTAAAAATCGCTAACAGCACAGTCATTGTTTTCAAGATGCTTTAGAATGGGAAGAAATGTTCAATCTTTTTAACGTGTATCGGCATGTATAGGGTGTACTCTTTTAAAGAAAAATTTCAACTATTATAAAATCTAAGAAACTTTAAAACTGTGTCATTTATAATGTAAAATTAATGCAGCTGAGATTCAGTGGTTGACTCATAGCTCCCACATTCATCTTCAGTTCTCTTTAGCTCATATGGTTTTCTTTAAAAATTAGTGATATCAGCTAAATGGAACTATTTTCCACTCCTACCCACAGAGAAAAGTGCTTTTGTGAACATGTCAGCTCTGTTCCATCATTACATGCCATCATGCAGTGCAACAGAAGCAGGCTGGCTGTGCATACTTGATAACCAATATTAGTACAGATTTGAGAGCAAAATCCAAAGAAGATAATACTGTATTTCCATCTATTTATTTTATGCACATAAGCCACCTTTTTAGAACCAAGGAATTTTATAGCTAGACAAGATCTTGGAAGTCTTCCAATCTAGCCTCTTTATTTTGTACATATGGAAACTGAGGCACAAAGAGGTTCAGCAACTTCCCCAAGGTCACATAGCTGGTAGAGGTAGGCTGGGACTAGAACCCAGGTCTGTGTGACTCCAAAGTCTGTGCTCCTCCCACTATACTGCTTCACAGATAGGAGCTGATCTGCCTCAAATCTTCTGCCCCTTGGCCTTTCCACAACTCTGCATTGCTGCCATCTAACAGTGCCTTCCACTGGTGCCATGCTAAAGCTCGTTAGGAGGCAACTTAACATTGTTCTGTAAAAGCTCTACAGATGTAGGATGCTAGCTATCTGTTCTCCCCGGAAATCTTTTCAATTCAATTCTGCAAATAACTTAGGCTTTCCCAGACTAAGCAGTTCCTTCTCTCATTCCTGCAATTTGCTTTCCAGTTACCTTCTTCTGGACACATTCATTTCCAGTGCCCCTTCTGTTAAAATGGGCCCCACTAGAATCTCTGTTGCTGGGCACGGTGGCTCACGCCTGTAATCCCGGCACTTTGGGAGGCTGAGGCGGGTGGATCACCTGAGGTGGGGAGTTCAAGACCAGCCTGACCAACATGAAGAAACCCCATCTCTACTAAAAATACAAAATTAGGCAGACATGGTGGCACGTGCTTGTAATCCCACCTACTTGGGAGGCTAAGGCAGGAGAATCGCTTGAGCCCGGGAAGCTGAGGTTGTGGTGAGCCAAGATCGCTTCATTGCACTCTAGCCTGGACAACAAGAGCGAAACTCCGTCTCAAAAAGAAAAAAAAAATTGGCCCCACTCAAAATGGTACTCCTCCAAGTTGCTTTTTCATCCTTGTATTCCCCATGGTCATTCATCCCACTGCTGTCCTTCTGTCTCCAAGTCCTCTTTGCCTTGCTTCCTTCCCTCTCAACCCACAGCATCAGAGCAGTTTCTCCCCCAGCTGACCCTCTTTCCACTTTCAGTGCTCAATATTTTTTACTTTGCCTGTGGAAATGATCTCTTAACTGGTTTCCTTAAGTCCCTCCAGAAATGTTTTTCTAAACTCCAACAACTGTGCAAGGTCTAATTGCCATTGGTTTATCACCCACTGGACCCAGAAGCACCATCCTGGATTCTGCTTCTGCATACCCCTGTCAGCTCTGTGTCTTTAGGGACATCATTTAAACCTTCAGCTTCACTTTCTCCACTTATAGAATGAAGATGAGGAACAAGAACATCAATCTTTGAAATGATGCCAAGTATAAGCCTCTGTGTGTGTGTCTCCCCACTCCAATTTGTCCAACAGACTGCTTCCAAAGAAATCTTCCTAAAACACTGACCATCTTTTTTTTTTTTTTTTTTGGCTGCAAAATCTTTCATTTCCTCATCCCCTCACATAACTTCCAATCTTCTTGGCCTGGCACTAAGGACCTACTACAGACTGGCACTGAAATATCTTCCCTACCTTATCATTCCTTGTGCTTCTCCACAAGCCCACTCTTCCCCTTCATCATACATGTGCCGACCTTTCCTGTCTCTTTTACTTTGCAGCACCAAATGCTTTCTACTTTGTGGTCTAGGAGGAACACATGTCACTTTTGTAAGCTGCTCGAAAGCAGGGGCCACACCTTCATCCTTGTTTTCCACACAACACCAAGCACTTAGTAGACACCCAATAAATCATTGCTGAATGAATGTATTCAGCCTGGAATTGCACTAGGATTTTTTGGCCAACACATTGTATTCTTAACTGATACCAGACTTCCAATCAAATAAAATCCTTAAGCCTTTTTCATAGTCTTTAATTAAACTACTTCTCTTCCATTATTTCCCTTTGCCTACTTTTGAACTGATATTCAGAACTTTTCTGTTAATGTTTAATTTTCATCCATTATTCTTGTCTGTACAGATCTTTTTGATTTTTGACTCTCTTATCTAGTTTTTTTTTTTTTTTTTTGGCTTCCCGTTGTGTTATCCACAGGCACAATGGGTATATTGACTATCGTTCATTGAAGTTGTTGATACAAATGTTGAACAGGAGAAAAACCAGTAGCTTGCCAACTTGGCACCTCATTCTCTAGCTTGACAGTAATCTCTTATCTAGTAGTTTTTAGATATGGTTATTTAATCAAATATCACTAGCTTCTAATTTTGTTATAATTCATTCATGTATACAGACAATGAAGAATCATCTTTCTTCATTCAACACATTTATTGGGAACCAATCATTGTCCAAGGCAATATGCTAGGCATTGTGTAATAGAAAGCGATTAAGCTTTTACCCCTGTCCTCTTTGGCCTGCAAAGAGCAGGTAAGATTCATGCACAGACAAATGTAGTACCAGGTAAATAGTGAGGCCAAACACAAGAGGCAGGTCAAAGGGCTTTGGATTCAGAGGATGGAGAAGCTCTTTCTAGGCTGGTGAAATATTTGCAGAATGAGTAGGCTCATAAGTGGAGGTGAGGTACAGGCTAAGCTGCTGTAAGAAAGAGTCCAAAATGCAAAGGATTTACCACAATGCAGTTAATTTTTCTCACAACGGTCGAGGTAGGCAGGTGGTCCAAGTCCAGTTAATCAGCCCTCCTCAACACAAGGCTTCCCCTTGTAAGCTCAGGATGACCGCTCCAGTTCTCATCATCTCCCAGGCAGAAAAACGGGAGAAAGAGAACTAGACGTACCACCCAGTCATTTTAAGGACATAGCCAGGCCAGGTGCAGTGACTCACATCTGTAATCCAAGCACTTTGGGAGGTCGAGGCTGGAGGATAGCTTGAAGCCAGGAGTTTGAGACCAGCTTGGATAAGAAAGCAAGACCTTGTCTCTACAAAAAATTTAAAAATTAACCATGTGTGGTGGTGTGCACCTATAGTCCCAGCTACTCAGGAGGCTGAGGTGGAAGGATCACTTGAGCACAGGAGTTGGAGGATACAGTGAGCCATGATCACACCACCTCACTCCAGCCTGGGCAACATAGTGAGACCCCATCTCTTTAAAAAACAAAACAAAAAAACATCACCAGGAAGTTGCTTACATGTCTTCTATTCCTATAACATCGGCCTGAGCTTAGTCACATGGCCACACCCAGCAGAAAGAACTCTAGGAAATATGGTCTTATGCTAGGTAACCCCAAACCCAGCTAAAACTGTTGCTTTTGAAGAAGGGTGAAACAGACAATGTGGAGGAGAATTACCAGTCTGCCACAAAGAGAAAGAATTCTATGTGAGGAAAACGCTCTAGAAGAGGGAGCTGATTAATTAGTTATATCTCAGCCGAGAGGATGTTATGAGAAACACAGATTTGGGTTTAATAGAAAAACTTAGAACCCTTCAAGAAGGAATGGGCGGACTTGAGAGTGTCCTCCGCTTCTGAAAATGATCAAGAAAAATGGTAAGAATGTACACCTCAAGGGTGGATGGTAAAGGTCAGCCTTTAAGCCTCAATGGCGGTGTGGTTGTAGGTGGGGTGGGGGTGGAGGCCCCGAAGACAGGCAGACTACCACAGTAGCCCCGATGGAAGCAGTGAGAATGAACTGGAAGGAGCGGCTGTGGGAGCGACAACGTGATGAGAATAAACCCGGCTTGGCTCTGCCCTGTGCACACACAGGTGAGCTGTGTGCTCCCGGATGTGTCAGCTGGTATATGCGTCTGTCAGAAGGCAGCTGGGGAGCACTGTTAGCTCAGAGACTAAGAGGCAGACCCAGGAAGCCCTTCTTTGCATTGGTCAGGGTTTGCTGCATTTTCCCAAGCCCAGGAAATGGAACCCAGTTCTTCTTCTTTCTGTGTAAAATAATAAGCATCACAATAGGCTGTGCTCATGAGAACGCATTTTGTTTCCACAGAAATGTTTTTTCTCACTCTGTCCTGATTTTGATTTCTGTTAAACTCAGTAAACACATTACCAAATTTTAAAATAAGGTGACTTGTTTTCCCCAACTCACAGTTCACCAAAGGTATTTCATCTGTTTGTTCTGAAAATGCAGCTGCTGTCTAGATTTATGTGTGCTCTGACAAGAAATGTTTTGTGTAACAATAAAAATCATTTCCTTTGATGAATACTGTTGTTGCTTTGTGTTTTAAGAATGATATTTCATGTCTGTTCCATAGTAGCATTGCCCCCACTAAGCAAATTCTACAGGAGACCAGTTTGTGTTCCAGACCAAGGGAGCTGAAGCTTCTAACTCCTAACAGCCATGCAGGGCCTTGTCTAAAGAATCAGAGTCATAGGCAGCCATCTTTGTCAAGCAGATCCCTTGGTGGGGGGCGAACAGGAGGAGGCATGAC
The DNA here is from genome assembly GCF_000001405.40 of Homo sapiens. Lineage (NCBI taxonomy): Eukaryota > Metazoa > Chordata > Mammalia > Primates > Hominidae > Homo > Homo sapiens. Next base: position 101,166,576 of record NC_000008.11, on the reverse strand, counting down.
TGGAGGTCCTCCAGTGGTGGCGCCCTCGCCCACATCCCTCTGTTGCACTCCTTAAATGCCCGGATGCTGCATAAAGGCTTTGGCCCTTCCTCTCAGGGCTTGTAAGCCACAAAATGATGTCACAGTGGGGAAGATGCTGAGGACATCAGTGAGAACCAGGAGCAGGCAGAGCCTGAACCCCAGCCCGGAAGGAAGGGGGAGGGAACAGAATACAGCTTTCTAGAAAGAGAGGAGAGGCTGAAGGCACAGCTAGGGAATACGCATGCACTTCCTTGGGCCTCAAGTGGGCCAGACTCGCGCCCGTGGAAGCTGTGTGACGGGGAGCAAAGAACACAGGCTTTGGAGGCAAGTCTCCTGAGTTCACTCTAGCTGTATGACCTTGGCCAAGGTTGTTAGCCTTTCTGTGCCTCAGTTTCCCTATATTCAAAATGAGCGTAAGAATAGTATCTATCTGCAGGCATTGTCTGGAGGATTAAGTGACTGGATATATCTGAGACAGAGGCTGTCAGTAATCCTACACTACCCTCTTCCTTCTTTTTCTATAGTAATAGACTCCCAGTTTTCAGCTGTGCCAATGGCTGCCCAGGATAAAGACTCTACTTCCCAGCCTCCCTTGCAACTATGTGTGGCTGTATAACTGTGCCTGGCCAATGAATTATAAGCAGATGCTATCTGGCAGCTACCTGGGAAGGGCAGCTGGCATGTACTCTTTTTTTTTTTTTTTTTTTTTTGAGACAGTCTTGCTTGTCACCCAGGCTAGAGTGCAGTGGCACAGTCTCAGCTCACTGCAACCTCTGCCTCCTGGGTTCAAGCGATTCTTATGCCTCAGTCTCCTGAATAGCTGGGCTTACATACATGTGCCACCACGCCCTGCTAATTTTTGTATTTTCAGTAGAGACAGGGTTTCACCATCTTGGCCAGGCTGGTTTCAAACTCCTGACCTTAAGTGATCTGCCCACCTCGGCCTCTCAAAGTGCTGGGATTACAGGCGTGAGCCGCCACACCAGTTTGGTATATACTCTACTCCCTTTTTTTCTTTGCACCGTCTAGTCTGCTGTCTGGAAGGTGGATGTGATGTCTGATGTTCTAGTTGCTTTTTTGGCCTGTGGGGATGAGGACAACACCCTAAGAATGAGGAACTGTGTCCCTGAAGAAGGAACCTGTGTCCCTGAAGACTTTATGAGTAAAGCCACTATACCAGTCCTTGGCTACTTATTTCTGTGCTTTTACATGAGAGAGAGAAAATAGCTATCTTATTTAAGCCACTGTTATTTGGGCTCCTTATTACTCATGGTTGAACCTAATCTTAACCTACACCATGTGCAGAACACTTAAAGTGATGGCTGGCACACAATAAGCAATTCCGTAAGTGTTGGATAAGTGTTGTTATTTTGTGTCAAATAATGGATAAGGTGAAGCCAAATTATGAAAGGGCTTGCAAATCAAGGAGAAAAGTTTGCCCTTGATGCAAGGCGAAGCTTCTATCTGTTGCTTCTAAAATATGATTTGAGAAAAATTAAAGTGACCCATAATCACTAGGACCATCCCAAAAAGATAAAAGGCAAGAGCTATGAAAAGCAGGGGAAATAATTTTACCTGACCCTAGGCTAAGAATAGTTATTACAATTGTGCATAAAATATAGCTCTGGGCCGGGCGCAGTGGCTCACGCCTGTAATCCCAGCACTTTGGGAGGCCAAGGCGGGCAGATCCCCTGAGGTTGGGAGGTCAAGACCAGCCTGACCTACATGGAGAAACCCCGTCTCTACTAAAAATACAAAATTAGCCAGGCGTGGTGGCGCATGCGTGTAATCCCAGCTACTCGGGAGGCTGAGGCAAGAGAATTGCTTGAACCCAGGAGGCAGAGGTTGTGGTGAGCTAACACCATTGCACTCCAGCCTGGGCAACAAGAGCTGAAACTCTTTTTTTGAAACTCCATCTCAAAAAAAAAAAAAAAAAAAAAAAAAAAATATATATATATATATATATATATATATATCTCTGAATTGCTTGGCTGTTTTGGCTCTAAAAGATGGAAGCATTTTCAGGCTTTCAAGCAGAGTTTTCCTGTTGTGCAAGGACTTTGTAAGGCAGTTCATGCTAGCACTTCTGTGTAGAAAAGATTGGATGGGGAAGAAATAAGATTCCATTAAGGAAGCCATTGCAAGAACCCAACTATGAAGTGATGAAGGGTGATGATGGTGCAATGGAAATCAGGGAAGAGATACGGAAGATGATTCAAAGGAGCTTCAGAGGACCTGACAAGGATTAGCGATGGGGATAAAGGAAATGCAAATGTAAAAAGTGATTACAGTTTCACATGTGAGCAATTATCGTAGTCAGATGTCCGCTACTATAATGCTATGTAACAAACAATCGCATAATCTCAGTCCATTACTACAATAAATATTTATTGCTTATGGGTGTGCAGGTTGGCTGTGACTCTCTTGGGTGGCTGGAACCAGACAGACTTGGCTCCAGGCTACTAGTTGTGTTTAGGTTTATTCCAAGTGTCGCCTCATTCTGGGACCAGAGGCTATTCAGGTAGATTCATCTTGTGGCAGATGGCAGAAGTGCAAGAGGCAAAGCCAAGCCCCAAAAGCACATTTAAAGCCTCTGCTCACATCACTTCTACTAATGTTTCTATGAGTCGAAGTGAGTTACATGGTTTGAGAATATAGGGATCAACAAAATCAGTTGCTCCTATACTCTCATTCAACAATAAACACAGAAGACTTCTGTGACCTCTGGTCACCAAGAAGTATGTGGGGATTTCTTCCCACCAGCAACCAATGTATCAGTTCTGCAGCAGACACCAGCAGAATTTTCTAATTCAATTCAATTCTGATCCTATCTACCTGGAGATAGCATCAGATGCCACAGGGTGAGGGTTCAGCCTCACAAGACGACCAGTCGCAAGTAATAGGTTGTCTCCTATACTTCTCTCCAATTGGCTGTAAATTGAGGCTTCCATGACCTCCTCCTTGCACTTGATTAATTTGTTAGTATTGCTCACAGAACTTGGGAAAAATTCTTGTAGTTACTGCTGTAAACCAAAAACAAAATTCTAAGGCCCCTCAACCATCTGAATGGGCCTCCTCCTCTAGGCCAGAGCACTCCAAATTTAACCTGAAAGACTGGTTCAAGCCATGACTGGAGGGAGGTCGAACATGCCTCATTATGACCTCCTCCCTTTTGGAATTCAGGAAAAGCCAACCAGCTTAACATCAACACAGACCTTAAGTCTGACAAGAAACATTTACAGTCTATTCTTAAAGCCTGCTACCTGGAGCCTTCATCTCCATGATAAAACTTTAGTCTCTATGACCTCTCATCTTAAGCCAGATATTCCTTTTTATTGGTAATAACTCTTTCAACCAATTGCCAATCAGAAAAATTTTAAATCTACCTATAACCTCAAACCCCACCTCCTTTGGGTTGTCTCACCTTTCTGAACTGGACCAATATATATCTTAAATGTATCTGATTGATGTTTCATGTCTCCCTGAAATGTATAAAAAATTAAGCTGCATCCTGACCACCACGGACACATGGGTTCTCAGAGTCTCCAGAGGGCTTTGTCGTGGGCCATTGGTCACTCATGCTTGGCTCAGAATGTCTCACGTGCGTCCGTGTGAAGAGACCACCAAACAGGCTTTGTGTGAGCAACAAGGCTGTTTATTTCACCTGGGTGCAGGTGGGCTGAGTCCAAAAAGAGAGTCAGCAAAGGGTGGTGGATTGTCATTAGTTCTTACAGGTTTTGGGATAGGCGGTGGAGTTAGGAGCAATGTTTTGTGGGCAGGGGGTGGATCTCACAAAGTACATTCTCAAGGGTGGGGAGAATTACAAAGAACCTTCTTAAGGATGGGAGAGATTACAAAGTACATTGATCAGTTAGGGTGGGGCAGAAACGAATTACAATGGTGGAATAGTTAAGGCTATTTTCACTTCTGTGGATCTTCAGTTGCTTCAGGTGATCTGGATGTATACATGCAGGTCACAGGGGATATGACGGCTTAGCTTGGGCTCAGAGGCCTGACACAGAATAAATCTCTTCAAATATTTCATAGAGTTTGACTCTTTTTGTCAACACTGGTTTATTATAAAAGATATTACAAAAGATACAGATGAACACCCAGATGGAAGTGATACATAAAGCAAGTATGTGGGAAGGGACATGGACCTTCCATGCCCTCTCTGGGTGTACCACCCTCCACGAACCTCCACGTGTTCAGCTATCTGGAAGCTCCCCAGAAACCCTGTCCTGGCCGGGTGCGGTAGCTCACACCCGTAACCCCAGCACTTTGGGAAGTCAAGGCGAGTGGATCACCTGAGGTCAGGAGTTCGAGACCAGCCTGGCCAACATGGTGAAACCCCATCTTTACTAAAAATACAAAAATTTGGGCCAGGCGTGGTGGCTCATGCCTATAATCCCAGCACTTTGGGAGGCCAAGGTGGGCAGATCACGAGGTCAGGAGGTCGAGACCATCCTGGCTAACATGGTGAAACTCCGTCTCTATTAAAATACAAAAAATGAGCTAGGTATAGTGGTGGGCGCCTGTAGTCCCAGCTACTTGGGAGGCAGAGGCAGGAGAATGGGGTGAACCCAGGAGGCAGAGCTTGCAGTGAGCCAAGATCGTGCCACTGCACTCCAGCCTGGGCAACAGAGCGAGACTCCATCTCAAAAAAAAAAAAAAAATTAGCCAGGCATGGTGGCGGGCACCTGTAATCACAGCTACTCAGGAGGCTAAGGCAGGAGAATCACTTGAACCCAGGAGGCGGAGGTTGCATTGAGCCAAGATCGCGCCACTGCACTCCAGCCTGGGTGATACAGCAAAACTCCAGAAAGAGAGAGAGAGAGAGAGCGAGCAAGAGAGAGAGAGACAGAGAGAGAGAAACCCTGTCCTATGGGGTTGTTACGGAGGCTTTATTACATAGGCACAATTAATTGGCTACTGGCGACAACTTAACCTTCAGCTCCTCTTCTCTCCCAGGAGGTTGAGGGTTGGGGCTGAAAGTTCCACCCCTGTAATCCTGCCTTGGTCTCTCCAGTGACCAGCCCCCATCCCAAAGCTACCTAGGGGCTGCCAGCCATAATCAGCTTATTAGCACACAAGACACATCACTTTGAAAATTCGAAGTATTTTAGGAGTTGTATGCCAGGAAATGGGACCAAGACCAAATATACCAAATATGTATCTTTCACAATATCACACATGGTTAAGTCCAAAGACAAAGGGGCAAAAAAGTATTGGCCAACTCTACCAGAAGACATTGCAAAATCACATAAAGGACGAGTAAAGAATAGCGAACAATAATCCAATCTACCACAGCAACTCATATAAGAGTGATAGCCTAGACGTGGAAATGTAGAGTGGAATGGACTAGGATGTCAGGTTTCTTAAACATCTACACCTGTAATATGACAGACACCTGTCTGACGATGCAAAGAGTTCTGATCCTAGGATCAGGAGATCTGGGTTCCAGATCTAACTCTGGGGCATACCCAGGCTTTCTCTTGTTGCTATTTTCTGCCATAGATGTTAAAACTAGACCATCAGCACTTTGGGAGGCTGAAGCAGGCGGATCACCTGAGGTCAGGAGATCAAGACCAGCCTGGCCAACACGGCAAAACCCCATCTCTACTAAAAAATACAAAAAATTAGCCGGGCATGGTGGCAGGCTCCTGTAATCCCAGTTACTCGGGAGGCTGATGCAGGGAGAATTCCTTGAACTCGAGAGGCAGAGGTTGCAGTGAGCCGAGATTGAGCCACTGCACTCCAGCCTGGGCGACAGAGCAAGACTCTGTCTCAAATAAATAAATAAATAAATAAATAAATAAATAAATAAATAAATAAAATAAAACTAGACCATTCAGATTGATTTTTCTTCTTCTTGTGTCACCCTCTGCCCTTCCCTTCGCACAGTATATGAGGCCCCTGTTGTACAGTATCTCCTGAGGCCAGCCTTGCAATTGACCTTAGTGGTGCTGCCATGAAAACAGCTGTCAAAATTGGATGTGCTACTTGACGAAAAGCCTAGAAGGAAATATTCCAAAATGTTATTACTAGTAGTGGGACTTCAGGCTATTTTTATGTCTTCCTGTGTTTTCCAAACTTTCTGCAATGAGCAAATATAAATTTTATAATATCAATAAATGTTTAATAATTTTTTTAAAAACTTGTCTTAGTTCAACTGTATTTTCATCCATCCTTTGCCAATAAATATATCTATGAAACATTAATCAGCACAAGGAAGCAGCCAAGCTAAGCCTTCCTTTTTTGGAGACAGGATCTTGCTCCATCGCCCAGGCTGGAGTGCAGTGGTGCGTTCACGGCTCACTGCAGCCTCAACATCCTGGGCTCAGGTGATCCTCCCACCTCAGCCTCCCGATTAGCTGAGACTACAACCACGAGCCACCATGCCCGGCTAATTTTTTATGTTTTTGTCAAGACAGGGTCTCGCCATGTTGCCCAGGCTGGTCTCAAACTCATGGACTCAAGCAATCTGCCCCGCCCATAATCCCAAAGTGCTGGGATTACAGGCGTGAGCTACCATGCCTGGCCAGGAATATATTCTCATACTCTAACCTAAGAGCAGTTATTGTCCTTTTTAATACTAATTTCTGAGACATTTGTTTTTTCCTGAATTTTGGGGTGGGGAGCGGATTTTTAACTTGAATACAAAAGAACAAACACAATTTGTCCTCTTTTTCTTCACTTAGTTATTGTTATTGTTTTGCTTTTGTCCTGTCTAGAAACTAGGTCAGGCATGAGTAGCACAAGAAATCTACCAGCTGATATACTTCCAAAATTCTCATCAGCCCCTCCCACCCCCCAGCACTTAGTCATGATGCATCTGACAGCAGGCAAAATTCCCACCTGGGAAAGAGTGCTCTGTGTGGTTGGGGTTATCATTACCATTCAAGTCCTGATTCACTCAAACCACACGGTAGTAGGTTTTGGGTGGAAGGCTTCTGCATCTGGCTAATCCTTACTGCAGTTACTAACACAAGCCCTCCCTTGATCCCACCTCCCCCCAGGACTGTCTTGTCTCTTTCATCTCTCATTTAAAACTGCCCAAACCCACTCCCTCCAATTCCTCGCCTCCCACCTCCCATGCACGTTGCCACCTCACACAGCCTGGCTTCCATCTTCCTCCCTTTGGTGAGATTGCCCCATGAGTCATCAACAAACTACTTTTCAAGTCCAAAGTTCAGCCCCTAGTTTACTTTAGCCTCTCGGCTATATGTAAAATCTTCAACTATTCATTCTTCAAACTCTTACTTTCTTGGTTTCTAGGAAATCCTGCTCTCCTGGTTCTCCTTGGCCTCTCTGACCATTTAATTTCCCGTTTCTCCTGTTTTCTTCCCCTCAGCTTTTACTTGTTCTCCTGGACTCCACCCTCTGCCCACTGCTATTCTCTCTCTTGGTGGTCTGATGCTTTCCTAGTTTCAACCATGATTCATATGCTGATAACTCCAGCCCAGACCTTTCCTCTGTGATTCATACTTCCTGGAGCTGCTGGTCATCACAGGGATGTCACATGGGCCTGAAACTCATCAGATCCAGAACTGAACTCTTCATCTGTCCACTAGGAGTCTTTGGTTGCAAGCAACAGGCACTGATCCCAACTAGCTTATTAATTGGAAGGACTGCAGGGTGGTTCCTAGAATCAAGGGGATCACTGAATAACCTGGTGACTGTTGGGTGAGAACCAGGTCACTGTATAGATTCAAGCTCCCAGGAGTGAATTTGACAGGCCTGGCTTGGATCATGACCCCACTTCTTGGGGTCCATTATCAAAGTGGGGCCAGAAGTGCACAAGGTCCCAGATAGACAAGACAAGAGCCACCACACCTCCCAAATCTGCTTTTTCTTCTACGTTCTCCATCTCAGTTGGTAGCCTACCATCCATCCATCATCTGCATACACAGGGGGCGGGCAAGGAGTATTATTCTCTTTCTTTCATATCCCAAAGCCAATCAGTTATTAAGTCCTGAGATTTTACCCCTCAGAGTATTTCTTCAAACAGTTGCCTCTTCCCTATCACTTGGACCCTTGACCTTGTTGGGGACTTTCTTGTCAACAGTTTGATGACTATTAAGCCTCCCCAGAAGTTGGGAGTTTTGCCTACTTTAAATTTGTCCTTCACATAATAGCTGGAGGAATCCATCTAAAACCCAAATCTGACTGTGTTTCTCCCCTGTGTAAAGTCCTCACTGCAGTCCAGGTTTCTTGATACAAGAGACAAATTCTGCCAGGGTCCAGCCTCTGTGTGCAACTCACAGTCACACTCCGTGCTCTGCTGGTTGTTCTGCAGCTACGTTCTTCTTTGCTATGGGATCCCCTCAGCCCAAGAGGCTCCCCTGCCTCTCTACCATCCTATCCCCAATCTGGCTGTTACCAACTCACCTTTCAAACTCAGTGGACACCTCATCTACCCAAGGGAAAAGATTGCTCAGTATCCTCTGTTTCACTGTGAGTCTTTCCTCTTGGAGCTCTATGAGAGCATGGGGCCACATCTATATTATTCATTGCCAAATCATTTGCACATGGCAGGTGCTTAATATATTTTCTTAGGATAAATAAATATATACATACTTCTGTGTATGCTTCTTCACCCTTCATTTGCACCTTCAGTGAACTTAATGGATTTTTTTCTCTTTTTCCCAGTATACAAATCACGACTTCATTATTGAATGTGCTCGTTTCCCTTTGGAAGCCAGCCAAAACTGGGGAGAGAATGGAGGTGGGGCTACTGGACAAACTACCCCGCCAAACACAGTGTTTGCTGGCCACACTATAGCCCTGCAGAGGGCGTTTGCAAATGCACTGGGAAAGAGGGCTAATCCCCCTTCCATGTGCTAGCTACATGGAGCACCTGCCTTACACGTATTCACTCATTTCATTGTCACAATAGTCCTAGGAAGCAGGTCCTATGTCCTACTGTATCAGGCAGGGTCCCATCAGGTAGCCAATGAGCACACTTCAGCTAGGTAATGGAGGAGAGTTTAGTAAGGGGACATTTATAAAAGTATAAGCAAGGTAAGAAACTTTGCAAGGGATACATGATACCCCAGGGCTAGCAACAGCTGGAAGTCCTTATCACTGAAGGGCAGCCAACCCTAGCCACCCAGGAGAGAGGGAACCGGGAGAATAATACCCTGGCCTCACTTTTCTCCTGCCAAGGCTCCCCATCACCCAAATGCAACCAGAAAACAAAGGGCAAGGAGGCTCGTTGATGTGGTCCAGGGGATGAGCCCACCAGGCCATAAAAGGACAAGAAGAGTCTAGAGTGACTCTGCAAGGGCACATGTGACCAGTATAGTGAGATTAGACAATCCGAGGGGATGGAACCAGGGTGCCCCAACTTTTCACCTGCTGACTCTGCTTCTCTGCCTCGACAATGGTGTCACAAGACTCCGTTTTTCTGGCTTTGCACACTCACTAACAGCACTTCTGTTCCCACCATCAAAACCAGGTCAGGCACAAAATTCTTGGCTGAGCTAGAAGTTCTCCATGAAGACCCTAAGAGATGGTCGTGTTAGCATGGGACAAATCAGTGACCCTAAAATAAGGAAGCAAGGCAGCCTCCTGTTTATAAACATAAATACACACACACACACACACACACACACACACACACACACACACCATATTGCTCTATGAGCTCCCAGGAAACCACCTGGTAACCGCCCTCCAACAGCACAGAGAATGTTTCCAATGAAATGGCCCCAGCACAATGTTCCAGCAGCAGGTTAACAACCTAGACTTGGGAATCAGACTAGCCAGGAGCTGGATCCTGGTTCTATCACTGGCTACGTGAACTTGAGTGTCATCTGTGAAATGCAAATCAATGACACCCATGGAAGTGTTGTGAAGATGAAATGAAATACACAATTGGCTTTGCACTCATTAAATGTTAGCTGAAAACCACATAGTGGTAACTTCTGTAGCTTGGCACTACTTTTTGACCTAATTACTTATTTGTTCCGACTTTTTGAATCCTTTAGAAATGGATATTTCCACAGCTAAAAGAAGGATAATGATATTTTGTAGTGATTATAGTTTTGAAGTACTTTCCTTTTAATTTCCATATGGTAGTACTTTCTCCATATTATCAAATATGATTGTTATCAAAACCCAGAGAGAACAGCTACCCAAAAATCACTCTGCCTATTTTAAAGATGGGGAAACTGACACCCAAAGAGACTAAGTGACTTGTTCAAGGTCACACAGAAGGCACATGGCTGAGTCAGGAATGGCATTCTCCTACAAAGGCAGCACCTGACTGGCTTGTCTCTGTGAAGGCAGATTGATGGGCAGCTCGGAGGGCCCGCTGTGCGTGCTCAGACATTATTCCGCAGCAGTCATTTGTCTGCTGGCTGCTGGATCACTTAACAACGGGTGTTTCGCCAAATTATAATTATGCCCTTCGCTTGCAACAAAGAATATCTGAGCCACTTCCTCTAGCTCTGCCTGAGAGCCGTAGAGTGGCGGTGCCTGCAGTTGGGTGGGCGTGCACCCCCGCTCACTGCTGTTCAGTCTTCCTAGCACAGACCACTTCTCTGTGGCTTCTCATGGCAGACAGCAGTGTGTGAACCCCAGTGGCTGTCACGAGTGCTTTCTCTTGTGGTCAGAGAGCAGAACTTGCTACCAGGTTTAAGTTACTGGAGGTGGAGGTTTTTACAATCAAAAAGCCAGTCTTTGAAAGCACAGAAAATGCATTAGCATCCCCTCCCTTGGAGAGAGCTATTTTTGTCTTTCGTCTTCACAGACTGTGCTCCAAAATAGGGAGACGAGTAGCAGGAGGGGAACAAAACAATATCCACAATGTCTCCAGCTCAGAAAGAGCAAATCACTGCCATTTCCTCAACAACAACAATTGCCACAGCAGTAATGGAGAACAGACTGAGTTGGAGGCAAGCTGCCCTTGGGTAAAGCACAACACGGATCTCTTTCTGTGGGATTGCTCTCCATATACTTCATGAAACAAGGTTTGTTGCTATGGTTACTAGCAAATCACATGATAGCCTGGCTACCTAAAAGTGTGGGAGAACAGCCCAGATCAGAATGTGATGGGGGTAGGGGATACCTTCCTTCCCAGCTCGGCTGCATTTCCCTAGCAGACTTGGATGACCTCAGAGGTCTTCCTCATTTCCAACCAGCCCACACGTGGGGTTAAAGGCCAGCCATTCTTTGGGCACCAAGAGATTCCTTTCATAACGAGATCATCACAAGTTTGCCTCAAGGGCCTCTCCCTCTTGTTCCAGGAGCCCCTCTCCGCCTCCCCAGCCCCTTCCTTCCCTGGCCCCTCTGCCACACACAGGTGCTGTAATTCAATCGCTGAATTGAGTGGGAGGGGGTGGAGTGTGCAGCCTACACCACTTGAATAAGCTCTTTTCTAAAATCGAGGATGGCATGAGTCAGGGAATTTTGAAGCTGTGATACAATCAGGACACTGGTGCCTCATGGGGGAGAAGGGAGGGAGGATGGACTCGCCCAGATCCTAAAGAGACAGGCAGGGTCTGGTTTCCCAGGTACAGCCTCAATGGGGTTTGGCAGACCCTCAGCCTCAGAGTGATGGAACTGGGTCCATCCTGACAATCTCTGAGGTAATGTGATGGATATGACCTCACGGGCATTGGCTTCCAGGGAAGAGAAAGGCAAGACCTGGAGAAAGCTTTCAGACAACCCAGCTCTCTGCCTCTTCCCCCTCCCTCACTCCTTCCCTGCAGAGCCCCATGGAGCTAGCAGAGTCATGTGCTCAGAGAAGTGGGTTTGTGAGTGGGTGCACCTTAGCAGCAGCAGCACGGGCTGGAAGTGCACATCTGTTTCTCTGACAATTACAAATTGCCCACTTCTTCAGGTTCAGATCGTATCTCATCTTTTCAATTCCTTTAGAGTTTCTTGTCTTCTTCCTCCACAGCAAAAGCAAGATCTGGATGACAGAAAAAGACCCAGAAGAGTAAGCAAAAGACAAGGACTGAGGGGGCTTCTGCCCTAGATGTGCTAGGTGATTCAGAGAACTTCCTTCAGGGCTCCTGCCTCAGAGAGCACAGTGTATTCGGAGGAGAGGAGACGCACAGCCACACAAATGTCATTAACCCTATTGGGCACCACAGAGCAAGGGCTGACACCCAGCCCAGCACTTTGGGAGGCCAAGGCGGGCAGATCACCTGAGGTTGGGAGTTTGAGACCAGCCTGGCCAACATGGAGAAACCCCATCTCTACTAAAAATACAAAATTAGCTGGGTGTGGTGGCGCATGCCTGTAATCCCAGCTACTCGGGAGGCTGAGGCAGGAGAATCACTTGAACCCAGGAGGCAGAGGTTGCGGTGAGCCGAGATTGTGCCATTGCACTCCAGCCTGAACAACAAGAGCGAAACTCCATCTCAAAAAATAAAATAAAATAAAAGGAGTCTGGTGGTATGCTGCCCAGAGCTAGCAAGATGTCTTCTCTGGTTGCTCCAAGATGTTCAACATGTGGCTTCCACTTCATTATCCAGGGTTGTTGCTCATGATCCAGCCATCACGTTCACTTTCTAGGCAGCAGGAAGGAAAAAAAGGAGGGAAGAACTGCATGCTGTCTCATTAAGCACACTTCCTGGAAATGCACCCCGCCCCCCACTTCTGACATTTCACTGGATAAAATCTAGTCACATGGCCACACCTAGCTGCAAGGGGTCCTGGGAAATGTAGTCTATTCTAAGATGCCACGTGCCCTTCAGGGAATGCTATGCTAAGGAAGTAGGAAAGGATGGACCTCTGGGCACAACTAGTAGTCTGTGGCACGGAAATATATTAGTAGAATAGCACATGTGCATACTTACAAAGAAATAAACGTGCTTATTGGGGGCATAGTCAAAATTGGGGAGTTTGAAGACAGCTGCTATGGATCATAGACTCTAGGAGAACATATAATTGAGAGAAGAAATATGAGTTGTTTTTTTAAACCAACTTACAGTCATTCATCCTTCTCCTGGTCAAACAGTATAGAGAATTTTCTCTAGGGACTCATCCCTCCCTCACTCTCAGCCACATAGTTGCAGGGGTGGGCTGAGGGGGAGCTTCTAATAGTCTTAGTGAACAAGTTCTCCTGTCCCACCACTGGGATTGGTGCAGGTCACTGAGAGGCAGCACAGGACTTGCATTTGACTCTTACAGGGGAGACGGTGGACATAAAGCTGAGAACACATGAAGGAGGGAGCTGCCCAAACCTTCTTGCAATCATGGTGGAAGAGCCTGTCTGAGGGTGCGGAGGAGATTCTCATTCAGAGGATGAGGGAGCCGCGCTGAGAGAGGACCAGGTCCTGGAGATATCGTTTAAGTGTCCGTATCAGGCTGCATCTGAACACAGCATGAGTCGTGATGAGGAGTCATCTTGGACCGTCTGGATGGGGTCAGCCCCCTAGAACTGGCAGAGCAATGAAGTGGACAGAGCCTGGCATTGCATGACTTCCTGGAGCAGAGCCACAATACCTGGCTGGAGGGCTGCATGAGAGAGAAAAATCAATTTTCATCTTGGTGCAGTCCTACCTATTTAAGGGTCTTTGTCTTAGCAGCCAGCCTATAACCTAACCAGGACACATGAAGTAATGATCTCATTTAATTACCCAATGCCTGGAGAGTGAGCACAGGGCAAGACTGACTCAGGAACCCAGGATGCTGGCCCCCACATTCAGCACGATTCAGGCGTCCCTAGGTGGAGTTCCTTTCCTACATGCTGGATGGAGTCATGGCCCTTCATTTCCTCTTTGTACCTAAGTACTTTTGGGACTATACCCCTGTGCACGGCCCAGGTCTGGGCTGGGGCTTCATTCTCGATAGACATTGACCAAATAAATGAATAATAAATGGTCTTTCTGAGTTTCAGAATATCCAGAAGGCTAGTGGAGGATCAAATGAGATCATGTTTGAGAAAATCTTTTGGAAACTACAAATCAATATGTACGCTTTGGTTGTAGTTATCCTTCTCATTAGGAAATTCTCTAAATTTAGGGCAAGAATATGGCTGTGCTATGAATATATATAGATATATATATTCATATTCATACACACACACACACACACACACACACACACACACACACACATGAATTCTGTCCTGAAGAATATGTCCCTGTAGTCTGGTTCTGTCTTTTGGTGCCTTTCTCCATGAGACAGTTCTTCCAGTCACACCACTCTTAGAATTGGAGGATAGTTAGGGGCTGTACAGATACCACTCCCAGTGCAGTCTACCCCCACCCCAGGCAAAATTCCCCTTCATGATGTTCCCACTAAATGATCAGTTGGTCAGTGGCCCTCCTAACAACTGGGCACAGAGATCAAAATGTGACTCAACAGTGTAGGATGGGAAGAGTCCCACGCTGGTCCTTAGACATTCATGTGTTCTCCCTATCTCTATACATGGGCACCTTTCCCAACAGCCCAGAATCCTCTTTAAAGGTCAGGTTCAAAGTAACCAGCTCTGCAGAAGTCTTCCCAGTCTGGCAGGGGCAGCTAGGTAGTCCCTTTTTGTTGCTATGTCACTTTGTAGTTAACTCTATTATAAGGTGTGTCAACTTTCTACTTCCAACCACTACCTCGACCCTTCAGAAGTGAGGTTTTCAAGGCCAGAGACTGTGTCTTACTCATTGGATTCTCCAGCACTTACTTCAGTGCCTGGCATTTGTTGATAATTTAACGAAGCTTGTTGAATGGATGAGTGAGTAAAACACAGGAGCAGAACAGAGGGGCATTGAGCCCTTGCTCTCTGACATGAGACAAACTTGGGCCCAAATCCCATTATTGAATTACATTCTTTCCTGCATGCATTCATCCATTCAAATATTTTATTGAGCTCCTATTATATTCTGGACACCCTGCTAGACACCAACATAGGATAAACAGGAGGCACAAGGTCCCTGTCCTCACCGAGCTTATGTCTGAATAGTAGAGACTGAAAATAAGCCAGTGAATAAGTAAATAAAATACCTTGGCTCATGCCTGTAATCCCAGCACCTTGGGAGGTCAAGGTGGGAAAACTGGAGCTCAGGAGTTTGAGACCAGCCTAGGCAATATAGTAAAACCTTGTCTCTACAATTTTTTTTAAATTAGCAGGGCATTATGGCTCACACCTGTGGTCCTAGCTACTTGGGATGCTGAGGTGGGAGGACTGCTTCAGCCCCAGAGTTCGAGGCTGCAGTAAGCTGTGATCGTGCCACTGCATTCCAGCCTGAGCAACAGAGCAAGACCCCATATCTTAAAAAAAATTTCTTTTAAGATGTCTGCAGATTCTAATATGTCCTATGAAGGAGATGGACATGGGTGAGTGTTGCCAGGGCCATGGAGTCAGCAGTGGGCTACTGGATAGGTGGGCAGGGAAAGCCTCACCAACGACCTTGAACTGAGTCCTGAAGAATGAGAACAAGCCAGGCTTTTAAGGAACAGAAAGAACAGGGACAAACAGAAACGCAGGTGCTTCTGTTTCCAAGGCTTAGTTTCTTCATCTATAAATAGAAATAATAACAGCACCCACCTCACAGTTTGTTGTGAAGCTTAAATGCTTGGAAACACTTAGCATAGTGCCGGGCACATAGAAAGCACTTCATATATATTAGCTCTTATAATCAATTACAGGGTCACGCTGGAGAAAGGAAATGAGAGTGAAGCCATGGCAGCCCTCTGTAATGACCACTTCCGTCTCCAATCTGTCCCAAGCCATCTGTTAAATAATCCACTGAAGAAGGATCTTAGGCACCAACCTCAGTCTCTCCCATCTAAGGTCTCTAGAATCTCTTTAGAATAAGTGTAAATACCTTGTATGATTTAGCACATCAAGCCAGGCATGGTGGCACACACCTGTAGTTCCAGCTACTCAGGAGCTGAGGCAGGAGAATCGCTTGAGCCTAGGAGGTCAAGGCTGCAGTAAGCTATGATTGCACCACTGTACTCCAGCCTGGGTGACAGAGTGAGACCCTGTTTAAAAATAAAAATTAAAAAAGATTGAGTAAATCCAATGGGATAATGCAATGGAAAGCCTTGTACAATTATAATTATTACTCCTGTTGTTTCTTCATTGTTTCTGGACATCTCTCTCACATGCCGCCCGTTCTAGCCAGCATGCTGCCCAGTTTGCCAAGGACCTTCTTAAAATGAAGCCCCTGAAACTGAACATGGAAACTTAAGCAAGCTCTAGCAGAGCTGGGACTGTGCCCAAGGCCCACTGACCCAACACAGCCTAACAACTGGGTCATAAGTTAGCAACCTAAGCAAGAGTAAAATCCGAGCCTGCTGCCTTCCAATCCTGGACCTCACTGGCCAACAAGGTGCATGGACAGCACCCAGTGTCTGGCAGTGAGATGAGGTCTGTCTGGTACTCCCGAGCACAAGGCAGCCTTCAAGGAACTGCAAGGCACTCACAGTCGTGTTTTATCTACTGGGCAGATGGGACGGTCTTGCATTTTAAAGGAGAAAACAGAAAGAGGCAAAACCTTTTCCACAGTTCAAAGTCATCTGAACCTGCGGTTTCTCTGATAAGGGATGTGTGTGTGTCTGTATATGCGCATGTACACATACACACATGCGTGTATTCAAGAGAGGAAAAACAGCACTGCCTTTATCCTCTCTGCCACTGACTCTTGCAGATATGATGATTTTATGTGTTCATGTGAAGTCTGGCCTTAAACGGCAGCATAAGCAGAGAAATGCCAAGGGGAGTGGTGGAACACACAAGGGCATAATTACAGTGAGCTTTGTCCAGCTAACACACCAATAATTTGCCTCACGG
The DNA here is from genome assembly GCF_000001405.40 of Homo sapiens. Lineage (NCBI taxonomy): Eukaryota > Metazoa > Chordata > Mammalia > Primates > Hominidae > Homo > Homo sapiens. The sequence goes on along the minus strand of NC_000008.11, from coordinate 101,149,805 downwards.
AATGATTCAGCAATAACCCTGCCAGAGTTCCCAAAGAAACTCCATATCTGGGATGATGTAATGTCTCCCCACCTCTGATACCGCCTCTCTCCACACCCACCGCCACACGCTCACCATCTCGTCTAGAGAGCCACAATTCCATCTGTGAACCTTCAGTTGCCATCTGCATTGTGACAAATATGTATCTTATTATTCAAATTGTATTACAATGTACAATGTTGTCAATCTAGCCCTTTACACTTGATAATTCAATAGAAAAATTAAGACCTGGAAAAAATGCTAACCTCTGGTGAGTTATATAGGAACAAAAAATCGTGAGCTATGTCTGCAGAATGCCTCTAGTATCTCAAATTGGATATTTGGACCCTGCTTCCCATGAATATTCATACTTTGAGGCAAAGTGATTGATTTCATTTATCACTGGAAGTGGAGGTGACTGTCTAGACTTGCTACGTGAGAAGCATTGCAGAGAAAGGGACCCTGGCCCTCCTGAGATGCACCTTGTGTGTGGCTGGAAGATACTTTTGCTTGCCTACCCCAAATCCAGATCCATCAATCTCCCCTTCTCCCTGACCAGTAGAATCAGAGAGATGCTCATGAAGGTGCTCTTAGCATAGTCTAAACTAATTTTGCTTTAGACTAATTTTGATTTGCCACTCCTGACTAGGCATGTAATTCATTTGATTTCACTTTGTATCAAAGAACAATATAGAAGATCTGGGGGGTAGGGAGAGTTCTGGGAAAGATTTCTTTGCTGATAAATAGAGACTCAAAGAATATATAGCTTCTTTTTTCTATGGATGTTGTTATGATGCAAGGAAGTCCTACAGCCATTTGGCAAACAGGAGAGGAGGTAGCTAGAAAGACAACAGAGATGGCAAAAATCTGGGTCCTTGATGCTGTTGATAAACTGTTAATAGGACAAAAGAGGTAGATCTAAGAAAAAAAATTGCTAATAAACCAAACTTAGAGCTGCCTTATCTCCAGACTTTGCATTATGTAAGATAATACATTCTTTGTTATTTAAGCTGGTTGGATCAAGGCTTTCTGTTATATAAAAGCTGAAAACATCACTACTACTTGCAGCAGTGACTTTCAAGCTTTTTGATCATAAACCAAAGAGGGAAATATGTTTATGTGTAATGTACTCTAAAGTGTTCTATTCTACTCTATTCTATTTCATTTTTTAAAATTCAGGTCACAACCCACTAAAGTGATTTCAAAGCTCACTAATGGGTCATGACCCACATTTCAGAGAACATTAAAGTCATAAGGTATATAAGCTACTGTGATATAATAGAAAGCATAATGTGGTGTCATCAAAGACGTACCACTGAAGTGCTGTCATAGGAGGGAATGATCACTTCGAGTTGGGGGAAACAGGGAAGGTTTGAAGGAAGAGCTGGACGTTGAAGAGTAGTTCCATTTCCAGCAAGAGGAGTGGGTGGAGAATTGGGGGGTGGGGGGATTTGGTTAGGGAATGACAGGAGCAAAGATAAGATGGTGAGAAATACAGATATGTTACCCACCAGGGGGTGAACCTGGCCAAAGGCTGTGTATGGTTTCGAGAGTAGTGAGAAGAAAGGTGTGATTTGGGTTAGGTAATGTGCAGCCTCGAATGCCAGGCAAATGGGAGGCCCTATGAAGGCTGTGTAAGGCTGTGTCTAAGAAAATCTAAAGCGGTAGCAGCTGCAAGCTGGGCTGGGCCCATGTCACATCAATAGCTGAAACTGGCAAAGCTTAAGGCCAGAGGCAAATAAGAAAGGCCTGTGTTCTTGGAGGTCTGCTTCTGCCACGTCACCTCCTTCTGCCTGCAATTCCTGCAAACCCATTCTCCACAAGGGTGGGGCTCCTGATCAGTGAGCTGCTCTTCTATGATGAACAAAGAGTAAGCTGGCCTTTCTAAAAATCTTGCCTGGCAGCCCACAATGTAAACTAACAGTACTGATGTGATTCTTCTAAATGACACCATCAGAGAGTGGGCAAGATTGGCCGATTTTCAATCTCAGAAGGCTGACAACCCCCAGCTTCTCATTGTTCATCTTCTTGCTCCCACCTGCTTGCCTGCCGATGTGTTCACATTTTGTTAGATCCAGCCTCCAAAGGTGGGCTGAGCCTTGCTACTTGACACCTCTAATAAGAAAAATTCAGTGGAGGAGGATTTGAAATTGCTGGTTACATTGGGTGTTTGTGCTATCTGTGGATTTTAATTACCATTCCTTCCCTAATCTCTCCCTGAAAAGCAAGAATTGACTCTTATGATGGAAATTAATCGGAACTAATCTGCAGCTTCTCTTTTACTATAACCCACAGACCTAAGGGGTTGGCAAATCAGAGTGGAATTTTCCTGGGAATCCATATACTGAAGAATAGAACCAGATTTTAATAACTTCAAAGCGGCGCCAAGTTTGTGCTTGCCCTGGCTCTTCAAATAAGTGAGGTTTTGAATATTTAAGACTGAATGATCAGATTTCTGGAATACTGTTTCTGTCCTGACAGTTGATACTCTTTGTGGTTTGGGCAGAGGCCCCTACATGTCTGGCCCACTGCCTCCATATGGAAAATTACAACTAAGACCTATCCTTTGGGAATGCAAAGTAAGTTAATTGCTTGGGGTGGGTGGGCATATTGATGATGAAAAGCACCAGCTAGCCACATGTGACCCCAGAGCATATGGAATCAAGTGAGGAGTTAGCATAATTACTGTTGATTCAGCCTTGGTATCTTCTCCAAGGGGGTTTATTTGGATTTTTCTTTGTAGAAACTTTCAGTGCCTCATGTATTAGAACCTAAGATTGGAGTTAATAAGCTGAATAAAAATAAGTGAAGGAAAGAGCAGACAGGTAGGGATTACCTTCTCCACATGTCTAAAGCCACCATCGCCATCTCTTCCCAGTGCTGCATCTGCTCTGAGCTGTCCCTTCTGGGTACATGGTGCCAGCATCTCCCCAGCCACCTGGAATCTTGGTGTCATCTCCAGTGTTCCTGCTCCTTGCCACCCACATGCGGTTGATTACCAGATCCTTTAAATGCCTTGTCCTCTCTGTTTCTACCCTTCTTAATTCAAGTTCTCAGTGCATCCCCACTGGCCTCCTGGGTTAGCCTCCTTGACTGGCCCTACTACTTCCCACCTCTCTTCCCATCTCAGTTCACCCCTTACTTGGCTACTGCAGTAATTTCCTAAATAACAGCTTTCAATAAGTCACTCACTTCCTTGCACTAAATTCCTCAGGGGCTCCCCCATCTAAAGGTTCACAGGTTCAAAGGCTAAACCTATGAACATGTTATCAAGAACCTTCAATACTGTCGGCCCTTTAACCTATCATCCCAAGTGTTTTCTCCCACGACGTCTGGTTCATAGCCCAGACTGTAGGGCAGAGAAGGCACTCCTTGTACTTAATCTGGAAGCATTTATCATATTGTATGGAATTACCTGGAACCTGAAACACCCACTAGACAATAAGCTTCATGAAGACAGGGTGGGGTTTTTACTACTGGTGTCTACCATAGGACCAGGCAAATAATTTGAACTCAATAAACGTTAGTTGGAAGGCTGGGACTGGTGGCTCACACCCATAATCACAGCACCTTAGGAGGCCAACACAGGAGGATCACTTGAGGCCAGGAGTTCAAGAGCCACCTGGTCAAAGTAGCGAGGCCCTAACTCTACAAAATAAAATAATTAGCTGGGTGTGGAGGCATATGCCTGTAGTCCCAGCTACTCAGGAGGCTGAGGTGGGAGGACAGGTTGAGCCCAGGAATTTTCAAGGCTGCAGTGAGTTATGATCGTGCCACTGCACCCTAGTCTGGCTGACAGAGTGAGACCTTCAAAAAAATATATATATATATATACATATATACACATACATATGTATATATATATAAACACATCTATATATATATATATATATACACACACATCTATATATATATATATATACACACATCTATATATGTGTGTATATATATTAGTTGGATGAATCAATGAATGAATAAGTATGTAATAGGTCAGGGATTCTGGTTTTAAATTGAATCTGCTTATCAGTACCTACTATAACCTTTGTCAACTTTCTACTAAAATACCTATTTAGAATGCGTGAAGAGTAAAAGCATGTAACCCCACCAGAAGTTAAAACAATTGGAAAATCCACTGCCCAAATATGGAAGAAATGTAGACAAATTCTAAGTTCTATAAGGCAAACTTCAAAATCAAACTAAGAAAGAGTACATGTTCCATCATCTCAAAAGAAGAGGCCTATCATGCCAAGAAGGAAGCCATCTTATTTCTCTCTAGATTTTTTTTTACCTCTGGCTTAGAAGCCCAGGGTCTGGATCAACCAAAAAAATTGGGAATCCATCCCTCAATTGCTTGGGTTCTGTGTTTCAAAGCAGCACTCCATTCTCCTCTTCTTGACCTTACCAACAATTCCCCTCTTTCTGCATTTATTTAGAAATTGCAAGTCCCCATTTAATAAATAAATTCTAAGAAAACAAAAGTGCAGAAAGTTGGGTACATATGTGCATGGTGGTGGAGGTGGTCAGGCATAGGCTGGCAATAGGTCAATTGTTGGAGGAAGCATAGTTCCAACAAAAGTAAGGTTTTGGGCGATGACAGAACCAGGAAAAGCCCTGGGAACAGTATATTCTGGCGGCCAGATGTTTATGTGTGTGTGTGTGTGCGCGCGCGCGTGTGCACGCACATGCACTTTTTTTTAATTCAGAGTGTCAACTAGACAGATATTAGTTGTAGGAGAAGATTTTGCCTCAATCCTACAAAGCTACATGAAAGGAATACGTGCTCTGTAGTCACTGGAAATTGCACCAAGCTCTGCACACTACACTATCTTACAGTTGTCTATCTAAGAATGAGATTCCACAAACGTCCAAATGGACAGTGAGTGGAGTCAAGAGAGTCACAATGTGTCTTTTAGCAGCCAGTAGATCTGAACAGATTTTCCTTCTTGCAGGATAAGCTCTGCAGTACTGCAGATTAAAGAAAATGGAATGTCATTCAGAAGTCTAGAGGAAGGTCCTGTTTCTGAAAGTGATGTACTCCATGAACCGGAAGAGAATTCTAAACTACTGTTTTGCGTCTTCGTTAGGACATAAGAAGACATGGCTTTTATGAAGTAGGAGTGAAAAATTATGAAGAAAGAGCAGGTAGCAATGGAGGGAGAGCAGAATGAAATAAAGAACTATTGTGAGGAATGCAAGGACACATGGTGATGTGATGAAAAGAAGACCAGCTGTGGTCACACAACATCTAAAAGTTATTGATGTTGCCAAGAAAAGAGCAAAGCCAGTTGGAACAGATGCAAGAACCAAAGATGTCATCTTTCATCATAGATGCATAAAGCAAACTCTCACACTTTCATCAAAGATGTGTAATTACCAGGTTCTCACATCCATGAAGCTTTGCCCGAACACTATTTGTTCAGTAACGGAGTAAGAGCCTACTGTGTAACAGACTCTGTGTTGTGGACCAAGATAAAATGGTCATCTCTCTCCTGTGGTCCCTTCCACACCCAGTCCCCAACTCTACCATGCCACCTACAACATTCTGCTGTTTGTAACCATTAACATTTCTGCCCTGCAACAGAAATGTGGGGTCCTAGAGGGCAGGATGGTAATTTGCCCATCTCTATGTTCTCAGAATCTAATACAAAAAAAGTTTCTTGACTGAATAATGAAGTGCATGAATAAAACATCAGCAGATTGACCAACAGTTACAGTTCTCCTATGATGATTTCTTTGACAATAACAGTTCACAATCAGTTCTTCTAGGACCATCTGGTGTTGATTCTCTGACCACACCTCCTGAGGCCTCATCAGAGTACAGAGTCCACTGCACTTGCGGATGTGTAATTAGCTGGTATTTCCTTATCATGTTTCTATTTCCTCGTGGATATTTATTCAAAAACAATTTCTAATAACATTCTTTAATAACCTTTTTCCTAATTTTCAAAGCAATGCAAGCCCATTTATACACAGAAAAGCATAAAGCAAACTCTCACACTTATAAGAGGTATTTCTGAGGTCTACCCAGTCCTTCAGGGCAGGGCTTTCTGTTTTGATCACAGCCAGCCCCATCTAGAGCACTTGGAACAGCTCAGCATACCGTAGGCACTCAATAATGAGTATTTGTCAGATGAATGTTCTTGAGCAGGTACCTGGTCTCCGCAGCCTCAGCTGCTTGCTGGGTGAGGGAAGGAGCTTCCCGGGTACCACCAAGACCCCTGAGCTCCTGGGCATGCCCTGGTGGCCGCCACTGTCCTGGGAATTAGTGCCATCTCTGTCTCCCAGTACTGCACACCCCTCTGGGCCCTGTGGCTACTAGGCATTTCTTCTGCATTTGGGGTCCCGGGCCCTGGGGCTTGCTGGGGCCACAGACTGTTTCTGAGCTTAAGAGGCCTGGTTTTCCAGCATTCTCCATGCATGCTCCCTTCAGAACTGGACAGGAAATCGCCCCCTCCCTTTTTTATGAAGGGTGGAAAGCCGGTGGCCTGACCTACTGATGACCTGGTATTAGTGAAAGCTCTTTATGTCTTTAATATTTTGATGCTTGCTTTAACTGTTCCCCCATGGACCATTTAACTGTGGCTTAGCCTGACTTCTTTCCTCTTCACTTTTAAGATGCAAAAGAAAAATGATTAGGAAAGAGCCTGATATGGTTTGGATGTTTGTCCCCTCCAAATCTCATGTTGGAATGTGACCTCCAGCGGTGGAGGTGGGCCTAGTGGGAGGTGTTAGGGTTGCGGGGGCATAACCCTTATGAATATCTTAGTGCTGTCCTCATGATGATGAGTGAGCACTCACTCTGAGTTCACAGGAGATCTGGTTGTTTAAGAAGAGCCTGGCACCTCCTCCCTCTCTTGCTTTCAGTCTCTCCACGTAATACTCTGGCTCCCCTTTGCCTTCTGCCATGATTGGAAACTTCCTGAGGCCTCACCAGAAAGAAGCAGGTGCTGGGCCTATGCTTTGTGCACAGCCTGCAGAACCACGAGCCAAATAAGCCTCCTTTCTTTATAAATTACCCAGTCTCAGGCATTCTTTTAAAGCAACGCACACGGACTAATACAGAGCCTAACCAGGAAAGCCTGCTCACAGCCCTTCTACCGCCGCAGTGAATACAGGGGCCCCACCTGGGTGCACCCCCAGGCGTGGCACTGAGAGGAATCAAGTCCCTGGGTAGGAGCTTCTGTGTGGGTGGCTCCCTCTATCACCCCCAGGGAGGAACTGGGAGATGGCAGAGGCCAAGACTTCATCCTGTGACTCAGAGAGAGGACAAAAGCGGTCAGAGCCTGTCCATCTTCAAGAAGCCCGCGCCCACCACAGGGAGAGGCTTTCAGGATGCATGGGAGCTGTCTCCCGGCCTCCCATCCCCAGCCCCCAGGTAGCACGGCTCCCCTTTAACTGGCTCTGCAGAGTGGGCATTTGTATGACATTTCATTTTCTTTTCGGAGGTTACACAGCCAGAAGTTTGAAAGCCCCTGCCATCCAGGGAAGCCAGCAGTTACCCAGGAAGGGCCTTTTCTGGTGGCAGCACCTGGAGGTGGTCTTTTTCTACTTCAGCTTTGCAAGTCCCAGAACTCCACTTTGTCAGGACACCCAGAATAGGTCAGTTCTGAGCTACTGACTTAACCAGATCCACAGAGAATAAAGAATTGATCAGAGCACCAGTACATCTGTTCACAACTGAGAATGCCCCTTCTCAGGGATCAGAACATTAATGACCAGCATTGGGAGCCACCTGGCTAATTCTTCCTAGTATCAAAGCAGCCAGGGCCAGGTGCAGTGGCTCATACCTGTAATCCCAGCACTTTGGGAGACCAAGGTTGGCAAATCACTTCAGGTCAGGAGTTCGAGACCAGCCTGGCCAGCATGGTGAAACCCTGTCTCTACAACAAATACAAAAATTAGCTGGGTGTGGTGGCACACACCTGTACTCTCAGCTACTTGGGAGGCTGAGACAGGAAAATATCTTGAACCCGGGAGGCAGAGGTTGCAGTGAGCCGAGATTGCACCACTGCACTCCAGCCTGGGCAGCAGAGCAAGACTCTGTCTCAAAAAAAAAAAAAAAATTGTAGCCAGGATGCCACATTAGTAATCAGAAGACTGTTCTGTGGAGCTAGAATAAAAAGCAAGGAAGGTGGATTCAGTCAATGGCATTTTATCCAGGCCATGGTGGACCTGATGATTCGTGTCTTTCTCAACAACAAACTCCTCTCTCCTGCCTGGAAAGCTGCAGCTACTGAATCCAGGTAGCTCCTGGATGGCGCTGAATAGAACCTGCCTGGAGCAGACAATGTTCTTGCTACCCCCTGGCCAATTCTTACTTCTTGCTTCCCCAAAGAACCCTGCCTCTCCTGGTACTTATCCTCCTCGGCCTAGGTAGAGGCTTCAGGGAGGTGCGTCCCATCTGAGGACCCAGGAGATGAATCTTTACTGGTCCAAACAGTGGATCTCCTCCCTGTTGGACCCAGTACCCTCTTTTTATCACAAATATTTTTATATTTTTTTGCCTCAAACTCCTGGGCTCAAATGATCCTCCCAGCTCAGCCTCCTGAGTAGCTGGGACTATAGGCACACACCGCCAGGCTCAGCTAATTTTCTTTTTTTAATTTTTTGTAAGGACAGGGTTTTTTCTATGTCGCCGAGGCTAGTCTTGAACTCCTGGGCTCAAGTAATCCTACCACCTCAGCCTCCCAAAATGTTGGGATTATAGGCATGAGCCACTGCACCCAGCCCTACAAATATTTTATAATGTCCCTTTTACTACACTGAAATGAAATTTGTATACAACATAAACTATCTGTACACATAATTTTAAAAATCAAATAACTATTATGAAGTGGAATTAAAAGAGAAATAATGTACAATAAAACAACATGTATTTCAACATGCAAATTCTTGGCAGAACTGTGCTAAAAGAAATAACATTGCAGGTGCCTGGATCCATACCTAGAATCACAGTCAATGTGGCAGCCACTGGGGCAGGCCCATCGGGTGTATTGTACTGGAGGCTCGAATTCCATGAGTAATGTTGACATTGCTAATGTGATTTTCCAAAACAGTGAACAACTCCTGGAAAAGTTCTAAACAAAACAAAGCAAGATCTTCTCTCGATGTGCACAGCAATTGCTTTCCTGGAAAATACAGTGTGTTTTTTAAATACTTTGGGTTTATATATGAGAGTTTGGTTTTAGCTCAGATCACTTTGAAGATTTTTCATTTGTGCAAATGTTCAATGGGACATTCAAAAATCATGCAGGTCACAGAGTGTGACCATGACCATCCCACACATCGCAGGTTGTCTACCATCTCTAGCCTCTGCCCACTGCATGGTCATAGCCCTCCTTGAATTATTGTGCCAGCCAAAAATGACCCCCTTCACATTTTCACAATGCCCCATGGACCCAAGTGAATCCTGGTGCTCCCATTCCCCCTTTCCCATAATGAAACACAAGGGGAATTCCACTGGAGGCCTTTAGCACAAGGTGTTTCTTTAATACCTGGTAAGAAGAGACACAGGTGAATAAACAGCACCTTTCTCTGCCTATGGTTGTTGCATGAGAATGCGATGTTTGGGGTCTGCAGCCCCCTTGCTAGCTGGGGGCAACCAGCCTGAGAAAGAGGCCAGCACACTGGGCAGGGCAGAGCAGAAAGGGGGAAGGAAGCTGGAGACCAGATGGCTTCAAATGAGCTACTGCAACAGCCAGTCCCGGAACTGCCCCACCTCCAGATATTAAATAAGCGTGCAAGTTGGTAGAGTTGGAACTTTCTGTTCTTACAGCCAAAAGCTTCTTCCTGATAAAAAATACTCACAGCTGGGTGTGTTGGCTCATGCCTGTAATCCCAGCATATTGGGAGGCCAAGGCAAGAGGATCGTTTGAGGCCAGGAATTTGAGAGCCAGCCTGGGCAATGTAGTGAGACCCCATCTCTATAAAAGAGAAAAAAATTTAAATTATTTTTATACAGCACTTATATTATGGCTATTTGAAGACTCCATTTTGGGGTTTAATGCAGAGAATCTGCCTCCTTACTTGGTTTTACCTTGAGAGACAGTGAGGTGATTTGGTTAAGGACAATTTCTGGTTCACATTCCAGGTCAGCTTTCGTAGGCAGTGTAAATTTTAGCAAGTCACTTAATCTTTTGATGTCTCATTTCCTCACCTGTAAAATAGGGACAATAATGGCTTTCAAATTATAGGGATGCTGTAAGAATTAAATTAAACAAGTTACTGCAAGTAAGCACTTCAAACAGTGCCTTGCACATCACTGAGGCTGAATCAATGTTAGCTATGATTACAGAGTATTTTTAGTTTCTTAGTTAGACTTCTTTTGGCCGCATATAACAGAAATTCAACTCAAACTAAATTAAGCAAAAAAAAAAAAAAAAAAAAGAGAGAGAGAGAGAAGTTATTGACAACTGAGGATACCAAGATGGGTTACAGAACAAGAAAGAACAGCTGGAATTTGTGCCCCGGGCTCAAATGTGACCTGGTGCTTCAAGACAAGTGGTTTCTATCCTCAGCTGCTTGTAAGAATCACCAAGAAAGCTTTTAAAAGTCCCAAGGCCTAGGCAGCACCGAAAACCAACCAAATGAAAATTTCTGGGGCTGGGATCCAGGCACCAGTATTTTTTCAAGCTCCGCAGTTGATTCCAATGTTTAGCCAAGGTTGGAAACCACTGCTGTTGAATCTCTGTCTGCCTCTCCTCTCTGCTTCTCTTTTCTTCCTTTCATGCTACAGAAAGCTCTTCCCACCACAGCCTCAGATGTATATCCTTCCATTATAAAAATCTCGATAGAAAAAACAAACAACAAAAAAAAAGTGTTTTCATCCCACCATCCGTATATAAATGGATTTGGCCTATTAGATCTTGCATTCACCCTTTTTATTCTGATCACTGTTGCTGGGGCATGGGGGAATGAACCCACTCCTGCAGCCAGGAAACTTGATGACTCACCAGAAATACTTGGAATGGACACAGGGCAATTCCTTCAAAGATCTAAGAAAATTGAACAGGAAAAATCCAGATACATCATCTAAATAAAGTAAAACTACTTAGACTTCACCTTGGTTGATATAATGTGTTGTCAGCATTATTAGATTCAGCCATTTTTGTAACCAATAAGATTTGGGCTTGATGGTGTCTTGTCTTCACATCTTTTAGCCACTGCAAGTGACGGAGGCTGTCGCTTTGCTAGGATGATTCCTGGGTCTGTCTCTCAACTATCTTGATGGAATTGCAGGCTGTTGATTCTCTAAAACTGCTTACTCACTGACTCCCTGTCATGCCCACGGTTGACTGATCTCATATGTTACCCTCTTGATTTCTCTCCATTTCACTTGGGGATAAAGTCAACTTTAGGTAGGACTTTACTTAGTATTTCAGCTCAAACTGAAATCCATTTTCTCAAACTTTTGGCCCTTCTCCTCCGTTTTACTTGGTGATCTCCAGGTTGGAGTAGCTCTTACGGAAATGCTTTCAGTTAAATTTTTTTTTAACTAAAAGATGATTGAAATTATACATGGAATCTTCAATTGTACTTAATCCACTTGTTCTGAAGCACATGTAACAGATCCTTCTTTAAGACTGGATATTATCAAGAGCTTGTCTGGAGGTTCTAGCAGGGGAGCGCAGCTAGTCTATACCCTTAACCGAAGACCAGTCGTCCTCTATCGGAGATGGTCGTCCTCTTCCACTGAGCGTGCGGCTTCGGGAGGGTGCACATGGAGCAGCAAGGGAGGAAGGAGACACCCGCCTAGCCAGCCAGAGCAGCTGAATCAACCCTGGCAATCAATGGGGTGACAGATGTCTCAGCCAGATCGCCCTCACATCCAAAACTGGATATTATTGAGAACAATAAAACACATTCCCAACCCTCCAGAAAGTGGGGACTTTTTGATCAGTTGGAGGGAAGTGCATTTGAGGAGAGAAGCCACAGTAAATACCCGCACAGGATTAACATAATTCCCAGTGGAAGCAAGTGGCCCCTGTGGAGCATATCCGTGTCCCCAAGGAGCCTGTTCCCTTCGCTCTGTCTCTGTGGCCTTGTCATGTCATCGCACATTTTCTGAATTCAGCTTACTGTAGGTTTCACAAGACTCTGGCTGCACACTGAGCAGTTAATTTGGATCTCTGGGTTTCCCAACTGGCTAAAGCCACTGCTGCAGCACCATGGAGGGCCGACGGGCAAGCTGGGGAGACACTGCCGCTAGAGGATCACAGAGGGCCTTTGCCATTCTGTGCACTACCGCCAGCAGCTTGGAGTGGGAAGGAGTCTTGATCTTTTGGTTGGTTCTTACGTAGACACCTGATAGGCCTCTTCCTGTTTTGTTCACTCTTTGCATAGTTTCAGACAAAGCGAAAAAGGGCCCCCGAAGGAGCTTTGCTTACCACTAGAGGGAGGAACACCCCAGGCCCGTGCCGCCTGGAGGACAAGGGCCCGCAGCACAGGAAAAGATTTACCACACTTCCCCCCAGCAACCCTCCTCCCTCCAGCTGGGCAGGAAGCCACCTGCCACAGCAACGGTCACTGCTGGGGTCATACTCTTCGTGTGCATTACATTTCCAGATCTGATTTCTGCGTGAAGCCGCAGCATCCTCCTTGGTGTTCTTTGAAAGCTCTGTGTTTTTCCAGCTGTTCCACAAACCTTTATTGGCCCGGGCTGCCTTGCACATAGCTTCCCAAAATTACTGAGGCTATAGACATTCTTTCCACCAGCAGTATCCGCACTGACCCCTCCACCATTTGTGAATGCAAATCCTTACCCCATCTTATGAGTTTGTCTCACTTCCGGGTATCAAAAAAGCTGTGTGCGTCATTCTCAGCCCGCAGGTAGCACTGGAAAGGTTAACTTCCTCTATTCTGGAATTTCATAGAAATAGAATCACACAAGATGTCCTTTTTCTGTGTGGCTGTGTTTGGCCAACATATTGTCTGTGAAATTCGCCCATGTGATTGTGTGTATCACTTAAGTCATTCTTAAATGTGGTCATTCTTAAATATGGTCAGCAATATTTCACTTATGAACAGACCACAGTTCGTTTATTTCCTTATTGATGAATGCTTGGGTTATTTCCAGTTTTTTGTTTGTTTGTTTGTTTGTTTGTTTGTTTGTTTTTGAGGCAGAGTCTGTCTGTCGCCCAGGCTGGAGTGCAGTGGCGCGATCTTGGCTCACTGCAGTCTCCGCCTCCCGGGTTCATGCCATTCTCCTGCCTCACTCTCCCGAGTAGCTGGGACTACAGTCGCCCGCCACCACGCCTGGCTAATTTTTTGTATTTTTAGTAAAGACGAGGTTTCACCATGTTAGCCAGGATGGTCTCGATCTCCTGACCTTGTGATCCGCCCGCCTCGGCCTCTCAGAGTGCTGGGATTACAGGCATAAGCCACCGCGCCCGCCCTCCAGTTTTTTACTATTTTGAATCAGGCTGCTATGACCATTCTTGTGCAAAGCCTCCTCTGGATGTGTGTGTTCATTTATCTTGTGTATATTCCTAGGAGTAGAATGCTTTCCCTGTAAGTGTATGCTTCACTTTATTAGAAACAGCCAGTTTTGACTGGGCATGGTGGTTCACGTCTGTAATCCCAGTACTTTGTGAGACCAAGGTGGGCAGGTCACTTGAGGTCAGGAGTTTGAGACCAGCCTGGCCAGCATGGTGAAACCCCGTCTCAACTAAAAATACAAAAATTAGCCAGGCGTGGTGCTACACGCCTGCAGTCCCAGCTCCTTGGAGGCTGAGGCAGGAGAATCGCTTGAACTCGGAGGTGGAGGTTGCAGTGAGCCGAGATTATGCCACCACACTCCAGCCTGGGCAAGGCAGCAAGACTTCATCTCAAAAAAAAAAAAAAAAAAAAAAGGAAACAGCTAGTTTTCTAAAGCAGTGTTTTAATATATATTTAATCTTAACGACAACCTTAAGCGCACATCAGTCAGCTCACAATTGCTTATTGAGCACCTATTAAGTGCCATGCACTATTCTGGGTGCTAGGATAGAGCAATGAATAAGACAGGCAAGGTCCCTGTCAGTAAGTCACATTCTCATGGGGCAAGATGGGCAATTCAACCTAAATAAACACTGACAATTAGGCCAGGCGCATTTGTTCACGCCTGTAATCCCAGCACTTTGGGAGGCCGAGGCAGGTGGATCACTAGAGCTCAGGAGTTCGAGACCAGCCTGGACAACATCGCACTCCGTCTCTACCAAAAATATGAAGAGTTAGGTGCGGTGGCGCCCCCCTGTAGTCCCAGCTACTCAGGAAGCTGAGGTGGGAGCCTGAGGGGCGGAGGTTGCAGTGAGCCGAGATTGCACCACTGCACTCCAGCCTGGGTGACAAAACGAGACCCTTGTCTCAAAAAAAAAAAAAAAAAACAAACCTGAAAACCTGAAGATTATTTCAGGTGCTCATACGTGGTGCTATGGGAAATGGAGTGATATGCTGGAGCACTGTGGAAGGGTGCTATTCTGCTTCGATGTTCAGGGATGGTCTCTTTGAGGAGCTCACAACTGAGTTAAGACCTGAGAGACAGGGAAGATGTGGCCCTGCAGAGCTTCGGGAAGAGACTAGAGGCAGAAGGAACAGTAGGTGCAACTGCCCTGGGACAGGAAAAAAGTGTGGTGGTGGCCGGGCACAGTGGCTCACACCTGTAATCCCAGTACTTTGGGAAGCCGAGGCAGGTAGATCACCTGAGGTCAGGAGTTTGAGACCAGCCTGGCCAACATGGTGAAACCCCATTTCTACTAAAAATACAAAAGATTAGCCAGGTGTGGTGGCGCGTGCCTGTAATCCCAGCTACTTGGGAGATTGAGGTGTGAGAATCACTTGAACCCAGGAGGTGGAGGTTGCAGTGAGCTGAGATCACGCCACTGCACTCCAGCCTGGGCAACAAGAGGAGCAAAACACTGTCTAAAACGGTGTCAGGCACCATTCTAGGCTCTGAGGATCCAGCAGTGAACAAAATAGACAAACATCCTGCCGTCAGGGAACAAGGAGAGAGCAGGTAGGAGGGCATGGAGGAGGAAGAAGAGACCAGGTGAAGTAGGACCATGTAGACCATGGAAAGGAGTTTGGATTTTTGCCTGGAGCAGCAGGAAGCCATGGAGGGGTTTTAAGCAGAGATGTGAAGATGATGTAATTGACAGCAAGGATGGAGGCAGGGAAACCCATTAGAAGGTCATGTAGTGATTAAGGCTGGAGATCGTAGGCTGGGATGACCGCTATGACTGGAAACAGTGAAGGTGATCTGCATTCAGGAATATTTTAGGGGTTAGCCAAGAGGATTTAATAAAAGATTGATTATGGGGCGAGCAAAAAGAGAAATTCAATTATAATTCTAGGCTCTTCACCTGAGCAACTGGGTAGATGCTGGTACCACGCACTGAGATTGGGATGATGGGGAGGAAAGACTTAAGTAAGGAAAAGCAGTAGTTCCCTTTTGCCAGCTGTACAATGCAAATGGATGTTCCAGCAGAAATGATCAAGTGGCTAAAAGAATTAGGGGTTCATGGGGGAGAGCGAGCCTGAAGATCCAACATTGCAAATCATCAGTATATAGGCAGCTTTTAAAGCTACAAGATGGAAGGAGATGACCTAGGAGGAGAAAGTAGGCCAAGAAGAGGACAGAGAATGCCTGGAATACACTGCGAATGTGAAGTTCCATTTTGCAGATGAGGAGACAAGGCTCAGAGAAATTACACCATCGCCCAAGGTCAAGCAGTATGATGAAGCTGGTCTGACTCCAGGGTCTGTATACTTACCTACTTCACTCTAATCCCTGAGGTTTCTGAGCTCTGCCATTTAGATGTCATATGAGCTCAGCAAATTACTTAGCCTCTCACAGTTTTCTTGTCTGTAAAGTGGGGATAACAATAATTATACATTCCACATAAGGCAATGTGAGTAAAATAAATTAATATAATTTAAGTGCTTAGAACAATGCATGGCTCACGGTGATATCAGCTAGTATTGTTACGTGAGCCACAGGGTCAGAACATGCAGGCCTCAGAGGGAAGAGGAATAAACATTTCTGAATCTACACAACCGGGTGAGCTGGCTCCAGATGTCACAGTCAGGGATCTGTGGCATCAACCGGTGGCTGAAGAGAGTAGGTCTGTCTCAGACAGGAACTCTTACACCTGTGGCCACGGCAACAATTGGCCGCAGGGTGTGGACATACCTTCGACCCCCTCCTTATGCAGGTGAACTGTGGCACATTGGGATCCAGTCAGTAACGGAGAGGTCAGGGCTTCAGGTGGAGGACACAGCGGCTCAGGCCAGAAATGAAACCAAGTGAGGAATGGACTTTTTCCCAAAGTGTACACAGAAATGCCTCCTACTCTACTCTTGCTGGCATTTGCTGTTTGGCCGTGACTCAGGATTCCACCACATAGCATCTATTCCATAAAATCCACATCTGAAAGAAGAGAAGAGACAGATCTAGTCAATGTTGAAGGTAGTTTATGCACATGAGGCAAACACTTGTTTTTTTGTGAGCACAGTTTCTTCTGTCCCCACTTCCTTAAAGTTACTGCCCGACCCACTCCCTGTGTGGCTCACAGACTGCAACTCCCTGTCCTCAGAGGTGGTCCAAATGATAAATGCATGATCCAAGCTGCAGCAACGTGAAATTTTCCTCTTAGGTTTTACAGTAGATATTGGGAAAACAACCTCTTTTTCCTTGGGGGTTGCAAAGTTGTAAGGACATCCTCACGGAGCCGTGCCTCCTTAGTCGCCTTTGCCCATCAGCCATGAGTGAGAACAGAGCCTGCAGAGAGAGGTAAAAACCAAGAGATGGAAAGCTCTGGTGGCTTCATCTGAGCCCCTCGCTCACTGTTCACTGTTGTCTGGGCCCACCTATTATGAAACTTTTAAAGATTCGTATTAGTTTCCACTACTGGCAATTGTCACAGCCTTAGCTAAGACTCTCCTGAAAGTAATTCAGTATTGTCAGTTAGCTTTACGAATAATGAACCTAGCAGGTTAAAAGTTCCAATGCGGCCGGGGGCGGTGGCTTACACCTGTAATCCCAGCACTTTGGGAGGCCAAGGCAGGCAGATCATGAGGTCAGGAGATCGAGACCATCCTGGCTAACACGGTGAAACCCCGTCTACTAAAAATACAAAAAATTAGCTGGGCGTGGTGGCAGGCGCCTCCAGTCCCAGCTACTCGGGAGGCTGAGGCAGGAGAATTGCTTGGACCCAGGAGGCGCAGCTTGCAGTGAGCCGAGATTGTGCCACTGCACTCCAGTCTGGGCAACACAGCGAGACTCAGTCTCAAAAAAAAAAAACAAAAAAAAAAAGTTCCAATGCAAGGTCTCGTGGCATTTAAATGAACTGACCACCCGAGCTTATGTGGTCTATTTTTACTTGATCATCCTCCCTGTAGGGTACCTATCGGCTCATGTGTCTTTTAAAGACTCCTTCAAAGAAAAACTGCCAGCTCATGTAGCCAGAGTGTTTAGAGTCAAGGAGACACCAGATGGGCAGCATTTTGCTTGGGGAGCTAGAACATCTCTAGACAAGGAGACCAAAGACTCCGAATTAAAATCACGCTGGACCAGATCAAGCTACCCTTTGGGCTTGAGTCTTTACAATTCTAGACCCAGTGAAAAGGTCTGCTTGAATCATGAGTGCCTGAAGGGTTTAGTGCATTTCTAGACTCTCATGGATTCAAGCCTTCCTGGACAGAGTAAATCACTGGGTGGCATTCGTTTCATTCACATGTATGTGCATATATATATATATATGTGTGTGTGTGTGTGCATACATATGGTGTATATATGCATGTGTGTATATATGTATGCAGCATATGTCTATGCACACACACACATACACACACACACACGCACATGTTCCAGCCTCACACACTTATTCAGGAAAACTGACTCAAAGAGGTGGTAAAAAAAAAAAAATCAGCATTTCTTAAAACTTCTTCGAAAATCATCTCCTGGCCTTCATCTCATTTTCTCCTGTGACATTTTCATCTCAAAGCTCTAAATTCTTTTCATAGCCCCTGAGTAGGTGACAGCCACTTGAGAACAGTCTTGTATTGTCTTGCTTTCCTTTGGAAAACAAGGTGGGCAGGTGATTTGAGGAGTTGGAAGAGGGGAGGGTACATTTTTCCTGCACCTCAGATCTGGCAGTCCCAGGTTTTAGAAGCTCTAGAAAATGTAGCACTTGATTAGGCTGGGAGAGAGGAGACCCAGGAGGCCCAGAACTAGAAGCAAATGTGGGTTTGAAGTGTTATTCTCGTCTCCTCTAGGCCAGTCTCTCCTCATTGTTCTCACTGCCTGAAACAGCTATTTTCTAAAGAGTAACTCTCTCCTTGCTGAAGCAGAGCTTTCGTCTGACTATTGCATTCCTGTATAGGAGTGAGGAAATTGGGAGAGGACCAAGTTCCCATGCAGCCGCCTCGCTGCCAGAGCAGGCGGACGCTGTGGGCATGTGTGGGTGGTGGTGCCCCTGTCTTCATCGTTGTGCTGGTGACTACAATCAGCCTCTTAGAAGATGGTAATAAGATTCTTGTAGAAAGCTACAAAATCATCTGTGGCAGATGGCAGAAGGATAGGTTCTGATTTTTCTTATTCCACTATTATTTTTCTTGAGAAATGTGCTCACCAACATCCCGCTTTCTTGTGCTTTATTTTGACAAAGCCAGAAATTAATTTTTAATCCTTTTTATCTGACCTTCTTTTAATCATAAATTCAAGGAGGATTATTACCTTTTAGAAACAAAAGTAAGTCATTATCCAGCCTCTTCCCTCTGTCCCTCCCACGCAATTTTTTTTTAACACTGAAAAAATCCTTTAAATTTCTCTGAACCTACAGAGATGATATTTACCATTGCTATGAGTGCCCTGGTGATGTGCGATTTCATTTTCTTATTGGCTGGGGGGCAGGGTTGGGCTATTGTGTTTTGGTTATTTTTTACTCCCTCTCTAGACAGACATAAAAGCAAAAAATATTATAGGCTCCAACAAAAAGAGGGGCTACCATTCATTAAATGCCCTCAACATGCAAGCACCATGCTAAACAATGTACTGACATGATCTTACTAAATCCTCACATTAATGCTGTAAGTAGGTACTATTATTACCCTATTTTACAGATAAGGAGACTGAGACTTGTAGAAAGAAACTTGTTGTCCAAGATCAGATGGCCAGGGTGAGGCAGAACTGGAACTCAAAGCCAGGGAGCTCCGCTCCAAAGCCAGTGCTTTGAAATGGCACATTCTTCTATTTTCCCTGATGAATTCTAGTTGTGTTAGTGGTAGTTTCTGGGCTTTAGGGGAGTTTTTTCCTAATTTCAAACTCTTGTTTGGGGCCAGATGTTAAAACGCTCATTTATGGAAAGAGAGCTGGACATGAGTTACCGAGGCACTGGCCTGACCTTAAAGATGCAAGGTAGACCCACCATTTTGCAAATGAAGAAATTAGAGTATGGTGTTTCTGTTAACGATTGCTATCTAGCAAACCACCCTAAAATTTGGTGGCTTAAATGACAAAACCATCTGTATTGCTCCCAGTTCTGTGGGGCAGGACTTTGGGCAGAGCCCAGAAGTACCATTTGGGAATGATTCCATGTGGCATGGGCCAGGCTGGCCTGACTATGACTAGGGCATCTCTCTATGACTAGGGCCTCTCTCATACTTGGGGCCCTGGGGTTGGCTGCAGGTCCTCTGCAGAGCAGGACAACCTGGACTTTATATGGTGGCACAGGGTGGCAAGAGAGGGAAAATAGAAGCTGCCAAGCCAGTAAGTCTAGGCCTAGAACTGGAACAGCACCCCTCTGTCTCATTCTTTGGGCCAAAGCCAGTCACGAGCAGCGTAGTTTCAAGGGGAGGGGCACTGACTCCACCCTGTGATGAGAGGAATAGCATGTGAATACAGGGATGGCCTGTTGATGGCCATCTCTGCAGACTATCACACATAGTGACTTGTAGTGGCAGATAGCCAAGTGTTAAGCTAATATTACAGAAAATCCCACTATGGCTGCTTTCCTGGAAGGGAAAAGATTCCCTTTAGACAGTATGTTGTGTTTTGACTCTCTTAGCCTAACAATTAGGGAGGTATTTTAGCAGGGACGGGGGCTGGCATCACTCATCTTTTCCTGTGGGAGATGACAGTCTCGTGGGCCTATGTGACCTGTCGAGTCCAGTTGGGGGCAGGGGGCACCTTCCCTTAATCTAAACAGCCTGCACATTCTCTTTGCCAAGAGAGAAGCCCAGGCAAAGAAAAGGGGGCAGAGGGTGGTCACTCCACTGAGGACACAGAGGCAATGAGCCCAAGGATGTTATAGAGGCTGCCCAGGTGAGTGGGGAAGAGAAAACTGGTTCCACCCACCTAAAATGATCAGCCCAATCTACCTCTAGTGAAAAACAGACCAATGGCCTCGTCAAGAAGAATTTAATGATAAAGGAATTTCCGGCCTCAACTAGCAGAGCATTTATAATCATTTTATCAAGCTTGTCCACCCACCTGAGCAAGGAGCAAACCACAAATTCAAGGTCAAATGTAAAAATGTGTACCTGGGATGGAAAAGCAAGGTGGATTACATCCAGATGAAGAATAATTTAAATCAGAGAATTGTTAGAGTCAGAGGCAGCCTAGGAGATCCAATTTAGTCCAATCCCAAGTTCTGCATGAGAAGACTGAGGCCCAAAGAAAAGAGGTGGCTGCCAGGTTCCATAGCTCTGTTATTCTTGCATTGATAATGAGCACTTAGTAAGCACTGACTAGATTAGGTGTCAGGCGTTCCGCTTGGTGATGAGAATTCAAGGTGGAATAGGACATAGTCCTTGCCTTCAAAGGGCTGACTGTCTAGGGGTGGGGAGAAGGACATGAAAAGCAATGATTCTAGAACAATGCGGGGTTACAGCATTCCAAGGGGACTTTGGGAACCCAGAGAGGTGGCCCTAGGACCAGAGCTCCACTTCTCAGCTCCAGGTCCCTTGCTCCATGTCCATGAGCTCCGAGTGGAAGAAAGTTTGTTTTTCAAAAAACCCTGCCTACTGAGCTGTTCATCAGAGCTACACTGTGATTTAAAAGAAAGTGTGGTCTTACAATCTCATGTGCATTAATAAGAAAAAATCCTAACTGTGCCTGGTATTTGGACAGATCCTAACAGAACCTTCGCACATCTTATATCACACACAATCTCATGACACGTGGCCCCGGTACCAGTCCTGAGGAAGGCAGCTAGCTTTCATCCAGAGCCTCTGACTTCCAACCCCTTCACTGAGCCACTAAATGAGACATATTCTGGCTGGAGCCTCAGAAGAACCAGACCAAGAATGGGCTTCGCCACCAGCATGCACGATCGGCCCTACGCCAACTCAGAATACTGGTTAAAAGGTGTGTCCAGATCTAATGAGAGCCTAAGAGGCACTTTTCCACCTTCGTGACAGAGAGGCGAGCACAGACCTGGGTGTTACTTAAGCCCTCTGAGCCTTAGGTTGCCCATCTGTGCAATGGGAATCATCATCATCATCACCTATAGGAGGCTCACTGTGTGTCACCTGCTGACTTGAGGGCTTTGCAAGATTGCCTTGTTTAGTCCTCACAGCATCCTGTGAGTTACCAGTGATAATAACTCTATTTTACAGATGGAGAAATTGAGGACCGGAGAGCTTAAGTCTCCTTGCCCAAGGCCACGCAACTAGTGAGCAGGAGGGGTGAGACTCAGCCTCAGATGGCTTCCAGGAAATCGGTACAATTAATGCTCTGCTACAACATTTCCGAGGAGGAACTGAGACTCCTCACACACTGTCAGTCCCCTCTCCTACTTCCACCCCTTTTCCTTGTGTCCACTGTGGTCCTGACCAGGTGGCCTCCTACTCTCTGGCCTTCTGTGGCTCTTAGCATCTGCCAGGTCCCCCTGTAACCCTCAGCGTCTGCCCCAGGAGACCTGTTTTCTCCAGGCTTCAGGCCCCCCCAGAATCCCACTAACCTCCTCAGGGACGCTCAGGGCTCTTGGTCCCCCATCCCTCTGCTCCCACACACAGCAATACTGCCCTTCCCTTCCAGCCCCCGGGGAGGCAGTGGAGTGTGATGGTTTTCAGCCTAGTTTTCCTATGAGAGGGGAAAGGAGGGGGCCTGGAAGGTTCCTTCCTCTGCTTCTGTCATTCCCTGGCCAACTCAGCCAAGAGGGCCACTAGAGAGCGAAAGCATCCAATACAGCTGACCTTCACCAAGGACTCAGGGCACCAGGAATCTTCCAGGCAAGATCTCGCCTCCTCCTCACTAGAAACGTGCAGTGAGTGTTGCTCCCCACCCCCACCCCATTTTATACACAAAGAGCTGTGCCCAATTCCGCCTAACTAGCGAGTGGCAGAGGGGGGATTCAAACCCCTGTCCATCTGCTGCAGCGCCCACGCCCTCTCTATTTCCACACAAGAGGAGAGGTAAAGGGCCAGCGGGTGTTGAGTGGCTCCAAATGTCACCTTCAGCCCAGCAGCGGTAGCATCACCGGGGAGCTTGTTAGAAATACGCACTCTCAGGCCCCTCCCTAGACCTACTGAATGGAGGCCTGCATTTTAACAAGATCCCAGGGGATTTCAAACCCATCAGAGTTTGGGAAGCCTAGGTCTGGGTCCGTAGTTCGCCACTCTGGCTGAACAGTGGAGTCACCTGGGGAACTTCACAAAATGCAAGTGGTGCCCGGGCTCCACCCCCGTGGCTCTGAGTTCATTGGTCTGGGCATCAGGAATTTTTACAGCTCCCAATGATTCTAATGGACAGCCACCTCTGAGAAGCGTTAGGCAGCCCGAGAAGGGGAAATCCTGAAGGCAGTGGGGGGAGGTGGCCACCAGCGACTTGCCACCCCCTCCCGAGACAGAGCCAGCGCAGGAGGGTGTGACCAGCATCAGGGAGGCGGGGAGACACAGTGACAGGACGGTGACAGTTTGGGTGTCCTTTCCGCCCGTGCGCGCGACGGGACGGAGGGGCAGGGGTTTCCTCCTTGGGAACGCTGTCTGTCTGGCAGCCAAGGAAGGCCGCGGCCTCTGGGGATCCCCGCCCGTATCGAGCGCCCCTTGCCGAGGGAACCTGGCTCGGCGAGCGGTGCGCGCAGGCTCGGAGGCGTGAGAGCGGGCCGGGCGGCGGCGCGGCCGGGAGCGGGTGACTCACCGGGCGGGGGCGGCTGGGGGCGGCTAGGGGCGGCCGCGGAGCCAACTGCAGCAGCAGCGGGCCCAGCCTGCCCCGCAACAGCCAGCGCGGCTCCTGGAGGGAAACGAGCAAGGCGGCCCCGCAGGTGTGGCGCGGCCCTGGGAGGGCGCGTGCGAGCGCTGCTTTGTTTGGTGCCCGCACAGCCCCGGGCTCCAGGCCTGAGCGCCAACCTTCCCGAGCTGAGTCACGGCTGCAGAGCCCGAGGGCGGCCATACGGCCCCGCCCGGAAGGATGAGGCCCCTTCCTGAAGCTGGCGAGTCCGATGCGGTGGCAGGGACAAAAGCCAGGGGAAGGTGGCTTCTATTCTACAAAGCCCTTTAGGGAAGGGGGGAGTCAGGCCGCCCTCACCCAGTGCAGGTCCGTCACGATGGTCACCCAGAGCACTCACGCAGAAAGCCAGCTTGCAGCCGCCAGCCCTGAGGATGCCGCCCCCAAAGGGCTCATTGCTCTAATCACCCGTCCAGGGGCTTGAGGCAAAGCTCCAAGACAGACCTGTAGCAGCATGGCCCAAAAAGTTCCTCTGCTGCCCCAGTCCCATACCTGCCTGAGGTACGGGGGTTCAGGCTGAGTCGGCTGACCTGGAGTCATCTGGAAGCCTTGTCAGAAATGCAGATTCTGCAGTGCTGTTCCCAGAGGATGAGATTCAGCAGAACTGGGTAAAGCCATGAAACCTACATTTAATAAGTGCCCCTGGGGTTTTTTTCAGCAGGAGGTTGGTACACTTCACTTTGATTTTGTAGAAGATCGCATGAACACAGAAGTGTTAACCACATATGGGTACCACTGAATGACAGTAAGTTGAGGAATTTGCCCAAGAAGACACAGCTAGCAGTTGGCAAAGGTGGGAGTCAACCCAGAGTCACCAGTCCCCCAAGTCTGTGTTTCTAAGCACAGGCCAAACCTCTACAGCAGTCCCCTAGGAGCTTCTAAACTCTTCCTTTGTACTTTTGTGTTATCCAGTACCACCCGAAATAAGCAGCATCAGCTGACACTCTTCTACCTTTTGATTGTATAGGGATGTTGTTATGGTATGTGGATCTGGATACGTTGTAACTTAAGCCTATCAGTCACTAATAGACATGAACACCCAGAAGGGTCTATTACGTCTAGATGGATGCCAACTCGAATGGATTTTTACATAATCTCTAGTTTAAAGGCTGCTAGTCTATCAACAGAGGATAGAGAAAAAAATACACTGAAAATTAGATTTAAGACAGATTTATCCCTTTGCTTGGCAAATGTCATCTTATCCTGTTAACAGCCCACAAGGAAAAAAGTTAACAAAAAATAAATTACATTTTCAACAATGCGCTTGAAGTGCAGGCACAGATGTCTCTGGGGGCAGACTGCCTTAGCTCAAATCTCAGCATTTATACTTCCTGTGCTGTGTGAACTTGGACAAGTTTGTAACCTCTGTGCCTCAGTTCTCCTGTCTGAAAAAATGTAAACGTAAATATTTGTCTTATACTTACTAGGTGTTGGATATTATATGAAGAGATTTGCAAGTGTTATTTTACGTAATTCGCACTTTACAAAGGAGGAAACTGCAGCGCAGGTACCAAGGTTGCCCCATCTCGGTCCAGGCCTGCTCCCGGCGAGCCACTCGCCCTTGACCACGCCTCCTCTCTCCTGATTGGCTGTCAGGCATGAGTCGTGAGTACCCCCATGGACGCTCAGAATGGCTAACATTCTTTTGAGCAATAACTATGTGTGCTATGAGCTAAACACTTTACTTGAATTCGTTCATTTAATTTTTGCTATCACCTCATGAGATGGGAATGATTATTTTCATCTCCAGCTCTCAGGGGAGGAAACGGAAGCATATATATATATATATATATATATATATATATATATATATATATACATTCACACACACACACACATACACACATATATATACACACACACGTGTGTATATATATGTGTGTACATATATGTGTGTATATGTGTGTGTGTATGTGTATATATACGTGGGTATATATATACACATATATGTGTATATATATACGTGGGTATATATATACACATATATGTGTGTATATATATGTGTGTGTGTGTGTGTGTGTGTGTGTGTGTGTGTGTGTGTGTGTGTTTTGTTTGTTTGTTTTCCAAGACGGAGTCTCACTTTTTTGCCCAGGCTGGAGGGCGGTGGCGTGATCTCGGCTCACTGCAACCTCCGCCTCCTGGGTTCAAGTGATTCTCCTGCCTCAGCCTCCCGAGTAGCTGGGATTACAGGTGTGCACCACCACGCCCGGCTAGTTTTTGTATGTTTAATAGAGATGGGGTTTCACTATGTTGGACAGGCTGGTCTTGAATTCCTGACCTCGTGATCTGCCCGCCTCAGCCTCCCAAAGTGCTGGGATTAGAGGCATGAGCCACCATGCCCGGCCAGAGGCATAGAGATATTCAGAAACCCAAGATCACACTGCTAGGAAGGGACAAAGCCACAACCTATGCGGTGGCAGTCTGGCTCCAAGGCCTGGGTACCTAACTGCTACACTGTGCTGCTGATGTTATATAATCACATGTATTAATGTTATATAACAAGTGAGGTGGGCTCCCTACTCTCCTGACCCCTCAGAGCAGTAAGGCTGGGATTTTTCCTTCCTGTTAGCACTCTGCCTTTGGGTGCAAAGGCTTTCTTCTATTTATTAATTTAATGTAATTTTACTTTTTTGAGACAGGGTATCACTCTGTCGCCCATGCTGGAGTGCAGTGGTGTGATCTCGGCGCACTACAACCTCTGCCTCCCAGGCTCAAGCCATCCTCCTACCTCAGCCTCCCAAGTAGCTCAGACTACAGGCATGCACCACCATGCAGCTAATTAAAAAAAAAAATGTAGAGAAGAGGTTTTGCCATGTTGCCCAGACAGGCCTTGAACTCCTGGGCTCAAGCAATCCACTCACCTTGACCTCCCAAAGTACTGGGATTATAGGCATGAACCACTGCCTCCAGCCCTATTTATTTTTGAGGGAGTTTATGGCTTTCCTAGCCCTTGAAAATTAGTGTTTATATGGGACAGTTCAGAGGGGCTTAGGAAAAGCCTTGGGTGCAAGCAAGTATCTGATCCACAGGGTACACGCAGGCAGCCTTGCACAGAGGCACGTTCAGGGCCGGGGAAGTGCCATGAACTAGTGTAAACGCTTTACTTCAATTAATTCAATGTGGCTCCCCAGCCTGGGGCTAAGCAGCGCCCCCTGGAGGCAGGGGAATGGTTTGCAAGCATTGGCTCCTCCGGGAGGACGTGGGTTTAGTCTCCACACTGGCCTGGTATCTGGCTGGGAGCCTGACACTGGCCCACGTGTGTGGCAACTCTTCTCACACAGACTTGTTCCTCCTTGCCCCATCTCTCTCCCCTCTCCTGTCCTCCCCTCCACCTTCTACTCTGGTCTCTTGTCTCTAACCTTCTCCAAACTGTCTCCTCCCCACCCAACCCCACTCCACCCCTCCAGGTAACCCTCCTTGTCTTTGGGGCTGGAATATTTGTGGAGGCAGCAGCAGTAGTGGGGTGGGGAGGTGGGGAGGGCAGTGAAGTTTCGTTCTTGTCTCTTGTCTTTCTAGTCTATTCTAGTCTACTGTTATGATTAAAAAAAAAAAAAAAAAAAAAAACAACTCCATACCATGCATCCCTCAAGCCTTCCCTTTTGATTCTTGCTATGGAGTGAATTGTGGCCCTTACTCCCTCCAAATTCATGTTTGAGTTCTAACCTCGGTGTGATAGTGTTTGGAGATGGGGTCTTTGGGAGGTAGTTAGGAGTAGGTGAGGTCATGAGGGTGGGGCCCTCATGATGGGATTAGTGCCTTTATCAGAATAGATCACAGAGATTGGGCACTCTTTCTCTCTCTCTGTCCCCTCCCCTTCTTTCCCCTCCCCTGCCTTCCCCTCCCCTCCCCTCCTCTCCTCTCCTTTCCTTTTCCTCTCCTGTCTCCTGTCTCTCTTCTTTCTATTCTCTCTCTCAGAGAAGGAAGCCATCTGCAACCCAAGGAGAGAGCTCTTGCCAGACTCTGACCCTGCTGGCATCTTGATCTTGATTTTGGATTTTCTAGCCTCCAGATCCATGAAAAAATAAATTCCTTTCCTGATGTTTATAATATTTTGTTATGGCAGATTAAGCTCACTAAGACAATAATCAAAGACCTATAAAACCGTGAACTTCTTGAGACAATGAGGATGCCTCTAACAGACTTGGGAAGAAATCCTGCACAAAGAGCTGGGGAAAAAAGGGAAGAAAAGCACATAGAATACTCCTTCAAGGCAGGCATTGGCAGACCTTCCACCGTGCACCAGGCTCTGTGCTAAGATTCACCCTGGAGTAACCCTGCCTCTGGGGGTGAAGTTGCTATATCTGGCTGCGTTTTGGCCAGCCGACCCTCTAGGCAGCCCTTAATTCTTGCTTCTCAAACTTACTTCCAAGGACAGAGAAAGATGACCACTGCCCTCACCCCACTAAAGAAGCCCCAGCACTTAGCAAGCACTTATGGCCCAGAGCAGACTGTCTCTACTTCATTTCACTCTCCACACCCAGACTTGGACCACACTTGGAAAAGAACCAGCCAGTCCTGGAGGCTGCATATTGTGGATAGCAGGACTCCACTCACATCTCAAAGCTCCTCCCTGCCCATTCCCATGGTCCCTCCAGCCCTTGGGCAATACTACCAATAAGAAGGAGAAATGAGCTGGATTTCACTTCCTTTGGAGCAGGTGTGAATAAACAGAATTGTCCCAAACTTGGGCAGCAGAAGTGGGGAAAGAAGAAAGGCAACCGGCCAGGCGCGGTGGCTCACGCCTGTAATCCCAGCATTTGGGGAGGCCCAGGCGGATCACCTGAGGTCAGGAGTTTGAGAACAACCTGGCCAACATGGTGAAACCCATCTCTACTAAAAAAATACAAAAATTAGCCAGGCATGATAGCTACTTGGGAGGCTGAGGCAGGAGAATCTCTTGAACCCGAGAGGTGGAGTTTGCAGTGAGCTGAGATCATGCCACTGCACTCCAGCCTTGGTGACAGAGCGAGACTCCATCTCAAAAAAAAAAAAAAAAAAAAAAAACCAGAAGAGAGCAACCAATACTTATGAAGCCTCTGATAGTTACTCAAATGCCACCAGTAAACCCACGAGACGCACAGGCTGGGATTGGTAAGGCAACTTGCCCAAGGTCACCCAGCTAGAAAAGGCTAGAGGCGGGCGAGAGGGGAGCTCCAGAACCACCCCAAACACACTGCCTCCCCCACACCACTGCCTCCCCAACACTGCCTTCAAGAAAGAGAAATCGAAGGACCTGGACAATTTGCAAGCTGACTGCTCAGCTTCTGGACTCATCCACCGCGTTTGTCAGAAGTCCCTGCAGATGCCCGGCCACTATGCCAGTACTCTCGTCTCGGGCTGCACTTGGAACTGGGTGGACAGCTGTAGAAGGACTACTAGTGCCTGGGCCCACCCCTTCTCCCCACCCCCAGTGCCTCACTTAACTGTCTGAGATTCAGCCTAAGCACTGGGCTTTTAAAGTTCCCAGGTGACCGTTGCCCTCCGGGATCCATATTCTCTTCATCTGTAAGATGGGGCTAATGATGTCTCCCAAACAGGGTGGTTGTAAGGATGAAGTGTGAGGGGCCTAGGAAGGGAGGCCTGGAAAGAGGGAAGAGGACTGCTCATCGCTGGGCTGAGGCTGCAGCCACCCTGTGCTAGGTGCTGTGCTACAGCCTGGGTCACTCTGCCA
This sequence comes from Homo sapiens, assembly GCF_000001405.40. Lineage (NCBI taxonomy): Eukaryota > Metazoa > Chordata > Mammalia > Primates > Hominidae > Homo > Homo sapiens. Next base: position 101,120,913 of record NC_000008.11, on the reverse strand, counting down.
GGACCTATAGGCTCCCTGCTTGGGGCATGGTGCCCTGACCCTCGGCTCACGTCTGCCCAGATCCTTACAGCTGATGGAACCCTTTGCTCCAAGAGACGAGGTTGGCACACCGTGGTCTCAATAAATGTTTGTCGAGTAAACAGATGAAGATGTCCTTCGATCTTCACAACAGTTTTGAGAAGCAAAATGAAAAAGGACTCTCCCTTGACCCAATAGAAAGGGAAGTTTGGACTCACCTCAAGGTGCTGTCACTAGCCATGTGTTCCAGAGCAGCAACATAACTTCTCAAAGCCTCTGTCACTTCATTTGTAAAGCAGGACTTTGTCACTATTGCTAGGTTATAGGACTATCCTGAAGAGCTGCTGAGACAACATACGGGGGAAACATTTCTATAAATTATTTTTTGATGAGGGAATTGAGGTTTATAGGGGTTAAGTGACTTGCCCACAGTCAATCAGTAAATTGTGAAGCCAAAACTTAAACTCGGGACCAGAGAGTTCCTGGGCGTGAGACAAACAAACGAACAAACAACAACAACAACAACAAAACCCCAAAACACTCAAATAATATGTGGTTGCAGAGAAGGGATGCAGATATTTGAAGAACAGACCTGAGGCTGTGTCAGCCCCCAAGGCACATCTGATGGGGAGTGTGTTGAGTTGAACTTTGCAGGAGGGAAGGGCTAGGCCTTTGGTAAAGTTTTTTTTTTTTTTTTTTTTTTTTTGAGACAGGGTCTCCCTCTATCACCCAGGCTGGAGTGCAGTGGCACCATCACAGCTCACTGCAGCCTCGACCTCCTGGGTTCAGCCAATCCTCCCACCTCAGCCTCCTGAGTAACTGGGATCACAGGCGCATGCCACCACATACCTGACTAATTTTTTTTTAATAGAGGTCTCACTGTGTTGCCCAGGCTGGTCTCAAATTCCTGGGCTCAAGCAATCCTCCTGCCTAGGCCTCCCAAACTGCTGGGATTACAAACATGAGCCACTGCGCCTGCCAGTGAAGATGCTTTTTGATAGGAGGACCAGCCTAGGAGAAAATTCAGAGATGAATAAGCAAGGTATTTTGTTTGTCCACAACAGAGAACCTGACAGGGAAGCTAAGAGGGAGGAAGCAGCTGTGGGGGAGGAACATTTGTCATTTCCAGAGGACACTGCTGCCAGGAGAGGGGCTCTCTGTAGCCCAGAGAGCCGTGGAGAGAGGGCTCCCCAACTCACAGCGCAGGAGGAGGGGAGTCAGAGCTGCTCTGCGCACAAGCTGCCCTGGAGGCACACTAGACAGGGAAGGGGCCGTGCATCACTGACCACCTGTCATGTCACCTGTGATCACAGTAGGATCGGGTGAAGGCCTCATACCCCCTGGTGTGATTGTCATTTTCCACCCCATTGTACAGGTGGGGCTCGGAGAGTTAGGTCACTGGCCACTTCCTAGAATCCCTCCACCCCAACACACCCTGGCTGCCCCCCTAGTGCATGCTGGGACCCCTCCAGCCCCAGAATCCACATGTCTGCTCTCCCCAGTGAACTCCAGGGTAGCTCCATGCGGGGAGCCTGGCAGGCAGGCTGGCATTACCTAATTGCTGGCCGGCTTCTTTTATCCCTTCATTTTTTCAAGCTGCCTGGTTCTAAAAGTCTCAGACAGACAAATGAGACTCCAGCCTTGTTCTGTTCGAGCTCCAGCAAAAGGAGGAGATCACAGGCTGTCGCCTCAATGGGGCAACAGCCAGATCTAAAGGCACAAAGCACTGGGGGCAGCGGATGTCTTTAGCGAACGACAAAGCCCAGGCCAATGCCCTACTTACGGCTGAGACTTTTCTTCTTGGGCTGTGTCTTGTGCTGTGAGGTGCCTGGGGTCAGCACTGCTAGTGCCAGGACTTGATCATCAGCCAGCCTCCCTGGGGAGATGAGCCCTTGTTAGGGCCAAACCTCAGCATCCTAAAAGCCTCTCCTACCTCAACCAGGCAGGTGTTTCTGGGTTCAGGGGAGAAAAATCTAGTCAGAGGAATGCATACTGCTGCATGGCCTCAAACAGGCCTTCAGGCTTGGGGACTGGAGCCGACTCCCCAGGGCAGAATAGGTACAGGCTGCCCAGCTGTAAAAGCAGGGCTCTGCCCCTCTGGGCTCCAGCTCCAAGGCTGTGGCACCTACCTGGGAAAGAAAAGTCCCTGGAGAAGCCGAGCAGATCTGGCCTCGTCCTGTCCTTGTCCTGGCTGGTAGGTGGAGTGGATAGAGCGTCCCTGACTCCCTCCTTGAACTGTGAGCATCTCCAGGGCGGGAACTGTCCCCCATAGGACTTGCTATCTCCTGGCACATGTTAGCATTTACTGGGGCCAAGCACTGTTCTGAGTGTTTTAAGTAAACTAATCCACTTAATCCTCACCTCAACCCTAGGAGGTGTTACTCCCATTTTTCAGATAGAGAAACTGACACACAGAAAGATTAGCTTCAAAAAGCTCATAAATGGGGAATTGAATCCAGGCAGCCTGGCTCCAGAACCCAAATTATTAGCCATTATACTGTACTGAATAAGTAAATAATACATGAATATATGAAGAAAGGAATGAACGGCTTGTAGAGAGAATGACATGAAAGTTCTCTGTTCAAAAGTATTTCCTCTATTAACAGTTTCAGGGCCTGTGAATGCACTATTGAAATGCACATTCAGTTTTAACTAATGTGCTATTCTCTTCAAAAATGCTCCTAAGAAATTGGGGTGATAGCAATTATTGGCCATGCTCTGTGGCCCCCGGAATGTCTAGGGGAGGCCCAAGCTCTGGGAAGAACTTAAGCTAATACCCGAGGAGGGAGAAACAAGGAGTTGGGTGTTTCTGCAGAGAACCCTGCTAGTTATATTAATGATGTGGCACAGGGACAGGAACACAGACTGTGAAGCCTCTGAGCTGGGTGTGTCTCTCACTGGCTTTCGGGCCTGGGGTGAGTCATGCGGCCTCCCCGAGCTCCAGTGGCCCCATCTGCCAGGGAAATGCTGGTCCCTACCTGATGGCTTATGGTTAAATAAGCTATTGTAGTTAATGCATCTGGCACAGGATAGATGGTCAATAAATGGTAGCTGCTATTGTTATTAAACAAATTATAGGCAAAAAACTCAAGTCAGTAATGATCACCAGTCTGAGCCCCCTTCTTAAAGTGATGCTTGCACTGGTGACCCTATTTCTGGTCTCCTGGACACTCCAGTCATGATACTCCAAGGGCAATAGCTTCTTCTCCCAGTGTCTTTCCTGGTTGTCTTCATCCCTTCTCTTGCCACTGCCTTGGCCTGGGTTCCCACTGCCTGTCACCGGGACTCAGTCAAGTCTGAGAGATTGAGAGCATCTATGATAAAGCCAGCTGGAAGGAGCCCTGCTAAGCAGCCACCTCTGCTAAGCAGCCACCTCTGCCAAACAGTCACCTCTGCCAGTGTCCTCCTCTTTTTCTGGCTTCAACTCTTGGCACTCTAGCTTCTCTTCACTCCCCACCCCCTTTTCTCACTCTTCTCTCTCTGATCATTCCATGGGTCTCTTTGGCTTTGGTTGAGCTCTAATTAAGTTCCACAGCAGGTGGCAATGAAGACAGCTTCTCTCCTGCAAGTGCTCATCAAAGGGTTGTGCACAAGAAACTTGGACAAGAGGTAAAAAGAAGCCTGGCCCCTGGGGACAAGGATGGGGCAGTCGGAGAACTCCTCGTGCAGCCAGTGCTCCGAAGGTGCAGAGTGAAGATTTGCAGACTTGCTGTGTATCCCGGCATAATGCCGTTTGTCCATCTGCCACACTAGGACAGAAACTCTTCATTCTGAGCATATGGAAGCTGAGAAGGAGGTCGGAGGCAACAGGTGCTTAATGAAAATGATCATGAAGGTCCTGGTCATTCACTCTCCCAAGGACTAATAATAATAACTAGCCTTTAAGGAGGGGGTCATAGTTTACTCCTCTCAAAAACTCTCATTTGAACCTTGTGACCACCCCATTAGGTAGAGAGAGAAATGGTATCATTAAGCCCTTTTCAGATGAGGAAAGTGAAGTCTTGAGAGTTTAAATGACTTACCAAGGGCCCAGGCCACAGGGCTGAGCACCTGAACCATTTTCCCATCACTTCTCTCAGCTCCTTTCCAGGTTGCACACTCAGCCACTGACCTACCCAGCAGTCCCATGATGCACCATCCCCTTACTGGGCCCCGGATGCTGAGCAGTTCTGAGAAAATCATGCGGCCATGAGGACTGTGACCAGCACAGACTCCAGCCTCCAGCCTCAGCCCTCTACTTGCTCCACACCTCTTTCCCATGCATGGCCTGCCCTCTCTTCATTCCCCTTGACACACTTCCCCACTGTTTCCTCCCTCCTTTGCTATCTCCTCTGACACTTGGTGAGTCGGCCTTGCCTCCTCTTCTTCCAGATGATTGAGTTCCCGGAGCACGTTTCAGCCCCACGCATATAAACACTCCCCACTCTTGTCTTCTCTCCTTCCATCCCAGTGCCACAGGAATTCTCTTCCTGTTCAAGGCCTCTCCTCAATGCAGCTGTCAGCTCACCTGCTCCTGGCTGTCCAGGGTCCCATTCACCCATGATCCGCCAGCATCCCTAGCCCCTTCCCGCCCATGAACATGCCCTGTTACCTGTCTGGCCTTCCCTGCCTACTCTGCTTTCCTATTCAGCCTAACCTGTTGAAAGGATAGTCTGCACCAGGGTTTGTCAACCTCAGCACTACTGACACTTTGCACCAGATGATTCTTTGCTGTGGGGGCTGTCCTGGGCACTGTAGGATGTTTAGCAGCATTTCTGGCCTCTACCCAGAGGAGATGCATCCCTTTCCATTTAGAAGAAGACCAAAAGACTCTAGATGCCAGTAGTGACAGTTGTGATCATTCCCCAATGATGACAGATGTTAAGATGTTATAGTCCCCCCGACCCAGTTGCTATAGTTGTTGGCAACTTCCAGTTATGACAACCAACCAAAAATGTCTCCAGATCTTGCCAAATGTCCCCTGTAGGACAAAATCTCCCACCATTGAGAACCATTGGTCTACACTGTCTATTCTACTTCATTATCCCCAGCCATTCATCAATTCACTTGTAATTCAGTTTCCATGTCTTCTCCAATCTCCTGGAACTGCTTTAGCAAACATTCCCTCCACCCCATATTATTAGATCACTTGTGTTCATGTCACTGACCCCTGCTGCCCTAGTGGAGCTGTTTACCACTCCTTCCTTCTGGAGCCTCTCTGCTCTAAGGGCTCTGAATACAGGTCCTGTTAGTTGCCCTCGTAATGCCAGCCTTTTTCCTACCTTCTGTCAGTGGGAGCTCAGTTTCTACTACAGAGGCTGAAATATTATTCACTTTCCCAGCCTCCTTGCAGTAGGACAGGGTAATGAGATATAAGGGAGAGTCTACCTTAGAGAACTTCTGGGAAATATTTTCTTTCCTGATAAAGGGGAAGGAGGGACGCAAGGAGAAAGCCACATTATTGGTCAAAGTGTGCTGTTGGGTGCTGCTGCAGCCATCTTGCAAACACGAGAAAAATCCCAAGTGAAGCCTGGCTTATAAAGAACTGACCCAGCCCTGGAATTGCCTCCTTCTAGATGTCTTACAGAAGAATAGATGTTCCTATTAGATAAACCAATTTTAGTCAGCTATCCCATTATATGCAGTCAAAATATCTTAATGGATCCAGTTTCTGAGACTGTACTCTGTCCTTATCCTCCTCAGACTTCTCTGGCTGATCCTTCACCATCTGTTTCTAGGTCTCTTCTTCCTGCTCTCCTGACACATTGATGTTTCTGGGGTCCACTGTTCTTCTCACTCCCGTCCACTCCCTTCGTTTTCGTCTTATCCTAGATGCTGATGTCCCACAAATCTGAATCTCACCAAGCATTCCTTTTGCCTGGGCTTTAGCCCCTTTGCTCCAGTGGTCTGCTCACACATACTCACTTTGTGGCTTCTTTTGCCAGCCCCCTCCTAATGCTGGGGTTTCTCAGGGCTCATTCCTGGGTGCTTTGCCCTTTTCTAGCTATACTGTCCCTCCCTGGTGACCTCTTCCGTTCATACATGTTTCAGTGCCATTTATATATTGAAAACCCAAATTTATGTCTAGATCCGAGAGTTCTCTGTTGACATCTGGACTTGAAAATGCAGCTGCCAGTTTGCTGTCTTGACTGGGAGTGTCCCACAGAGCCTCATACACACAGGCCCAATCCTCAGCTCACCCCTTTCCCTTAGAAACTGCTCCTGCCTGTGTCCTCCAGCTCAGCGACTCACACCACCGTCCTCCTGACAAGCACCTATGGCTTAGCAGGATGCCTCCTTCTCCTCATCCGGCATGTACCAGGAACTACCAAGTCCCCCAGATTTCACCTACAAAACAACCGTCAACTCTGCCCCTTCTCCTCGCCACTGCCTTAGTTCTGGCTGCTGTGGGTGCTGCAGTCGCCTCCCAGTTGCCCTCACCACCTCCATTCTTGCTTCCCTCCCATCCACTCTCCACCCCACCATGCAGAGGGACATTTCTAAATGCAAACCGTACCATGTTATTTTTCTGCTTAGAATTCCTCAGTAACTCATCATTCCCCTCTACCCGCGATTTTCAGGCGGCTTTTGGCATCAGACCTCCGGTATAAAATAAAATAAAGCAGAATCGTTAACAGTTGAAGTTAGGGAAGGGCGCTGAAGACCCTCCCAGATCCTCAGCCTTCCCCTAGTCCAACACACACATAGGCACACATAGACACACACACATATGCCAGTTCCTATGTTTGTTTTGTGCAGACCATAGATGCTATCTAGTCTGCCCCACCTGAATACACAGGAAGGTCCTCTGTCACGTCCCTGGTAACATCCATCATCTGTTGGATACTTCCAAATGACATGCAGCTCACTACTTTACATGACCCACTTCAGGGTCATACAGGTTGAATATCCCTTATGCAAAATGCTTGCAATCAGACATGTTTCAGATTTCAGATTGGGGAGTATTTGCATTATACTTACTGGTTGAGCAGCCCTAATTGGAAAATCTGAAATTTGAAATGCTCCCATGAGAATTTCCTCTGAGCATCATGTCGGCGCTCAAAAAGTTTTGCATTTTGGATTTTCAATGTTCAGATTAGGAATGCTCAATAATTTTGAAAGTCAAAAAATTATTCAAGCCATTTTTGTGACCACTCGCCATTTAGGGCCCTGCCTGTAAGTTGGTACTGGCAAGCCTTGCCTGTCAGCCTCAGTAGGACTTGGGGGTGGCTAGGACGAATTTGCAGTTGGGTGTGAACAGAACAGAGGATGCTCTGAGCACCCATTACATTACCACGCAGCGCTATCTCAGCAGTCCATTGTTGGCATGTATTTAGCCACTTGGGGCAGGCTGCTAGTCATCTGTGAAACCAGACGACTCTAAATCATAGAAGCAATACTTCTGCTCGAGTTTCTTCTCCCTAGAGAATTCCAGGCCACTCTGCATCTCTGGAAGGGATGATATTGTCACATACAGCAGAGGCTCTGGAACGCAGACGACTCTAGTTTCAAACCCCAGCTCTGCCACTTAAGAGGCATGTGACTGGGACTAGAGGCCCACTCTGAGCCTCAGTGTCCTCATCTGTAGGGTGGATCATCATTAGGATAAGGCCTGTGTCTATCAAGTGCCAAGTGCTGTGTAATTTCTCAATAATTGTTAGTTGTTAGGGGACACCCTTCACCAGCTCTTCCAGCCTTCCCACCTGACTTGGAAGTAGGTGCTTCTACACTCTGTGAAGCAAGGGAGGAGTAGCTCATGACCCTCTCCTCACACCTCACTCACTGCCCCCTGAGTCAGGGGGCAATTTGACTAACTGATGAGTTTGCACATCCTTGGCTGAGTCCCCCCTACCATCTTATTTAGACACCTGCGTCCTTGGGGTCAGCTGTCCAGGCAGCCTCAGTCCCCACGAGGGGAAGAATCCAATCTGCCATTGAGGGCAGGAGGATTAGGGCGTCTCTTGTGGCCACTGCGTCTAAGCACTGAATCCAGGGGGATGCTTTCTATTGGTCTCCAGCCCCCATAGTGGCTTTAGAGAGGTGGGTCCAGGCAGCAGGTGAGAGCTTGTTTAGGGTGAATGTCAGGGGTCCTCTGGGTCTGAAAATCCTGGATTCTAAGTCTGTTAGATGAGAGACCATAAGGGGGTGCGTCTGTCTCACCCACCCTAACATCTGGGGAACTAAAAATCGCCCCTCGCTTCCTTGCACAGGAGCGGGAGGAGACCGGAAAGGACCAGGACAAAATGGGGCCCTGGCACCTTCCTGGACATGCGGCAGAGCCCCGTGGAATCAGGGACTGATGCAAGTGGAGTACTTAGCACACTGCCTGGCACAGATGAGTGCTCAGTGCATGCTGGCCTGTGGTGCTGGGTGTTAAGAGGGGCAGCTTTTATTGGAAAGAATAAAGAATCATAAGCATAAAACATCTGGTCACAGCCTCTCCTGCTGCCAGGGCCCTTGGTGGCTTACCATGGTCTCAGGAGCAAAGGGCCCCCTACCAGAGCTTGAAAACCCACACAGTCACCCCATCGACCTCCTGGCCTCCGCTCCTGCTGCTGCTCACCTGTGCCAGCCAGAAGGAAAGTACTTCCTTCAGTTCTTCAAGGGCCTCTTCTTGTCTCAAGACACTTGCACTCAGGAACTTGCTCTGTTGCACTTCCCTCCACCTAGTCAAGGCCTAAACAGCCTTATTCTGACAGGTCATAGTTCGCTTCCTTAAGAAATGACCTCTGACTGTTCCTGGTTCCCACCCCATCACGTGTGTCCCTTTGTGACCATCTCTCCAGAACCCAGGGAGAGCTGTCCAGTCAGCACCCTGCTGTTAGGATCTGGCTGCTCACCAGGTAGAGACATCCAGGGAAAAGTGGCCCTAGGGAAGAGATGCAGCCTTAGGCAGGGAGTAGCTCTGGGTTTCCCCGGCTGCTGTCATCACCCCTGCATGCCCACACCTGGAGCCTCCATGTGCCCTGTTTCCAGGTATCTCTTGGAACCCAGGCTCCTCAGCCCCATCCCTTCCTTTGCAGGGGCAGGTGTCTGGAAGAGCGCTGGTGAGCACAGGTCCACAGCCACATGACAGTTTCAGCCTCCGGGTTGGGGCAGGAGGCAGGTGGTAGCCAAGGCACTGCATTCTTCTCCGAGAAGAAATGAGAGTTGCTTTTTAAAGCCCAATTACTGCTCAGGTACAAGAGTGATTGTACAGCACATTCACATGTGGCTGAGATTTATATCTCATAAGGCAAGAGCTGGCACCCAACTTGTCTGCCTTTCTGGCTTGTCTAACTTGGTTGTGCCCAGGGACATGGCTCAGTTTGTCACACAGGCTGAGAAGTAGCTGAGGAATGTTTGTGAAGGCAGAGGCCAGTGTTAAATGAGATAAACTCCTAGAACATGCTTTGGAAACAGTATATGATGGGGCAAAATTGCTGTCACCACTTTTGTCCACTGAGGTTTAAAAAGGCCTGCCTGGGAGGACTGAATAAAGGGGAGAGAAAAGAAATATCCAGGGTGGTACTATTTGTATGATAATTTGCAGAATCCATTAGACAAGTGCCTTGAATGATCCTAGGGCTTTCTCCACTTGCAAGATCAGGCAGGAAATTAGAGTGCTGTCTTCAAGTGATAATAATTATTAATAATAGCAATTAACAGTAATTATCTGTCAAGTATTGTGCTAACCACTTCACATGTCTGTGATGGTTAATTTTATGTGTCAACTTCACTGAGCCACAGGATACCCAGATAGTTGACCAAACATTGTTCTGGGTGTGTCTGTGAGGGTGTTTCTGGATGAGATTCACATTTGAATTGGTAGACGGGGCACAGCAAATCGTGTTCACTAATATGGGTGGGCCTCATCCAATCAGGTGAAGGCCTGAATAGAACAAAAGGGTTCACCCTCCCTTGAGTAGGAAGGAACTTTTCCTCCTTTATTGCTTTGAGCTGTGGCATCATCTTTTCTGGCCTTTAGCTGGGAGCTCACACCTTCAAGACCCTCCTGGGTCTTAGGCCTTCATACTGGAGCTGGAATTAAAACATCAGTTTTCCTGGGTCTCCAGCTTGCCAACTCCAGATCTTGGGACTTGTCAGTTTTCATAATAGCATGAACCAATTCCTTATAATACATTTCTCCCCCACCCCTTGTCTATAATATATATACATGCTGTTGGTTCTGTTTCTCTGGAGAACCTTAATACAATGCCTCATCTCATTTAATTCTTTTTTTTTTTCTTTTTTTTTTGAGACACAGTTTCACTCTGTCACCCAGGATGGAGTGCAGTAGCACAATCTCGACTCACTGCAACCTCCACCTCCCAGGTTCAAGCAATTCTCCTGCCTCAGCCTTCCAAGTAGCTGGGATTACAGGCGCCCACCACCATGCCCAGCTAATTTTTGTATTTTTAGTAGAGAAGGGGTTTCACCATGCTGGCCAGGCTGGTGTCAAACTCCTGACCTCAGGTGATCCACCCGCCTCGGCCTCCCAGAGTGCTGGGATTACAGGCGTGAGCCACCGCACCTGGCCTCATTTAGCTCTCATTACAGTGCTGTCAGAGAGGGACTGTTATCTTCTCCATTTCATAGATAAAGAAACTAAGGTTCATACATGCCAGATGACCTGCATGGTCACACACAGCCTGGAGTGGCAAAGCCAGGAGCACACCCGAGCCACCTGACTGAGTGCAGCACCTCCCACGTGCAGAGTGACCTGGCCAAGGAGCACTTTACAAGAAGGGGTTAACTCGACACCCGAGTCCCCTTAGGCCAGAGCACCTCAACCCTGGTGGCACATCACAATCAAAAATACCAATGACTGGGCTGCATCCCAGGCCAAGGGACTCAGAATCCTAGGGGGAGGTGGGTCTGCGAGCCACCCAACTGGACATGTTCTAAAAATGTCTCAGGTGGCTTCAGGACAGCCAGGGGGTGGTCAGGAAGGGCCCCCGAGGCTGCATGGGGGAAAGGGGCTGCCCATGCTGAGCCCCTCCCTCCCTCCACCCTGCCCCCTCAGGACGCTGGCTTGCACCCTGATCTTGGCAGAGCATGGCCTTTCGCAGCTGCCCAGAGGGCCCCCCTGCACACTCTCTGGTTAACACATTCCACCTGCAGCCGGGCAAACTAGCACAGCCTCCAGGCCCAAGAGAAAACAGACTAAAAGTCTCCTTTTTTTTTTTTTTTTAATTGGGTCAAGAGAAAAACAGAATTATAAAAAATGCAAGTCATGGTTAGAACTCCTGTGGTGCTCAGGACGCTGCTCTGCTCTGCGTCCCCTACATGTGAGAGCCAGTAGTACTGTGAGGGGGATGGGACAACAGTGACAGCAGCATCAGCAATGGCCACTTAGCCACCGACAGCGGCATCGCGTGCCAGGCACCGTGTTGGCTGCACTCCTGCATCATCTCAGCCTGGCCTCGTGGACGACCCGTGATTAGCTATTATTAAGGCCCTTTTACAAATGAAGAGGCTGCCATGAAATAACTGGCAGGGCGGACCACTAGGAAGCGAGCCAGCTTTGCCCGGGGCACAGCCGCGCACAGCCTCAGCGGGGGTGTGCTTGGCCATATCTTCTGGGTGGTCTTGTCTCTTCTCACGGGTTGCACTCAGGTGACCCGAGACCCCCAGAACTGGGAGCCAGCCAGTGCTGGCCGCACACAGAGCTCCGCCCGGCTGAAGGTCTCCCTCCGCCCCTAGGCTGCTCTGCGGTTTGGAGCAATCAGGAGAGAACAGTCAACCTGTTGTGCTTTCACGTGGCGGATGTGACAGACCCTCCAGGACCTGGGCGGAGGGGGGGGGGGGGTCTGCGAATACCCTGGGGGTCTCGCATGTACCAGACCCAGCGGGACCTCGGCTTCTCCTCCCGATGACCTTTAGGAAGGACTCCCTGTCCTGTCTGTTTTCTGAGCTGCTCCTCCACAAGCCTTCCCACATCGCTCCCACCTGCAGATGCAAACCCAGCGGGGTGGGAAAGGAAGGCCAGAGCAGGGCAGGAAGGACCCACTTCCGGTGTCACATGCTATGCCGTAGACGTCATCTTCCTCTCTGCATTAAACAATATTCACTCTTTCATTCGGTTTACATTCATGAGCCCTTGGGCTGAGTTGGGGGCTGGGGCTGCCAAAATACACAGCCAGCAAGCTGGTGCATCTTGTGGTTAGTGGAGTAAGTGAACAGTTACAAGTTGTCATGCAATATCAGAAGCATATTCAAACTCCAGCGGTAGCCCAGAAAGGGTGTGGCTAATTTTGCAGTAGTGTGGGGTGCTGAGTCAGGGGACTCCAGAAAGATCATTTTAAATAGGACATGGCCTCTGAGCACACTGGCCAAGCTTAGCCTCCTCCCTGAAGCTTGATCAGGCCATTCCCACCATCCCAGGTCTCCCCTGTTCAGATGCAAACAGCACATCAGCCTCCACGCCACAGCTGCACTCAATTCTGCAGACAGTTCTGTCTTGCTTTGCTCAGCAATGTTTGTTTGGTTGTTGCTATTGTTTTGTTTTGCCCGTGGCCTCCTCTCTTAACTGGATTTTAAGTTCCTTGAAGGCAGGGATTATTTCTGGTATTTTGCTGTCTCTAGGAGCTGAGTCAGTGTTGAGCATCATGGAATGCATAGTAAACACTTCTTGAGTTAGCGGCTGAAAGGTGATTGAAGGGTTGGGACCTCTCAATTTGACAGCTGGTACCAAGCAGGGTGTAGAAACTCAATGAGGACAAAAGTGGAGAGAGGGAACTGTGTTGCTGCAAGAGATGCTTTTTACCTGAGAACGCGTAAAGCAAACATTTAACCTGGAGGAGGCTCAGTGGACAAGGGGGACAGTGTTTCAGTTTGTCACCATCTGGCTTTTCACAATATAATTTAGGACTTACACGTAGTCAAATGTAACTGTAAAATTAATTTCAAAGTCAAATGTCGGGTTGAGGATTATGTGCTATTTGGAGTTATTAAAATTACTGCTCTGTTCTACAGCAAAAGAGGAGAGGAAAGAGTCAGAGAGTCTATTCTGTTCAGAGAGCAACAAGGCTCAAAGAGGTGATATGCTTCCTTTCTAGGTTCTAGTTTTATCAGGGGGGAAAAAAGGCAAGTAAATAAGCTTATATTAAAATTATCTTTTATTATTAATTTTGTTTCCTTTTTCTTTTTTTCTCTTCTTTTCTTTCTTTTTTCTGTTGCCCAGGCTGGAGGGCAGCAACGCAATCTCAGCTCACTGCAGCATCGACCTCCTGGGCTCGAGCAGTCCTCCCGCCTCAGCCTCCCAAGCAGCTGGGACTACAGGTAGGTGACACCATGTCCAGCTAATTTTTTTATTTTTTGTAGAAACAGTGTCTGACTTGGTTGCCTAGGCTGGTCTCAAACTGCTGGGCTCAAGTGATTCTCCCACCTCGGCCTCTTAAAGTGCTGGGATTACAGACATGAGCCATCGCACCTGGCCTAGTATTAATTTTGATCAGGGTACTATGCATATCTTGTTTAAACATCAATAGGTACTACAGGGTTTATCATGAAAAGCAGAGATTCTTTATAAGCACTTTCAACTCTTTTTAGACACTTTTCTGATATTTCCCTCCATAGGGGTGTGTGTGCGTGTGTGTGTGTAAAGATAGTATCTTGCTCTGTCTGATACACAGGCTAGAATGCAATGGCATGATCACAGCTCACTGCAGCCTTGAACTCCTGGGCTCAAATGATCCTCCTGCTTCAGCTGGGACCACAGGTGCATGCCACCACACCTGGCTAATTTTAAAATTTTTTGTAGAGACAGGGTCTCACTATGTTGCCCAGGCTGGTCTGGAACTCCCGGCCTCAAATGATCCTCCTCCATCGGCCTCCCAAAGTGCTGGAATTACAGGCATAAGCCACTGTGCTCAGCCTTTCTCCATAGTTTTAAGTAATATATTTCTTGATTCTTTTCATTTTACACACATAATAACTTCCTCCTATGGAAGAGGAGAGTTTTGCTTTTACATAATATACACACATGCACGTTCACAATCATTCTTCAATATAGTATTTCACCTTTTCTGGATAAATTAAAACTCAGAATTTATGTTGATATGCCTCTGTAAATAGAAGTATTGTTTATAGATAAGCTGCAGAGTTTACTATAGTGGCATTTCCTTTCTGGTACAATGTTTTGTTTCTCCTGGAGTTAATAATCACAGTGTTTATGTTTGCTCAAATTTTTAGGCACCTTTCACGAATTCTTCCAACCTCTTCTAAAAACTCTTCTTAATATAGGCAAAAGCACGAAGTAAGCAATCAGATCTTCTGTCCTTGTTATGTTTGAATCCAGATGTCTAGTGTCCTTCATCCTGCTGCTTCACTCTGAACTGATAGGTGTCTAGGCCAGGGGTCCCCAATCCCCAAGCCATGGACTGGTATTGGTTCATGGCCTGTTAGGAACCAGGCCCACAACAGGAGGTGAGTGGCAGCAATTGAGCATTACTGCCTGAGCTCTGCCTCCTGTCGGATCAGCAGCGGCATTAGATTCTCATGGACCACGAACCCTACTGTGAACTGTGTGTGTAAGGGATCTAGGTTGCACGCTCTTCATGAGAATCTAATGCCTGATGATCTGAAGTAGAACAGTTTCATCCCAAAACCATCCCCCAACCCTGTCCAACCCCATCCTAGCACATGGAAAAATTGCCTTCCGTGAAACTGGTCCCTGGTGCCAAAACAGTTGGGGACTGCTGCTCTAGACCTACTACGCTATGTTGCTCTGAAATTTCCTTCACCTCTCTCCTGTGTTGAACTAGCTGTTTCTTGTGTCACTTTTTGTTCGTTTACTCCCTTGTTTTAGTGAAGTACAACCTTTAGTAACTTCTTGAGAAAGGGTCCACAGAAAGTGAATTTATTTAGACTTTTCTTATCTGAAAAACTCTTGAATTCATCGTCACATTTAATTGATGATGCAAAAGTCATTTTCCTTCTGAATCCTGAAAGCATTGCTCTGTTGTCTTCTAGTTTCCAATGGTGTTGCTGAGACATCTGAATGCCATTTTGATTCCTGATCCTACATGTTTTCTTCTGGAAGTTTTACAATCACCTCTTTATCCCTGGTGTTTTAAAAATGTACATTGATTTATCTATGTTTTATCCAATGTTCCAGGCACTTCATGCAAATTTTATGATATTTCTTTAGTAGTTTTCTACTCTCCATTTTTGCTCTCCTTTCTTTCTGAAACTCCTATTAGTTTGAGGCTGGACTTCTTTAGTTGATTCTCTGTTATGGTTTTTGGGGTTTTTTTGTTTTTGTTTTATCTTTTCTTTCCTATTGCTCATTTATCTTTTTATGCTATTTTTTCAACACTGCTATTCAACTCTTCTACTGAAGCATTCATTCCTTTTATGAACTCCTTAATTTATACAAGCATTTTCTTATTCTATAAATGCTCCTGTTTTTATCCTGTTCTTGTTTCATGTATGAAATATCTTCCAGTTCCTTAAGGATATTGATTTTAGTTTATTTGGAGCTTTCTTCCGCTTCCTGCATTATTTCAGCTTTAGGGTTTTCCGGGTTTCTTTTTCTGTTTGGTTAGTTGGATCCCTGGCATTTGTGTTAGAGGTGTTCCTTGAGCCTAACATACGTCTGAAGATGCTTGGCTGTCCTTCATTCTCTTCATATTTAAGAAAGGCACCTTTAAAAAAAAAAACTATTTGGATATTCTGGGTGTGTAGCTATTATAATTCTTACAGCTTGGGCTCTGAAGTCAACTAGTCCTATCTTCATCTTGTTTATCCTCTAGCTCCGTTACCTTGCGCTAGAGAGCCAACTTCTGTCAGCCTAATTTCCTTATATGTTAAAATGGAGATGGAGATAATAGTAAGGACCAGGGCTGGGACCAGGGTCTGATACTCTCAGGTGCTGATGCTGCACTTGTGTGACTCTGAAAATGAATATCTCCTTAAATTTTGTGCCAAGTGCCTTACTTCCCCCTCACATCCTCCCCAACAAGCTTACACGGTAGCTTGGAGTACTCAGCAGAAAAATGCATTGTAGGTGTTTGGCACCAAACTGGCATATGGTAAATGCTCAGTAGACATGAGCTGTTAATTACAACACATGTGACTTAAAGATTATTAATGTAAACTATTTATTTAATACACACATATTTTTAATGTATTAAATAAGTATTTAGTATGTTAAAACTATTTAATGACATTAACATATTTATTCACATTTGGTGCTCTGACTATGAAGTGAAGAGAATTAGAAAAGAGAGGGAAAATGGAGGGGTTACCCAAAAACTAGTGTGAAGAAAGGATTATAATGATGAAAAATAGAAAAAACAAAGGGAAAACAATCCAAATCTACCGAAGAAAGGCTCACCTGGGAGACAGAAAACAATGTCAAGGAAACAGGCTGGAGATGCAGCTTGAGCAATTTTGTTGGTGAAGAGAAACGCCATCGTCGTAATGAGGAATGAGTTAATAAGAAAAGGCTGGAGTCCCTTTCTCTTAGGAAAAGAGGGAGTGATTGATTGATTGAAGCTTCCTGAAGGAATACAAACAGCCTGAAGCCTGAAAGAAGATGCTCTTCTATAGCCTGTTTCCTGGTTTGGGTGCACGCCAGCCACTGCTGCTGCTTCCCCTGTTTTAGTTGATCGTTGGTGTTCTGGGCTTGTGGCTCAAGGTGAGTTAAGTCAGGAGCGAGAGAAGTTTATAGGAATCAGAAATAAATACACAAGCACTAGAGATGCCTTTCATTCTTAAGATTATGGGAAATAAAACCATTATGAAGAAAGAAAGAAAATCCCCCAACACCACAATGAAGTGAAAAATCAAGATCAATTTAGAAAAATATAAAAGGTCCAAGGAAATGTTTTTGTTCTTCAAACTTATTGCCCTTTGCAATTTAAGAGCTCTGTGTTTCTGGGCTCAGTTTAATGTACGCACAGAAAGCGATGTGAGTGCCTTGACGCTCTGCTCCTCTTTGGGCCTAAAGGCTGTGGGGTGGCCTTCCTGGACGGGGGAGCGGAAGGCCAGCAAGGCTGAGACCTCTGGGAGAGAGAGAGGGAGAAGATACACTCACCACCTCCCAGGCCTGCTTCACAGAGAATCTAAGAAGCCACCAGTCGCAGGAGCACATTGTTCAATAAACCATTGGAACTTCCTGGAATCCCATGATTTCTTTGTGTTCTGGTGACATTTAGGGAATTGATTGAAAAATCAAAGCTATTTAAAAATGAAATAAAGCACTCCTGCGGGGTGTTTGATCTGTCACTCAAACGTTTACTGAGGAGCTTAGGCATCCTGGGAGGAGTGAAGGCCGCCAACACTGTGTGCTGGGGGAGGGGCAGGCACTCTGGAGGGGTGGACAGGAGGCAGGTTCTTACACAAGGTCAGAAACAGTGGAATAAAATTATTATTTCATTTGAGCTGGAGCATCTGACTGGCCCACCTTCTTGGAGTTACGGCAAGAACTAAGAGTGTTGGCACAACCGCTCTTGTGTCCAGGGGCGGAGGGGAAGCGGTTTCTGGCTTCAGTGGAAGGACACTCCCATCTGCTTTAGAACATGAGTTCTGGTCTCAGCAGAGATGGGGCAGGTCCTTTGCAGCTTGAACTCCCAGGGACCTCCTCTGAAAAATAGGCATCCACTACTACCCACATTTGCTGGTACGACAATCAGTGAGACAACACAGCACGGTGTTAGTCTCAGGGATGCACATAGAGTAAGTGTTCATTACTTGGCAACTGTTATGGAGAACCTGATTAAAGTGGGCTGCACAGTTTGGCCCCTTTCCTTTTGGAGTTTGCCTTAAACAAGTTCATTGCTGGTGTTCATTGGTCTCCTAAGGGCCCAGCTGAGTACCCAATGCTGGGAGACTGGCACTGCTGTCAGCCATTCATTCTTTCAGCAATTATTTATTGAATACTTACATGTGCCAGACATAGTCTGGTTGCTGGGCATCTAGCAGTAAAACATCCCTGTCCTTGTGGAGCTTACGTTCACTACAGAAAACAAACAAGAAAATACATGGTCCGTCAGGGAGTGATGCATGCTATAGAAAAAATAACAGGGTAGGGAGGAAAGGGAGCATAGGGTTGGGGTGGGAGGTGGCTGGGGTTTTTTTTATTTTTTATTTTTTGAGACAGGGTCTCACTCTGTCACCCAGGCGGGAGTACAGTGGCTTGATCTCTGCTTACTGTAACCTCTGCCTCCCGGTTCAAGCGATTCTAGTGTCACAGCCTCCTGAGTAGCTGGGATTACAGGCATGCACCACCATGCTTGGTTAATTTTTGTATTTTTAGTAGAGATGGGGTTTCACTATATTGGCCAGGCTGGTCTCAAACTCCTGGCCTCAAGTGATCCACCTGCCTCTGCCTCCCAAAGTGCTGGGATTACAGGAGTGAGCCACTGCACCTGGCCAATGGCTGTTTTATATGGGATAGTCAAGGGTGGTCTTGATGTGAAGGTGACATTAAGTTGACCTGAAGGAAGCAAGGGAGATGTATTTATAATTACAAGAAGAGCCGATTGTGATGGCTCACACCTATAATACTAGCACTTTGGGAGGCTGAGGTGGGAGGATCACTAAAGGCCAGGAGTTTGAGACCAGCCTGGGCAACATAGTGAGACCCTGCCTCTACAAACAATAAAAAATTAGTCAGGCATGCTGGTGGCTACTCAGGAGGCTGAGGCAGGAGGATCACTTGAGTCTAGGAGGTCCAGGCTGTAGTGAGCTGTGATTGTACCACTGCACTCCAACTTGGGCAAACAGAGGGAGACCTTGTCTCAAAAACAATAATCAATCATAATTAGAGAAATAATATTCAAGATAGAGGAGTGTGGCAGACTGAATAATGGCTACCAGAGATGTCCATGTCCTAATCCCCAGAACTTGTGAATATGTTGGTTTACTTTGCAGACATGATTAAATTAAGGTTCTTGAGACACTGGGATTATCCTGGATTATCTGGGTGGTCTCAATGCAAACTCAAGCGTCCCTATAAGAGGGAGGTATGAGGGGCCGGGTGTGGTGGCTCACGCCTGTAGTCCCAGCTACTTGGGAGGCTGAGATATGAGAATCTCTTGAACCCATGAGGCGGAGGTTGCAGTGAGCTGAGATCGTGCCACTGCACTCCCAGCCTGGGCGACAGAGAGACTCCATCTCAAAAAAAAAAAGAGGGAGGTAAGAGGGTCAAAGTCAGAAAAAGTGATGACAAAATGAGAGATTGGAAAAGGCTACACTGCTGGCTTTGATAATGGAGGAAGCAGCCAGGAACCACGGAATGCAGCCTCTAATAAGCTGGAAAAGGCAAGGAAACAGACTGCCCCCCAGAGCCTCCAGAGAAAACGCAGCCCTTCTGACACCTTGACTTTAGGACCTCAGCTCTCCAGAACCATAAGATAATACATTCTGGATGTTTCAAGGCATCGATTTTGTGGTCATTTGTTACAGTAGCCCCAGGAGGCTAAGACAGGGTTACAGCAAGTTAAGCAGGCTGGGAGTGGAAGTGTGCTGAGCGGGGGTGGCCCTGGGATCAGCGAGGGGCCGGGTGGTGGAGTGAAGCCGACTAGCTGGAGTGGCAGGGGATAAACTCAGAGGGGGAGGGGGCCAGGTCAGGTGGGGCCCTGTCAGGCCTAGAAAGGATTCTGGCCTTTACTCAGATGGGAAACCCATGGAAAATCCATGGAAATAACCAGATGTGTGATGTGGTCTGATCTTCATTTTAGTACAGGTAAAAGATAAAGGCGACTGGAAATGTGGTGGAAGTGGAAGAAGACATGAGAATGTCAAACATTGAAAGTGTTTTCAAGGAGGAGTCAAGCATTTTGCTGATGGGGTGAATCTGGTGACAGTGAAGGATTACTGACTCCAAGGGGTTTCCCCTGAGAAATTAAAGGGATGGTGGGACATGAGCTGAGCTGGGAGAGCCTGAGGGAGGAACAGCTGTAGACTAAGTTCTGTTTTAGAGAGGGAAGTGTAAAACACGAATCAGACGTGCGGTTGAGATACAAGGTGCGGGGTTGGATGTCCAAGCCTGGAGTAGGATGTTCTGGCCGGGACATAAAGTTGGGAATCAGGAGCCTAAGGATGGCATTTGTTGATGTAAGACTGGATGGAATCACTGAGGACAGGTAGAGAAGGGGGATCAGAGGATAGAGCCCAGGGCACCCCAACATTTAGAGATCCAAGAAATGGGAGAACCCACAGAGGAGACAGAAAAGAAGCCAGGGAGGAAAGAAGAGAACTAAGTGAGTGTGACGTCTCAGACACAATGGAGCAAGGCTGCAAGAAGTGAAGAACAGCTTACGTCAAATGCTGTGATGGGTCCATTACGAAGACAAGTCAGGCCGGGTGAGGTTGCTCACGCCTGTGATCTCAACACTTCGGAAGGCTGAGGCGGGCAGATCGCCTGAGGTCAGGAGTTTGAGACCAGTCTGGCCAACATGGTGAAACCCTGTCTCTACTAAAAATACAAAAATGAGCCAGGCGTGGTGGCGGGTGCCTGTAATCCCAGCTACTCGGGAGGCTGAGGCAGGAGAATCCCTTGAACCTGGGAGATGGAGGTTGCAGTGAGCTGAGATCACGCCATTGCACTCCAGCCTGGGTGACAAGAGTGAGACTTCGTCTCAAAAAAAAAAAAAAAAAAGAAAAAGAAAAAGATAAGTCAGGCCAGGTACAATGACTTATGCCTGTAATCCTAGCACTTTGGGAGGCCAAGGTAGGAGGATATTTGAGCTCAGGAGTTGAGATCAGCCTAGGGAACATACCAAGACACCATCTCTACAAAAAATACAGAAATTAGCTGGGCATGATGGCATGCAGCCATGGTCCTAGCTACTTGGGAGGTTGAGGTGGGAGGATTGCTTGAGCTGGGGAGGTTGAGGCTATAGTGAGCTGTGATTGCACCACTGCACTCCAGCCTGGCAACAGAGTGAGACCCTGTCTCAAAAAAATAAAAATAAAAATAGACAAGTTTGAATGGATCATTAGATGTAGTAACTGCAGGTCATCCATGACCTTGGCAAGTGCAATTTCAATGGAGCAGGAGTGGAAGGTAAAAAGCCTGACTGGTGAAGGTTTAACAGAGATTGAGAGGACAGACTCTTCAGAAGTTTTCTACAATAAGTGGCAGAGAAATAGACTCATCGCTAGAGCAGAATGTAGAGACAAGAGAGGTTCTGTGCTTATTTTTTTAATTAAAAAATCAGTATATGTATGTGTTAATAAGATTATCCAAAAGAGGGAAAATTTGATGATGTAGGAGAGAGGGCAGAATTGCTGGCTGGAGTACAAGAGAAGCCGGCGACTTTAATGATGTATTATTTCCTATTGCTGCTGTAACAGATTAGCACAAATTTAGTAAGTTAAAACAAACATAAATTTATTATTTTAAACTTCTGGTGGTCAGAAATTAAGGTATCCAGATGGCTGCATTTCCTCTGGAAGCTCTAGGGGAGAATCTATTTCCTTGCTTTTTCCACCCTCTAGAAGACACCTGCATTCCTTGGCTCCTGGCCATTTTCAAATCTCTCCCTTTGCTTCTACCTGCACTTGGCCTTTTCTGACTTTGACCCTACCTCCCTCTAATGATGACTTTTGTGATTACAATGGGCTCTCCCAGAAAATCTAGGATAATCCCGCCATCTCAAGACCCTTACCTTAAATCACATCTGCAAAATACCTTTCGTCGTGTCAGCTAACATATTCGCAGGTTCTGGGCATTAGGACATAGGCATTCTACCACAAGCAGGGAGCATGGTGGTCATTCATGGACACAGAAGGGAAGGAAGAATGTGTGGGTTTGGTTGCCATTGGATGAGTAGATATGATACATGGACCGATTGCAATTCCCTTTAATATTCCTATTTCCTAAGTGAAATTAGAAGCAATGTCACCAATGGAAAGTGAGGATGGAGATGGAGATGCTAGAGGTTGGAGGACAGACAGTGAAAAAGTAGTCGTGTAGGAAAATAAGAAAATGAATGGATGAGGGAGCATGGTTGCATTTTCAGTAAGCACCAAGGATTCATTTTAATTCAAAATAAAACCAACCAGCGTGCTTGTAACGTCTTTCTCTGTCCATGTTCAACTGTGGGGTTGGATTGCTGAGATGGGGGAGTCAGACAGCTATGAAATAAACAGAGGGTTGGATTCAACCAGGACTGCAATTTTGTGAGCACCACAAGGCGAGAGAGGGTTGGGGAGTTAATGTGCCTGTGAGGTTACAGATTTGATATGCAGTTACATTGCACTCACCATTCCAATGACTCATGTGTAATATGAGTCATTGTAAGGGTGGTTGACCATGGAATTTATGTTGGGTAAGCGGGAAATGGGGAACATGAGAGTGATGAGAGACACTTAAAATGTGGTAGGATTGGTGACTTTAGGTCACAATCCAGTTGAGGAATAGCGGGAACTGGGGTTCTGGAAGGAGTGGGCAGAGCTGAGAAGTTGGGAGGTGAGTGAAGAAGTTATGAAGGTTTTGCAGTTCTCAGTAACAGGAAGGTCTAGGATCTAGGTGGGAGAGGGGACCAAGGAACGAGAGGACAGGGTGTTAACAGACCATCTCCCATGGATGTTGAAATCACCATGGATGCTGAAGAATTGCAATTGGCACAGTTGAGAGGGTGACGGAGCAGCAGGTACTCAGTGCGGAAACAAAGCAGGGTGATGCTGGGGTTAGTGGATGGCTGCACCTTGATGTGGCCTGAGGACGTGAGCTTCAACTCTGAGAGCTTCAGGTCAGTAAGTCTCATTGGTGACCCTGATGGATAGAGCCCAGGGGTCAGAAAGCCTACTGGTGACAGGCAAGAGCCACACAGTTGCCCCCATAGCCTTCTGGGGCCCCAGATATGCACACGCTCATCACTTGTCCTGCCCTTCCTGAGTTACTCCTTCACCAGCACCTCCAGAGTGCCCAGGGTGAGCCCCAGACGACACGGGACACTGCAGGTCAGACATGAAGACAGAGCCTTTGTCCTGGAGGAGCATGGAGCCTCCCACGCCCACGCCACTCAGCTCCTTCCTGCCCGAACCACTGTCCCCTGCGAGGTCAGCCGCCACCCATCTCAGAGGGTGGGTGGAGGAGGAGCAAAAGCAGCTTCTCTCTCTCTCTCTCTCTCTCTCTCTCTCGTAAAATGCATTCAAGCAATCTAATAGTAGCAGAAATCTATTTAGATTTTGTGCCTCAAATTATTCTGGCTTTCGGGAATATACAATTGCTCATACAATAAAGACTGACTGCCCCCCCCACCGCCCCCTACACACGGCAGGGCTTTGATTATGTGAGTGTACCATGCTTTTCACTCAGACATCCAACAAAAGCGGCATTTGACTGAAAAACAAAAAAACCTGTCAATGTGCTGACAAGTTACAACCATGAGTCAAACAGAGGAGGAGGCAGACCCACTCCCTTCTTTCCCTCACCTTCCAGCCGCTTTACTGGGATCCTGAGAAACAATAGAGGCCACCAGCCCAGCCTCAGGTTGCAGCCAGTCCTGAGGAGAAGCAGCACACTGAGTGTGAGAAGCATGGGCTAGCTCCCCTTGCCAGAGCCATGGCCGATGGACATCGTGTTTTCTGCACATTTTCTGCCTACCCAGAGACCATGGGTGGGAGCCTGTCATTCTGCCACATTCCACTGCCACACACACACACACACACACACACACACACACACACACACACACTCTACTTTATAATCAGGGCGTCAGTGGACCCAGACAGGGTGAGCGGGAAGGGAAAAGACTCCCCCTCAACCTCCCAGTTCTCCAAAGTGCAACCTCCATTCCAGAGACAGTAGAAATATTCAGCTTAACATGGCCAAAGACATGTTAAAAAAATCTTTAGTGGGCAATGTGTAGTGGCCTAAATACAGCCTTGGATATTGAGCTATAGAATTTTTGTGCTTTTTTTTTTCTTTTTTAACTAGAAGGTATCTGAAGCATTATTTGGCCAAACGCCTACCATTTGACAGCTCATGAATGGGACACTTACCAAAGTGAAATGACTTTCCCATTGTTGTATGCATCATAAGGGGGCTGGCTAGGACTTGAACCCACATTTCACTGACTCCTAACTCCCAAACCCATGTGCTCTTCCTCCCCAGCCCTGAGCGATCACCACCCACCCCCACCCGACCACTTGAACATAGACGCTCTCGCAATCTTTCTCTCTCTCTCCACCCCCCACCCCCACACACTCCTCTCACTTCTCTTAGCTGGCCTCAGCATTAAGCATCTTGGCCAGTTTGGATGCAAATCTCACACTCTCCCCAAATGCAAAGCAGGGAGCTAAGCTACAGTTTGGCTCTGTGACCCATAGAGGGTAGCAGGTCCCCCAGAGCAAAGAAGGCTCACTGTGTCAGACCTTCTGGGTTCTGTGGTTAGGCCCTCTCTGGGGTGGGCAGCCATGTAGTCTTTCCTGGTTCCAAAACTTCAGAGGAATTTCCCCTGAATTCTGACCTCGGATTTAGCCAGCATGATCTATGAGAAGAGACAATACTTGGCATCACGCTAGCAGGAGGAAAACTCCTGGTGATGGTTATAGAGTCGACAGGCAGCTTGCAGCAGCAGCACCTCACGCACAGTAGCCTCTACTGTGGGACCAGGCCTCTGCTAAGACATTGGAGAAAGGCACAGTGTGGTCAGCGACAGGTCCCCAGAGATTCTGGCCACCTCCTGTCATTGTAGTTCCCAACCATGAAAATAAAATTATTTTTCTATGATAAGTTTTGAAACGAAACAATGCACTAAGAATCCAAGTGATTTTTGAGACTTTTCCTTTATAAATATATTGATTTCGGGAAAAAATGTGTTCAATAATTTATTTGTTTATTCATCCATTTCACAATATTGAAGGCCTACTATGTGCCCAATATTGGTTTAGTGACTGGGAATATATCAGAGAACAAAACAGACTCTTTGCCTTTCTGGAGTTACATCCTAATAAAAAAAAGAGACAGCAAAGGAAATCTAAAGTGTGCCAGATCGTGCATTCTGTAGAGAAACAATACTGCAGAGAATGGGGATTAGAAGGTGCAAAGGGTGGGGGTAGAGTTCCCATTTTATAAACAGTGGTAAAGGAAGGCTTCGCCCACATGGTGGCATTTGAGCAGAGAAGTGCAGAAAGTGAGACTCCTGGCCACATGAGCATCAGGGGAAGGGTGAGCTGGCAGAGAAAAGGGCATGCAGAGGCCCTGAGGCAGGTCTCAGGAGCAGCAGGAAGTAAGGAGGCTGGAGCTGAGGGAAAGACGGGGAGAGGGCAGAGAAGAGGTCAGAGAAGGAGTGGAGGGTCTGGGTGGGAGGCCAGATTACGTAGGGCCCGGTGGGCCGTTTTATGGGCTTTAGCTTTTAATCTGATTGAGATGGGAAACCGCAGAAGTACTGGAGTGCAGGAGTGGCATGATCTGGGTCCTATTCTAGAAGAGTCACTTTGGATGTCCTGAGAAACGTAGGCTGTAGGAAACAATGACCCAGTAAATATGGGGAAGACCATCCAAGTGTCCCAGTGTGTGGGTCCTACCCTCAGCTTGCCAGCCCTCACCCGAGATCTCCCTCTCTCCTTACTCCTTCCCTCTGAGTTCTCATTCTCTCAGACCCTCCTACTCCCCTCACCCTTCCCCACTCCCCAGCTCTGAGGCCTGTGTCTTCCCCTCAATTTCCATCCTGGGCTGCTTGTTGCTCTTCCCTGGAGGGAGCTGGCAATTTCTTCAGACAGACAGGTTGAAGAGAGCCAGAAGAGGAAGGGGCCCCTCATGGCGCAGCCTCACAGTTAAGCACTGCAAAGCAATCCTACCTTTCATGCTGCCCGGGATGCCCCCTTGCCATAACTCCTGTGAGTAATTATGCTCCGAGTCACGGTCTCTTTCCTCCACCTCAATATGTGCTCCCTGGCTTGCATCTTTGCCTTCACCTTGTAAGCGCCCAGCCTCCAAATGCACCATGCATGCTCTGGAAAGGGTAAGGAGGTCCCCGACTGCTGCACTCGTATGCCCGAGACAAAACTAGGACATTGGAACAAAGCTCTGCTTCAAATCAGAGGAGGCGAAGATGGAGACATTGGGAGAAAATGGAAGGGAGGATGGAGGGACTAGAGTGAGGGTCAGAGCTGGTGCTCGGTAGACAGCTATGCGTCCAACCAGTGTTTACCAGCAAGCGCTCTGTGCCAGGCACTGGGTGGTAGGCGGAGAGATGAGAAAGATCTGGGGAGAAACGTGGCTGTTGACTACCATGGTCATCCAGCTTCTGGGACAGACTGGAAAGTTGGGTAATTTGTGTTGAACCTTCCCCTCTCCCCCTTTTGAGCTCCTTGTTTAACCTTCTCACCCCCTGGCAGCACCAATGTCTGGGCTTCCTCTCCACTCTCAAAACATTTCACTCTTAAAAATCTCTGTTCCTGGAAAACAGTCTGCAATTCCTCAAAAGGTCAAAGGTAGAGTTACCACATGACCCAGCAATTCCACTCCTAGGTACTGTATAGATCCAAGAGTATAGAAAACAGGTATTCCAACAAAAACTGGTGCATGGAAGTTCACAGCAGTTCTATTCCTAAGAGCCAAAATGTGGAAACTACCCAAATGTCCATCAACTGATGAACGGATAAACAAAATGTGATATATCCAAACAATGGAATATTATTCAGCCATAAAAAAGGAAGTACTATACATGCTACAACATGGATGAACTTTGAAAGCAAGATGCTAAGTCAAAGTGAGATGCAAAAGGTCATGTATTATAGGATCCCATTTATATAAAATGGCCAGAATAAGCAAGTCCATAGAGTCAGAAATTAGATATGTGGGCTGTGCACAGTGGCTCACGCCTGTAATCGCAGCTACTCGGGAGGCTGAGGCAGGAGAATCGCTTGAACCCGGGAGGTGGAGGTTGTGGTGAGATGAGATCTGCCATTGCACCCCAGCCTGGGCAACAAGAGCGAAACTCTGTCTCAAAAAAAAAAAAAAAAAAGAAGAAAGAAAGAAAGAAAGAAACTAGATTTGTGGATGCCAGGAACTTTGGAGGGGAGAGGTATAGATAGTTACTGCTTAATGGGTATAAGGTTTCTTTTGGGGTGATGAAAATGTCCTGGAGTTAGAAGTGATGGTTGTGCAACACTGTCAATGTCCTGGAAGTCATTAAATTGTACACTTTAAAATGGTTAAAATAAAACTCTCTTTTCTTCTCTGCCTCATCCAGACTTATCAATCAAAGGAAAAATGTTACCAGACTATGGAGTATTTGCATTTATTAGGGAATTTTTGAAGGCCAAAACGTAGTAAGTTCAGCAGTGTGAATCCTGAATGGAGCCGTTTTAGGCACCTTGAGAAGGGGGAGAGAAGATGATCTGAGGACAAGAGGGTCTGTCCAGTGACCCTCATGTCACACTAGCAGGACAACAGCCCCTCATCCTCTGCAGGGAGTCAGCTCAGGGGGTGTGTGTCAGGCCACCTCATTTTGAATCCTGCCCAACTCCGCCCTGCCTGCTTGTGAGGACTAAATGGCTGGTGCACTGTGGGTTCCTCCTCCAGGGGGTGGGGGGCCATATGGAGATCCAAGCGGGGAACTGGAGGATTCTAGACTCCTTGGTAGCGCCAGTAAGCCTTGGCCTAAGGGTCAATGAGCAGGTGATGTCTACACAGCCAGGCTGAGCCATCTCACTGTGTAAACAGATTAACTCTTAGTTATCCCCGAGCCTTCAGTCACTTCTTGTTTAAACACACTTCTTCTGTGGTCAATTTGGAAAGAGAGAACCCAGTGAAAACTGATCCTGGGAACAAGAGTCAGAGATTCAAGTGAAAATGCCCCCCACCATCTTTGTAGAAAATCTTCCTTTGTAGCAAAGACTGGAAGGTCTGAGCTTTAGTTTTACTTAGAAAAGTAATGATTTTCTCAGAACTCTTGAGCCTAAGCTCTTTCAGCTAATATTTAGAGAAAAAAAAGAAGGAAAGAAAGAAAGAAAGAAAGAGAGAGAGAGAAAGAAAGAAAGAAAGAAAAAGAAAGAAAGAAAGAAAGAAAGAAAGAAAGAAAGAAAGAAAGAAAGAAAGAAAGAAAGAAAGGAAGGAGGGAGGGAGGGAGGAAGGGAAGGAAAGAAAGAAAGAAGGAAAGAAAGAAAGAAAGAAGAAAGAAGGAAGGAAGAGAGAGAGGAAGGAAGGAAGAAGGGAGGGAAGGAAGGAAGGAAGGGAAGGAAGGAAGGAAAGAAAGAAAGGAGAGAGAGAGAGAAAGAAGAAGGAAGGAAGGAAGGAGAAAAAAAGAAAGGAAGAAAGGAAGGAAGGAAAAAGAAAGGAAAGGAAAAAAAAGGAAAGAAAAGAAAAGAGAGAAACGGCCTTCTTAGGTATTTCCACAAACCAGTGCTTGCCTTCCTGTGATTCACAGCCAGGTGCTGCAGCTGTGAGGAAGGAGGATGGGAAGGGGGCAGGAAGGAAAGGGAAGGATGATCTCAGCCATATCCCTGTCCATGCAGCTCCGCACCACCAATGGCAACCAACTTCCCTGGTGAGGTCTGGGGGATCCCAGTGTAGGATCCTCCATCGGGCCTGCTCGCACACCGCCAAGGCTGCTCAGAATGAACGGCTGGCCGTGGGGATTCAGGAACAGCAGAGCCAGGCCAAGGGCTATGGTGGGCAGTCTTTCTTGTCTGTCAAGACAAGCATCAAGGGAGGATAGGTTGGGAGCTGAGAACACAGAGCTGTGGCACAGGGACAGTGGAGGCAGATGGTCACTGTCTCCCTCCCACCTGGCTTCTCTGTGAAGGACGCTCTAGACACAAGTCTTGGCGTCCACCTCCAAGAGCCAAGTGGGGAAGGCAATGAAGAGCCCAGGGCCCCATGTCAGGAAGTGTGGATTCTGCGGCAGACTCCAGGACCTGCGGAGCTCAGGGAAAGGAGCTCGGTGTGGCCCGAGAAGGCTTCGTGGAGGGCTGCTTTGAGGGAGGAGGGTTGCGGGAGGAAAGGACTTTGGCTGGGTCTGCAAAGAAGATAAATATATTAACAGGTGAAAAGAAGGGGGAGCTCAGAATGTGAGGACCGTGAAGCTTAACTCTCAGTCAGCAAAAGCCACTGGATTTTGACAAGAGGATGGGGAGAAGGCAGTAATGTGAGAGTTGGGGGAGAAGGCAGTAACTGATGGCAGAATGTAAGGACATAGACTGGCCTCTGTGTCAAGGACAGATGGGGGCACTGAAGGTGGGGACAGGTCGAAAGACAGGGGCAGGATGGTGGCTGAAGCGAGATGTGTGATGGCAGCATGTTTAAGGTGACAGGGCTGATGTGGGGGCCAGGAAGGGAAGAGTCGCTGACCCTGGTTGAATGAGGATCTCCTGACGTTCCCGGCACAGGGCTGCCATGGGGTGTGACGAGAGCCAGCATGAGAAACAGATTCTCACCACAACAGGCCTGTCCCTGAGAACAGAGTCAGGTTTACGCTTCCTAAGGATTGGCTTCCTTCTTCCTCCTCCAACACAGCCTGCCCTTCCTCCTCCATTTGCTTTTGGGACTTGGTGCCATCGCCTGCACAGAAACTTGGGCCAGAAAGCTGGGAGTGGCTCTAGCCCACCGACCCCTCCCCATCTCATATCCCAGCCATATCCAGGCCATACCCTCATCTCCACAGCCACCGGCTCTGCGCTGCTTCTGCTCCCATACTCCCCACTGTGCCTCCTTCTGACCTCCCTCCCATTTGTCTGTCCTGTTGCCACCAGAGAGATCTTTCCATGATGCAAACCATGTCATGTCATTCTCAGGCTTAAGCCCCCTCGGGTGGACACTTGAATCAACTGCGATCTGCCGTCAGGCCTTTTTCCTCCTCTCTCGCCTCCCAGGAGCGTGTCTGTCTCCTCTCCCCACCTGGAAATGGCCAGTTGTCCTCTACAGATACTGGCAGTATTTTGAGGGGAAAGTATCAGCAGGAAATCTAAACTGCACACTCACAGATCACACTCCCCGTGCAGCCTCACAACTTAGGTGACTCACAGGCGCCTCAGACCTAACATGCCCAAAGCCAAGCCCTTCATTCCTTACTCCTACACTCTGTCCGGAGCCTGCCCCTCCTCTAGGTAAATGGCACCCCCACCCAGAAGTTCAAATAAGAACCCTGATTCCTCCCTTTCTCTCTTCACACCCCTACATCCAAACCATATTCCCATCTCACATTTCCCAATTCTCTCCATCCCCACTGTCCCCACCATGCCTAAGCCACCACTGTCTCCAGCCTGGACACTGAGATAGCTTAGTGACTAGTCCCCTGGCTTCCATACGCACTTATTGTCCACAGCCAAGACTTTTTTATTCTTTTGCATCTTACATTTTATTTCCTTTTTGAGCCAGTGACAAATTTACATGGAATAAAATTCAAATAGTGATAAGGGCCTAGTATCCAGATTATATAGAGAACTCTGACAACAAAAAGACAAGCAAGCCAACTAAAAAAAATGGGCAAAAGACCCGAATAGACATTTCTCCAAAGAAGACATACGAATGTACAATAAGCATAGGAAAAGATGCTCAAGGCCACTAATCATAAGGGAAATGCAACTCAGAACCATGAGATACCATCTCCTACCCATTAGGACGTCCACTATCCAAAAACCAAACAACAAATAGCAAGTGTTGGTGAGGATGTGGAGAAATCGGAACCTTGATAGGAGTGTAGAACAATGCAGCCGCTTTGGAAAATAGTTCAGCATTTCCTCTAAAAGTTAAGCATGAAATTACCATATGATCCAGCAATTCCACTTCTAGGTATATAGCCAAAGGAATTGAAAGTGAGTATTCAAACAAATACACAGACATGCATATTCCTAGCAGCGCTAATCCACATAGCCATAAGGTGGAAATAGCTTAGATGTCCATCAATGAATTAATGGATGCACAAATTGGGATGTATTCATACAGTGGAATATTATTCAGCCATAAAAAGAAATGAAGTACCAATATATGCTACAATATGAATGAACCCTGAAAGCATTATGCTAAGTGAAAGAGGCCGGATGAAACAGGTGAGGTATTGTATGATTCCATTTATATGAAATACCCAGAATAGGCAAATCCACAGAAATGGAAAGCAGATTGGTGGTTGCCAGCATTTGAGGGAGGGAGGGAGAAGAGGGAATGGGGAGTCATTGCTTGGTGGGTATAGGGTTTCATTTTGAGGTGATGAAAAGGTTTTGGAACTGACAGAGGTGGTGGTTGCATGACATTGTGAACACACTAAATGCCACTCAATTAAATGTTGAAAAAAAATTCAAATAGTGGGGAGGAGGACATGGTGAAAAGTCCGCCTCCCACTTCTGTGGTCCGGCCACCCAGTTCCTCTCTTCCGGAGTAGTTGGTATGTAGTGTTGTACCTTACATCCTTCCTGAGGGGCTCCGTGCATATAAATCTGTGGCAGCCATGGAGGGGTAGCACAGACTTGTCTTCAACAGAGAACCTACAGTGAGGAGTGTCAGCTGACAGCCTCTGGCTGCTGCACTTAGGAACCCACCACAGTGGTCATACTGAGGCCACATTCTCCCCAGGTTTCTCCCAGCCAATGACAACCCAGCGGAAGGCCTTGAGCAGGGCCAGTTCTGCCTGACACAAGGCTCTTTTAATGGTACTCTTGGCTCTATGGCTGAGATCTTCTCTAGAGCTGCACTGCAGTCTGAGGCTCTTCCTACCCCATCCTCCTTCCTTCTCCCAATCCTTTTCCAGGCTTCAGACCAGCCTTGGGATTTAACAGCTCTTCCTGCCCTACTGCTTGCCCCCTCTCCCCTGTTTCCTGCATGGTCATTTCCCCCAATAAATCTTTTGCATTTCTAATTCCAACCCAGTGTCTGCTTCTTCGAGGACCCAGTAGACACACAAGCAAACTCACACATCCTATACTTATACAAATGATATATACGCTATACAAGTGGTTTTAAAAATTGACTATATGTATATCTCAGAGACTGACTAGTATCAGTACATAAAGAACTCACTCAATCCCTACAGCTGCACAGCAGCACGTTGTGTGGATAAACAATGTATGTTTATCCAAATCCTCATTGGTTGATATTGTTAGATTTAGTCCTTCATTGATATTTAGGTCTTTTCCAATCTTTTGTAGTTATACACAATGTTGCAATGAGTAACCTTCCATATATTGATTTTAAAACATACACATGCAGGATAAATTCATGAAAGAAAAGTTGCTGGGTCTAAGGGTATGTGCATTTTTTATTCTGATAAATACTGCCACATTTCTCCCCTTAGGGTCAGTATCAGTTTATACTTCCACAGCAATAGATGAGTCAGTCTGTTTCCCACATCTTTGTGTGTTTCAAACTTTAATCTTTGCCATTCTGATGGGTGGGGAGACATTGTTTTCAAAACAGAAGTCAAATCATGTCACTCTCTTGCTTGAAATTCCTCAGGGGCTTTTCATCTATCCCATAACATCCTATTTCCCCGTCCATGCCCACACCTTGCTCTCCAACTCACCTTTTGCCTCCTCCATTGAATATTTGCTTTTTCCTTAAACACACCAAGTTCATCCCCAACTCAGGGCCGGCACACAAGCTGCCCTGCCACCTGGAATGCATCTCTAAACTCTTCAATGGTGCCTCATTACAGAGGGCTCCTGGAACACCTTTAAAACTCAATATCCATATTGTGCCTTATTACCACAGACTGTCAATTGCCTTGCATCATTTACCACAATTAGAAATCGCTCATATGGTTTTCTTTCCCACTAGATTTTCACAGTGTCTAGCTCATCTTGAGTGCTCAATAAGAACTTGCTAAAAAAAAAGTATGAATAAATAAATGACTGAATACATCTCCCTGGACTTGCAATGACATCAAGCTTTTCCCATATTCTCTCGAATTCCATTGTCTGTCCACAAATACCTTGTGCTTCTAAAGCTGTAAGATGCATTATCCTCCCAGGTGGTTACATTTTTTAGTAGTTTTCAGCCAGCTAATACACTTTGGGATCCTTCTGAAGGCAAAATATGACTCACAGGTAGGTCACAGCTGACACAGGTGTGTCTACTGAAGCAGATTAGAGGCCCGTCAAAGATTTTCTATAGTTGCCATAGCAGAGCTCAGGCTGCAACATGCCGTCTCAGGAAAAAGGAGACAGGTTCCTGGTCTCACCTGGGCTAATAAAATTTTTCAGGTAGATCCACTGCTTCACACAGAGTTTTAAGCCAAGAATCAAAGCAAGATGCAAATGGAAGATCTTCAAGGTTACACTTCCCATGGGAAACATACAGCACCTGAGTTTATCACATCAGTGTTATGAGTTGAATTGTGTATCCCCCCCTCCAAATTTATATGCTGAAGTTCTAACCCCCAGTGCTTCAGAATAAGACTTTATTTAAAGAAAATAGTCAGCCGGGTGCGGTGGCTCATGCCTGTAATCTTAATACTTTAGGAGACTGAGGCGGGAGGATCGCTTGAGCCCAGAAGTTCGAGCCCAGCCTAGGCAACATAGGGACACCTCAACTGTACAAACATAGAAAATAAAAAAATTAGCTGGATGTCGTGGTGTGTGCTTGTAGTCCCAGCTACTCGGGAAGATGAGGTAGGAGGATTGCTTGAGCCCAGGAGGTTGAGGCTGCAGTGAGTCATGATCACGCCACTGCTCTTCAGCCTGGGTGACTGAGTGAGACCCTGAAGAAAAGGAAGGAAAGAAGAAAGAAAGAGAGAAAAGGAAGGAAGGAAGGAAGGGAGGGAGGGAGGGAGGGAGGGAGGAGGGAGGGAGGGAGGGAGGGAAAATAGTCCTTGCAGATGCAATTAGTTTAGTTAAGACAAAAATGAAGTCGTACTGAGGCAGGGTGAGCCCTAATCCAATAGGAGTGCTATCTCTATAAAAAGAGGACATTTGGACATAGACAAACACAGGGAGGACATCATGTGAAGATGAAGGCAGAGATCCACTAGCCAAGAAATGGCAAAGATTGCCAGTGAGCCACCAGAAGCTAGGGGAAAGCATGGGACAGGTTCTTTCTCACAGTCCTCAGAAAGAACCAACCCTGCTGACACCTTGATCATGAACTCCTAGCCTCCAGAACTGAGAGACAATACATCTCTGTTGTTTAAGCCACTCAGTGTGTGGTACATTGTTATGGCAGCCCTAGCAAACTCACACAACCAGCAATCATGCTAGGCCAACGTGGACAACTGTATCCTGCATGCCAAAGGTAAATGTGTCCATTTGCCACCTAAATAACCTCAATCACAGTTGTTTCCTTGTTGAAGTGGTGGAAAGAATGTGGGACTTGCACTGGGGGGTCCTGGCACATCCCCTCTCTGGCTCAGTGAAGTTAGGGGGTTAGACTAGATGATCTCCCAGCTTCCTCCCACATCAACACCCTTTCCCCCCATGGGCATAGTTACAACAGTTTCCACCAGGCTTAGAGAGAGGAGAGCCAAAGAGGTTTCAACCAGCAATTTAGATCTCAGGGGGAGGGCAGGGAGATGCCCTGCAGTCGAACTTTGGTAACTATACCCTACATGCTTTTCCTTTCTATCCTTCCCTGCTAACAGAACCTCTCTGTTGGCCAGGCTCCACGGTTAATGCCTGTAATCCCAGCACATTGGGAGGCCAAGGTGGGAGGATCACTTGAGCCCAGAGGTTTGCAATTAGCCTGGGCAATACAGTGAAACTCCATCTCTACAAAAAATACAAAAAAAATAGGTGAGGTGGTGCATGCCTGTGGTCTCAGCTACTAGGGAGCCTGAGGTGGGAGGATCACTTGAGCCTGGGAGGCAGAGGCTGCAGTGAGCTGTAATTGTGCCACTGCACTCCAGCCTGGGTGACAGAGTGAGACCCTGTCTTCAAAAAACAAACAAACAACAACAACAACAAAACCCTCTGTCTTTTCCACCTGGAGGTTTTCAATTCAGTTTTAAACCAGCTCAAGGTGGTTTTGTCTACTTAAGAGACTTCACCTGGGGATGTTACCGTTAGAAGTCGTTGGAAAAATATGAGGGCATTTTTAGCTATCACAATGGTATGGGGGAAGAGACGTTGTATTTGTGGACAAGGAATGCTGGAAGTCCTACAGGGTGCAGAGAAGTTCTGCAAAATAAAAATTGTCCCATATGTGTCTGCTGAGAACCACTTATAGGATGGTGTTCAGGAAAGAATATGGACCTTGGTGTCAGATGATGTTCTAGTTATCTGTTGCTGCATAACAAATCCCCCGAAACACAGTGGCTTCAAACAATCTTCCTATCATCTCACTGTGCTGTGGGTGGGCAGCTGAACTGGGTGACTCCACTTGGGGTCTCACATGTAGTTTAGTCAGTGACTGAGGCTGGAGTGAGCCAAAGGCTCAGCTGGGGTGAGTGTCCAAGATGGCCACTTTCTTATGTGGTTGGCAGTGGACCCTGGCCCAGCAGGAATGTAGATTGGAGTGCCCATATGGCCTCTACACATGGCTTTGGCTTCTCCCAGGATAGCAGCTCATTTCCAAAAGACAATGTTCTGGGGGAACATTCCACAAGAACAAAGCAAGAACTGCAAGGCTTCTGATAACTTGCCTTAGAAGTCCCCGGCATCACTGCTACTCTGTTGTATTGGTCAATGCTGTCATGAGAACTTCCCGGATTCCAGGGGGTGGAGAAACAGACTCCACTTTTTGATGAAGGGGTAGGAGAAGAGCATGAGGGATGGGTCCATCTTTGAAAAGATAATCTGCCATGGAGGACCTGGTATTAGGTCCTGCCTCTACCACCTACTACATCAGAGACGTCTATGAAATCCTGAATCTGTCTATGTCTTGGTGTTTGCTTTTGAAAATAGGGAATAGCATGGTGTCTAACTTGCCAGGGTGCCTTGAAAACCTGTGGTAGCCATTGCTAGTTGTTATTGTTGGCATTTTCCCAGGAGGAATGGCAGTCCCAGTTCCAGAAATTCTCCTATTGGCATGCACATGTCTGTCACTTTGTATTTGCTGACTTGATGATTGAGGAATTTGAAAATCACCCCAGAGGTGTACTGGGGAGGTAAAGCCATCATTTGACCAATGCAGGTCCAGCCTTCTTGCCTTAACTGGATGTTTAATTTTTATTTATATTCTATGAAAATACTGGCAGGGACTAGGCACGGTGGCTCACACCTGTAATTCCAACACTTTGGGAGGCCGAGGCAGGCGGATCACGAGGTCAGGAGATCAAGACCATCCTGGCTAACATGGTGAAACCCCATCTCTACTAAAAAATACAAAAAAATTAGCCGGGCTTGGTGGCGGGCGCCTTAGTCACAGCTACTCGGGAGGTTGAGGCAGGAGAATGGCATGAACCCGGGAGGCGGAGCTTGCAGTGAGCCGAGATCACATCATGGCACTCCAGCCTGGGCAACAGAGCGAGACTTCATCTCAAAAAAAAAAAAAAAAAATTGGCAGGGCGTGGTGCCTCACACCTGTAATCTCAGCAATTTGGGAGGCCATGGTAGGCAGATCACTTGAGATCAGGAATTTGAGACCAGCTTTGCCAACATGGCAAAACCCCCTCTCTACTAAAAATACAAAGATTAGCTGGGAGTGGTAGTGCATGCCTGTAGTCCCAGCTACTAGGGAGGCTGAGTGAGGCAGGAGAATTTCTTGAACCCAGGGGGCAGAGGTTGCAGTGAGCCGAGATTGCGCCACTGCACTCCAGCCTGGGCGACAGAGCGAGACTCCGTCTCAAAAAATAAAAAAATTAAGAACAAAATACATGTAGAAGTCCCTTGACTACCTTCCTACCCCATCTTCCTTTTGTTCCCCAGAAGCAACATTCATAGATTTTTATATATATATTTACATTTATATTTTTAGATAGCAGGCAAATACTCCTCTCTCTTGATTCACTTATTTCCCACTATAGTAAGTGAATGTTTTAGATGACTTACTCCTCCCCTTCCTTCACTTTCTTTCTTTCCAATTGTGTATCAATTTTTTGTTAAATCTACATGTAGCATTTTCATTATTATGATAATGTAAAGTAAACATTGTTCACTGCTGAGCCAAGTAGTGAAATGATAGTACATTTCTTTTTCTCCACATTTTCTTCTTCCTGGAGTTGATAATTCCTTCACATTTTTCTTTTGCTTTGTTTTCTCTAAACATCTGAGTCTTTCCATATTTCTGAGAAGTCTGCAAATCAACACTTTATACAATTTTTGACATCTCAAACCTGGCTACAATCATTCCATTGTTTCCCTGGAGAAATTCTTCCCAGAGCCCTGCAACACTCTGCTGACCTGGACCGGCTGGTCCCAGGGCCTGTCCATAGCTTCATCTTGGAACCTCCCTGTGCCTCTCCCCTTTGTTAGATTAGAAGCCTTCTGGCCAGGTGAGGTGGCTCAGGCCGGTAATCCCAGCATCTTGGGAGGCCAAGATGGGCGGATCACATGAGGTCAGGAGTTTAAGACCAGACTGGCCAACATGGTGAAACCCCATCTTTACTAAAAATACAAATAATTAGCCCAGCGTGGTGGCGGGCACCTGTAGTCCCACCTACTCGGGAGGCTGAGGCAGGAGAATCCCTTGAA
Source organism: Homo sapiens (assembly GCF_000001405.40). Taxonomy (NCBI): domain Eukaryota; kingdom Metazoa; phylum Chordata; class Mammalia; order Primates; family Hominidae; genus Homo; species Homo sapiens. Next base: position 101,083,473 of record NC_000008.11, on the reverse strand, counting down.
CCAGGAAGGCGGAGGTTGCAGTGAGCCAAGATCATGCCACTGTACTCCAGCCTGGCGACAGAGCTAGACTCTGTTTCAAAAAACAAAACAAACAAACAAAAAGATTAGAAGCCTTCTTTTTTCGTGGTAGAGCATCTTCCAGTAGCTTCCCAATAAAGGATACGCTGGATATAAATGTTTTTGTATTTTGCATTTAATTTTTTTTGTATTTTGCAAATGTCTTTATGGATTGGCAATGACTGATACTATCAATCATATTTGATTGATAGTGTGGCTGAAATAGAATTTTAGGCCAAAAATAAATATCCCTAGGGATATTGCAGGCATTTTTCTGATGTACTCTAGCTTCCCATGTTGCTATCGGGAAGTCCAGTGTCATTCCAATTCTTGATCCTTTCTATGTAAGCGTTTTAGTTCTCTTTTTGAAAATTCTTATGATCTTCTTTCCATCTCTAGTTCTGCAATATCCCAACAGTGTATCTTGGTACGGGGCTGTTGTCAGCTATTACCTTGGGCATTTGGAGCATTTCAGTTGAAGATTTGTGTTCTTCTACGGCTTTTTTTTTTTTTTTTTTGGTATTTTTTTCTAAATAATTTTCTTACCACCATGTTGTCTGTTCTGTCTTTCTAAAACTACCTATTGGATATTGAACCTCCTGAATTGCTCTTGTGATTTCTTATCTTTTTTTCTCCTATTGCCCTTCTTTGCTTTACTTTCAGGGAAATTTCCTTAACTTTATCTTCCAACACTGCTATAGAATTTTTGAAATTTTAGATCTCATATTTTTAACTTCCTGGAACTCCTTCTTGCCCTGCTTGTTCCTTTTTCACCACATCCTGTGGATATAACATCTTCCCTTATACCTCTAAAGATATTAATTATAATTTATCTTCAGCTTCTCCTGCTTTTTCATTGTTCTGCTGCCTTCATTAGATGCTTTTGTTTTTCTGTTTGATTATTTTATTCTCTGTGATATTGGACAGTTTCTTCAGTGATGACCCCTGACTGCCCCTCAAATTTAAGGAGGCCCTGAAGAGCTGAGAGCTGATTGGAAGTGCTGAGAGCTGATTGGAAGTTCTGTGTACGTGGATAGTATTTTATTCCAGGGTGATCAGATAGATAATGGGCATTTTTGCTAGGAGCCTCCAAATGTCTCTCTCTCTCTCTCTCTCTCTCTCTCTCTCTCTCTCTCTCTATATATATATATATATATATATACACCTGCTATGTACCCACAATAAAACATTTTTTAAAATGTCAATGTATGTAAGTCTTTTTTTTTTTTTTTTTTAAGTGGGTCCGGTTTTTGCAGAAAAGAAATCCTTCAATCTCCTGCCCCTGTTGTTCTAAGGCTAGGTCAGGGAAGCACTCACTCATTGTGCAAACTCACCCCATCGCAGCCTCCCTCTGAACCTGGTATTATTAGCACGAAGTCTCTGGTCCAATTTCTCTAGAAAATAAACTTCCTCTCCTGCAGAAGTGGGTAGGGCTTGAGACCTGCAAGTCTGTCTGCCTGTTGTAAATACTTGTAAACACTTCTAAATAATGCCTCTGTGTTCACCTTACTCCCTTCCACAGCAGCTAATGCCCCAGTCCTTGAGACCTAGCAAGGTTCTATGGGCCATAGCAACTGGCCTCTCTGATGTAGGCCACCCCTGTTCCTAGGCACTCAGCTTGGACCTCCCTTCTTCTCTGCTCATGCCTTCACCTTCCACCATCTTCCTATACTGTGGTTCTGGGTCACACAGTCTCCCAGCAGAGATGAGACTTTCGACGAGAGGGTAGAAATTGCTGTACCCCACCATCTTGAAATTCACACTCCAAGGAGTCTTTCAATTGGTGTTGGGGAAAACTGCCTTTTGTGCCACCCTCAAATCAGCAAACACTTGTGGAGCATCTCAAAGGGCTCTGAACTCCGTAATAACAACAACAATAAGCATTTGGTAGCACCTGCTACGTGCCAAATATTTTGCATGCATTATCTTTAATCCTCATCCCAATCTACCAAGGGGGGATTATCCGTATTTTACAGATGAGGAGACTGAGGCCCAGCAAGGTAAAATTGTTTGTCCCACTTTATCCCTTTGATAAGTGCCAGAATTTGAATCCAGGTCTTTCTGGCCCCAAGTTGCCTATGGCAACCAAAGCCTTCCACGTCTACCTCCAGTCACTCAGTGGGTGGCCTTCCTCAAATCTTGGTTCATCAGTCATGTCCAACACACCGGTATGCATCCGTGCTTAAAAAGGGAAGCCAGGCAAAATAAGCTTCCTTGGTATGCCTGTGGCCCCGTTTCCTGGTCTCATCCTGCCGTCTTTCAAGGTGAGCCTTCCAGGTAAGGGGGCTGGGCCTGGAATCCGCAACATGCAGTCAGGAGCTGATTTTCAAAGAACCCGGTGCAGCAGGAAGACCAAGGAGACAGCCGCCTCCCCTGCTCGACTCCTGCTGACTGTGGAACTGAGCGGGAGCCGCGTAGCCATGGTGACGGTGGCAGTCGGCTGACAGCCCGGGAGGGGGTCGGGGAGAGGGAAGAGGGAGCGAGAAGCCGGGCGGAGGCCTCCTGCCGGGGATGGGCAAACGGGTTTCTGGAAGCCGCTCGTGGGGGAGGGGCGCGTGGGGAGACAGCGCTCCCCTCCCCGCGAAGCCCGGCGCCCTGCCGCGCCGCCCACCTGCCTTCTCGGCCTCCTCCCCTGACTCACCACGCAGGTGGGTGACTCACAGCACCTGCGGTGTAAGCGAGGCCGAGGCGGGCAGGGAAGCCTCCCGCTGGGGCGCTTGGCCTCCGGAGTAGGGAGGGGAGAGAAGGTGACGCTGAGGGTGACTCTTCTGCCTTCTGTCCCTGTCCCTTCCCCCAGCTCCACCATCTCCTCGCCCACGTCCCCCCCCCGCCCCGGGACGCCCTTATCCGTGGACACTGCTTGACAAGGAGGGCGGAGGGGCCCCAGCCCATCACTTGCACTGTACTGGGCGCCCCAAGACCTGAAGGCCACTCCTACTCCAGTCTCTCGCCGGCTTCCCCAGGCTCCCAGCATAAACACGAACTTGACCCGTGGCTGTGGCCCAGGTGCTCTGCACTGGCCTCCCCCCACATCCTGTCTCCTGCCTGGTCCCCTGACCTCTCTGCCCTGGGCCACACTGGTGGCCTTCCCATTTCCTGAGCTCTCCCTCACAGCCATTGCCCAGGCCCTCTCCTCTACCTGGGATGCCGTCACTTCCATCCCGCGTTTGCCCCTTCTGGTATCAGCCCAAACATCACTTTTCCAGGACAGCCTGTCCTGTTCCCACCCCACCCAGGCGGGTAACTTCAGTCACTCCAGTCACTCCACCCCGCAGGACCCAGAAACTCTTTGTAGCATTCCTCACAGCTGCCATGTCTTGGCAAGAGGCCTCTCCTCCCCACTGGACTGGAAGGGCCAGGAGGGCAGAGCCAGGCCTCCTCTCTGTACCTTGGATTCCCCGAATTTTGCACAATGTCTGGCAGAAGATCCTCACTCAAAAAATGTTGGAAGGGAGGAAAGGAAAGAGGGAAGGAAGGAGGGAGGGAGAGAGGGAAAGAGGAAGAGAGGGAGAAAGGAGACATCATTTTGCCCTTCTGGGCAAGGAGCTGATGGAGTGCGCTGCCTTGCACCTGCCCCAGCTGGGAGGTAGAAACCAAAGTGATGCTTCCCCTCCCCTGCTGCTCTTCCAGCTGACCAGGGGCCAGGATGATGGTGAAAATACTATGAGTATTAAGAGGTGTGGGCTTCTCAAATTAAATGATCATTTGTTCTGCTTTCAAAAATGCATTTCACAAAGGTGGGAGCAGCTAGTACTGCTAGCATGAAAGGAAGTGTTCTTGAGCCCCCTGCCTTGTGTGGGGGACCTGCCATCTGGCTCACATTCAGAGCGTTTGCTTTCTTTCCTGCAAGCACTGGCCCTGATTCTCATGTCCCCCCCAGCTGTCTGGTTTCCTCAAAGTCATGTGCCCCTAAAGGCCATAGGAAAAGAGCTTGTGGAAAAGACACTGAGCCCTTACTGGGGCTATATTCCCCAAAGGCAGGAGGCTGGGTTTCTAGCTGGAGGGTATGGGGCAGAGTGGAGTTTAGAAGGCCCTTCCCTGAAGAGGCTAGAGAAGCCGGTTCCTGCTCAGCCCTGCAATCCCAGCCCAGTCCTTGCAAGGGGCTCCAGGGAGTGAGTCAAATCTGATAAACCCAGCCAGGATAAGATAGAAGGAAGGTTGTTTACACACCGGCCCTTCAATACCAGGTGGGGCTGCTGTTTTGGAGGCCAAAGAACATCCATTGGAATAGGAGAAGTCCTGTTAGAAACCAGACGAAGACAGAGGAGCCCAACTGTCATTTTCTTGAATTTATTTTATTATTTTTATTTTTGATTTTTCAAAATGGGTTTTGCTCTGTTGCCCAGGCTGGAGTGCAGTGTTGCAATCAAGGCTCACTGCAGCTTCGACCTCCCAGACTCATGAGATCTTCCTGCCTCAGCCCCCTGAGTAGCTGGGACCACAGGTGCATGCCACAACACCCAGCTAATTTTATTTTATTTTGTTGTTTTGTAGACGGGGGTCTCACTGTGTTGTCCAGGCTAGTCTCAAACTCCTGGACTCGAGCTATCTTCCTGCCTTGGCCTCTCAAAGTGCTAGGATTACAGGCATGAGCTACCACACCCGGCCTTGAATTTATTTTAAATGGGCTCTGAGTCAGTCCTACCAGAGAAAGGTGTCTAAATGTATAATGCAAGTTAAATGCATTCTCTAGCCATGTGACTTAGTAAAGCATTTTACTTCTCTGCTTCATAAACCACCCTGAAGCCAACTCAGATTATCCATTGAGACTCCTTTAATAAACATGTATGGAGTGAATTAATGAAATAATGTCTGCTCTCATGAACTTGAGAATCAAAAAGCTGAGTTTTAAGTCTTGATTCTAGCATTTTCTGACTTCCCATCTCTATAAAATGGAGTCTACACATAGGATCGTCCCCAGCATGGCACCTGATTCCTAGAAGGAGGGAGCTGGCTAAAGGTCAGTCACTGTGCCACACCTTTCCCCACTTCCCAGTGGGCGTTAGGAGGGCTGTTGCAGGTGTTTAGAGACTGGTACATTGTGTGTGCCTCTGAAAGAAAACACCTGGCTTGTTGAGAATGATCCGGGAAAGCAGAAGATGTTGCTCCTTTACCCAAGACTTTGTTGCTGGGCCTTGAGTGCTTCAGCCTCTGACTCACAGAGCACTTCAATGTGAAACCGTGGCTCAGATAAAGCAACATTGGTTCTGGTAGAGGCAGAGGGATCGGGGAGCCCGTGAGCAGAGGAGAGGATCACAGAACAGAAAGGGGAGTACCCTGCTCATCGGCCAGCCCTAGAAACAATTATTAAACAAAGTCCCATAAAACCGCAGAGTCGAGATTAGAAGGACCTTGGCGGTGACTTGCTCCAGCCTCCTGTTTAATATAAAAGGAAGCAGGTTCAGAGAGTGAGGTGAACCTCCTAGGATTATCCAGACAGCAGGTGGTGGAGCCGGGACAAGTGCCCAGTTCTCCTGCCACCAGGGAAAGCTTGCCTTGGGACCTTGATCTGCCCATTGTAAGCTCATTCTGTGCCATAGGGCACTGCTCATTCCTGCCAAGGGTTAACAGAGAACAGAGATGGAAGGGTCAGTTCTAACTCTTCAGGTTCGGTTTAATTAGTATGTTTCTTTGTTTTTAATATTAGCCAGATATAATCATTCATTTATAGACCTCTTGAGACTCAGCCAATGTGCCAAAGGTCTTGATGACATTGCCAATAGATATTGTGATCTGAAGGAATTCCACGGTCTCCCAGGACTGAGCACGTAGCATCCCATACATCTCCACCCCTGCCTCCCTGCAAAGGCCCAAGGAGGGGATCTCTCACATGACTGAGGGGCAGTGGCAAGCTTAAGTCTCCCGGGAATGCCCTGAAACAAACCACTATCCAGTGAAACTGTGGAGGAAGAAGAGTAAGGCTGGGCAGACCAGGGAGGGACCCACAGGGTTAGGGTTCTCTGTCCCCTAGAGTGGGAGCAGGACCCTCTGGGTTCCCCTAGCCCCATGATATAAATCCATGGAAAATTTGTATTTTGGGGGTCCTAAAAGAGATGATATGGCCTCCAAGGAAGTAACCTCCAGCCCAGGGTCAGAGAAAGGGTACCGTTACCCCACCCGAGGGTTACACCACTATCCAGGGCTTCTAAGACCCCAGAAAGTGCCAAGGGTAAGGGGTGGCAAGGAGGCAAGGACAAGAGGCTATGTTCCTAGGGGCCAGGCCACAGCTGTCCACGGAGGGATGGAGCTGGATGTAGGTGGCACAGCCTGGCTGAGGCAGCTGAGCATGGAGAGTGAGACTCTGCTCAAAACACTTAAGAGGAATCCCCAGGGCTCCTTCCAGGCCCTGCTGAGACATGAGGGCTGGGTGGCTTCAGACTTCAGGGAAGGTGGGGCGGGGCAACACAGGGGGCAGCAGGAGTGGACCAAACTGTAACCATGGGCACTGCTTGTAGAATGTAGAGAGTCCATGTTAAGGGCATATACCCAGGAATAAGACGACCTACGTTCGTATCCAGATCCTTCACTTACTAGATAGTAACAGGAATTAGGCAGATGCCTAAACCTTAGTTTTCTCAATTGAAAAAAAAAAGGGATAATAATACCCACCTAATATTGTTGATTAAATATCAGATCTATGAAGGACCTATCACAGTGTCTGGCACATTATAGTAAGTGTTTATGTTAGTTATCTATTGCTGCAAACAAGTTATCCCCAAACTTGGTGATTTAAGCAACAAGCAGTTATCTCACATTATTTGTATGGGTCAGGTATCTGGACAGAGCTTAGCTTCTGCTTCAAAGTCTCTCATGAGACTGTAGTCAAGCAGTTGGTCAAGTGGTCCCATTTGAAGGCTTGGCTGGAACTGGGGAGGGGTGCGTCTAAGCTCACCATGTGGTTGTTGGCAGGCCTCCGTCCTCACCATGTGGTCCTCCACACAGGGCTTCCTCACAACATGGCAGCTGGCTTTGTTTGGAGCACACAATTAAAGAGAGAGCAAGCGAAAATGCCAGGAAGGAAGCCACACTCTTTTTTTATAATCTATTCTCAGAAGGAATATCCCATTACTTCTGATACATTCTGTGCATTGAAAGTGAGTCAGTAATTCCAGACCACACTCAAGGAGAGCGGTTACATAAGGCATGAAGAACAGGAGGCGGAGATCACCAGGGGCCATCTTACAGAATGACTCCCACAATGTTTAATTAATGCTATTTTTATTATTCCATTTGTATATCTTATTCCCCAAATTATTCTCCATTAATGCTGCTACTAATTTCCACTTCTGTGTTTTGCTGCTGTTCCTTCTGCCAGGAATGCCTTCCTCTAAATATCTATGGTTCCCAATCCTACACATCCTTTAAGGCCACACTCAAATGCCACTTCCATGAAGCTTTGCAAATTGCCCCCTTACAGGAAGTACTTTCCTTCTCTGATGTCCAAAAGGGAAGAGTTTGATAAGGGAATAAGGGAAAGTGACAAATCCAGGCTATTGGATTTAGGCCCCCTGAGTCCATGAAGACACCGACTCTGTGAGATTCCAGAAACTTCTGTCATGGCTCTGCTTGTTCTGGGCTGGCTGAGCACCTACCCATTTGCTAATCCTTAGAACTAGGCTTCTCTAATAAACTGATATGAATCCAAAAATTAGAGCTCTTCTGAAGGCTGGACTCCAAAAGCTCCAATAACATATGCAGACAAAGAGCTATTTGCCCCACGTGGAGATAAAGCACTTGAGAGGGAAACCTAACTGTGGGTGGTGTGCTCGTCTTATGAATTCTCTTGTGGGTTTGAGAACTTCATCTTCCAAAAAGGCTCCATGGGGACTGAAAAGGGCCTTATTCCACCCCAGAATACCCTTTTCTAATAAATCCAGTTGTCCCAAAAGGATAAACTACCTAAGGGTGTCCATGGGTGTGGTGGGCAACTAGGGAAGAGACAAAGCCAGGAGTCCTGGATCCGAATTGAGCCAGTTCAGCCATGATCTTCAGCGGGGGGCATCAAGTCAACTTAGGAGGAGAAGAGGAGGAAACTCCTGGGTATTATCCACCCATACTGGGCACTGAACATGATGTCATTAAATCCTCAGAAAAGCCTGGTAAGGAAGGTGATATTTTTCACATTTTACAGGTGAGGAAACTAAGGCTCAGTGAGGTGAAATGGCCTGCCCCAGGTCACACCGCCAGTGGAACACAGACTGCTTGACTCAATGCCCGTATTCATTCCATGATCCTCTCTTACAAATGGCTGTAGGAGAACAAAGGGAAAGGGCAGGGTTAGGAGCCAAGCTAACTAAAGTAACTCCAAAAATAGCTATTACAGACCAAGCATAAAGTTACAGTTAGTTCTCCAAGATTCTAAGCCAAATTTTAGCCAGGCTTCCCTTATTGTTCCTGAGTTGCATAATAGGCAAATCTTCCACAGGGACGACTTGGGGGAAGAAGGTGAGAAAAGATGCTTAGTATGATTAATAGCAAGACTTCCACAGTCCCCTGACCCCCACCCCATTACCAACCCCACCTTTATCAGAAGATGCCTACTAACAAGGATGACACACACATCCAGAAAGTTAACAGGATAAAAAATCTAAATACTAGCTTCCATTCTTGCATGACTTGTCTCCTGCACTCCTCACTCTTTCTGTCCTGGCCTTCTGTTCTTTTAAGATTGGGTCAGCTTTTCTGTTTCAGGAAAGGTGTTTCAAATGTGTTTCCCAAAAGGAAGCAGAGGCTCAAGCCAGGAGAAGATGAGGGCCTCGTTCAAGGCTAAGACAAGCCTAAAATTGCTGATACCAATCCCTTTGTGCTCATCTCCCCTTGACAACATGGACTAGGTTGAATTGCCCTAGATGCCAGGCATGGTGGCTCATGCCTATAATCCAAGCACTTAGGGAGGCTGAGGCAGGAAGATTGCTTGAGACCAGGAGTTTGAGACCAGTCTGGGCAACATAGCAAGACCCTATCTCTCAAAAAACTTTAAAAATTAGCTGGGTGTGGTGGTGCACACCTGTAGTCCCAGCACTTCGGGAGGCTGAGGTAGGAGGATTGCTTGAGCCCAACAGTTCAAGGTTGCCATGAGCTATGATCATGCCACTACTTTACAGCCCGGGTGACAGAGTAAGACCCTGTCTGTAAGAAAACAAACAAACAAAACATTGCTGTTGAGCCTTTTGGGGGTATGGTATGGAAGGAGAGAGAGGTCTAGGAGTGCCCACTCAAGACAATAAGGTAGCATTGGTCTTTTGATGCTCTCAACTAATGTTCTTTAGCACAAACTCTCTGCCAAGCACTGGGCTGTAGGTACAATGGGACTCCAAAGGGAGAGAAACTCAGAATTTCAAATTCCACAGGGGAGATATAATATGCACACATAGCTTAAAAATAAGACAGCATGTTATAAATGCCATTTAAAAATTAAATTAAATTACTATTCCTTGAAAAGGAAAGAAATTTTGACGCATGCTACAACATGGGTAAACCTTGAGGACATCATATGAAGTGCAATAAACCAGTCACAGAAAGACTACTATTGTATGACTTCACTTACCGGGTACCTACAGTAGTTAAGAGACAGAAAATAACATGGTAGTTGCAGGGACTGAGGGGATTGGGAAATAGAGAGTTGTTTTTTAATGGATAAAGTTTCAGTTTTGCAAGATGAGAAAGTTCTGGAGGGTGGTTGCACAACAATGTGGATACACTTAACACTGCTGAAATGTACACATAGAAACATTGAAGATGGTAAATTTTATCTTATGTGTATTCTACCACAATTAAAAATAAAAATTTTGGGCCGGGCATGGTGGCTCATGCCTGTAATCTCAGCACTTTTGGAGGCTGAGGCGGGTGGATCACTTGAGGTCAGGAGTTCAAGACCAGCCTGGCCAACATGGTGAAACCCTGTCTCTACTAAAAATACAAAAATTAGCCAGGTATGGTGGCACATGCCTATAGTCCCAGCTACTCAGGAGGCTGAGGCGTGAGAATCTCTTGAGCCTGGGAGGTGGAGGTTGCAGTGAGCCAAGATCATGCCACTGCACTCCAGCCTGGGTGACAGAGAGAGACTCTGTCTCAAAAAATAAAAATAGGCCAGGCGCGGTGGCTCATGCCTATAATCCCAGAACTTTGGGAGGCCGAGGCTGGTGGATCACCCAAGGTCAGGAGTTCGAGACCAGCCTGGCCAACATGGTGAAACCCCATCCCTGCTAAAAAAAAATACAAAAATTAGCTGGGTGTGGTGGCAGATGCCTGTAATCCCAGCTACTGGAGAGGCTGAAGCAGGTACAATTGCTTGAACCTGGGAGGCAGAGGTTGCAGTGAGCCAAGATCGCACCATTGCGCTCCAGCCTGGAGGACAAGAGCAAAATTCTGTGTCAAAAATAAATTAATTAATTAAATAAAATAAAAATAAATACAAAAATTTTAAAGAAAAAAACTACTATTGACTTACAGAAGGTGAAACAATTATGTATCTCACTGGGGATATCAAAGAAGGCTTCACAGAGGAGGGGCCATTTGAACTGAGCCATTTAGAAAAGATGGGTTAAAGATGGGCAGAAAAGAGCATTCTAGGCGGACAGAGCAGCAGCAGCAAAAGCACATCCTAAAAAAAAAAATCGAGAGATTTCTCTCTTCCATTGCACCAACCCTTAACAGAAAACATTTTTCCAGTGATCAAACTGCCCAAGCCCGCATGTGTGACTCCCAGCACAGCGTGGCTCTCCTGCCCGCTCCCTCTCTTCCTCTCATCCCCTCTCTCTGTGCCTGCCTCTTCCTGCCTCTTGTTCTCTCTCTCTCTGGTGTCTTTTGAACCTTCTAAAATGAACCTTTGACAAAAGTTTGCTTTTAGCTCAGAAGCAGCCTTCCTTAAGGTCTCTTTAATAACAGCAAACACCCAAAGACTCTCACACCTTTATTAACAGAGCTTGTTTTGCTGTTCTTTTTTCTCTCCTTGGATACCAGAAGCTTAAGAAGAAATTACCTCATCACCACTACAGGCAGGTCCCAATTGTAAAAACAGTCCTTTTGACAGACACTTCATCGCCAGTTCTCCCTATGAATGGCAGCTTTGCAGAACAGCCTCTGGCATGGGAGGAAGGAGAGAGCTTCGATTTATATTAATACTTGATTTCTGAACAGAAGTCAAGAGAAGAGTGGGCTCGGTGGAGAATTTCTTCATCTTTGGAGGGATGATTAAACCAGAACTTATTATTCTCCATGTAAATCACCAGGACTTAAAGCAAGAATCCTGCTTTTTCTGATGAGAATGGTAGCCAGGCAAGGGAAGGCATGCAAGGCTGCAGGGAGATAATGGTCTGAGCCCTGGCCCTAGGCACACCCAAAACGCAGGCTTTCCCCAGCAACCAGTGCAGCTGGGGCAGCAGGCAGAGGGTTCACATTATCAGGGTAGCCAGCATGGAGCTTACTCTCGCAGGTTCCCAGAGTGCAGACACGCCTCGTGGGGATGCCAAAACCTGCCTGTTAGAGCGAACCGATGTGGCCTGAAGTGAAACTCTGCTTCCTTCTGCCTGGTGTGACTCAGCGAGGCTGCAGGATCTCCGATGAGAAACTAGCCTTGTGCTTGATTTCTGCCTTTTTGTCCTGTCCATAATTTTTTTTTTTTTTTTTTTTTGAGATGGAGTCTCGCTCTGTCCTCCAGGCTAGAGTGCAGTGGCATGATCTCGGCTCATTGCAACCTCTGCCTCCCGGGTTCAAGTGATTCTTCTGCCTCGGCCTCCCAAGTAGCTGGGACTACAGGAGCACACCACCACGCCCGGCTAATTTTTGTATTTTTAATACAGATGGGGTGTCACTATATTGGCCAGGCTAGTCTCGAACTCCTGACCTCGTGATCTGCCCACCTCGGCCTCCCATAGTGCTTAGAGGCGTGAGCCACCGCACCTGGCCTGTCCTGCCCGTAATTTTTAATCATTACCTTTAATTCTGAGTGAGGACCCGTAGCCTTTTTGAGGATGAATGGTGCCAAGCCCTGAAAATAGAGCGAGCAGCATCGACATAGGCCCTGCCTCCTCTCCACAAAGTCGGCCTCCACGCTGAAGAATTCATACTGCCCTTTTCTGAATTCCTTCAGCTCAATCTAGACAGCTCTCAGGTAGTCAAACACTGGAGAGAAGGCAGAGCTCAGCGTGAGTCGTGAGTCAGGGAGCCTGTCTGGCCTTGACTTTACTGGAATTGATCACTTGGGAGTTAAGGGGGAAAATCTAATTTAGGGACCACAGTCCTTCCTTCGTGTCTATTCAATTACGTTAAAAATTATAACAACAAAACCATGGAATCTCAGCATCGGCGAGAGCCCCTGGTGTCATCTTGGCCAAGCCCGGCAGGATGCAGGAAACCTCCAGGGCATCCCAGCTGCCTTTGCTGGCTCAGATAATCAGACATTTTCCCCGAGAGAAGACTGCAAGTGCACTCCTTTTGGGAGTGAAATGAACTGTTCGGAAACTCTGAGACTAAATGAAAATGAAAATCAGCTTACTTAACAGCCTCCACCCATAGATACTAATGCCTGGCACGTGTGCCTGAGATATGTCTGTTGACTGACCAACTGGTTGACTGATTGATTGAATGAATGAGTGAGTGAATGAATGACTAAACAGAGTGAACTGGCATGGGGATCAAAGGGAAGCAGAGAGAGAAATTGCAGTGGTGAGAGGTAATGGACAAGTGGGAAAAAATGGGGAGACAGAACATTTTTCTCTAAAGATTTTTTTTCTTGTTGTTTTCTGAATAAAATGGGGAGGGAGGGCCAGATTGTTCCAGCGAGTGTTTTCATTCTTCAATAATCCCTTAAACAAGCCATCAACAAAACCAACAATCCAATTTATACGTAATTATACTTGTAAATTTATTTGACAAATAAATAACATTTGTAAAATAATTTAAATTACTTTGGATTAAGGTAATGGTTGCTAAGGACAAGTATTGCCTATTTACCCCAAGTTGCTTTCTCATGACTTCTCTCTCTCCCTCTCTGTCTCTCTCTCTCTCACACACACACACACACACACACACACACCAGAACTTACAAATCATTGCTTCCTGGCCCCCTCAGAGTGAGTGAGCTGGATGAACCAGCTAATAGCTCAAGCACCTTCTCACTCTGTCTCTCATCCCCAAACAGATGTCCCCCACCCTGGCCAGTGAGAGCAGCAAATACCCTCCCCAGCACCCCCTCCCTGCCCCACTCCCACACACCCATCCAGGGCTCCAGATTCTGGCAGAGATGCTGAAGTGGGAGCCTCTCCCAGGCAGCAGACAGTCAGGCAGGCAAACACACATTGCCAGGCATCTTCCTTGCTGTGTGGGAGGGTTGAGGAGAATTCCCAGGGTGCAAGCTGCAAGAGCTCCCCTAAATCTCAAGATAAGGAAGGCTCACGCTGCCTTTCGCGGGGCGGGCTTCACTTGGTGGTGCTGGGCTTGGGCTCAAATAATCAGATGTTTCCCTTTCCTCTCTCCTTCCCCCACCCCCTCGCACACCCTAAGAACAAGTTCTCAGCCATCAGGTTCCACAGCACACTCTCTCCCCCATAAATAGGAGAGCGGGCCTTGCCAATCTGTGTGATGTCTGCATCCTCCTGCTGGAGCCCGTTCCCCAATCCTCCCTTCAGGAGGGCACTGGAATGCAGGAAGCACATCTACAAAGACTGCAGAAGCTGGTACTGAAAATGCCACTGTGTTCTGGATCCTTCCTGGAAAGATAACCACCCCCACTATTTTCCCCCATCTCAGCACTTCCCCCAGCCCTCTAGTACCTGTGATTGGGATGCCACAGTCCCCAGCTCTAGTGAGATGGATAGCAGAAAACTGTGCACTGTTTCTGGGCAGCGAGGACAGCCAACCCAGATCCTGCCAGGCAGATCCTCTCAGCGTTTGGTAATTCAGCTACAAATAGGCCTTTGGCTTTTTAGCTTTCATTTTGCAGATAATTGTAGGCACAGCTCATCCAGCATCTACTCAGTTTTCTCTGCACACTGGTACTAGGACACAGAATTCTTAGAGTGGAAAGCACCCTAGATGGGAATCAATGTTTGGGGAACTCCTGCTACACATCTGACCTTCTGCTGGAAGACTTACATCCATTCATCAAACACACGATGCCTTTTTCCAATTCCATAAATCTGAATTGATCATTTCTCCTTTGCCCTCCCTTAGTTCTTTGTTAGATCAAATACTACAGGACATTTTCCACGTTGCTCTGTTCTGCAGTTACTGGTTGTCCTGTCTGTCTCTCCGCTCAGACTGGGAGCTCCACAAGGGCAGGTCATATTCCTCATGAATCTCTCCCAGCTCCTCACACAGACTCTGATACACAGAATGTGCTTCGCAAAGACGCGTGCAGTGGAATTCCCACTTCCCTCTTTGCCTTCCACTGTACCAAGAAATAATAATTTATCTTCAGTGAAGGGAGTCTGTCCCCCCATTAAAATGTCTCCCACATGCAGGTGGGTTTTATTCACGAGTTTGATGAAACACAGAGAGGAGAATTAGAATGCACCTGGAGTCCTCTCCAGGTCTGTTGGCTCCAAAGCTCTGTGTCTTCAGGTCAGTTTCGGTAATACCATGCTGGGCTAGAGCCAGTGGTGAGCTGCAGCTGGACTTTACTTGCAAAAGCCCATTGTTAATTTTCAGAAAATTTGCAAGCCAGTTGACATGATGTTGCTAGCTTCAAATCAGCCATGGTGAGAGTATTTATACCACAGAAATTGGCAAACAATACAAAATCAGGGCTTCTCCCCAACCCCAAGAGCTGGTTGTTACACATTAAACATATGTTTTGGAAGTTCATTTCAAAATTCAAAGTTCATCTTTGGGCCTAAAGGGGACATTCTCAGTACCACTCTTGGAGTGAATACATACCTAGTGCCCACCAGATACCTGAGCCTGGCAAGAGATGTCCCCAGAAAGTCACGGGCCTTGTTAAATCCTCTTCAATCTGCATCTGAGGCCTCTGGGATTCCATATCTCTGCATGGAGCTCCCAATGACCAAGAACAAAGCCCCCTCTGCTCTTGATCTTACATAGCTCAGCTCAGCTCCGGACGCACAGCAAGTGTGTGCTGCATAACTCAGCAATGAAGCAGTTCCTCCCTCCAGGCCTGTCTCACCCAGGAGAGGGAAGAAGACTTTTATAGGAGGCTCAAACTTTACCACCTTCCATTTGCTTGTGGAGTCCCCAACAAAGAAACGAGGATGGAAGTTTATTCCCAAGGGGTGGGGAGTGAACCAGGGGTCATGCCCATGGGCACCCCTTCTTCTGGGCCTGTTCCCATCACTCTTGGGCTGAGATCATCACAGCCTGCAAACATTTAGTATTTCAGACACCAAATCTCCTTGTGTTAAAATTGACCATTGAAAATAAAAGGCAGTGGCACATTTCTAAGGAATAGACATTATTGTGGTCAAAGCAGCATCCAAATGCAGAAATCTGACCCCACGTGTGTGTGTTTGGGTTTTGTTTATTGTTTTTTTCCAGACTTTTGAAAGTCCTTCAGAAAAGCAAAGGTGAAAGACTTCCGTGGGCTCGAACTAGGAACCAGGACAAAAGCAGGTCAGAGGGGCACCGAGGTCTCCCGGCCCAAAGAGGAGCCTTGGGAAATGGGTTAACCTCTCCAGGCCACGCAGGTCCTTGCAGAAGGAGCAGTTTCCAAAGCTAACAACATTTCTCAAAGCTCCTGCCTGACAGCATGGCCAAAGCTCAACTCAAAAATGCATCTGAAAATGTTAAGGCAACAACTTAGATCATTTTACTTCAAACTGGAAATAAGTGACCTTGGGCTAAAACATCTCCAGCCCAATGGAATGATTTAAGTGTATGTGCTATTGTTGGTATTCAATCTGCTACCATGCCCAAGAGAGCAAAACAATTCCTGCTTTCAACCTTCCTCGGCCTCCTGCCCTGACAGAACCTTCCAGAGCTGAGCAATTTGGACATAAAAATGACAGCTACTCTTGCGCATTGTCTCCCAGTGAAGTGCTGCTTTCCAGAGCCTGAGTTCCTGCCTCCTGCCCTCTCCCCTATCAGCTGGAGATCATGTGATTGTAGCAGGGACTGCATAAGCCCCCATGTTGTTAGAAATTAAAGTAAATGATCAGGCACCAACTCTGCCTTTGACTCAGCTAAAAGAAAAGGAGCCAGATACTACCTTTAATTTCCAGGTGTACACAGGCTGCAAATGCCTCTGGGGACTCAGCTTCCTCGAGCAAGCATCAGGCCTCAGGTATGGGAAAGCCCCTTGAAAGGATGACACGTGGTGGCTCTCGGTGACATCCTGGCCCCGGCTCTCCAGCTCTGCGAGGGCACTTTCAAGACCCACTTTCCCCTGATCTGTTCAAACCTGACATGTTTGCCCAGTTTATCCTTTCAACGCATGCTAGAATAATAAATCATCTCAAGGATGACTTCAATATCTGTGGCATTTCTCAACAATTTTTTTTTTTTTGAGACAGAGTCTTGCTTGTCCCAGGGCTGGGGTGCAGTAGTGTGGTCACAGCTCACTGCAGCCTCCACCTCCTGGGTTCAAGTGATCCTCCCACCTCAGCCTCCTGAGTAACTGGGACTATAGGCATGCACCACCACACCCAGCTAAGTTTTGTATTTTTTGTGGAGATGGGGTTTCACCATGTTGCCCAGGCTGGTCTCGAACTCCAGGGCTCAAGTGATCCACCTGCCTCAGCCTCCCAAAGTACTGGGACTACAGGCATAAGCCACTGCGCCTGGCCTATCAACACTTTTATTCATACTAGTTTTAAGTTTTCAGAGGTGTTATTTGTCTTCCTTACGTATATAAATGCAAAGTTTACACCTTCCAAGCTAAATAATTGCTGTCTGCAACATTTACTGTCACATTTTTTGAGGAATGTTATTGAAAACTTTTGGACTTTTGAATCAGTTCTTTACCAAGATAACTTTTTGTTAAAAAAAAAAATCATTGTTTCTCATTGTCAACTTGAATAAGTAACACTATATTTTTACTATAAATCTGTACTCTATTTTCAACACATGGGCTATTTTACTCACATGTATGTTTCTGCCTAATTTAAGCCTTTAAAAACTCAAATTAAATTTTACTGTCTACAATATGTTCAGGCTATGTACTAGAAGGGAAATCAAAGAAAATATAAACTGCATTATTTGGGCTAAAGGAATGTAAAATCTCTTTTTGTTTGTTTGGTTTTTTGAAACAGAGTCTCGCTCTGTCACCCAGGCTGGAGTACGGTGGCACGATCTCGGCTCACTGCAACCTCTGCCTCCCAGGTTCAAGCAATTCCTGTGCCTCAGCCTCCTGGGTAGCTGGGGCTACAGGCATGCTCCAGCATGCCCGGCCAAGTTTTGTATTTTTTAGTAGAGATGAGGTTTCACCATGTTGTCAGGCTGGTCTTGAACTCCTGGCCTCAAGTGATCCGCCTACCTCAGCCTCCCAAAGTGCTGGGATTACAGGCATGAACCACCACACTCAGCCTGGAATGTAAAATCTTGTTGAGAGAATTTTACCAAATAGTATCAAATACACTCCTAGTTCAGTGGGGTACATCAACCATCAGCCCCAGAACCAGTTTATAACCATGACGTGTCCAGAATAGCAGTGTTTCCACCACAGAACTGGCCTGCCATGGAGAATGGGTGGACACCAGATTCTTAACCAGCAACTATTTCGGAAACGGAACTGGAATGACCTCCAGCAGAACAATTAAAAACTTTCTTTAAAGAACGTTCTTTTAAAAACTTTCTTTAAAGAACCTTATGGGCCGGGCATGGTGGCTCATGCCTATAATCCCAGAACTTTGGGAGGCTGAGGCAGGTGGATCACGAGGTCAAGAGATTGAGACCATGCTGACCAACATGGTGAAACCCCATCTCTACTAAAAATACAAAAATTAGCTGGGCGTGGTGGCTACTGGGAGGCTGAGGCAGGAGAATCACTTAAACCCGGGAGGTGGAGGTTGCAGTGAGCCAAGATCGTGCCATTGCACTCCAGCCTGGCAAGACTCAGTCTCAAAAAAAAAAAAAAAATTGTGGAAAACATTAGCTGATCCTTTTACTAGACCCTATTTTGAGAGGCCCCTGCATTTCCAGGGCAAGATAGAGAAAAGAGACAATATCTGGCTCACAGAAAATGCAGAGGCTTCACTCATCTCTTGGCATATCCCAGTCCATGGCAATGAGGCTCTGCACATCTCTCCCCAGGCCAGAGGGGTTCATCTGACCAAAGTTTACATAAAGCATAAGAGGGTATCACCCTCTCATTCTCATCTCAGTACATACCAGTCCAAATTCCCTGAGAGTTGACAGGCAGGTTATCAGGGAGAAAGGGCAGATTAAGCTTTGCCCCTTATTCAACCTTGGAGGTCATCCCCCCAAGAGGTCTTGGCATCTTTTGACCCCAGCACCATCTTCCCTGGAGATGGGAAGGTGGATCTGAGTCATCCCCTGCAATCAGATTCAGTCAATCAAGTGAATCACAAATTACATAAATCCAGTAAGTACAATCTAGGAAAAAAGAAAAAGCAAAACATTTGATGAGGAGGACAAGTTATTACCCTACTTAATAGATGCTAAAATTTAGGGTCTGATACTGGGGGAAAAAGGAAAACATTCACCAAAATAATTTTGACTCCATACCCCTTCTTCTAAGTGAGGAGTCCAGAGTAAGTCTCCTATGTCCATTCAAAGCCAATCTCAGCTCATGAACTTAAGCATTGTCTTGATCAACTGCCTCCTCAAGGTTCTGGTAGCTCTGCCTATAAGCTGAGTGGCATTAGCCAAATTACCTAACTTCTTTGGTATTGTTTTCCTCACCCTTCAGATGAAGCTGTGATCTCTACGTTCTCTTTAGCTATCCAAATCTAAAATTCTCTGACTATGCTGCACAGATAGCTTTGCCCTCAATTAAGTGTTCTTTATTTAGGGAACAATTTCTGGAGGTATTAACCTTCAGCATCCCAAGAAATGGACAAAGCCACAGCTGTAGACTGAGACAATCCTTCTCCAGGAAACACGAAAGGAGCCTTCTGGAATGGCCGGGCTGGTCTGCTCACACCAGCCTTTTCAGTCACACCTGACCCAGAAATAGCCACACCGTCTGCAGGGATAAGTTGCTCTGAAAAAGTAGGGCGATAGAAACCACAGGACTTTTAGACACAGCTGGATGGGATTTCAAGAAGCAAAGTCCCGGATGACAAGCTGACACTAGCCTGCCATTATGTCAGCATCTTATTCCTGCAGCAATTGGATACCTGGACACCAGTTATTCTCCAAACCTACACTTGCCCCTGCCCCGAAGATTTTGAAGATGTGGTTGGCAGAAGAGTCAGAGTGAGAGAAGGGCGAGGCACATCAGTGCGGAGTCACAGCTACCTCTGCACTTCCCTGAGCCCCTGAATGAGGGATTGTTTGTGCAACTGGGAATCGGAGCTTCTCCTGTGTGTCATGTGCAGTTTGGGCTGCACCCGCCCTGCCTGCTGGGCCTGTAGGGTGTGTAGGTTATGTCGAAACAAGACTGCACCCAGACACTACCCTAGGCCTCAGGCACCCTGGGAGTTCTGCTGTGTCAGGGACCCGGCGCTGCAATCTTTTTGTCTTCCAAATGAGACCTGGTAAGCAGGTTGGGCTCCCCAGAGGGGATGGCATAACTCAGGACTGGGACATGCTAGGTGGTAGGTACCTTTTGCTTGTATCCCTCAGGGGTGAGAGCAGAGGATGCGGGCAGCCCTGGGAACTCTGGCTTAGTGACCTGGCATCACGGGAGTGTTCATAACTTGCTCTGTGAACATTCTCTAACCCAGAAAGCAAAGGGGGACTGCCTTCCTTTGGCAGACAGGCATGAGCACTGCTCACCTTGGGTGTGGAGAGGTTGTCCTGTTCTAGCCCTTCGAGGACAGTAGCATCTAGGGGATCCCCCCGCTATCTCACACACACACACACACACACACACACACACAAACACAGACATCCATAAGTGCCTCCTCTCCAGCCACCCTGTACTGTGACTGTTGAGCCCCACATACCCTGCATGACAAAGTACTCTGCCTTCTGCCAGTAGAGACATTGGGTGTAGCCAGGTGGACCAAGTACTGAAGAAAAGGTCCTTGTGTGGCATTAAAGTTGCTGCAGGGGACTCAGCCTCTGGCAGAGCCCCTGTGCCGTAGCACAAAACCAGTTTCTGGATCTCATTCCTCTAGGGTCTCTGGGCATGCATTTCTGGTAGCTCCATGCCACCTCCAACATTCCTGAGCAGGAATGAACCTCATGCCTGTCCACGGGCTGCAGTCACCCTGCAGGTGAAGGCACCACGGGTGGGGCGCCCTCCCAGGAGGTTGGCCAAAGAACACCTGTTCGGAGAAATGGTGCCGATGACTCAGCAAGTGGCACTCTTCCTCAGATGCATCCCTGACTCTGTGCCTGGCCTGCTGGTGGGGACTTGGAGCAATCTAGGGGGTGGCTCTTGGGTGAGTCAGAAACCAAGAGGCTGACTCTTTATACTCCCAGGGACCCAAGACTTTCTCAGAAAAAAAGCAGGCAGAATGAACTTCTATTCACTCTTTCTCCTTTTGGCCTCTGTCCGCCTGTGGTGATCATAGGAAGTGCTTATATGCTTTTTCACTGCTTCTAAAACTGTTGCTGAAAGTTTTTGGGCCTTGTGAAATAAGAAAAGTTAATTAAGAAGGTTCCATAGTAGATCAATGTGGATGACCAAATTATAAAGCTAATGACCTGTATCTATACCATTCTATATGATAGCCACTAGCCACGCATGACCATTTCAATAAAATTAATTAAAATGTAAAATTTGGTTCTCCAGCCATACCAGCCACATTTGAAGAGCTCAGTAGCTGCCTGCGGCCAGTGGCCGCAGCATTGGACAGCACAGCTATAGAACATCTCTATCATCACAGACATTTCCACTGCACAGAGGTAATCCAAATACATAGTGTTAGAGATCCACTCAACTTCTCATTCATTCATTTACTCAAGTATTTACAGAGGGTCGGCTGTGTTTTAGTGGCTGTGGGTGAACAAAGATGGCAAACAGGTGGTCCCTGCACACTCTAAGAGTTTATAACTGGTTGGGAATTCAAATGTGTAACCAAAGATACAGAACTCTTTCATTCTGGGACTGAAACAAGCGATACACAAATGAATAGAATGCTTCTAAAAGGTCAGCTTCCAAAAAGAAGAGGAGGGAAATGAGTCGGCCTGGTTGGACTTCAGATTATTAATCTTTTACTTAGCATCTGCCTAAGGAAGTGTGGGTAGTAAGTTAGCTTAGACCTGAGTGACAGATGTGACAGACACAGGGCAATTAGGCCAAAAGGAGGAAAGTCCAGACCCACAGCTCTCCTGGGAAATTTCTGACTATGCATCCTGAGGAGGGCAACTGCATGAACACCACTGGTAGAGGAGAGGGCCATTGTCTCAGGCAGTCATATCCCAGGGCTGCAAAGGCTAACATTGCCATTCACCTCCTGGAACTCTGGGACGTGGTGCTTTCCACCGTACTTCTGAGAAAGTAGCAAGCAACTGGCTGGCTCTTTCTCCAATCCAGCTGCTCCTTGTTTGCAAGATTTTCACAGAGTGATTTCAAAGGTTTTTATAAGGTGTTCAAGTTGGGCAAGCACATTGGATATGCACCAAGTACAGCGTCTGGAAAAGGGATCCCAAAGCCCAGAGAGGGTGAGAACCTCTCACAGAACTTCTCAGCCAGGTCATCTTAGGGCAGAGATGCTCAGGGAAGAAAGATACCAAAATAAAGGGCATGGAGACACCACCTGAAACTGATGAATTGTGTGGGAGAGAAGCAGGTAGAGAAACGCAGACACGTAACTCAGAGCCCCCAGAGAGACCAGCGGGTCATCTTCAACCTGGAAGGAGTTGTAATGGCTCACAGATGGGTGACCCCTGGCAGCTGCTCGCTAAAGGTGTCCAAGAATTTGTTTGGGGGAGTTATTTTTTAACACTTGAGATCACCAGAGATGGTTTGTGAGTCATAAAGCTGGATGCTGGGCTCCCCGGGCAGTTGAGCTACAGAAGAGCTATTCTGAAAAAAAGACTGTGGGAATAAGCAATTCATTTTTTATGTGATGTTTTGAATAGGGTACGTAGTTGCGTGATTCAAATCTGAGGAAATGTGTATTAAAAGGTTCACGGTGAACAGTTGCCTTGCCCCTGCTGCCTATCTGCCTAGTTCCCACACTTCTCCGACCTGCACTTGGGCAACCACTATTACGTTCTTTTGCACCCATCCGAGTTATTTTTAAAACTTTTATTTATTTATTTATTTGAGACAGGGTCTTGCTCTGTCATCCAGGCTGTAGTGCAGTGGCATGATCTCAGTTCACTGCAGCCTCGACCTCCCCGGCTCAAGCAATCCTCCCATCTTGGTCTCCTGAGTACCTAAGACTACAGGTCTGTGTGACCATGCCCAGGTGAGATATATATATATACACAAATATATATATATATATATATATATATATATTTGTTGTTGTTGTTGTTGTTGTAGTGGCCGGGCACGACGGTGGCTCACGCCTGTAATTCCAGCACTTTGGGAGACCAAGATTGGTGAATCACTTGAGGTCAGGAGTTCGAGAACAGCCTGGCCAACATGGTGAAACCCCGTCTCTACTAAAAATATAAAAATTAGTTGAGCGTTGTGGCACACGCCTTTAATCCCAGTAGTTACTCAGGAGGCTGAGACAGGAGAATCGCTTGAACCTGGCAAGCAGAGTTTGCAGTGAGCCAAGATCCTGGCACTGCACTCCAGCCTCGGTGATAGAGGGAGACCCCGTCTCAAAAAATATATTTTTGTAGAGACGGTGTCTTGCTCTGTTGCCCAGGCTGGTCTCAAACTCCTGGGCTCAAGCGATCCTCCCAAAGTGCTGGGATTACAGGGGTGAGCGACCACACTCAGCCTCTGTGAACTTCTAATCATATCTTTTACTCATTCTATGGGTCTTTGGCTACTTTTAGCAATCAGTTTCTAATTAATTTTGCTCATCAATGTTTTTATCAATTTCAAGACTAGCCCTTTGTCTGTGAACTGAGGAATACAATATAAACACAGAGCTAATGAATAACAGTCTTAGCCAAAGATACTTTGATGATTCCCTGTAAAATTATTTTCAAGGCAAGGATTTCAGCCCTGTCCCCCAGGCTCCCCGCCACCCCACGTCACACCAGGTTGCTGGCCATTTTTTTTTTTCACTTCTTTTTCTTCCTTGGGCCTTTGCATTGGCTATTTCCTCTTCCTGGAATGAGGTTTTCCCTTTGTCCTCCTGGTAAATCCCTGCTCACTTTCTCAAGGCCTATGGCACCTTCTCATTAGAAAGAGCAAGTGAGGACAGAGGTGAGTGACTATCTGAAACCGCAAGTCCTTTCCCTGAATCACAGTGCATGGAGGGGAGACCCAGGCTGGGCAAACAATTTTGAAGCGGTGGAAGTTGGGAAGTTGAGGGAGGTCAGTGGGAGACCCTTGGTGGGAGGTGGAGCTGATGACAGCCCGGGTGAGGATGTGGCTGAATGAGGAATCTTCTGCAGGGCAGGGGCTGTGGAGGATGGGTTGGGGGGTGAGCCTCAATGGGACACAAGGCCTGGGCACATGCATTCAGTGGACAGAGCTTCCAGAGAGGACGAGAGGACGGAGAACAGAGCACGGGGAAGGACACAAAGTATGAATACAGGGGACTCAAGACCAGGCTACAGAATCTTCCAAGGGGCTGCAAGGAGAGGAATTTCAACTGGAAACCAAAGGACCTTGACTCCAAAATGCCCTCATCTTCCAAAAACCCATAAAGAAGAGAAAGAGTGAGAGATGTCCCAGCCTCTGACAAGGAAAATAATTAAGGTAAAATATGGCTGGGTGTGGTGGCTTACACTTGTAATCCCAACAATTTGGAAAGCCAAGGAGGGCGGATCACTTGAGACCAAGAGTTCGAGACCAGCTTGGACAACACAGTGAGACCCCATCTCTACAAAAATAAAAAATTAGCTGGGCATAGGGGTGTGTGCTTGTGGTCCCAGCTACGTGGGAGTCTGAGGCAGGAGGATTGCCTGGGAGGTCGAGGCTGCAGTGAGACGTGATCACACCACTGCACTCCAGCCTGGGAGACAGAATGAGCCCCTGTCTCAAAATAAATAAACAAACAAAAAGGTAAGATGTGAAGAAAGACATTAAACTTCAAGAATCTGGGCTTAGAGCAGCCAGAGATGGTGAGAGAATTTGAAAAGCCTGTGAAGAGACTCATGAAATCAGGTTTTAACTCTAAACCACGGGGTAGAATTCATGCCTGACTACGTGCCCACCACTTGCTCCAAAAAGATTTGCACCCAGACTCACCACACCATGGGAAAAGAGTTTCGTGTCTCATAAAGTAGCCTACTGGATGTGCTACACTTGAGGGCAGACAAGTTGGGGGATCGGTATTCTGATCTCCTGGGTGGTACCAGCGATTACCTAGAGAAGCCACAACAAGAACTCAGGAAGCTTCTGGCTGGAGGGCCGCCCTGGGAACTTCCCTCATACACTTCTCCTCGTGTATTCATTCAGCACATGTTTTTTGAGCACCTGCTGTGTATTGGGCACTGTGCTAGGGGCTGGGGATGTACTGGTGACTAAGGCACTGAGCCTGCCCCAGCTGCTCTAGTGCAGTGGGAGAGATGGACACTCACACAAGCCAGTGTTACGTGTGCTCTGGTGAAAGTGAGCACTGGGGCCTGTGGGGCTGCAGAGAGAGGGGCCTGGTCCACTTTTGGGGTGTCAGGGAAGGCTTCCCAGCAAACATGACTCCTAAATCAACAGGGGTCATTTGGAGAATAGCCTACTCATGAAAGACCCTTGAGACCACCTGCCCCAGGAGTGGGTAGAGAACTCTCCTGCAGCAAGTGTAGAAAGACAGCGTGAGGCCAGGAGCCTCAAGTTAATATACTGGACTTCCAAATAAAGGAGGAAAGTTTAGAAAACCAAATCAAGAGATAAATGCTTTTCTCCTTCTCATTGTTCTGACCCAGACAGTCAAATTCTTGCACGACTTATACCTTAAAAGCAATGTGTGTGCAAATTCCAAGCCAAAAATAGAAGCCATGCCTGATAGGATCCATTCTCATTCCTTTGTTGCTGACTTTTGTATTAGCTCTTAGCTGAAGTTCAGCATTTTCTGATACCATCTTCTGCATTGAACTCCTCCTCCTCCTCTCCAAACTCCTTTAAGGATTCCAAGCAGCCTTATTCAATATTTATATGATCTGGACACAGCAAGACTTCTTTGATCTGCAGTGAGCAAGAACTGAAGATCATTGGAGCTTGGCCCTCAGCAGCTGCTGTTCCCCGAATTTGCCCCTCCCCCAGGGGGTCCACAGGAGCCCTGCGGGGTGAAGGCATCACCTCTTTGTGCAGCGGCTTTGCTTCCACTGGGCACTGGTAGAGACCTGCCAGTCCCCCGTGGGGCAGAAGAAAGAGATCTGCTGCATACTTTAGCTAAGTACTTTTTAAAACACAGAGATTCTGCTTGGATTTTTTCTTGTGAACAGTTAGCAGAAGCAAAAAGTCAACAAACCCCCAATGGACAGCCCACCCCAATAGGGCCAGCACATGCAACAGAAAAGTGGATAAGAGTTGAGACTGCTCTTTTTTCCATTGCGACTTAGAATTCCCAAGGCTAGGCTGCCTGTTTTCTTTCAGCAGAGGAAGCAATGAGATGCAGGACCTGTGTGCTTCATTCTCTCACACAGACGCACACCTCAATCAGGATGCTAAATAATGAAAATACCCTGGGACTTGCTGCCAAGACCTTCAATAAGAAATGAAGGCCAGTTCAGACATCTGTATTGGTTTGCCTCTGGCACAGAGGGTCTGCAGGAGTGCTAAGCCAACTCCATTGCTGTTATCTTCTCAGACTAGCCACAAGAAGAACACCTCCATCATTGCTGCTTCCAGACATAGAGTCTGTCTAGGTCAGTTAGCTGTGGGACACCAAAACATACTGGGCAGGTGGGCATGGTGACTCACGCCTATAATCCCAGCACTTTGGGAGGACAAGGCAGGAGGATCACTTGAGCCCAGGAGTTTGAGACCAGCCTGAGCAACATAGCATGACCCCCTCTCTACAAAAAAATTTAAAAGTTATTGGCCAGGTGCAGTGGCTCATGCCTGTAATCCCAACACTTTGGGAGGCTGAGGCAGGTGGATCACTTGAGGTCAGGAGTTCAAGACCAGCCTGGCCAACATGGTGAAATCCCATCTCTACTAAAAATGCAAAAATTAGTTGGGTGTGGTGGCACATGCCTGTAATCCCAGCTACTTAGGAGGCTGAGGCACGAGAATCACTTGAACCCGGGAGGCGGAGGTTGCAGTGAGCTGAGATGGTGCTACTGCACTCTAGCCTGGGCAACAGAGCAAGACTCCATATCAAAAAAAAAAGTTAGCCATGTGCAGTGCTGTGCACCTGTAGTCCTAGCTACTTGGCAGGCTGAGCTGGGAGGATTGCTTGAGCACAGGAAATCGAGGCTGCAGTGAACTGTGGTCCACCACTGGATTCCAGCACAAGTGACAAAGTGAGACGCTGTCTCCAAAAAAAAAAAAAAAAGGAAAAGAAAAAAAGAAAAGAAAAAGAAACTGGGCATCCTAGAAGGGCGAAGAGGCTTTTTGCCATAGAAGGTCTTGTTTTACCAACATCCTGGAAAAGTAATATGGCATCATCAAAGGCATGGTTCAGGGTTGGTGAATACAGCACAGCTATATTTACTCTCTTGCTATCTCTGTCCATCTTTTGTACAGACATAACTAATCAATCATAACCCATTTTTCCTTTGGAAAATATGTACCATCTGGGGAGCCATAGTTACTGAAGATCCTTGGGCTGCAAAGAAAGTAGAAAGGAGCACTGATCTCCATTACCGGGGAGGTTAAGCCTTACGGTTAGCAGTTTAAAAGAGTCTTTCCCTAACACTTTTATACTTAACAATCCAAGTGAATTCATTCTTCTCACGGGGAAAAAAAGCATTGAGCTGCTGGTTCACTGAGTGAATGATGGCAAGCAAGAGCTCAGATATCCCATAAGGAGATACTCACATAACCCAGGAAGAGCCTACGAGACTGTATTGAGCAATATTGGAGATAGGAATGCAGGACGCCTTGCTCCTGGGGCTGAAATCAATCCGCATCTCCCCCAGCATTGGAGACCAAAGGAACAGGGCTAAAGCCCAACCTTGAAGCCTCCTTGGTAACTCCCAGTACTCAGAAAGGATGGAGAAGAGAACAATCCCTTATCTACCTTCCTATATAAGTTGCTTCATTTATTCATTTATTTACTCACTAGATGACCAATATTTCTCGTGGATCTAGCTTTGACTAGGCACTAGGACTTCGACTGGGGGCGAGCAAGGGTGGCTGCATATTAACTGAGATTCCTGCTTGTGAATTTCATACCTCTCTGCCACCATCTCCCCCTCAGTTCTCAGGCATTGATTGCTTCAAGCAGGAAGTAACACTGCAGAATGGCAGACAAAACACTCTTGAGATTCAAGGGTAGGCTTTCCATTTTCTAGAGCCTAGTATATATATGTCAAATATCAAGGTCCTAGTAGCAACTTTTTGGGGTAACAAATCTGTTCTATATCTTACTTGTGGTGGTAATTACATGTTTGGACATATTTGTCAAAACATATATAAGTCTACACTACACTAAAAAGAGTAAAATTCGCTATAAGTAAGTTACTACCTTAAAATTAGGAAAATAAACATAATATGGAGTAGGAAAAAAGTGACACATACAATAAGAAAACTTTTTAGATGTATATAATAGAACATATTCTTTTTAAATGCATAAACAAATAATAACAGAACAAAAATCTACAAGAGACAGATGAACGCCAGTTTCAGCATAGTCAATACTTCCAGGGAGCAGAGGAGAGTGGAAGTATTTGGCTCTATCTATAGTGATTTATTTTATTTTTAAGAAAAGAGGGATCTAAAGCAAACATGACAAAATTTGAACATCTGTTTACTTTTGATAGTAGGTACAAAAGTGTCATATTATTTTCTGATCTTTCTGTATATTAAAAAAAATTTTTTTGAGACAGGGTCTGGCTCTGTTACCCAGGCGGGAGTGCAGTGGCGTGATCTCGGCTCACTGCAACCTCTGCCTCCCAGGCTCAAGCAATCCTCCCACCTCAGCCTCCTAAGTAGCTGCGACTACAGGCACCCACCACCCCACCCAGCTAATTTTTGTATTTTTAGTAGAGATTGGGTTCCACCATGTTGGCCAGTCTGATCTTGAACTCCTGAGCTCAAGTGATCTGCCCACCTTGGCCTCCCAAAGTGCTGGGATGACAGGTGTGAGCCACCATGCCTGGCCTGTATATTAAAATTTTCTTTATAATTTGTTAAAAAGTTTTAAAATCATACACACACATACACACACTCACACACACGGCCCTGAATGTCCCTGGTCCTGGCCCTAAACAATAGATTTGGAAATCAGAGGCAAGTAACTAAGAGTAAAGATGAAAGCAAAAGAATTAGCCATTGTGGTGAGTCCTAAGGTTGCAGTGGGGCTGGGATTTTAGCCTCCTGTCCAGAGAAGTGGCCTGGAAGTGGCAGATCTTATAGAGTCCCAGCAGATCTGAGAACTCCTGGGAGAATTTCCCCATCCTGCAGGGTACAGAGGCAGCCAGGTGCTTCCCATGGCTCAAAAGGGCATGGAAGGAGTGAGTGACGTCAGATCTGAGAGGTAAAGGGCCCAGAATTGGCTGTTTCTGCCACTTGGAGCAGATACTCAAAATAGATATTCGGAGAGTTATAGAAAAATAAAGAATTTTACATTACCTGCACATTTAGGTTTGTTAGAACTTGGCTACATCAAAGATGAGTAAGTCACAATCTCTGCTCTCAGGAGCCCATGGGTTATCTGGGAGACAGAGAAGTAAATAAGCCATTAGGATGTGATGTTCTCAGGGGAAAGGGGGATGAAATCAAATGAAAGCTCCTTGTACAGAAAAGTATTTGGTGAGACCCCTCCCATCCCTCTCTCCAGTCGAATCTTTTGAGCATGTATTAGTTATCTATTGCTGTGCAACAAATTACCTTATAATTTGGCAGCTTAAAACAGTTAACATTTTATTATCTCACAAAGTTGGGATTTGGGAAGTGGCTTAGCTGGCAGGCTGTGGTGCAGGATCTCTCACTAGGCTGTGCTCAAAATGTTGACGGGGGCCAGGCACAGTGGCTCATGCCTGTAATCTCAGCACTTTGGGAGGCCAAGGAGGGTGGATCACTTTAAGACAGGAGTTCGAGACCAGCCTGGCCAACATGATGAAACATGTTGAAACATGTTCTGTATTTTTAGAACATGTTTAAATACATGAACTTAAACAGGTATTTAAACAGAAATACAGAAATTAGCCAGGCATGGTGACACATGCCTGTAATCCCAGCTACTCGGGAGGCTGAAACAGGAGAACTGCTTGAACCCGGGAGGCGGAGGTTGCAGTGAGACAAGATCATGCCACTGCACTCCAGCCTGGGCAACAGAGCAAGGCTCCATCTCAAAAAAAAAAAAAAAAGACTGGGCTGTAGTCATCTGAAGGCTGGACTGGGACAGGAGTTCCCAATCCTAGGTGGTTTTTTCGTATGACTGTCCATTGCTGGTTGCTGGCAGGAGGCCTTAGTTCCTCACCATAAGAGCCTCTCCCTAGGGCTATTCGAGTGTCCTCATAGTATGGTATCTGGCTTCCCCCAGAATGATTGATCCAAGAGAAAGAGCAAGAAAGAAGCCACATTCTGTTTAAAAGAAGCAACTTCTTAAGTCTAGCCCATACTGTAGAGGAGAATTCAGCTCCATCTCTTGAAGGGAGGAGTATCAAATAATGCATGGACTTATTTTAAAGCCACCAAAGGGAACAAAGGAAGCCAGAGTTCCTAAACTTTCTTTCTCCACTGTCCTGACTCCCCAAGTGTGATGGATGACTATGGATCCAGTTATTGGCAAGACTAAAATTGAGATTCAGACATTATCAGGAAAGATTTGGAATCTAAACACAAAAGAGCGCAGGCAAAACTGTGTCACTTCTGGGATGGAGCCCTCGAGTGAATCCAGACGTTTCCTCCAAACTCAGGGAACCAGCATGAAAGAGAAAGAAGAAGCCAGACATACGCCCTGTTAGCTAGCGTCTGAGGAGTTTCCTTAAGCAGGATGATAGAATCGAGGAGGGATGGGCAGGCCCTGAGAGGCAGGCAGCATCAGAGAGGCCCAGCCACAGGGGCTGGCAGGGGCAAGAAAGCAGTCTTGGGGTCTGGGGCCCTTGGGTGCAGAGCTGGATGACTCAATAGGTAGCTGAAATACGGATTTGGAGACCCAGCCCAGCAGGCATCTCCCACAAAACTGAAAAATGTTTGGCTTCAGTGAGAACTGAACTGAAATTTTACAATCTAGATATCTCAAGTGAAATCATTTTAATCTCAGCATCTATATCAGTTTTGTGTTTTAAGTGTTAGTATCATTTTTATTTTGAATTACATAATGGCAGGGCAGAGGGAGGATGGCAGAAGGGTCTGTAAAGCCGAACTTACCAACTCGTATGTCCCAGCATCCTGGTGGCCTGTTCACAGGCAGGGCTCTCACCTGCAGCCATGTAGCCACTACTCTGCACAAAGCAGCTAGCAGGAGGGGCATGTGGGAGCTGAAAGCAGTCTGTGTCCTGACCACCAAGCCTGGCATCCAGCTTGTGAAAATACGGCACATTTTTATTATTCCTAGTTTCTGCTAGCTGATGGTTCTGCTAATGAGTTATAGATGAGTTGAGATGTGGAGCTCTCTAGCTCTTGGGAGGCCAGGCAGGTGAGAGAAGCTGGAGCCCCCAGGCCAGATTCCGCCTGCTGGGAGAAGCTTTGCCCAGAGACCAACTCAAAGAAAATAAAAATGGATGGAGGCCCAAACCCAGCCATAAGCAGGCAGCTCACCACACAACAAACAGCAATACCCTACCTTGTGCAGGGTTGGGCAGTGCTGTACATCCCATCAAGGACTCCTTACAGGTCCTCTGCTTATTGACCCCAAGTCTGGGTAGTATGGGCTCCCAGGCTAACCAAGGGGGCATAGGAGCAGTGCCAGAGGAGAGCGAGGAGATGGGCAGCCTACACCGAGAGCCTGCCCTCCCAGAGGGGTGCACTGGGAAAGCTGGCTCAGCCAGTCCCTCCAGAGTTCCAGCAGCTCCACTCTCCCCAACCTGGTGGCCCAGCCCCACAAAGGGGCTATCCCTGAGACCCTCCTCTGAAATGCCCCTCCCTTCGAAGAGCTCCATCCAGTTGGAGGGGCTGTGAGCTGGAGTGGAGCAGCATAAAGATGAAGGATATGAGGCCAGATCCCTCCCCCACTAAATACAGCCTGAATCTGATCGTCACAGGTTGTGCTGGACAGCTTTATTTGCCCACAGGATTGGAAGTTAGAGGCCCATGGACTGGATTACGCTAAAGGAAGTGACATATGCAAATGAGTCACATGCCAGGCTGCTGCGACCAGACTGACAGCTTTATCATGCAGTACCCCGTATCTCTCAGGGCCTGTTTACAGAAAGGTCTGGAGTCTTCTCTTGTCTTTTGGCAACGATCCAGCTTGCTCAGGCATGACTTCTCATGGAAATTCGGTTTGACTTTAAAAATGCTCCTTGTGGTGGTAACTTAGCAGCCAAGACCGGCTCTGCGCTGAATTATTGAACGGTGCGGATGTTTGCCTTCCCCTGTCACAGCCCCTCTTCTCTGTAGCTCCTTTTCCTGACAAGTAATTTTAAATATGCAGCAGTGCAAGTCTCTGTGCTCACTTGGCCTAATGCTAAGCCAGATTCCAGTCGTGCTTGAACAACTGCCAAGACACCCAGGGCAGCAGGCCTTGCTCCAGGGGCCTGGGGACTACAGATTTGGGCAAGTGGATATTTTGATGACGGTGATCTCCAAGCTATTGTTCTGAAGGGATCATATCTTAAGGTATCTAAAACCAAAATCATTCGTTAACACCCAGCTGGCTCCTTCACCTGTTTTCTCTATTTTCACCACTGGTGTCACAATCTGTTCAGCTGCCCAAGCCCCTGCCTTGGCCTCACCCTTAACCCTGCAACATGTGCACAGTCTCCAAGTTTTGTCTATTGCGCCTCTAAGATATTAATCAGTTACATTCAATCCTCCCTATCCTCACTATCCCTGACTTGTTGAAGTTGATATCATCTCCCCTAGACTCTTAACATGCCCTTCCAATCAAGCTCCCCTTCTCCAATCCTTTGGCCACAATGATCTACTCATATCCATATTATTGTCCAGCTTTCATTGGTTTTATTAACTTGAGGATCAAGTCTAAACTCTTTAGCATGTTAGTCACAGACAGGTATCAAATGAGCAAAACTACAATATCCTTGATCTTAAAGCAAGGATGAGGGAGAGAATCAGCCAAGCAAACAATCATTGCCCCATATTTTTAATATAAGTTTTATCACTTGCAATTCCATGACCTTGGCCAAGTCACTTAACCTATAAACTGAGATTATCAACAGGAATGACGATTAATATTAGACACAATATAATTTATTCTATATATTCTAAATAATCTAATTTCTTATAAAATACTTCTATTTCACACCGTACTTTAAAACTGGAAAACTTATTTCACTTTCAAAATATTCAACCATGGAAACTGCAAAGCAATTATATGAGTTCACTAGTGTCTAATATCTTTATTCTTAAAAAAGAAAATGGTCATTTTTAATTAGAACAAAAAATCAAAGTTTAATTCCCATTTTTAAAAGAGCAAAATATTTTTAATTACAACTAATTTCAAGGATCTTTACGTGTTGTACAATCAAAGT
This sequence comes from Homo sapiens, assembly GCF_000001405.40. Classification (NCBI taxonomy): domain Eukaryota; kingdom Metazoa; phylum Chordata; class Mammalia; order Primates; family Hominidae; genus Homo; species Homo sapiens. The sequence continues at coordinate 101,050,554 of NC_000008.11, read as the reverse complement.
TACTTACTCTTACAGATTTTCACATTTGACATGCAAAATGAAAAACTTAAATTACATTATTTACCTATAAAAATAATAATAACGGGGATTAAATGAGATAACATATATAAGTAACATAGTTTCCGTATCAGGTGTCTAGAAAGTACCAGAAATGCTCACCTCTGTAACTGTTGCTGCTGTTCAAACCCTGGCTTCCCTCCCTTCCATTGTCATCTCTTGACTACCTGGAATATCCTAGGCAACCACACCCATTCTCAAATCACGTCCTACCACCGCATATGTTTGTGTCTTTGCATAGCCATTCCCCTACCTGGAATTGCCTTTATCTCCTTGTCTAGCTAGTAAATTGCTACTCATTCCTAAAGGGCCATCTCAAATGTTGCCCTCCCTGGAATGTCTCTAGTGCTCCCATCTTCACATTTTCATAGCTTTTGCACATAACTTTATTGTAACTTTTGCCTTGAAATATTTATTCTTGGGGCCGGGCGTGGCGGCTGACACCTGTAATCCCAGCACTTTGGGAGGCTGAGGTGGGCGGATCATGAGGTCAAGAGATCGAGACCATACTTGCTAACATGGTGAAACCCCATCTCTACTAAAAAACAAAAAAATTAGCCGGGCATGGTGGTGGGCACCTGTAGTCCCAGCTGCTCAGGAGACTGAGGCAGGAGAATGGTGTGAACCCGGGAGGCAGAGCTTGCAGTGAGCTGAGATTTTTCCACTGCACTCCAGCCTGGGTGACAGAGCCAGGCCCTGTCTCAAAAAAGAAAGAGACCAGCCATGGTGGCTCACGCCTGTAATCCCAGTACTTTCAGAGGCCAAGGTGGGCAAATCACCTGAGGTCAGGAGTCCAAGACTAGCCTGGCCAACATGGCGAAACCCTATCCCTTCTGAAAATACAAAAATTAGCCAGGCTTGGTGGCACATGCCTATAATCCTAGCTACTCAGGAGGCTGAGGCAGGAGAATCGCTTGAACCCAGGAGGCAGAGGTTGTAGTGAGCTGAGATGGTGCCATTGCACTCCAGCCTAGGCAACAGAGCAAGACTCCAAAAGAAAAAAAGAGAAAGAGAGAGAGAGGGAGGGAGGGAGGGAGGGAGGAAGGAAGGAAGGAAGGAAGGAAGGAAAGAAGGAAGGAAGAAAGGAAGGAGAAAGAAAAGAAAGAAAGAAGGAAGGAAGGAAAGAAAGAAAGAAAAAGAAAGAAAGGAAAGAAAGCAAGAGAGAGAAAGAAAAAGAAAGAGAAGGAAGGAGGGAAGGAAGGAAGGAGATGCAAGAAAAGAGAGAAGGAAAGAAGGAGGGGGGGAGGGAGGATGGAAGGAAGGAAGGAAGGAAGGAAAGAAAGAAGGAAAGGCTTTCTTTGTACGCCGAGTTTTAAAAGCTTGCATTTTATCCTGAAGGCACCGGGTAGTCATTGAGTGGTTTAAAACAGGTGAGTGGACATGGTCCTATTTAAATTATAGAAAGATCCACATGGACTGGAAAGGGGCAAGGTTACAGAGAAGAAAACTGGTTAGGAGGCCACTGCAGCCATCTGGGAAGAAATGGTGATGATCTGAACCGAGGAGGTGGCAGTAAGGCTAGAGAAGAACAAAGACAAGAAATGTTTGAGGCCTGATGACACACTGACCAGGAGAGAGGAGGATTGAGGCCTATCAGTCAACGAGCAGGTCCTGGCTTGAGCAGTTGGGAGGATTGCTGTATGCTTCACCAAGATAAGCTACACAAGGAAAGACATACATTTGTGGAGAAAGATGAGTCAGATTTCAATATGGTAACCTGGAGGTGTGTGTGGAGCATCCAGGTGGAGACACCGAGTAAGCAACTGCAAGATCGAAGTCTGGTCCTCATAAGGGAGGTTTGGGCTGGGCAGCAGCCATCTGCTGGGATTTGTGTTTGGTTGGGTTTTTTTCCCTGACCATCCTACCTATCTTGTTATATTGTTTCTGAAAGAGCTACCCTTTCAGAAAACCATGTAGTTGTGAGAAAATAACCCCCTTAACCTCTCAGTGTAGACATTTAACCCAAACATATCCAAGCAGAGCCCACCAACCGCCAGCCACAGAGACAGGTCAGGTGTGTTCATGTGACCCAAACTGGGCCAACCCATAAGAATCACACCCAAGCTTTTGCTGGACCCATTAGAGAGCAGACAGTCTATTTCCATGGGGTTGACAAGCCAATAGATTAAAGTCTAGAGTTTCCAGGGGCCACTTTTTCATCAAGTATCTCTGATAGAATATCAAGGTGCAAGGTGTTACCAGGAGGCTGACTGGCTAAAGAAGAGACGAAGAGAGTGACCCAGAAGGATGTAAGTTTGTGTCTTCTGCACCAACAGCAGTACCTGCATAGAACAGGCATTCAACAGCTGCCTAGCGAATCAGTGAATGAAGGCTTTAAAACGTGTATTTAGGCCAGGCACAGTGGCTCACACCTGTAATCCCAGCACTTTGGGAGGCCAAGGCAGGCAGATCACCTGAAGTAGGAGTTCAAGACCAGCTTGGCCAATATGGTGAAACCCCATCTCTACTAAAAATACAAAAATTATCCAGGGATGGTGGTGGGCACCTGTAATCCCAGCTACTTGGGAGGCTGAGGTAGGAGAATTACTTGAACTCGGGAGGCGGAGGTTGCAGTGAGCCAAGATCGCGCCACTGCACTCCAGCACTCCAGCCTGGGCGACAAAAGCGATACTCAGTTTCAAAAAAAAAGGGGGGGTATTTATAAGTATGATATAGTACTACAACTATGTATCTCATCATTTAAAAAGTCATACTTCGAGATTTAGAAAACATCACATTGAATCTATGGGTATACAGAAATTTCAAAACTGGCAGATTCCAGGTGTTCTTGGGGCAGGGGGTATCGGGAGGATTACACCGGGCATAACTGTATGGTTTCGCACAGCCCTTTCTCTTGAATGTCTGAAGACATCCATGAATAATATTAAACACATCTCAGTACTAAATACTGTACCCAACTGGATGACCAACTTCCTTCCCTTTAATGGTTGATGCCGTAGAAATAATCACAGTATAACAGCAGGACCCGCTTCCAAAGTCTCAGAAGCTTATTTTCTAGGGGCTGACGCAGTGAGGCAGCGGGTCTGGTTAAGTTGCAAAAACAAGGCCGAGCGCGGTGGCTCACGCCTGTAATCCCACCACTTTGGGAGGCTGAGGTGGGTGGATCACGAGGTCAGGAGATCGAGACTATCCTGGCGAACACGATGAAACCCCATCTCTACTAAAAATACAAAAAAGTTAGCGGGGCGTGGTGGCGGGCGCCTGTAGTCCCAGCTACTCGGGAGGCTGAGGCAGGAGAATGGCGTGAAGCCGGGAGGCGGAGCTTGCGGTGAGCAGAGATGGCGCCACTGCACTCCAGCCTGGGCGACAGAGCAAGACTCGTCTCAAAAAAAAAAAAAAAAGGTTGAAAAAACAACAAAGGCGGCATAAATTAAATTGCCATTTTAATCAAGTAGGAATGTAACATGTAAAAAGATATGTCAAGCATTTTGCTTCACACTGTGCACCACAATCAATCCAGAACTTTTGCATGTGTGCTGCTGAGCAGAACTGACAATCTAGCCACCATTCTCCATTTCACTCCTTTCTTCGGTGAAGAAAAGATATGAGAAATCAGGAGACTTACAGATCTGGCCATGGGTAATTAACTCACTTGACCTCTCTCTTTTTTTTTCCCCATGTCTTCACCTATACCAGGAACCAACATATGTCCTGAGCTTTAATTAAACGAATTACCCAGAGGGTATTAGCAATTCTCTTCTCACTTGCTGAGAATATAAGGGCATTGTTGGTAGCTGGAATTTGTCTTGGGCTATTGGGGAATTGAGGGAGGAGAATGCTGGAGAGAAAGGAAAAGAGGGGGAAGAATTGAGCAGGCATGGTTTCTGCCATAACAGAACAGCTTGCACATTCCTCCTTCCTAAGCTGTAATAACAAACAAGCCAGGCAGGAAGGCACCGACTCCCTTCTTCCTCAGATTTGTCTTTTTCTTTGCCTGGTGCCTCCCAGGCCCCCTTGGGCCTCTGGCTGTGCTTTTTGTGGCAGCGCCACATCTCTCCAGAGTCCCCTGAGCCTGACCAAGGGACAGTTTGTGCAAAGGAAACTTAAGGGTAGTAGGGCTAAAGGGAAGCATCTCTTATGCCAGAGGACAGAGAAAGGTTGCAACACGCACACACATGTACACGTGCAACGTGCAATTTTCTAAACCCTTAAGAAATTCTGGCCAGAGTTATTCAGCTAGACTTCCATCACCTTTGCCTTCATGGCAGAGCTACCATGGGGGTGATTTCCACAGCACAGGCTTAGGGAGAGAAGGGTGCCCCATGGCAGCCGGCATTTTTGATAAACAGGTGCCATCTCTCTTTATTCTCCCATCTCCTTTCTGAACCTGTCTGTCTTCCCCCTCTCAGACACCTTCTTTGTTCACACTGTCCTCCAGCTGTTCCCTATACCCCTTCCTCTTCTTAGGAAGGAAATAGTGTTTTATAGTGATCTTCCTAAGATAGCAGGAAGAAAGGAGGTAGGAATGTGTGTATTAGGAGGTACTGGAATAGCAGCCAATCACAGGACAGGTGCCCAGTTGACATCTGTTGAATGACTGACACAGAAAAGTATCTGGATAACTCACATAGACCCAAAAGAACTTTAAATGCAATAAAGAAGAAGAAGAAAAAAAGATTGTTCTTTCCCCACTCTCCTATCCCATTCTACTCACCCTGTGGCTTCTCTAGACACTGTCCCCCCAAGAATTGTGGATCTGAAAATACTGCTTTAACTTGGCTAAGCCTCCGAATGATTAAATAAACCACATGGCTGGATGAGTAGAGGGCTCACTATTATAGGAGAGAACCCCAGATCACTGCCAAGTTGAGATCTGGAAAGCTCTCTTAGGCCTGATGTCCCATAAGCCACATCTTCTAAGATTGCAAAAATCCCCAAATTGCCTGATCTTTTTTGGCCAGTTTTAGACTGGAGGCAGCTATTAGTACTAAATGAATAATAATGCTGTCATCCTTGAACACCTTTTACGTATTAGCTACTTACAAAAATTATCTCATTGAATTGTACAGTAACTCTAGTTTTATCACCATACTCGATAGTTGGGTACACTGATGTGCAGGGAGTTTAGAGACCTGTCCTAATAACACATAGAAAGCTGGCAGAGTCAGGATTTGAACGCAGATCTGCCTAGTTCCCAACAGTACATTAGGGTACCTCACCTGAATAGGAGAGTGGCTTCATTCTCATTTGCTTTCAACAAAGGGTGCAAATGATTCAACTACTGCATTTTAGAATCTGAGCCTGATCATTCTTCCTGCAGGCCAGCTTTTCTCTTCGGAAAGTCCCATTTTGCCTGTTACAGAGGCAGCTGTCCCCACAGAAAACCCTGGTGACCCATTAAAATGTTCTCATGAAAACTGCTTCTGGCCAGACCAATAGGAACAAAGTTGAGGATGCAAACTGCAGCCCCTGGTGATTTAAGGAGCTGTTGGCTTTACAGCCTAGTGGGGCTGGTACAGGTACAAATGTTATTAGGCAAAGCCACAGAAATAACAAACCAAATTAAGCTTTAATCTCCAAACCATTGTAAGGATAATGAGTGCACTTTATAATGATTGCCGGAAATGAGAGCAAGGAAGAAAATACTGGAAAAGGCCTCAGCTCCAGTTTCTTCATTTGCAAACCAAGGACTATAATGCCAAAAGCCCCTGAGCCCACAGACAGTTAGAATAAAATGCTTTGCAATTCATGCGCTGGGTTCAGATTTAAAAACAAATCTGCCTTACCCGTGGGTCGCCCAGCCTCAGGCTTATTCCTGGTAGTGACCAGGATGACCACAAGAACCATGCCCCCCACCCCTAGGAAGGTTCTCATGCACATTTTTTGCCTTAAGCGGGAAATCCAGCTGGCTTATATAACAAGCTTCCCTGCAGCATTCACCTCTGAGCTGGAGGGACCCTGGACAAGTCCCACTTCCGTGGCTGCCACGGCAGGCACTGCCAGTCTTCTGAATTCAGTAAATCACCTGACGGTGTCTCCTAGACCTCTCCTTTTTGGGTATGTTTGCCTCATCACGTCAGTACCCCTAAGTGGACAGCATTCACCCATCCCTGGGACTGTCATGCTCAGGAGGTAGAACCCTGACAGGGGTAACTGGGTGCTGCTCCTGTCCACACCCTTATTTTGGCTTTTGCCTTTCCAGCTCAGAGGAAGAAAGATTTACCTGTGGAAGCACGAAGAAGCAGGCAGAGTGCCTAGGGAAAACCAGGACAAACTTAACAGTTACAGCCACTATGAACATCTGTGTACAAGTATCTGCTTGAATACCTGTTTTCAATTATTTGGAGTATAACCTAGGAGTGGAATTGCTGAGTCATAGGATACGATTCTATTTACATAAAATATGCAGAATAGGTAAATGCATAAAGACAGAAAGTAGATTGGTGGTTGCCAGGGAAGGGCAGAATGGGGAGCAACTGCTTAATGGGTACGAGGTTTTCTTTTTAGAAGATGAAAATGTTTTGGAACTTGATTGAAGTGGTAGCTGCTCAATATTGTGTAGGCACTGTCACTGAATGGTACAGATTTTTAAGGCCTCGGTCACCTGAGACCTGCCTTTCAAGGGAGATGCAATGTGAAGTCAAAGCAACCGACAGTTGTAGGAGCCCAGGCACCTTGGTGCTGAATGCAAGTACAGTGCAGTCATCTTTAGGGGGAGAAGGAGGCAGTTGGTAGTTTCAGAATCATGGGAGTCAAAAATCTTTATACTGTCAACATTACCACCGTCCTTTCTTAAAATACAGTAAGTCTTTTAAATCTTTTTCATAAATAACATTCCCAGCGCTAAGTATAAAATTCTATACAGTACTTCTGATGTATCTCAGAGTTCAGCTAGGCCTAAAGAAGGGGAAAGGCAAGTTTATATGCACATGGTTGGGCCTTTTCAATATTCTCCCTTCAAGATAAGGGAGGGGAGGACATTTTGAAAGTATTTCTATTTGTTTGCAAGGTTTAGTCTCATTCTGTGCACCTATAAACCTCAATTATATGATCTTAATACATGTTAATGTACAGTATTTGTTGTGGAGGAAATTAAACTAGACAAAGCAGTCTAATTTTGGGAGTGTGTTTGAGAATGGTCAGCCTCTGTTAAGGGATAACTTTAAAAAAAATAGGCTAGGTGTGGTGGCTCATGCCTGTAATCCCAGCACTTTGGGAGGCCGACATGGGCGGATCACTTGAGGTCAGGAGTTCAAGACCAGCCTGGCCAACATGGAGAAACCGCATCTCTAATAAAAATTTTTTAAAAAATTAGCCAGGCATGGTGGTGCACCTATAATCCCAGCTAGTTGGGAGTCTGGGGCGGGAGAAGCGCTTGAACCCCGGAGGCGGAGGTTGCAGTGAGCCAAGATCGTGCCACTGCACTCCAGCCTTGTGACAGATTGAGACTCCATCTCAAAAATAAATAAATAAATAATAAGGTAAGCCAAGTGTGGTGGCACACACTTGTAATCCCACCTACTTGGGAGGCTGAAGCAGGAGGATCCCTGGAGCTAACGGTTACACTGAGCTACGATTGCATCACTGCACTGCAGCCTGGGTGACACAGCAAGAGCACATCTCAAAAATAAATAAATAAATAAAAATTATTAGCCGAAAGAACCTTATTTTTAAAAAGTATATGTAATAAAAAGGTAAAATCATTACTTTCATACAAATATAAAATGATCACATGTCAAAGATTTTTTATTTAACTCATTAATTAACAAGGGAACCCAGCATTTAAAGCAGGTGATGTTGTAGCTATTACAAAAGAGAGTTCAAAAGAGAACTCAAAATTCCTCACATTTATAGTCAGATGAGGAATGCTGAAATGCATTGACAAATGGCTGAAAAACTGGCAAAACTGTTCACTGTCCACAGGGTGATCATCAGCTGCATTCCACTGGACACAATTTACATTCCTATGGACAGGGATTATGACCATTAGTTTCCTACAGGCAAATATCTATCTCTACAGAGTTATAAAACAGCCTCGTTAAAGATGAAGGCAGAGGGTGGAGCTAGCCAGGACACCCAGTAAATTTCAAAACCAGCCACAATTTTTTCCTAGATTTCGAAAGTCTGGATATGCTTTAAATGCACAGCATGAGGCTCTGCTGTGCTGCGCAGAGCGCCTCTGTCTAGCCTGCAGGGTGCCGCTGTGTCCCTCCAGGGTTGTAGAAAAGATAACTTCACCCTGCAGGTGAGAAAAACGATTCCTGCGTTTCCCTGTGCCAGACTGTCAAAGGGCTTTTCTCCCAGCACTGACAACAAGGTTTCCTACCACCACATGGTGACTTCCCTTTAAGTGAGTGGCAAAAACAGGACTAAAAGGCAGCTGAAACAATTCCCCTTGTCAGTAAAATTTGTCAGGCCCCCTGCTCCTGTCTCTTCATACCCCCTGGTTCATGACCTCTTTCTGGTTCCTGCAAGGCAGGTCTTTATCCACATGACCCTGACGTTCCTGGGCTCTGCTCCGCCCTGGCCTCAGCGCCTTGCTTGCTGGGAGAGCCTGATGAGCTGTCGCCCACAGCTGCATCTCTGTGTTCACTTGCATTGGTGCCGCCATCCTGGCTGACTCAGCCTGGCTGACCCCTCTGCCCCCCAGCTGGGCTGGTACCATTATTCTGTTCCCCTGACATTCCCCATCATGCAAATGTTTCCCCTCCATGAATCCTATTGAGCCAGTGGGTGGGATGGCTCCTGACTGGGGTAAAATTGTAATCAGTTGTTTGAAACAAAGAGAAGCATACTAGAGACCCCAAATGAGTTTCTTATCCATGTTAAAAGCCAATCTTCTGAACTTGAAGGTGGGGTCTGGATAGAGATCAGAGGCAGAGGGAAGGTGCGTAAGGTAAGTACACAGCCCAGAAGAGAGGCTGTTCCCGCTCTTGCGAAGGCTGCTGCCTAGACTGGGAAGGTGGAAACGATCTGTATTAGTCAGGGTTCCCCAGAGAAACAGGGCCAATAGGACGAATACAGAGAGAGAGAAACAGAGAGAGAGAGAGAATTTATTTTAAGGAATTGACTTAAGAGACTGCAGGGGCTGGCAAACCCAAAATTGTGGGACCGGCCAGCAGGCGGGAGCTACAGGAGGGAGATGTTGCAATGTTGCTGTTCAAGTGAGAATTCTCTTCTTGCTGGTGGCAGGAGGGAAGGTCAGCCTTCTGTTCCGTTCAGGCCTTCAACCCATTGGATGAAGCCCACACACATTATGGAGGGTGATCTGCTTTTCTCCCATCCAAGTGCTAACCAGGCCCGACCCTGCTGAGCTTCTGTGATCTGCTTTTCTCAAAGTCCATAGATTTTAATGTGAAACTCATCCTCCCCAAAAAACCCTCCCCAAAACGTCCAGAACCAAGTTTGTTCTGGGCACCTTGGCCCAGCCAAGTTAACACATAAAATTAACCATCACATGTTCCCAGGACTATAGCCTGGGTCTTAGGAGCCAGCAAGTTGAGGGCCCAGAGTTTTCAGCTGGAAAACAAGGCTGGTACCGGGAGAAGGTAAAGGAAAACATGGCTTCAGAGTGGCCACACAGAAGGGCGGCTAGGGGAATCCAAGCTGAGCCTTATTACTCTTACTCCCCTGTCCTGCTCCTCTAATGACCCTCTCTGCTCTCTAGGGAACCTTGCCACCTGTGCTGCCTCCAGACTGCTCTAGGAATTTTTATTGCATTCCTAAATGTGCCAAGATAGCTCACTGTGACCTTGCCTAGCTGAACTACCCTTATGGGGACCCAGCCATCAGCCCAGGGTCTCTGGACTTTCTTCTCTTCACGCCTGTCTGTCACTCTTCTTCATAGGTTTACAAAGTGGTTACAGGGGAGAGTTCTGGGGCAGGCAGCCCACTCTGCAACAACCATAAGAGGGCAAGCATTGAACATAGAGGAAGTTCAACCCCACTGGTACTAGTGGCTCCTCTGTCTAGGGCTTCAGGGCCTGTGTAGTAGGTTTAATAGTGACCCCCAAAAGGTATGCTCATACCCTAACCCCCACAACCTGCAAATGTTGCATTATTTAGCCAAAGAGTCTTTGCAAATGTAATTAAGTTAAGAATCTCAAAGTGAGATAATCCTGACATCTAGGCAGACCCTAAATCCAGTGAAAAGCTTCCTTGTAAGGGAAAGACAGAGGGACACTTGAGGCAGAGAAGATGACCTTGTGAAGATAGAGACAGAGATGGGAGGTATGCCATCACAAACCAAGGAATTCCCAGAGCCACCAGAAGCTGGAAGGGGCAAGGGATTCCCTAGAGCCTTAGACACCTTTGATTTCAGACTTCTGGCCTCCAGAACTGAAAGAGAATGAATTTCTGTGAAGCCACCACATGTGTGTTAATTTGTTACAGCAACCTCAGGAAACTAATACACACTATTGGTGGCCCTTTAAAGTTGTCTGAGACACTATGGATCCAGGCTCTTGAGAGTAGTAACATAAAAGCTATCAAGCGGCCAGAGGCAAAGCAAATGCAGTGTCCTCACTGTATAGAAGCTGCACAGAGAGAGAAGCTATATGCAAATAGAAGCTATATAGAGCGACAATGACATATAGAAGCCGCATGTGTTAATTTATCCCTTCAACAGGTCTTTATTGAGCACCCACCATGTGCCACCGCATCGTATTAGTTGCTTATTATACTATGATGAGCAGAGGATGCAGTTTCAAAGCCGATTGTCCCCAGCATCCCTTGGTCCAGGTCAATCCTTATCAACAAACGAACCATCTGGTGAGCTGTGCTGTGTGCAGTGCTCTGTGCTGGAGCCAGTCAGATCCAGCACCGCTCTTTCCCCCTGATGGGCCCAGCCTGGCCTTCTGCTCCAGTTTGCTGCTGCACCACCTTCCTCTCTCGGCTCACTGGATCCTCTCCAGTATCACCCATCTGGTCCCCAGAATCCATTCCCAGCCAGAGCCCTTGCTTCCCAGGCCCAGCTCGCAGTAGATCCCTTGTGGGAGTTGAGACTGAGTGTCCCAGCATGGAGTCACACTGCCTGAGTTTGATCCCTGGCCTCACCATTTACTAGCTCAGTAAACTTAGAGAAGTATGTATTATTTCTTAGCCTTGACTTCCTCATCTATAAAATGGGAATAACAGTGTCTGCTTCATAGGGTAGTTCAATTAAATAAGGTAGTGTCTAGCTTTCAGTCAGTGCCTCCTAAATAATAGCTATGATTATTTTAGGAGAAGTGGTCCATTTCTTAGTTGTCCTCTGTCTCCCATCAGGAGGCCTGGGGTCTCTTCTGCTCTAACCTTAGAAATTGTGTTTTTCCAATATGAACCAGGAAGGCACCTTTCAGGATGTGTGAGGTGGCCAGGTGCAGTGGCTCACATATATAATTCTAGCACTTTCAGAAGTCAAGGCAGGAGGAGTGCTTGAAGCCAGGAGATCAGCCTGGCCTGCAAAGCAAGACCCTGCCTCTATTTTTTTTAAAAATTAAAATTAAAAATAATATTCAAAAAAATTAAAAATAAAAATAAATTTTAAACAGAATATGTAAGGACAATTGACCTTGAGCCAACTGCAAAGAAGAACAATGAAAAAACAACCTGGTAGACAGGGCACCACAGATAAAGGAAAAAGTGTGGCTGCTGGCCTGAGTCAACAGCAGGCCAGCCTGGACTCTCAAAGAAAGGAAGTGACAGCAGCTAGGAGGGAGCCGGGGTCCAAAGCTCTGCCAACCTCATGCTCAGATCACTTCGTTCCACATCTGCAGGAATGGCGAGAGCTGGACCCATGCAATGTTCTTCTCCTACAGGTTGAAGAAGAATAAGAACTGGGATTTTTAGATGCTCCTAATTCTCCCCTGTGGGAGTCCCAAGTTTGAAATTCATTAGAAATGACACCTGAGGCTGGGCACGGTGGCTCACCTGTAATCCCAGCACTTTGGGAAGCCGAGACAGGAGGATCACCTGAGGTCAGGAGTTCGAGACCAGCTTGGCCAACACGGTGAAGCCCTGTCTTTACTAAAAATACAAAATTTTTTAAGTATTTTTGGTCGAGGGGGGCACCTATAATCCCAGCTAATTGGGAGGCTGAGGCAGGAGAATCTCTTGAACCCAGGAGGCGGAGGCTGCGGTGACCTGAGATTGCACCATTGCACTCCAGCCTGGGTGACAAAAGCAAAACTCCATCTAAAGAAAAAAAAGAAAGAAAAAAAGAAATGACACTTAGTACCCAAATACTTGTACATGTTCATAGCAGCACTTCTCGTAATAGCCAAAAGGTGGACACAACTCAAATGTCCACGAACAGACTAATGGATAAGCAAAAGTCGGTATGTACACTCAACAGAATATTATTCGGCCATGAAATGGAATGAAGTACTGATACATGCTACAACTTGGATGAACCTTCAAAACATGACACTAAGTGAAAGAAGGCACCCACTGAAAGTCCCATATTGTATGATTCCATTTATATAAACTATCCAAAGTAAGTAAATCCATAGACATGGAAAGCAGATTGGTGATAGCCAGGGGCTGGGGGAGGGGAGAATAAGGAGTAACTGCTTAATGGGTACAGGGTTTTCTTTTGGGGTGATGAAACTGTTTTAGAGCTAGATAGAGGTGATGGTTACACAACATAGTGGATGTACTATATGCCACTAAACTGTTCACTTTAAAATGGTTGATTTAATGTTATGTAAATTTCACTCAATTTTCAAAAAAAAAAAAGACACAAACCTCCAGCATGAAAGAACCCAGAGCCTGAAAACCATTAATTCTGTCCTGTCCTCCACGTGTCTGATTCTAGGATCCTTTGCTTATTGCCAAGGGAAAAGAAAGAGGTTGCAGATTTGGAGCCCATGCAATAACTCATCCTTTAATGGGGATTATTGTGAAAAGAGCCAACCAAAAACCCAGGTCAGGTCATTTGCAAAAGATGTATTTGATTTCAAAAGCAATTTGTTCTAAGTTATGGTATCTTTCTTGCATTCAATTAAAGCTTCCATTCCAGAAATATTAGTGTTTTTAATACCTCCCCCACACCAACTGTAAGATCTCATAGCAGCTTTCTGGGTTTGCAGCGAGTCCTTGATTCTTTCAGAACATGGCTGGCCAAAGTCTTGAGTGTCTGTCCCTGCCTGACATATGGAAAGAAAATCACTCTTCCCACTGCTGTACCCATTCTCTAAAAGGTCTTTGCAAAAGATATTCCTAGTAGCAATTATGCAAATGTGTAGATAAGGTAAGGTTACATTTGGAGAAACTAGCTCTATGTCACATGGCACAAATGCCACAATCTCCAATTCAGTGCTGTGGATGCCTGACAGCAAATGACTCCCCCATGCTCTCAGATCAAATCCTCCCTCTCACTTATCTCTCAGTGTGGTTAGTCCAGAACTGGTAGGACACTTTGTCAATGTCAGGGATCTAGGCTTCTTCCAGATGGTTTTTCTGCTCACCCTAGGATTCTGTCCTTACCCACACAGTCCAAGATGGCTAACACCACTTCCACACTCTGACCAGCAGAAAAGGGGAAAGAGACACCATGAGAGACAATTCTATTTCATTTTAAGAACACGACCTGGGAATTTCACACTTCACTACTGCTGATACCCCATGAGCCAGAATCGAGCTACACTGTCACATCCAGCTGCAAGGGAAGCTGGTTGTGTGCCCAGCTTTAACTTCTATCATTGTAGAAAAAGGGGAGGATGGACATTGGGAAAGACACAGGATTCATGCCCACAGCCAAATCAGTGTTCTTTTTCTCACCAATCTCCCCAATCTCTTTGCTGTCATTCAAAATGATGTGTTAATGCCCCACCTCTAAGCCTTTACTCAAGCTCTTCATAACATAGAATGTTCTATCTACTTCTCCATACCCATCCTGCCTTTATCATTCCCTCAGATCTCATCTGTTCCTCAAAACCTTCCCTGACAACCCCAGCTCACAATGACCTTCTCCATAACATTCCTTGGCCTTGAAGTTTTCCTTACACACATGCTATTCTATGTAGTTACGTCTTCATTTCAGACCTAAGCAGCAAGTTTCTGGAGAACAGGGTCCTCATTGTATGGTTTGCTTGTATGCTCTATGGTTTCTAGCCCAGTGCTGAGCACAATTGTAGTGTTTAACAATTACACTCTGAAGTAAGTTGAATTTGATTAAAATAGTAAGCTGAATAATTTAGGACAATATTCTTATTTCGTTATGGTATTTTCTGCATATTTAATCTTTCCTATGGCGCATACACACACACATTTCACAATTCAAGAAATCAGTTTTCTCATTCAATTGTTTACTGGGCAATTTTCCATCAATGTTACCTGCACTGTTTTAAAAATTAAATAGGATAAGTATAATCTAAGCACTTAGCATAAGATCTGGCAGTGTAAATAAATGTTAAGAGGGAAAAAAAGTCAAGGACAAAGTATAAATGTAAACTGAGTTAAAGTGTTTAAAACTTGCTGCAATGGGAAGAACAAAGATTCTGGTATTTGACTTTCTGGTTTGAACTTTGGCTGTTCTTACTAGTGACAGTGTTGCAGAGTATTAAATAAATGGACTGTGTGCTTGCCATTATCTATTCTCTCTCAGTTCTGTGCATACCTTTCTATATTCCAATTTGGACTGCTGGGGGCTTGGAGTCTGAAAATTACATTTTCCAAATTCCCTTGCTGGCCTCTTTCCAGTTAGGGTCTGCAACTGGGAGGCACAGCTGGGAGATTAGAAGGCAGGAGGAGAGAAGAAAGGACTCTTCCTCCTTCCACCTCCTTTTAGATGGCTATAACTCTAGTATCTTTTGACACAATTAGCATCAGGGTTAAGCTACTCTCCCATCACCAGCCACACAGTGCCCCCTTGGCAGTGCCAGTACCAGATACCCGATGGCTGTGCAGCAGCCCAGCTCCTAAGATGTTGACCCTACTTCTGTATTCCTAGGTTCTAATTGGGCCTCATTCCTGTTGCTCTTCCAGCTCTAAGATGGCTTCCTGTACTTACTAATCTCCCTGCCCCTTTTTGGTTGTTCCAACACCTGTGAAATCCATTTACTGTATTAAATACCCTCTGGTTGAAGTACCTGGCATGATTTCCATTTTTCCTAATTGGATTTTGACTGATACAGTATGCAATGCACTAAATGCATTTCAAATGCTCAACAAATATTGATTCTCCCTTAGGTGAAAAAAGAATACATAATGGGAGTAAAGATGTATTAATTTTATTTTTCAATTATCATTTCTTTTCATATTATTTCTTTTCATTGAACCCAGAGGCGGAGGCTGCGGCGAGTTCCTGAGTTTTCTCCACAGGCTCCACAGGCTCCCAGTACTCCACAAAGACCACTGGTTCTCGGACTTAGGTATGAATCAGAATCAACTGTGGAATCCTGAAGATGCTCAGGCTCACCAAGGGCCTGAATTTCAAGGGATGAGGCTGAGTTGTGTGCATTTCAAATAAGTAATTGTTATTTGTGCTAAAGTTTTAGGATCTCTTGTTTAAATAGACCATAATAAATTCCAACCTGGGCAACATTAGTCCATTCTCACATTACTACAAAGAACTACCTGAGACTGGGTAATTTATGGAAAAAAGAGGTTTAATTGACTCACAGTTCCATAGTCTGTACAGGAAGCATGGTTAGGAGGCCTCAGGAAACTTACAATAATGGCAGAAGGGCAAAGGGGAAGTGCTACACACTTTTAAAACAACCAGATCTCATGAGAACTCATTTGTTATCACGAGAGCAGCAAGGGGGAAGTCCACCCCCATGATTCAGTCACCTCCCACCAGGTCCCTTCTCCAACATGTGGGAATTACAATTCAACATGAGATTTGGGTGGGAACACAGAGCCAAACCATATCAATGGCAAAACCTCGTCTCTACAAAAAACACAAAAAATTAGCTGGTGGTGGTGGCACATGCTAATATTCCCAGCTACTGGGGAGGTTGAGATGAGAGGATCACCTGAGCCCAAGAGGTCAAGGCTGCAGTGAGCTGTGATTATGCCACTGCACTCCAGCCTGGGCAACAGAGTGAGACCCTATATCAAAAAAAAAAAAAGAATATAATAAATTAATGAGTATGATTTCTTTTTTTGTTTTTTTTTTTTTTTGTTTCTTTTTTGAGACGGAGTCTTGCTCTGTAGCCCAGGCTGGAGTGCAGTGGCATGATCTTGGATCACTGCAAGCTCTGCCTCCCAGGTTCCTGCTGTTCACCTGCCTCAGCCTCCCGAGTAGCTGGGACTACAGGTGACTGCCACCATGCCCAGCTAATTTTTTTGTATTTTTAGTAGAGACAGGGTTTCACTGTGTTAGCCAGGATGGTCTCGATCTCCTGACCTCGTGATCCGCTGGTCTCGGCCTTCCAAAGTGCTAGGATTACAGGCATGAGCCACTGAGCCCAGTCATGAGTATGATTTCTTAATGCCTCACAGGTGGCACAATGTTATCTGCTCATTGGTGTCTCAATAAATGCTGGTCAGGCATGGTGGTTCATCCTTGTAATTTTAGCACTTTTTAAAATATTCTTTTTTTTTTTTTTAAATTTGAGACAGAGTCTCGCTCTGTTGCCCAGGCTGGAGTTCAGTGGCACGATCTCAGCTCGCTACAACCTCTGCCTGCTGGGTTCAAGTGATTCTCGTGCCTCAGCTTCCCAAGTAGCTGGGATTACAGATGTGCACCACCACCCCTGGCTAATTATTGTATTTTTAATAGAGATGGGTTTTCACCATGTTGGCCAGGCTGGTCTCGAACTCCTGGACTCAAGTGATCCACTCACCTCGGGCTCCCAAAGTGCTGGGATTATAGGTGTAAGCCACCATGTACAGCTCAATCCTAGCACTTTGAGATGTCAGAATGGGAGGACTGCTTGAAGACAGGGCAATATAGCAAGACTCCATTCTACAAAATAAAAAATAAATTAGCCAGGCATAGTAGTGCCACCTGTAGTCCTAGCCAGTCAGAAAGCTGAAGCAGGTGGATCACTTGAGCCCTGGAGTTTGAGGTTGCAATGAGCTATGATCATGCCACTGCCTTCCAGCCTGAGCAACAGAACAAGACCCTGTTTCAAATAAATAAATAAATAAATGTATGTTGTTTGATAATGATGCTGAATGCTGATGCTATCCTAATTACCAGTTGAATAGTCCCTAGTTTTAGTGACATCAAGTTCGAACCAACCTTGAGCTGGTTTACTACCATGGTATTAGATAGTTCTTGGCTCCATTCTAGATGTGAGGGGTAGAGAAAATGCCTATGGATTGTAAGTGACAGAATCAAGGTTTGATCTGTTGAAGTTAAGAGAAGCACCAAGAAAAATTAGCTTCTCAACACCAAAGCCTACACCACCCAGAGATAATTCAAGCCCCATGATGGCAGAACCAATGGGAGGACAAAAAGAAGATACTACAAACATTTATCACAGCATCCATTCTCTTGGCTACACTTACCTCTTCCTCTTCCGTTATTCTTTCTACTCTCACCTAATCTAAGGAAAACCTCAAACCCCTAACAATAGAGTTCTTTTAAGCCCATGTTTCTCTCACCCATCCCCCATTCCAATGTTCCTACATCCAAATCAGAAGGCTATGAAAAGCCCTTCAGAGGAGGAGTGATTCTATGAATATCGAAGGAGGGTTTGTCTTCACAAGAGAATCAAGATACTAGGGTATCATGAAATCCTGTCCTTTGCAATGACTGTTGTGCCAAATGAGACACAGTCTCATTCATGGGCTTCTGAATTCCATCTCAACTGAGAAACCCATGGCAGTCAACAAAGTGTAAGGGAAGAAGGCTGAGCCCAGGAGGGGTTAGTACAACATGCTGGGTGACTTCAGATAGTAGGACTGACTTTATTCATTATTTGAACAAATGCATCAGAGTTCACACACTCAAGTGGTGTTTTTTTCTCCCTTCTATGCTGCCATACTCACTACATTTTAAAAACACCCCTAGAGCCTGCTACGGATTTTATGAAGAAATTCTCCTTAGTGCCAAATCTTCTTCCTTGAGTGGATTTCATTATTTGGAAACAATTGAAATTATTTGAAAATAAATCTGATGGCCAAAGTATGTGATCAAGCTGGGAATTATCATTACAGTATTTGGTCAAACCTGGCTGAAGCCAAAGGAAAGTAAGAGTGGAGGGGAGTGTAAACTAGTTGTAAATGCTATTTTCGAAGAGAAACTGCAAGCATTTAGATAATATTTGAGAGATGTTAGTCTTCCAAGATGACTGTAAAAGGACAGCTCTCATTCTGAGTGAATAGATTACATATGCGTGGGTTTAAAGAAAAATCAACATAACTTTATAATATTATATTCACAGAAGTAGTTCTCAATTCTCCCCATATATGAAACCCAGCTGACCAGGGTATTCTTCCTGCTTGTCATGACTTAAGGCAATGAGGTTGTCTGAAAAAGACGTAGATTTTGGAAAAATCTATGAGCAAATCTGTTCCTCAACTACTGATTTTCTCTGTAATCCTGAATGAGTTGCTTAAACTCACTAAACATTTGTTTTCTTATCTGTGTAATGAGCAAAACAATACTACCCCAATGGAGCAACTGAAAAAGATTAAACAAATAATATGTGCAAGTGCCTAGTGCAGGACCTGGGCCCAAAGCTGACACTCAGTAAAGGCTACTAATACTAATGTAAACATGATTCTTATCAATGTGTGGATGTGGTGTCCAAGGACACCCTGCTTTATCATTCCTCCAAGATACAGATTCAGATATGTCTATATGAACCAGACAGCTGAGCCTGCAGGAGCCCATAATAAGTTTTAATCAGAGCAGAGAAGAGCCAGTGGTAGCTGTATTAGTCCGTTCTCGTGCTGCTATGAAGAAATACCTGAGACTGGGTAATTTATAAAGAAAAGAGGTTTAATTGACTCACGGTTCCACATGGCTGGGAAGGCCTCAGGAAACTTACAATCATGGTAAGAGGAAGGCACCTCTTCACAGGGCGGCAGGAGAGAGAATGAGTGCCAAGCACATGGGGAAAAGCCCCTTATAAAACCATCACATCTCGTGAGAACTCACTATCACAAGAATAGCATGGGGGAACTGCCCCCATGATTCAATTCTCTCCACCTGGCTCCCCCCTTGACATGTGGGGATTATTACAGTTCAAGATGAGATTTTGTGAGGGGACACAGCCAAACCATATTAATGGCACACTGGAAGTTCCTCTTCTTTTAGTCCACCTATGCAAAATGGGAAAAGTTGCATCATCTCAAAGTATGCCAGTATGTTAGAATGTTAGAATGTCTCGGTTACCCACCAGCACTGGGGATTATGGTTCGGCATACATAACCGAAGTTTTCACTTAAGAACCAATACTTTTCCCAAAATTGTAATTATTTCTGGGGATGGGAGGTAACCACTCTAAAACATAGCATTTACCTCTCTATATTTTAAAGCAGAGAACATGATTTAACTTTTTTGTTATAACCCAGGATCCATCATTATGAACATTTGTTGCAGCAAGGAGGGGTGGCTCAGGGCAGGCCTACTTTTTGGTTTTTCTGCCTTTTCCTTCTTTGATGGCAGGCATTGTCTGGATATCACAGTCTTGACATGTAACATGTTCACCAACCTTGGACACAGGCAGCCACTCAGAAACCACCAATGTTCATGACAGTGACCACATTCTAGTTAAAGATATGAGTTATTCGGTAGGTGGACCTAGAATGAGACCCTACTTCAGCCATTTACCCTTGAGCAAATGACTGTACTGAACCTCAGCTTCCTCATCTATTCGACGGGGATAAAACAGTGCCTACCTCATAGGGGAGTCACAAGTCTCAAGAAAATAGACGTTAAATGCTTAGCAGCCACTGGCAGAAAGCAAATGCTCAATAAATATTTACTACTACTATTATTATTACTAGCAGGCAAGGCCTCCAGGAAATTCAGACTTCCCTACCACAGCCCTCCTAAACACCCACCCTTTCTGGGTCGCTCTTCTTCCATCCGTTAAATAAAGCTGATAGAAGGAATTGCCTGAGCAGAAAGTGACTAAAGCCCCCTGCGTTTTCCCCCATAATCTGGTGGGTTCCAGAGATGAGAATTTGAGCCAAAGGAGAACCCAATCATCCTGTCAAAAGCTAAGCCAACACTTTGGGAGGCCAAGTGGAAGGATTGCTTGAACACAGGAGTTTGAGACCAGACAGGGCAACATAGTGACATCCCATCTCTACAAACAAAACAAAACAAAACAAAACAAATTAGCCAAGCAGAGCAGGTGTGGTGGCTCAGGCCTGTAATCCCAGCACTTTGGGAGGCTGAGGTGGGTGGATTGCTTGAGCTCAAGAGTTCGAAACCAACCTGGGCAACCTGGAAAAACCCCGTCTCCACAAAAAAATTTAAAAAATGTTAAAAAAAAAGCTGGGCATGGTGGTATGTGCTTGTAGTCCTAGCCACTTGGGAAGCTGAGGTGGGGAGGACAGCTTGAATCCAGGAGGCAGAGGTTGCAGTGAGTTGACATTGCACCACTGCACTCCAGCCTGGGTGACAGAGCAAGACCCTGTCTCAAAAAATAAAAAATAAAAAAAAACTAGCCAAGTGTGGGGCGTCAGGGTACACGTATATAGTCCCAGCTACTAGGAAGGCCGAGACAGGCGGATTGCTTGAGCCTGGAAGGTCAAGGCTGCAGAGTCATGATGGTACCATCATGACTGTATTTCAGCCTGGGTGACAGAGCAAGACCCTGTCTTAAAAAAAAAAAAAAAAAAAAAAAAAAAAAAGCCAAGCCAATTATTCTCTCATAAGGGTCAAATTTCTTTACATTGCCATAATGGCCATTCAGACTGGCCACATCTGCACTGTGTGAGGCGTGCAGGCAGAGACGTCAGTGTAGGAGTGGCTTGTAGGGACCAAACATCTCTGCCAGATCAAGTAGCCAGGCCTTGGCTGGTGATCCTTGGTAGCAGAAGGGCAGGAGGCCCCCAGAGCCTCTCGTCTGGCACCATTTGTGGCACTAAATAGAAATGCGCTACAGAGCCGTGGCGGCTGTGTGGAGCTGATGAGGATTCAGGAGGCTGTGCAGCTCTCCAAGTGGTGATTTTCTAGCTTGTATATCCTGTAGGGGGTTAATTAACCTCCTCAAGTATACTATTCTGGCTGTTTCATCACTAGGGGATATAATTTAAGGTCACTCTGAAGTGAAGTGAAGACAGCAACAACAGCTGCAGCCTTTGTTATGTCGAGTTTGGGAGCTGCTGTGCAGACCCCAGCCCCACACTGCATCATGTGCAAGCACTATTAATAAACCAACAATGGGCGCTTGAACTGGTGGACAAGTGTCTTCACTGAGCACGTACCACTGGGTTAGGGAGCAAGTCCTGTATCATCTTTGCCACAGACACAGGCTTCTCCCAGGGACTCACTGCCCCCCCTTGTAACATTCCAAAGATAAACTCCAGATTTGGGACCATGATAATCTTTTTATTTTTTGTAGCCCCAAACCAGTTCTCTTTCCACCAAACCTACACAACCTCTATTTCCATATCAGCAGCTGTAGTTCACTTTGCACAGTGCTTTGCTATAAAGTTGGGCACGTATTAAGTTTTTGTAAAGCAAGTCATATTTCAAATGCACTAGGTGACTTTGAAATTCTATTCGTTCTCTATTGCTGTGTAACAAATTAACCCCAAAACGTAGTAGATTAACACAATCCTAAATATTTATTATCATCACGATGTCTGTGGGTCAGGAATTCAGGAGTGCCTTCGCTGGGTGGGCCTGGTTTGGGGACTCCGATGAGGTTACGGTCAAGATGTCGGCTAAGGCTGCAGTCATCTGGAGGCACTGCTTCCAAAATGGCTCATTCACGTGGCCTCACTGTCTCCCCACTAAGGCCTCTGAAGGCTCTTGAGTGTCCTCACAAGGCTGCTGACATCCTCCACGTGAGCAGCCCATGGACAGCAAGCCAGGCCAACACTGTCCTTTTTATGACCCAGCCTCAGAAGTCACACAGGATGGCTTCTGCCACATTCTATTCACTGGAAGAGAGTCAGTCACTCGGGTCAGCTCACATTCAGGGAGAGGGAATTAGCTCCACTTTTAAAAGGAGCAATGTCACAGGATTTTGAACATGTTTTTAAACCACCAAACACAGGTGGATCCTTCATTTGGGATCCACCAGTGCCTGGTGGTTTTAAAGGATATGGGTGAATCCTTCATTCATTTAACAAATATTTACTGAGCACCTACTACACAACCACACTGCTCTAGACGCTTGGAATACATTCTGGACAAAACTGGCAAAAGTCTCAGCCTGGCCCTTGCGGACTTATAGTCTAGTGGAGAGATAGAGAATAAACAATAAGCATGAAAAGTACATTTAATACTGTGTTGCAGGTTCAAGTGTGCTGGAGGATGGAAAGACCAGGGGGAGAATCCTGGAGTCAGGTTATAATTTAAATTGGGCCATCAGACTTGTCCTCTGAGAAGAGAGAGTAGCAGAAAGCCATCTGGAGCAGTCATGGGCCATATTGTGTACGGCCTCTGCCCAGGCAAGGAATGACCACCAGGCCCAGCTGTTCCCTCTGAACGCTGGTCATCATTCCCATGCTCCCTGCTGGGTGCAGATGGGGAGAGAGGTTTCTCCGCTGTCCACTGGAGAGCTGCCAGCATTCCCCACCCCAGATCACCTGGAGGAGAAAGCGCTTCTGTGGCCGTCCTCAGCTGCATGGCCCACATGACTACTTAGAGGCAGCTGCTGTGCACACCAAGGCTGCTGCAGGGGGCCTGGGCCCCCCACACCATGCTTCCAAGGGAGAAAGACACACAACTCTCTCAGCTTTAAAGAGGTCACATAAGGAGGAGCAGCACTTTTGCCACGCTGAGTGTGTAATTTAGTATTTAAATCAATCATGGTGTTTCTATGACTGGAGGCCAGCTGCCGGCCACACCCCAACAGGAGCTGCCCAGCCCAGGGAACAACAGAATTTCAAAGATCCCTGAGTCGTGGAAGGGAGGGAATTGGAAGAAGACATTCCAGACTTGGGTGTGGCCAGGGGAGTCAGCACACTGCTGGACTTGGAGAGTCTTTCAGGAAACACTTGCTGACGGGCAGGGGTGCCGGGCAAGCTGGGGGAGCTAGGGATGAAGCAGTGTGGGGTGGGTTCCGGCGTGAGGAGTAGGGGCAGCACCCAGTTCTGATTCAGCCATCCAGACACAGCCGAGTGGTCTCAGGGCAGGTGGAAAGAGGGGTCCGTTTACACGTGAGCTGCGTGAACCCTCTCCAATGGGGCGGTTAGTGACCTGAAGAATGCGGTGACTAAGACAGCTGGGACAAAGGCCACCCCTCGATTTCCCATATATTGTACCTGATGGAGAGGGACCCTATCCCAAGAGGAGAGACAGTACAGGTGCACTGGCTGACCGAGGCATTGGCTGCAGGGTCAAGGAGATCTGTGCATGTAGCAAGCGTTGGTGACATGAAGAAGCCCCGGATAGCAGAGCTACATACAGAGCTGTGTTTTAAGCCCGTGGAGCCCGAAGGTCAGCAGCACAGCGTGCAGAAGCTGAGTTTCACCATGGAGTACACTCAGCCCCACTCAGAAGGCGATGCTGCCTAATGGTTACAGCGCAGAGGCTGGGTTGGACACAACCAGATTTGTATCCTGGTTATGCCATTGACTAGCTGTGTCTCAGAGAAGTTTCTTATCCTCTCTTCAGTCGCAACTTCCTCACCTGTCGGGGGGAGAACAATTCCCACCCCACAGAGCTGCTAAGAAAGTAAATGAGGTAAAATACTTCACATAGATCCTGGCCCCTGGGAAGTAGTCAGCACATAGTTGCTATTTTTATTGTTGCTATTTTTACAAATGTTGTGGAGGGACAGCCGCTGTGGGGCTTTGTTTGGTTTTGTTGCCCAGCGTCTCTTCCTTTGTAGAAACAGTTCCTCAACGCCCCCTCCCACAGATACATGGTTCTGGTGTCCAGCTAATCCCAGGACTTGGACCCCTCGTGACAGGGGACAGGCAAGTGACCAAGTTGGCCAGTGAAAATCTCTCTCCCAGGGACTGGAACCCTACACACAGACAGACAAACGCAGACACACAGGAAGTTAGCTGGCGCTGAGTCATCCCGGGACAGGGAATTCCACGCAGTTCCCGGAGCTGCTCCTCTTCGTCCCTCACAGGGTCTGGTGTCCAGCTCGCTTTCCCAGAGTTTGGGCTTGGCCAGTATCCCCCCAGTGAGCCCCTCATTAGCATCCATCAGAGTCAGAGTCAGTTTTTACTGTTTACAGCCAAGTGTCCCTGCCTAACAAAACAGCCATGGGGGAGCCGCCTCTACAAAGACGGCCATCCGAGTGGGAGCCAGGGACTCAGAGGCTGGGGGAGGGCGCGACCTTCCCACTTCCTCTCCGCCCTCTTCACAGGCCATCGTGAGGGCTTCTCTGGCACTTTTTTTTTTGAGGCAGAGTCTCGCTCTGTCACCCAGGCTGGAGTGCAGTGGCACGATCTCGGCTCACTGCAACCTCCGTCTCCCAGACTCAAGCAATTCTCCCACCTCAGCCTCCTGAGTAGCTGGGATTACAGGCGTATGCCACCACGCCCAGCTAATTTTTGTATTTTTAGTAGAGAGGGGGTTTCACCATGTTGGCCAGGCTGGTCTCAAACTCCGACCTCAGGTGATCCACCTGCCTCAGCCTCCCAAAGTGCTGGGATTACAGGCGTGAGCCACCATGCCTGGCCTCTGGCACTCTTTTTTAAATGTATTTAATTTTTTTTATCACGGTAATATGTGTACTTAATTGTGAGATTCAAATAGTAATAAAGAATGTTGGAGGCTGGGCACAGTAGCTCATTCCTGTAATCCCAGCACTTTGGAAGGCCAAGGTGAGAGGATCGCTTGAGTCCAGGAGTTCAAGACCAGCCTGGGCAATGTAGGGAGGCCTCATCTCCACAAACAAATGTTTTTAATTAGCCTGGTGTAGTCCCAGCTACTTGGGAGGCCGAGGTGGGAGGATCACCTGAGCACAGGAGGTGGAGGCTACAGTGAGCCATGGTCATGACACTGTACTCCAGCCTGGGCAACAAAGTGAGACCCTGTCTAAAAAAAAAAAAAAAAAAAGAAAGGAAGAAAGTTGGAATAACTGGGTAGCCATCTGGAAAAGATGACGCTGGACCAATATATGAGGATAAATTCCAAATTGATCAAATATTTAAATATAGAAAATGAAAACTTAAAGTCACTGTAAGAAAACACAGATGAATGACTTTATAACTTTTTTTTCTTTTTCTTTTTCTTTTTTGAGACGGAGTCTCACTCTGTCGCCCAGGCTGGAGTGCAGTGGCCCGATCTCGGCGCACTGCAAGCTCCGCCTTCCAGGTTCACGCCATTTCCCTGCCTCAGCCTCCCGAGTAGCTGGGACTACAAGCACCTGCTACCACGCCCGGCTAATTTTTTGTATTTTTAGTAGAGACAGGGTTTCACTGTGTTAGCCAGGATGGTCTCGATCCCCCAATCTCATGATCCTCCTGCCTCGGCCTCCCAAAGTGCTGGGATTACAGGTGTGAGCCACCGCGCCCGGCCCAACTTTATAACTTTTGAGTGGAGAGGGTCTTTCTAATTATGACTCAAAATCCAGAATCTATAAAAGAAATTACTTGTAAATATGACTACATATGAATTGAAAACTTAGCAGAAAACAGTAGCAAAGACAAATGAAAAACTAAAAAAAAAAAATTGCAGCACAAAAGGTTAATTTTTCTAAAATACAAAGAGCTCATAAAAATCAACAAGAAAAAAGCCAAAAACCCAGTAGGAATATGGGTAAAGGACATAATAAAAGAGTTCAGAGAAAAGGAAATTTAAATGGCTCTTAAACATTTAAAAGATTCTTTACCTCGGCTGGGTACGGTGACTCATGCCTGTAATCCCAGCACTATGGGAGGCAGAAGTGGGTGGATCATGAGGTCAGGAGATCGAGACCATCCTGGCTAACACAGTGAAACTCCGTCTCTACTAAAAACACAAAAAATTAGCGGGCCGTGGTGGCGGGCGCCTGTAGTCCCAGCTACTAGGGAGGCTGAGGCAAGAGAATGGCGTGAACCCGGGAGGTGGAGCTTGCAGTGAGCCGAGATTGCGCCACTGCACTCCAGCCTGGGTGACAGAGCCAGACTCCGTCTCAAAAAATAAATAAATAAATAAAAAATAAAATAAAATACAAAAAATTAGCCAGGTGTGGTGGCCTGTGCCTGTAGCCCCAGCTACTTGGGAGGCTGAGGCAGGAGAACTGCTTGAACCCGGGAGGCAGAGGTTGCAGTGAACCAAGATTGTGCCACTGCACTCCAGCCTGGGCGACAGAGTGAAACTCCGTCTCCAAAAAAAAAAAAAAAATAAATATGACTCTTAACCTCACTCATAATACAGAGAGTTCTTTCCTCATCCGTCAGATTGGCAAAAACCCAAAAGTTTGACAACACATTCTTCTGATAAGGCTATGGGAAAACACTCTCATACAATTCTGGTGGGAGAATAAGATGGTATGACCCCTAGAGAGAGCAATTAGGCAATATCTATTGAAAGTACACATGTGTTTGCCCTTTCGCCTTTGGAAATTAATCTTACATCTATATTTGCACACAAACAAAATAACGTATGTATAAGGTTATTCATTTCAGCACTTTTGGTACTAAGACTGAAAACACACCAAAATACTAATTAAAACAAAAAAGCCAAAGACTTGTTTAAATTTTTTAAAAATCCATCCCCTGCTGCATCTCATCCTTATCTCCATTTCTCAGTTTTCAATTTAAGCATTGCCTGCTGACTTTTTTTTTAATATGGAACAGAAGTGTGTAGGGATATTATATATCCCCCTGACTCCTACTGCACACACACAGAGCTATACTCACTGTCTTCATTTTTCCAAAATGATTACATTGTATTTTTTTGTTAAGTTAGTATTCAGTACTTGAATATTACAAGTATTCAAATATTGTTTACGATTGAAACACATAGTATGGCATGATTAACATTCCGGTTTTTTTTGTTTGTTTTTGTTTGTTTGTTTGTTTTTTGAGATGGAGTCTCGCTCTGTCACCCAGGCGGGAGTGCAATGGTGCTATCTCAGCTCACCTCAATTGCAAGCTCCGCCTCCTGGGTTCATGCCATTCTCCTGCCTCAGCCTCCTGAGTAGCTGGGACTACAGGTGCCCGCCACCATACCCAGCTAATTTTTTGTATTTTTTTAATAGTGACAGGGTTTCATTGTAGCCAGGATGGTCTCAATCTCCTGACCTTGTGATCCGCCCACCTCGGCCTCCCAAAGTGCTGGGATTACAAGTGTAAGCCACCATGCCCAGCCTTAACATTCCTTTCTTAAAACATTTTTTTGGTCCAGAGTTAATAGTTGCCTTGTTTTCCATTTACCATTTTAAATGTATTTATTAATAACGATTCCTTCAAATATCTTATATATCACACATTTTGAATCACCTGTCTGTTCCATTTTCCCCTAGAGATACTACTATGATTACCCTTCATGTTATTGATCTACTATACACTGATGCCTTAATCCATTTTCTATTTTTGTAACAGAATACCACAGACTGGGCAATTTATAAAGAAAGGAATTTTATTTAACTCATGATTCCAGAGGCTGGGAAGTCCAAGAGCATGGCACTGGCATTTGGTGAAGGTCTTCTTGCTGTGTCATAACACGGCAGAGGGTATCACATGGTAAGAGGGCAAGAGTGTGCCAGCTCAGAACTTCCTTCTTCTTCTTTGAAAGCTACCAGTCCCATCACGGGGGCCTCTGATGACCTCATCTAATCCTAATTACCTCCCAAAAGTCCCACCTCTAAATGCCATCAACATATGCATTTTGGGGTTAAGTTTCCAACACATGAAATTTGAGAGTCACATTCAAACCATAGCAACTGGTTTCCTTCTAAGCATACTGCATAGCTGCCACCTTAAAATCTATCTGTACTTTCATCCTGAGAACTTCCTTTGCTCACTCCATCTCACATGCTAAATCCACTGTGGGGTCTGGATCCCAGGTCTCGTTGATTCATTCATTCATTTTGGTAAAATAGATCCTCTAGTAGCTTCTTAAAAAAGGGCACTCAAAAAAGTTTCTTTTGTGTGTATGTGTAGGGATGGGGTTCGTTGTTTTTTCTTTGTTTTGTTTTTGAGACAGGGTCAGCCTTCCAAATACCTGGGACTACAGGCACATGCCACCATGCTTAGCTAATTTTTGTTGTTGTTGTTTTGAGACAGGGTCTTACTCTGTCACCTAGGCTGGAGTGCAGTGGCAAAATCTCAGCTCACTGCAACCTCTGCCTCCCAGGCTCAAGTGATCCTCCCACCTCAGCCTCCCAAGTAACTGGAACCACAGGCATGTGCCACCACACCCAGTTATTTTTAAAATATTTTTTGTAGAGACAGGGTTTCACCACAGTGCCCAGGCTGCTCTCAAACTCCTGGGCTCATCTGCCTCAGCCTCCCAAAGTGCTGGGATGACAGGAGTGAGCCACTGCACCCAGTCCAGAAAAAAAACTGAGGCCCTGCATGTGTGAAAATGCCTTCGTTATACCCTCACACTTGGTTGTTACTTTGGCTATGTATACCAGCTAGGCAATATTTTTTTCCAAATGCTCCATTTCCTCCCAGCATCCATGTGGCTGTGGAGGAGTCTGATGCCATTCTATTTCTGTCCATTTGTTGTGGCTTGTTTCGTCTCTCAGGAAATCTCTAGGAATCTTCTCTTCATTCCTGATGCTCTCAAATTTCATGATAACGTGCCTTGATTTTATTTTACTCTTATTAATTATGTTGTTTGGGAACTTCATGGTATCTTTTCATTATGACTTTCATGTCCTTCAGTTCTGAAAACGGTTCTCATAGTACTCTTTTGATAATTTTCTCCCCTCCAGTTTTCTTTGTTCTTTCTGAATATGCTATCAGTTGAATGTGGAACTCCTGATTCAACCTTCTCAATTCCATATTATGTCCCTCCTACTTTCCAAACCTGTGTCTTTTATTTACACTATCAGATTTTATCAACTTTCTTTTTCTTTTTTTTTTTTTTTGAGATGAAGTCTTGCTCTGTCACCAGGCTGGAGTGCAGTGGCTCGATCTTGGCTCACTGCAACCTCTGCCTCACGGGTTCAAGTGATTCTCCTGCCTCAGCCTCCCGAGTAGCTGGGACTACAGGCACGCACTACCACGCCCAGCTAATTTTTGTATTTTTAGTAGAGACAGGGTTTCACCATGTTGGCCAGGATGGTCTTGATCTCTTGACCTCGTGATCCGCCCGCCTCAGCCTCCCAAAGTGCTGGGATTACAGGCGTGAGCCACTGCGCCCGGCCGAGATTTTATCAACTTTATCTTCTAAACTTTCCTTTTTTTTTTTTTCCTCCATCTGTCACCCAGGCTGGAGTTCAGTGGCACGATCTCTGCTCACTGCAACCTCCGCTTCCTGGGTTCAAGCAATTCACCTGCCTTAGCCTCCCATGTAGCTGGGATTACAGGCACACATCAACACACCCCGCTAATTTTTGCATTTTTAGTAGAGACGGGGTTTCACCATGTTGGCCAGGCTGGTCTCGAACTCCTGAACTCAAGGGATCCGCCTGCCTTGGCTTCCCAAAGTGCTAGGATTAGAGGCGTAAGCCACTGTGCCTGGCCTAAACTTTCTTTTGAATGTTATTATACTTTTAGTTTCTAATAGCTCCTTCTTGTTCTCTGATTTTTGTAGGATCTTGTTCTTTCATGAATGATAGTCCTTTTGATACATATATATTTTTTTGCTCCTTGACTTTTTGCTGCTTCCTCCAAGTTTCTTTTTCATTTTTCTTTTTGTTTCTGTCTTTCAGGCAATCAATCTACCATGTTAAATGTAATTCTCCAATCATTCTTAAATGTTGGAGTCTTCTAAGTCCAGTCTCTCTTATATTTTTCAGATTGTCAATTTTTAAAAATAACTCCCTAAATAATATATGTGTATTCTCATCGCCAAAGATCCAAACAATAGAAAAGTACACTGAGAAAAATGTAAAAGTTCCCACTTAACTCCCACTCCTGTTCCCAAAAGTAACCACCAACAACAGTTTGGTGTGCCATGACAACTTTCTACCACGCAGACTAATGCCTTCTGAGTTAATGCAGATGTAATAAGTTGGCTTTTGTGTGTGTGTGTGTAATTTGTTCATTTAACTTATGAGAGTTATTTGATATTTGAATGAATTACCCAATATTAGGAGATCACATTCAAACCCAGATTCCCAAGTTATCATTAAAAAATTGGGAAGTTGAGAAATAGGAATGCTTTTACACTGTTGGTGGAAGTGTAAATTAGTTCAACCACAGTGTGGCGATTCCTCAAGGATCTAGAACAAGAAATACCATTTGACCCAGCAATCCCATTACTGGGTATATACCCAAAGGAATATAAATCATCCTACTATAAAGACACATGCACATGTATGCTTATTGCAGCACTATTTACAATAGCAAAGACTTGGAACCAACCCAAATGCCCATCAATGATAGACTGGATAAAGAAAATGTGGCACATATACACCATGGAATACTATGCAGCCATAAAAAGGAATGAGTTCATGTCCTTTGCAGGGACACAGATGAAGCTGGAAGGCTTCATTCTCAGCAAACCAACACAGGAACAGAAAACCAAACACTGCATGTTCTCATTCATAAATGGGACTTGAACAATGAGAACACATGGACACAGGGAGGGGATCATCATACACCATGACCTGTCAGGGGGTTGGGGGCAAGGGGAGAGAGAGCGTTAGGGTAAATACCTAATGCATGCAGGGCTTAAAACCTAAATGACGGGTTGACAGGTGCAGCAAGCCACCATGGCACATGTATACCTATGTAACAAACTTGCACATTCTGCACATGTATCCCAGAATTTAAAGTATAATAATAAAAAAAAAATGGGAAGTCTGGCAACACCGGCCCCATATACCTGAATTATGAAGGGAGCATCTTTTCTACAGTTCTCCTGGTTCCCACCTAGCCTGTGCTCACTTATATTACTTGCCTGGCTCCCATAAGCATTGCAGTTGGTGACACCTAGGTTAAACTGTTGGTAGGTGCTCTGGAAGCTGTTAACACATTCATCACTAACTAATAACAGATTAGTCCACCAGATCATAGGAAGGTCTGTCGGGCAGGAGCACATAAAGGGGGAAGGATTCCTTTCAGAAGGACATGAAAAAGGGTGAACTGGAGTGGGCTGGACTCTGGGTCAGTGAGACTGTCGGATCTAGAAGATAAGAAGTCTGCATTGACTGCAGATTGAAGAGTGATCCCTGATGTCTGAGTAGTCTTTTTTCCATTGATCTTCCCCAGTTGAGATTTCATGGCAGCAAAGCACAGTTCTCATGTCTGAGTGGATGACTTGGTACAAGCCGAAGGGCAGATGAGTCAGGAAGCAGCAGAGATGCTGAGTTGCTATGCAGAGAGGACACGCAGTGTGAGCTGCCTGTCACCACAGCCATGGCATCCTCAATGGCTGCCACTCACCCTCACACAGCTGATAGCCAAGGCTGACTCCTCACCACTTTCACCACAGTCAGGGAGGGGATGCATTGTGGTCATTTGTTCCTGAGAAACGTCCCTTGTGCATCAAATGCAAGCTCTGATCTCTTTATACAATTCTTCGATCTTATTTAACCTGGTAAATAGCTACACACCCACTCATCCAAGACACATCATAATTTAATCCAAGATGAATGATAAAGAGTACAGATTGGCCGGGCACAGTGGCTCACGCCTGTAATCCCAGCACTTTGGGAGGCTGAGGCATGCAGATCACCTGAGGTCAGGAGTTCGAGACCAGCCTGGCTAACATGGTGAAACCCTATCTCTACTAAAAATACAAAAATTAGCCGGGTGTGATAGGCCTGTAATCCCAGCATCTCGGGAGGCTGAGGCAGGAGAATTGCTTGAACCTGGGAGGCAGAGGTTGCAGCAAGCCGAGTCTGAGCCACTGCTATGAGCTTCAATATTGAAAAGGGCCAGGGAACATCTGGTAAAATCATTTATGTGGACAGGTACTTAGTTGTAACAATATATTATGTATTTATCAGAGCAAGAGAACAGCTCTGGGCTATTTTAATTCACTCTTATACAGATAAATTTTAGTGTTCCTTATTTTAAATCTTCTTTTTAGTGGATAGTATAGTCTGAGGAAAAAGAGATTGGCCAGACCTCACCAGTTGTTTAAGCATCCGAATAATATAGAGCAAAAAGCCTTGACTACTGCCAGTCTGCAGTCTAATAAAGCTCTCATGGAACACATTCCACAGAACAGCATGACCCCCGTTCTGGCTACTGTCTTCTCCTTAACCCACCTCCAACCTTTCTCCCCCTTTCCTGCCTGCCTCACTCCCAAGGGTTCTGTAACTAGTCCCCAGTTGGCCATCAGCTCTGAAACCTGCACAGAGATCATAGCAACAATATTACAACCACTGTTAATGTTTATTTTGTTCTCAATGAGATACCAGCCTTTCCTCCACTAAATTGCTTCACTAAATTGTACCTGGGAAATGATAGGGTTGTTTTTGGTCAAACTTTCACCCAAAGCAGAAATAAAGGCATACTTAATGGGGAATATAGGTGGAAGGACCCAGGCTCCCTTCACAAACAATATCTTAGGATGCAGCCAAGGTGAAAAGAGAGTGGGGGAGGTGAGGAGACAAACTGTACGCTGGTTCTCTTTCTTCTATCCCAAATTAAAGGCATTCCTGCCTTTACTTTTATCTAATACTGCTACCACAATTTCTCTTGGTTGCTTCCCGTTATTACATAGAAAAATGAAATTCTGCACCATGATCGAATCTAAATATTAAAATCATTTAAGATACATGACTCCTGGGACATACAGCAAAATGTAATAAGTTTCTCTGAATGTGACCTAATTATAACTGTCCTTTTAAGTTTTATTTCCCACTAGGATCAAATGTCTGCAGTTAAAAATAATTCTTGAAACAGGTCCATGTTGCCACAAAACTCTTCAGAGTCACTTAAATGGTATCCATATTCCCAATTTATTTATGTCTTCTGTTCCTGTGTGATAAAAGCCAGACAGCCAGGAAAGACAGGAAGCCAGGACACACTTCAGGCAGGACCATGCTGGGCCAGAATTCCCTGGGGCCAGGGCAACACCTGCCCATCTGACTAGACCAGGGTCAGGCCACCACTTTCCTTGTTCCCCAGCACCCCATGCACCAGAGACCCGTTTCTTCCCTGCTTTCAGTCCCCTGTTAATCCTTGGATGCTCAGCGGTCAAAACTCTTTGCTCTGGGCCAGGCGTGATGGCATGCCTATAATCTTAGCATTTTGGGAGGCCGAGGCAGGAGGATCTCTTGAGTACAGGAGTTCAAGACCAGCCTGGGCAATAGAGCCAGAGACCCCATCTACAAACACACACACACACACACACACACAATAACAGACACAGACACACACAATAACAGACACACAGACACACACACACACACACACACACACACTTTGCTCTGCTCTCCTCATACCCCCATGAAAACCAGGAATGAATGGTTTGAGCTGATCCCTGTCTTCTGAGTAGTCCTTTTTCCATTGATCTTCCCCAATAGAGATTTCATGACAGCAAAGCACAATTCCGCCTCCTGAGTGGATGACTTGGTACAAGCTGAAGGACAGGTGAGGCAGGAACCAGCAGAGGTGCCGAGTTGCTATGGGAGAGGACACTCATAAAAGCTTTGATGCTGCCCCAAATGGTGTGAGATGCTTGGGTCTTACTCCCCGTCCATCTCCACATTCCAAAGTGTTCACACTCTCCTTCTAATGTCCCTTTCAACAAATCTCCTTTTAAAAACAACCTTGTTTTCCTGAACAGAAAAAGCCCACCCTGTGCCTTGGCCAGCATCCCTCGCTTCATTTGTACTGACTTGGATAGACCTGGCTCCTAATAGTGAGGTTCCCTAAGGACACTTTCAGAAGCTGTGGTTGCCTTTTCAACATGGAGTCACTTCTCCATGTAACTGTTTTAAAAAGCAGAAGATGAGGGAGTCTTGCGATCCAAGGCCATGTGCCCTGAAAGTTGTGTTCAGAACATGTTCTAACTCACATGTTCTAAGTCACATGTTCTAAGTCAAACAGACCTGGGCTTGAATCCTAGCTCCACTACCTGTGTGGTTCCAGCATGCACTTAGACTTCCCAAGTCTCGGTCTCCTCATCTGTGAAATGGAGATGATAAAGGAGCAACTTCAGAAGGTTGTTGTGAAGATGAAAATGGAGATAAAGAATGCCAAGCACTTAGCACAGGAGCCTGGCGTGTGGTAAGCACTCGATAGATGTGAGCTATAATTATTAGAGCATTTGAATAAATCACTTCTTCCAGCTAAGATAATGCCATTAGTAGAGACAGATGATGCTATTTCTGCTTATCAGAGGATGCCAAAAGGATTCAAGCCAAAGATGGCTAGGAACAAAACTACCTTAGTCCTCCGGATCCTCTTCCCTCTCAGTTCCAGCTCATAAGAGAAATAAATAGCTAAGAAAAAAGGAGGCTACAGCCAGGATCATACCCAGGAGGCCCTAATGGAAACCCACAAGTAAAGGCATGCCATTTCCAAGACGTTCTCCAACCTGAAAAGGAAAAACTGAGTTTTAAAACAAGCAGATACATTTTAATGTTCAATTTCAGATGTGTACATTTATTCTGTGCTAAAGGGTACCCTTGAGCCCTCATTAAGGGAAAAGGTGAAGGCACCAGTTGACAGTGTTCAAAGCTGTATATGAAATGCCAAGTCTGATGGTGGGAGCTTTGAAAAATGATGTAGACAGTCTCGGAGAGTTCCCCACCCAGCCGTGCCAAAAAGCACTGCAGGAATCTACCCAGAGAGACTAGAAGAAAAGAGACAAGAAAAGAACATTGCTGGCTGGGAGCAACAAATAACAGACGAGCAAGAAATGAAAGCTGCAGGAGCACTGCTTGGAAATGATTGTGATGGAGCCCAGGGGCTGGAAGGAGAGACCAGGAAGGAGAGGGATAAACCTAACAGCATGTCTTTATTGTGCACCTGCTGTTTTCTTACACTGTGCTGGGTGCTGTGAGGTGCCAGAGTCATTGGAGATCCAGTCTCCACACAGAGCATCTAGCAGCATTTCTAGCTTATACTACAAGGCAGGTTGATTTAATGCACGATTATAGAGCTTTTACATGTAAGACAAATATAATGGGAACATGTGAACATTCCATTCAATATTAATAAACAGGAAGTTATCAAATATATTCTAAAATAAACCTGAAAAAAACTCATATTCCAACTATAATATCCCAAAGAAAGTGGATTAATATTTCCATGCTGTGCAGAAAGGAGTCACCTGTCACATATTTGCCAGAGGTGGATACATGAACTGATCAGGTCTTGGAGTTGGACATTCTAACTGGAGTCCACCAGTCTAATTTGTTTTGGGTGTCAAAGTATGTTACTCTCTATCTACTGAACCTCATTTTTTCTTCCCATACCTATGCCTGTAGGGCTTTCAGCTAATCAATGAGCAGCCAAAGGGTAGGGGCAGAGGAGCTGCTGTCCACTCCACTCTGTCCAGAGCCCTTGGTCCACTCCAAAATCCTACACACAATACCTTAGGAGCATGCTCTGCAGACCAAGAGTATATTGAGCATTGAGCCCAAAGGAGTGACCCTCAACCAGCAAGAATGGAGCTGGGGGATAGCCCGGCCTTCTCACTCCTCTCAGAAGCTCCCCAGGGCAGCGATGCACCCCTGAGCATTCCCTTTATTGGCTTGCATCCCACTGCGTCTCACTTTCCCACTCCATGCCTCTGCTTCCTGGAATCACTTGCTGTATTCCTCTCCTAAGACTGCCTTAACAAATGACCCCAAACTTGGTGGCTTAAGACAACAGAAATTAATTTCCTTGCAGTTCTAGAGGCCAGAAGCTCACAATCCAGTTGGCAGCAGGGCTGCACTCACTCTGACGGCTCTAGGGAGAATCCTTCTTTGCCTCTTCTGGCTTCTGGGGGCTCCAGGCTTCCTTGGCTTGTGGCTGCATCACTGTAATCTCTGCCTCCATCTTCACACGGCCTTCTCCTCCTCTGTGTCCATGCCTTCTCCTCTTCTGTCTCTTCTAAGGACATTTGTCATGGGATTTAGGGCCCACCTGGGTAATCTAGGATAATCTCATCTCAAGATCCTTAACTTAATTACATTGACAATAAACTATTTTTCTAAATAATGTAACATTCACAGGTTGCGGGGGTTAGGACATGAATATATCTTTTGAGGGGCCACCATTCAACCCACTACATCTGCCAAATAAACAGCTTACACTCAAACTCTGATCCCAAGGTTTGCTTTGGATAGAACCCAAACAAAGTGGCAGCAAAAGAAAAACAGGTTAGCCAGTCCAAATCTCTCTACCACCAGGCATGTCTCATAGAAAAAATACAAAACAGGCCAAGTGCGGTGGCTCATGCCTGTAATCCCAGTACTTTGGGAGGCCCAGGCGGGTGGATCACCTGAGGTCAGGAGTTCGAGACCAGCTTGGCCAACATGGTGAAACCCCATTGCTACTAAAAATACAAAAAATGAGCCAGGCATGGTGGTGGGCGCCTGTAATCCCAGCTACTCTGGAGGCTGAGGCAGGAGAATCACTTGAACCCTGGAGGAGGAAGTTGCAGTGAGCCGAGGTCGCGCCATTGCACTCCAGCTTGGGCAACAAGAACGAAACTCCGTCTCAAAAAAAACAAAAAAAAAAGGCCAGGCACGGTGGCTCACGCCTGTAATCCCAGCACTTTGGGAGGCTGAGGCGGGCGGATCATGAGGTCAGGAGATTGAGACCATCCTGGCTAACACAGTGAAACCCCATCTCTACTAAAAATACAAAAAATTAGCCGGGCGTGGTGGCATGCACCTGTAATCCCAGCTACTCAGGAGGCTGAGGCAGGAGAATCGCTTAAACCTGGGAGGCAGAGGTTGCAGTGAGTCGAGATCGCGCCACTGCACTCCAGCCTGGGTGACAGAGTGAGACTCTGTCTCAAAAAAAAAAAAAAAAAGAAAAGAGAAGAAAAAATACCAAACAAATAGTTCATAAGGCTTATCAAACTTCAGCGCCTGTTTTATTCAGCATTGTATTCCCAGGGTTCAGCAGACAGTGAAAAATATTTTTGTGAACCCTTACTATGTGCCTGGCATAGTAAGGGTTCCAAAAAATATTTGTCGAATGAAGTCTCATCATTAGATTCCCAGGTAGAGAAATAAACCTTGATATTTTTTTCTCAAGTATTTTTTACTGCTTTATTGAAGCATAATTTGCATACCATAAAAGTTAACCATTGTAAATATCCAATGCAATGATTTTTAGTATACCTACACATCACTTAATGGCAGGACTACTTTCTTTTTTTCTTTTTCTTTTTTTTTTTTGAGACAGAGTTTTGCTCTGGTTGCCCAAGCTGGAGTGCAATGGCGCGATCTCGGCTCACTGCAACCTCTGCCTCCTGGGTTCAAGCGATTCTCCTGCCTTAGCCTCCTGAGGAGCTGGGATTACAGGCATGAGACACTACTCCCAGATAATTTTTTGTATTTTTAGTAGAGATGAGGTTTCACCATGTTGGTCAGGCTGGTTTCAAACTCCTGACCTCAGGTGATCTGGGCAGGGCTACTTTCTGAGAATGTGTCATCAGGTGATTTCATCGTTGTGTGAGTGCACTTACACAGACCTAGATGGTGTGGCCTGCCCCACACCCAGGCTACAAGCTATAGCCTGTGGCTCCTAGGCTACAAACCTGTATAGCATGTTACTGTACTGAATAATGTAGGCAATGGTAACACAATGGTAAATATTTGTGCACCTAAACATAGAAAGGGTACAATAAAAATATGGCAATATAATCTTATGAGGCCACCGTCGTATATGCAGTCTGTTGTTGACTGAAACGTCCTTAATTCAGTACATGACATTTATAGAGTTTGCAATCATCACTACAATCCAGTTTTAGAACATTTTCATCACCCCACAAACTTTCCTCGTGCCTATCTGCAGTCAACCCCACTTTCACCTCCAGCCTCAGGCAACCATTGATCTGCTGTCTGTATAGATTTTCCCTTTGTAGACATTTCATAAATGAAATTATATATATGTAGTCTTTTGCTTGTAGCTTATTGCATGTAGCATGTTTCGGAGGTCGATCCATGTTGTAGCTAGGATCAGTAGATCATTCCTTCTTGCCGAGTTATGTTCCATTGAATGGATATGCCACTTTTTGTTTACCCATTAACAGTGGATGGACATTTGGATTGATTCTAATTTGTGGCTATTGTGAATAATGTTACATAAGCATTCACATACAAGTCTATGTGTAGTCATATATTTTCATTTCTCTTGAGTAAATACCTGAGTAGAATCCAACTTTCTATCTTGAAAATTTTCAAAACCATAGAAAAGTTGAAAGAGTGGTACATCATATATACTTCACCTGAATTCCTCAATTGGTAACATCTTGCCATATGTGCCTTATCTCTCTGTCTCTATAAAATACATTTTGTGAACTATTTGAAAGAGTTGTAGACATCAGTCGGGCGTGGTGGCTCATGCCTGTAATACCAGCACTTTGGGAGGCTGAGGCAGGTGGATCACGAGGTCAGGAGATCAAGACCATCCTGGCTAACACGGTGAAACCCCGTCTCTACTAAAAATACAAAAAAATTAGCCGGGCGTGGTGGTAGGCACCTGTAGTCCCAGCTACTTGGGAGGCTGAGGCAGGAGAATGGCATGAACCCAGGAGGCGGAGCTTGCAGTGAGCCGAGATTACGCCACTGCACTCCAGCCTGGGCAACAGAGTGAGACTCAGTCTCAAAACAAAACAAACAAAAAAGAGTTGCAGACATCATGACATATTATCCCTAAATATTTCATCCCTGAAGAATAAAGTGGCCGGGCATGGTGGCTCACGCCTATAATCCCAACACTTTAGGAGGCTGAGGCGGGAGGTTCACTTGTGTCCAGGAGTTCAAGGAGCCTGGACAACAAGGCGAGACCCCATCTCTACAAAAAATCTTAAAATTAGCTGGGTATGATGGCACTTGCCTGTACACCCAGCTACTCAGGAAGCTAAGGCGGGAGGTTCACTTGAGTCTGGGAGGTCAAGGCTTCAGTGAGCCATGACTGTGCCACCGCACTCCAGCCTGGGTGACGCAGCAAGACTCAGTCTCAAAAACAAAACAAAACAAAAAAGAATAAGGCCATTCTCCTACATAACTGCAACGTCATTATCACGACAAAGTCTTTTAGCAACTTTATTTTGAAATTTTTCAAAATATTTTACAAAAAAATGAAAATAATAATACACTGAAGTGAACCTGGACTTTGTTGTAATTTCTCATATTTCTACTTTAACACTTTTGACCCTCAAATCCTCTCACTGCCACTCCTCCTAAATATTTGTGCAGGGCCATTCTTGGTGCATAGCCATGGAATATTCCTGACTTGTCACACCCTTACTTCTCTGCTGTTTATTCCCAGAGTTTTCAGTGTTGCTTTCACAAGACTCCAAGGTGCCTCTAGTGTCTTGTGCTGGGGGATATTACAAAATTCTCAAAGCTTCCCGCACCTCCATCGAGGCTTGGCTCAAATAACAGCTTCTCAATGACTTACCCTCCCTGTGCTATCAAACATTTCATCTGTCTACCTCCTCTCCTCACCCGCACTTCCTACCCCACTTACTCTGACATATTTTCTTTTCCTGAAGCACTTATCACCTTCTAACGGAAGCTATAATTCACACATTTGTTATATTTATGAATTGTCTCTCCTCATTAGAACATAAGCTCTATGAGGACAGAGACGGTTGTCTTTTGGGTTCAGTATTGTACCCCCAGGTCTGAGAACTGTACCTAGCACATCGAGTGCTCAATAAACATGAGCAGAGGGAGTGAGCAGATGCTGCCCGTGGGGAGATGTGTGGAGTGCCTCCTGCAGCCTCCAGGAGGAGCGGGGATGGCCTGGCCCTGACCTAATCATCCCCCAGGAGGTGTGGGGAAGGATCAGGGGTTTAGTCGTAATTAACATGCCAAATCCCAAGTGAAGGTTTCGGAAAACCACCAGACCTTTAAAAACTGAAAAATGGGCCAGGTGCTGTGGCTCATGGGTAATCCCAGCACTTTGGGAGGCAAAGGAGGGAGCATCACTTGAGCCCAGGAGTTTGAGATCAGCCTGGGCAATAAGGTGAGACCCCATCTCTACAAAAACTACAAAATAATTAGCCAGGTGTGGTGATGCACACCTGTGGTCCCAGCTATTCAGGAGGATCGCTTGAGCCTGCGAGGTCGAGCTGCAGTGAGCCGTGATTGCATCACTGCACTCCAGCCTGGGCAACAAGGCAAGACCCTGCCTAAAAAAAAAAAAAAAAGAAAAAGAAAAAAAACTGAAAAATGACTCCCCTACCCCTACTCCCTTTAGCAGTACAGACTAGAAATTTCCAAATAGGAAGTCTCCCAATACTTCTCTGAAGTTTTTTTTTGCATAAGAGAGAGCCACCAAGATTAACTCTCCAAGGACTACAAAGCTTGGAGCTCAGCCAGCCGTGGATTTCACAGAGGAGGCAAATACCACACCCACCATATCTTTAAAAGGCCCTTCCCAGGAGGCAGCACCTGCTGTCCTGGCAGCGAGGTTGTACCATGAGGCCCATCCTGCCCCTTCCTGGCCCCAGGTGTTTAGAAAGCTGGGGCACACCTAGCCTGACTAAGAAGCTTGGTTGCAGGCTGGCAGGGCCCTGGGGCGCCTGGGTGATGTGCTTTGCCTGCCAGGAGGGGCGGGTCAGCTTCTTGCTCTTGAGGCCTGAATTAGAAACTAGCAAGGGTCCTGTCTTCAGTGGGGAAAATGCTGAAAGGAAGCAGAAACAGAGACTTTGAGTCAGACGAGGGGCTCTGAGAGGCGGCGAGCTGGCAGAAGTTAGGAGAAGCATGGGGTAGTGGAAGCTCTGAGATAAAAGAAAGCCCTTCGAAGAACAGCAAGAAATAAAGAATTACACAAACCTCTGCCCCTGAGGTGCCTTGAGCTGCCCTGGACTCAGGATGATACCTGGTTCCAGTCTCTTCCAGGCCTGGCTACTCCACAATCCTGTTTTCCAGAAGTTTCCATCACTCTCACTGCTTTGCAATTTCTTCACCATAAACCTCATCGCTTGAACTAGGTTGAGTGACCTCTTCATTCCTTGCAACTCAAAGAATCTAGTCAAATAGAAACATATGAGTGTTGAGGTTGCGCCAGGTGGCTCACACTTGTAAGCCCAGCACTTTGGGAGGCTGAGGCAGGTGGATCACTTGAGTCCCAGCCTGGGCAACATAGTGAGACCCCCATCTCTACAAAACATTTTTAAAAATTAGGGGAGCATGGTGGCACGCACCTGTGGTCTCTGTAGAGTCAGACCTGTGGGATCTGACACTATCTTCCAGTAGACGATGTCAGAATTGAATCGGAGGGCAACCAGCTGGTGTCCACTGCAGAACTGATGGGCTGCTTGCTGATGGGGAGAAACCCCCTCATATTTGGGGATAACAGAATTCTCCTGTCTGTGTTGATAACTGTTGTTGTGTTAGTGTGAGAGCAGAGGAAAAACTGTTTAAGTTTATTCTTAATACTCACCTGCATAGACATTGCTTGTTAAAAAAGCAAAATCTAAGGCCCCATCTCAGACCTACTCAGCCCCAGTTAAATCATAGGAACATTAAGTTTCAGGACCACTGCTTCCTCTCACCCAGCTAATATTCCCAAACCCACTGTCCCAAGTGCCTTTGCACTCCTGGACTCCTACCTGCCACAGATTGGATAATCAATATCAGCAACTCTATTGGTATTAAAGCTATTGGCAAAGGTCATTGCCTGTAAGATTCAGGCTTCTTAAGGCTGTTCATTTGTCTGTAGACTTCAGATGTCTTTCATTAGGTTTTATTTACAATGTTATTGTAAATGCTTGTCTTTTTTCAGAGGTTCATCCTGTTTTGGTAAAATCCTGTTGAATAAATCCAAGGATTAAGAGACTCTGCCTACCCTACTCTTCCTCTACCCTGTTCTTTACAATAGTAGATGATCCCTAATGAGCATTTTAACTACATTCTATCAACATACCATCATCCTTGAGAAGTGTCTATAGTTTCAGGTCACAGCTTGTTTTCATCTCAAACACCAGAGAAAGAAAAACCCCTGTCAGGAGATGAAACACCAAGAAATACAATGTGATTATTTTTCCAGGAAGGATTTATGTGCCAGGTTCTTAAACCATGTGACCTCCAATGTCTACCACACAGGTCAGTCACTGGGCTGGGGGTGCTATGCCTTCAGGGTCGGCCACGCCCACCTGCATTTACAAGCCCACCAGCAGCTCCTTAGAAACAGGATCTGGAACCAGACACAGCTTAGTGTGCACCTTCTTCCGATTTGTCCTTCCCATCCTTCCTCCCTACCTCCTTCTTCTTCTGTGCCCTTTATTCATCTTTCCTTCCTCCCAGTAAGATGTATTGAGGGCTGACAATGGGTCACACATGGTGCTGGGTACCAGAGATGTGGCCATAAAGAAGACAGATGGGGGTCTAGCTCGTGGAGTTTATGTTCTAGCAGGCAGGACTCCAAAATCAGTCACCCATTGACTCACTTCAATGGTAGGTGCTATTGAGGAGAATTGCAGGATGATGGCCTTCTTTGAGATAAAATGATGTCTGAGCCAAGGTATAAAAGATAAGTAGTGGTGAATCAGGCAAAGGAAGAGGGGAGCACGCCCTTATTCTCTGCTGGCCCCATTCCCCATCCTGCCAGCTCAACTCTTGGATGCCCATGGAA
The DNA here is from genome assembly GCF_000001405.40 of Homo sapiens. Lineage (NCBI taxonomy): Eukaryota > Metazoa > Chordata > Mammalia > Primates > Hominidae > Homo > Homo sapiens. Next base: position 101,007,696 of record NC_000008.11, on the reverse strand, counting down.
TGCCCCTGCTCCAACTTGGCATCTCCAGCTGTTGACTCCATCCTGAGCTTGCCCGATGCCCTGTAGTGCTGACAGCTCCACATCCCAGGCTTGGAGACTTGCCTCTGTTCTTGTCTGTATCTGACCTTGGCCTGGGCTATTTTCCATCCCACGTCTCCCATATTGGTGCTGACAGCTTACAAAGTCCCCACCCAGCTGGGTAGCAAGATATGGGATGGCATCACTTTCCTCTTAGTTTATTAGAAAGCACTTTTTTTTTCAAACAATTAATTTTGCTCTCAGCACCAGGACAATAACTCAGGCTCAATGCAGGGTTTATGTTTGTGGTGGGGGCCAGTCCTTCTGCAGGAGACCACAACTAACACAGTTGCATCTTCTCATTGCCAAGGAGCCTGCTGGATCTCGGTGGCATGGTGAGCAGAACCATGCTTGATGGGTCAGGGCAGGTTGCATCTTGCTGAAGGCCTCACACAGGCTAAACGGAGCCTGCAACGAGTGATGTTTCCCACAGCCTTCTCTCCAGGTAACATCCAAGCAGTTGCTGGATTCCTCCCTCACTCTGAATAAATTCAGGTGTTTTGCTAATTGGACAATGGCCTCTTTTTTTGTCAGAACATTGCAGGCATATTTTGGGGTTTCTGTTTGTGAAAAGGTGTTGCAGGAAGCATGATTCATTTGTTTATTAGGATGTTACCCTGTGTTTTGAAAAACAATTTGAAAGGCAAAATGGCCTCTGATGCCTTTAGCTTTTCTCATTGGGCCCTATGCTGTGAACAACTGCTCTTACCTTTAGTTTACAGAATCCCCATCTGGTTAGATACTTTGATTTATGTTGGCTGTGATCCAGAACAGCTGATTTGGTTTATTTTAAGGAGTTTTATTTTAAGAAACTTTTGACATTTAAGAATTTAATTGGAACAATCTGTACTCAGAAATTTTTTAATGCAGTCTAGAATTAAAAGATGTTCCTCAGAGCGTGCAAGGGTTTGGTTTAAAAAAAAACAAAAAAACAAAAACAGAACAAAACAAAAAAACGGAGAGGCAAGATGTGGTAGGAGAATCCTCAGGTCAGTACATCTGTCAGCAATGAGAGTGGACAGAGTAGCTATTTCTAAAATGAACTATTCTAACCCTCACATCTATTCCTTAAGCTCTGCTGGGGTTGACTGTCTGCCACAGGCCAGCTACAGGGAGACGAAGGGCAGGTTGCACACCATCCCACCAGCTCTTATCAGATGGTCAGGCCTCAACTGAGATGCATTCAGGAAATTTGCCTCATTCCCTTGACCAAAGGCCAGGTTTTCCCGGTTCTGAGAGCCAGAAAGAAACCAAAGTGAACTTCAGAGTCCCTGCACACTGAGAACTGAAATCATAACTGAAAGTTCAAGAGCCTGGGGAGGTTTGAGACTCCCGAGAAGGCCCCAGCTTCTAGAGATTGGCCTGAATCTCTATGGACATTCTGCACAGTCCACGGAATTCTTAGTACTTTTAGTGAGCTGGAGCTGATCTGTGATCCCTGAGATCGCTGCAGATAGAAGCAAAGAGTGTCAACCAGGCCCCTAAAGCCCAATAAATCAAAATAAATGCAAGAGATGCTTGTGCTTACCAGACCTGGGTAGTGACCTGCAAACCACACTGCGAGCCCCAGCTTCTCTCCCAAATTCCACCTTTGCTTCCAGGAATTGCCCCATGTGTGTATTCAGACTCAGCGAGCCAACTCTGAATTCTTGCATATTTCTACAGATGGCACTGCCATTCTCTATTCTCCCAGCCACGTCTTAGTGTCACTATTCACCTCATTTGACTGCCATAAGGCTCAATAATTAGTTGTACGCAACTAATTGGTCCAGTTTCTAAATCTCCTCAATCCTGTCTCATTGTCTAATTTAAAAAAAATTTTTTAGAGATAGGGTCTCACTATGTTGCCTAGGCTGGATTTAAACTCCTAGTCTAAGCAATCCTCTTGCCTCAACCTCCTGAGTAGCTAGGACTACATATGAACGCCACTGTGGCTGGCTTCATCATCTATTTTTAAAAATACCTACCTTTGGTGAGACGCGGTGGCTCACACCTGTAATCCCAGGACTTTGGGAGGCCAAGGCGGGCGGATCACAATGTCAGGAGATGGAGACCATCCTGGCTAACATGATGAAACCCCATCTCTACTAAAAATACAAAAAATTAGCTGGGCGTGGTGGCAGGCGCCTGTAGTCCCAGCTACTCGGAAGGCTGAGGCAGGAGAATGGTGTGAACCCGGGAGGCGGAGTTTGCAAGTAAGCTGAGATTGCACCACTGCACTCCAGCCTGAGCGATAGAATGAGACTCCGTCTCAAAAATAAATAAATAAATAAAATACCTACCTTTGGCCAGGTGTGGTGTCTCATGCCTGTAATACCAAGATTTGGGGAAGGGGGTGGCCAATGTGGGAGGATTGCTTGAACCCAGGAATTCGAGACCCACCTGTGCAACAGAGTAAGACCCCATCTCTACAAAAAAACGTTTTTTTTAATTAGCTGGGCGTGGCATACCTGTAGTCCCATCTACTCGGGAAGCTGAGGTGGGAGGATCGCTTGAGCCTGGGAGGTTGAGGCTGCAGGGAGCTGTGATCTCACCACTACACTCCAGAGTTCGAACTTTATTTGAGAAATGAAGAGGAGGAAAGATTATTAACTTTTTAAGGCACTTACTGTGTGTTAGCTCTATTAGGCATTTGCACTGAAGGTTAGATCTAACATAGCCTTCCCACCAAGCTTTGTAATTACAACTCCTGTTATTCTACTTGTATCTTACTCCAGGTAAACTGGCCTGGCCATATATTTCTTTTTTAGCTGCCTTTCATCCTAGTCAATAGGCCACACTTTCTTACTTGCACAAGCCTGCATTCTCTCCCCACTGCATATCTTCAATTATATTCTTCTCTCTCTCCATCATCTCCCAACCCCATCACCAGGGTAGGTGCAGTGCTACACATCTTTTAAGGTCCATTGCTGGTATTCTGGTACATATTTAATAACCAGCTCTCTGGGCAGGTAAAACTCTGATTTGTAGTGTTTGTCCATTTTTCTTTTGGTTTGCCACAGCCAATTTCGAGCTACCAGTCTGATATCAACTGGATGACAAAATTTCTGAAAAAATTAGCTATCATTTCTCAAAGACTAGTATGAGCTGGCTCTAGCACATCACTGAGCCTCAAACGTCACTGGTCTTGACATCTCCAATCTATAGTATACTTTCCCTGCTTTGAACTTTGTTAGTAACTTACATTCTCTCACGAAAAGTATTCTGCATTATATTATAGTTATAATGAACCCTGATTATCATCCCATCTTAGATTATTAACTTTTCAAGTGCATGACCCATCTTACTCATCTATGTATTCACAGTGATGCCTAGAACAATAATGGTGTTCAATAAATATTTGCTGTATTAGACAGATGATGAAGATTATCACCAGGGCTTGACTCAGTTGTGGTGAGGATACAATGACATCATGTATGTAAAGCACTTTCCAGAGTGCTTGGCCCTGCAAGTGCTTAATTAGTAACAGCTAATTTTACTATTGGCTGTGGCTTCTGGAATTCAGAGAGCACAAGTAACATCAATTCTTAACAACTCCTCTCTCCCCAACAGACACACACATTAGTCACTTGGGCAACATTTACAAACCGCAATGCCCAGGCCAATATATTTTTAAATTTCCCCAAGTGATTCTGTTGTGCCCCAAGCTTCTGAGAACCAGCATCCTACATGCTGCTAATCTTCTCTCTGGATAAGGAATCCAAAATATCAAAAAGGAAATGACCTCTAAATAGAACCAGCTACCCCTTTAAAAATCCTCCTGTTCACTAAACAATTCCAGTCAACAGGAGGAAAGCTCACTCGAAGGATTGCCTTATTTGGTGAAGTCTGGGTGGGGTTACCTGGGAGGAAAGGCTGAGAATGAGTAATGCAGCGTTCTGCTGGGGCAGGAGAGAAATACCTCTTTGTCAGCAAACTCCTGTAAGTGAAGTTCGTCAAGCTGGCAGAATTTTAGAGGCATCTCATTTAAATTAGATCTGGCCTTTGTGATGATTTAGTGCAAACCAAACGTAAGTAAGTTTCATCTCAATAAGCATCTGTGTGTTTACCCAAATTATCTTGTTCCTCCAGATTTTTTTTTTTTTGAAATGGAGTCTCACTGTGTCGCCAGGCTGGAGTGCAATGGCGCTATCTCGGCTCGCTGGAACCTCTGCCTCCCTTGTTCAAGTGATTCTCCTGCCTCAGCCTCCCACGTAGCTGGGACTACAGGCATGCGCCACCATGCCCAGCTAATTTTTGTATTTTTAGTAGAGACGGGGTTTCACCATGTTGGCCAGGATGGTCTTGATCTCTTAATCTCGTGATCCGCCCGCCTCGGCCTCCCAAAGTACTGGGATTACAGGCATGAACCAACACGCCCGGCCTTGTTCCTCCAGAATTTTATCAAAACAACTAGCTACCAAGGCTCAAAATGATTCTTTTTCTCATAAAATATTTGTGGTAATGAGAATGGACTTCAAATCAAGACAATAATGCATTTCTAGCTTTGAGAAGTAGGTACTACTTTCCCCTGATAGTTGGTGAAACTGAAGCATTGTGAGACTTGATCGGCCCAAAGTGACACAGGGGGAGCCCAAATATGAAGCAAGAGATTCCTGTTCTCATCACTTGACACATTTCATCTTTATGGATATTTAGTGATTGTGGTTTCATCACGTATCTCTCATGTTAAAGATATTCACCAAAAAAAAAAAAAAAATCCTTCTGAAAGAATTTGCTCCGAAAAGTAAATAAAGCAATTCTGCTTCAATAGTGTAGTAGAGATTACTCTTTGTTTTTATGAGAGTGATAGCCTGGTGGCTCACTTTAAAGGAGAGACAGAAGAAGAAGATGTGTGTGTTACAGTCAAATTTTAGAGGTCTATGCTAATTTTCTTTGATGCCTCTTACTATAAGTGACTATTTAAGGAATCATTTGCTTTCTTTTTTTTTGCCTTGAGACAAGGTCTCGCTCCAGGTCACCCAGGCTGGAGTGCAATTCCACAATCTCAACTCGCTGCAACCTCTGCCTCCTGGGTTCAAGTGATTCTCCTGCCTCAGCCTCTCAAGCAGCTGGGATTATGGGCTCCTGCCACCACACCCACCTAATTTTTGTATTTTTAGTTGAGACAGGGTTTCGCCACGTTGGCCAGGCTGGTCTCAAACTCCTGACCTCAAGTGATCCACTCGCCTCGGCCTCCTAAAGTTCTGGGATTATAGGCATGAGCCACCGTACCTGGCCACAAAATGAACTTCTTAAAGAAACTCTTAGCAGAACCTCATACTTTAGATCAAGGCTCCATAATGTCACAAACCCTTCAAATTTGGTTCCTATATAAATCACATCCTTAAAACCATGACTTACCTTTCTAATACTTTTTCTCTGTTCTAACATTATACATTAATAGAGGACATATATGTGTCATACCAACTTCCAATATATCACATTTATTCCTAAGGATCACCAAGGAGGACCACTGAATACCACTATGGGTAGAGCACAGAATCAGGACTCAAAAAGTTTACTGTCTGTTATCCTCAAATATTACAGGGATTTTGAGTCACCAGATGAAGTTACAAGTCTGGCTATAGAATCAGTCTGACCAGAAGATCTAGCAGATTGTACTTGTTACTGCAAATTTAAAAGGAGACAGTAGCAGTAGAATGGGAAAGTTCCATCTTCGTGCTCTTTGCACAAGGACTCTGTAATATCCTTTCAGCCAGACTGTGTGAACACAGGCAGAACATCTCAGACTCCCCTTGTCTTGAGACAATGAGAAGGGTTGTAGAAGTTTTCTGAGTTCTCTGAAATCTGGGTTCTGTCCAGAATCACAGTCACCTAAAATCTGACTTCCTGTCACTGTTGCAGCAAATAAGGGTTGGGCACCCAATATCCACAAGTGAGAAAGAGTGGTTAATCTTTCTCCTACAAAAAAACGTTTTTTGTAGGAGAAAACAAAACGTTTTTCTCAATTAACCTTGCACATAACAATTATCAATTAACCTTGCACATAACAAATAGCATTAGCTTACATAAGACAGAAGTTTCTTCCTTTCTTTCTCTGTCCTGTGGAAGATCCACTGTAGGGCTAGTACAGCTATTGCAGGGGTTTGGCCACCCACACTCCACTCTCCTCAGCACATGGTTCCCACCTCACAGTTCAAGATGGCTGCTCAAAACCCACTTAAGAGGAAGAATAAAGGGAAAGGGGAAGAAGTAAAGAGACTAAGAGCATATATCAGCCATCTTTCTGTCAAGTTTCCCAGGCACTGCCTTCCACTCATATTATGTTGGACACCACTGAGTCCAGTCAACAACATGTAGCTGCAAGGGAGCTTGGGAAATATGGTATTTACAGTGCATAGTCATCGGCTGAGGTAAAAACTGGCAGTTCTGCTACAAGCAAGGAGAACAGATATTAAGGTCAGAATCCAGGGGTCTCTGCCACAACCTGACTAATGTCAGTGCTAATGTTCAAGGTTGAGAGGCTGCCATAGTTAAGTGTAAAACTTAGAATTCAGGAAGCTTGGACTATATTCTTATTTCTACCCAAGTATCCAAGTGACCTCAGTAATCTCACCAGTAAAACAGATATGTCATTGCTAAAAATTGAATGTGATGCATGATGTTATAAGAATAATCAGCAAATTAGTGAATTGCATTTTTGTGTGTTTCCGCTCACAGGCCATAACTACTTGTTTAAAGCGTCTGCTGAATTAATCACCTGATCTGAAGCACAAACTTATGAAATTCAAACACCCCCACAGGAGAAAATAGAATAGTTGAAACTTTGAGTTGAAAGGGACATTCAAGGATGTCTAATTCAACCCTCTCTCCCCATGTAGAAATCTCTGCCAAGTAACCCTGACAGATGGTCTCCTGTCTTGTGCTTAAGCACTCCTACAGTGTGTTATTTTGCAGTTCCATTGATGGACAGCTCCAATTGTCAGATAGTTCGTCTGGATAGTGAACAAAAACTCCTTCCCCTAAACCCCCATCTCCTGAAATAACAGAGAACAAAGTCGTTCTTTTCATGATAGTCCATCTACTAATGGAAGACAGTTTTTTTGTCTGTTAGTCTTCTCCTCAAGCTAAACATTCCTGATGGTTGCAACTGTTTCTTAAGTAACCAGGTACCTGTCTCTCTCACCATCAGGATATTTTTCTCTACATTAGTGTTTCTTGAACTTTGTTGACTATGACCTACAGAAATAAATTCATTTTATATATGATTGGTACACATAAACATACATAGAACTGAAACAGAAGTTTCATAAAACAATATTTAGCCTCATTAGCTGCCATAAACTCATATATTTTCTCATTCAACTCTATCCTACTCTATTGTGTGCAATATTTTTTTTTTTTTTTGAGACGGAGTCTCGCTCTGCACCCAGGCTGGAGTGCAGTGTGGCACAATCTCGGCTCACTGCAAGCTCCACCTCCTGGGTTCACGTCATTCTCCTGCCTCAGCCTCCCGAGTAGCTGGGACTACAGGCACCCACCACCATGCCCAGATAATTTTTTTGTATTTTTAGTAGAGACGGGGTTTCACCGTCTTAGCCAGGATGGTCTCGATCTCCTGACCTCGTGATCCGGCTGCCTCAGCCTCCCAAAGTGCTGGGATTACAGGCATGAGCCACCATGCCCGGCCCTTTTACTATTTTTTTTAATGCTGGTTGCTATCCATTTTTAATGGGATTCATACTCATTCATGGGTAGCAACTCATAGTTTGAAAATCACAGCTCCAGATGCACTCTGACCTGTAAATGTGCTTAGAAGGTACTGTTCTGATACTGCAGGCTGATCTGAGTGAGCAAAAGGAGCTTCTACTTCCTGATTCCAAAACTTGGTGTCTTTATTTTAAGGTAATCGATGTGCATTGAATTTTAAACTCACACTATCACACTGTTGACTGAGCATCTGAGTCACTTATAATTATAATACTTTCTCTGGGCCAGGCACAGTGGCTCACACCTGTATCCCAGCACTTTGGGGGGCCAAGGCAGGAGGATTGTTTGAGCCTAGGAGTTTGAGACCAGCCTGGGCAACATAGTGAGGCCAAGTCTCTACAAAAAGTAAACAAAATTAGCAGGGCATGGTGGCACGTGCCTGTAGTCCCAGCTACTCGAGAAGCTGAGGCAGAAGGATGGCTTGAGCCCGGGAAGTAAAGGCTGCAGCGAGCTGTGATCGCACCACTGCACTCCAGCCTCTGCGACAGAGACCGTCAAGAAAGAAAGAGGCCGGGTGCGGTTGCTCACGCCTGTAGTCCCAGCACTTTGGGAAGCCGAGGAGGGCGGATCACAAGGTCAGGAGTTTGAGAGCAGCCTGGCCAATATGGTGAAAACCCCATCTCTACTAAAAATACAAAAATTAGCTGGGAGTGGTTGTGCAAGCCTGTAGTCTCAGCTACTCAGGAGGCTGAGGCAGAAGAATCGCTTGAACCCAGGAGGCAGAGGTTGCAGTGAGCCGAGATCATGCCACTGCACTCCAGCCTGAGCGACAGAGTGAGACTCCGTCTCAAAAAAAAAAAAGAAAAAGAAAAAGAGAAAGAAAGAAATAGAGAAAGAGAGAGAAAGAAAGAAAGAAAGAGAGAGAGAAAGAAAGAAAGTGAGAAAGAAGAAAGAAAGAAAGAAAGAAAGAAAGAAAGAAAGAAAGAAAGAAAGAAAGAAAGAAAGAAAGGCAACCTTAAGAGTTGGTAATAGCTGGACAAAGTGAGAATCACATGCTGGAAGGCACAGAGGTGAGAAAAACACAGGTAATGTGAATAGCAAAGAACAAGAACACTTCTAGAGAACTTCAAGAAGGGCACGGCTTTGAACACATTGAACAGAAGCTATTTACTTGCCACATGTACAGGATAAGGCCATGATGAGCAAGCCAAAGGAGCTGGCCTGTGTCTGTGTTCTGTGAAGGACTCATATCTGTCTACCGAGGAGCCTGCAGAGGTTAGTGGCAGCTTGAGGACTCTTAATGCCTTCACTACCTGTGGATTCTCAGTTCCCATTGCATCAGTCAAAGCTAAAAGTTATTGGCCAAAGTGAAAGAGAAATAGAGAAGAAGAGATGGAGTTAGCAAGAAAGGGAATGGTTTTCTTTTGATCTTCACTCCAAATTCCAGATTCAGACCAACAGAGAGAGTATTTTTTTTCTTTTTCCTTGATTTTTCTCTTTTTTTAAACTGGTAGTTATTTTGGTTTTTAAATTAGTAATTGGCATTGCATTCTTCATGGTCCAAAACTCAAAAGGTTCAAAAAAGATATGTGGTCAAGTTTCCTTCCCTCCCCACCTCCTGCTGTACAATTTCTCTCCAAGACAAGCAATGTAAGCAGGTTTTGTTTATATTTCCAGAGATCTATGTGAAACCAACCCAGCAGTTCCATACACAGTAGTAGTAGTAGTAGTAGTAGTAGTAGTAGTAGTAGTAATAATAGTAATAGTAGTTGTTGTTGTTTTGGATAAACATAGAAATTGACCCTTCTGGTCTTAAAGCTTAAAACTTACATTTGTTTTATCTGAGTTCTTGCCTCAGGAAAGAACCCCAGCCCTCTCAAAAAGTATCAAAGAACTAAAACTCACCAGATCATTTTATCCAGACAATGAGATGCTGGACCCCTCATTCATCATGATTGCTTCCTTACCCCTCCCAAATTCCCGTTTTCTCACGCATAGCTACATTTCTTCCCAGCTATATAAATCCCTCATTTTAGTCGCTTAGGGAGATGGATTTGAGACAGATCTCCTATCTCCTTGACTGCAGTGCCAGATTAAAGCATTCTTCCTTGGCAATGGTTGTCTCAGTGATTGGCTTTCTGTGCAGCGAGAAGCACAGAAACTGGTATTTGTTTTATCTGAGTTCCTTCCTCAGGAAAGGAACTTCAGGCCTCTCAAAGAAAGTATCAAAAACTAAAACTCACCAGATCGAGGCACCAGATGCCTCCTTGCCCCTCCCCTAGTTCTTGTTTTCTTACACATTGTTGCATTTCTTCTCTGCTGTAAAACCCTGGGTTTTAATCAGTCAGGGAGATGGATTTGGGGCTGAGCTCCCATCTCTTGCGTCACCCGATTAAAGCCTTCTTCCTTGGCAATACTTGTCATCTCAGTGATTGGCTCTCTGTGCGGTTAGCAGGAGGGCCTAGACTGAATCCCTGGTGTTTCAGGAACAAAATCACAGCACAATATGCACACAGACAATATAGTACTTGTTTTTTCTTGCTACAGAATTCTTAAAATTGACCAAATCAAGAAAGGAAAAAAAATTTAAGTGAAGAAAAGGAAGCTAGTCTTAAGGAATAAGAAAACTAATGAACAGCAATGAGACAGCAAAAAAATTTTTTTTAATATATGTATATATTTGGTTTTTTCCCCAGCCACACTGTTTATATATAATAACTCAACTTCTCAGGAAGAAAGAAGAGTTTGTAGGGAAAATATATATATAAAGGGAAATATCGTTGGCTCTTCTAGGTGTTTACTAAGATCCTTGAATTGTTTTTATAAAAAGCTTATAATCTGCTGTCAGATATAAGAAACATGATAAAAGAACATTGTGAAGAGTTATACTGTGCGCTTAAAATATTACGCAAGCTTGAAGAGTCAAAAAACTACACATGACTCTGCAAACTTCAGAAATATTAATCCACTGACAACAGGGCCATCTAATTTTCTCTTTTACGCTACCAGATTGATGAAGAAAATAGGGAAAGAATGTTCAAGCTGAAATGAATAGAAAGAACATTATAAATGAGTAACAGGATAATTAAAGCATGAAGCAGCCTTCTACGTCTCAAGATAATGGTAATGGTAAATGTAGTTTTAGCTAATTAATTGGTAAAGAACAAATTTGCATCAGTGACTGTCTTACATTTAAATATGAAATACTTTTGCTTTGCTAGAAGCTGAGAATGGAATTATCATGAAGCATGTAAAACAAATAGCTTTGGGCCACCAAAAGTATAATTACAAGTCAGAAAACCCAATGTGAATTAGTCCTGCAGAAACAATCTTCACTCTACACTATAGAAGTCTTTGGGATTCATGGAGGGTAAATCTTTCCACTAAAACATTTCCTCTTCAAAATGCTTTACTGCATGAGAAAGTCAGTTTCATGGCATTTTGGACCCAACATGTACCCAACCAAAAACAATATTGCCCAGTTTGAGGGATCAGTTGCCTTATTCATCCAACCTGATCCCTGATAACTTTTGGCAGTTTCTAAATATCAAACCCACCCTCAAAAGAGGAGAACTTGTCAATCTGACAATGCGCAAAAGAAAGTGTTATAGACAGGCCTGGTGTGGTGGCTTATGCCTGTAATCCCAGCACTTTGGGAGGCCAAGGCAGGCGGATCATTTGAGGTCAGGAGTTCGAGACCAGCCTGGCCAACCCCATCTCTATTAAAAATACAAAAATTAGTCAGGTGTGGTGGCACGCACTTGTAATTCTAGCTACTCGAGAGGCTGAGGCAGGAGAATCACTTCAACTCCAGAGGTGAAGGTTGCAGTGAGCCAAGATCATGCCACTGCACTCCAGCCTGGTTAACACAGCAAGACTCCCATCACACACACACACACACACACATACACATACACATACACACACACACACACACACACAGAAACAAAGTGCCATAGACTCAGAAAGTAATGTACCAAAAGAAGAATTCCAAAACATTAAAAGCAAAGTCAGCTACGTTAAAATAAATGCATGGTGGTATCCTATCACTGTCTCCCAAGTTACTTGGAAGAGGACATGCTAATTTAGACAGTTAAGTGCTAGGAGACTTGCTATAAATCAGCATCATTACTGTATAGTCAAACCTCACAAACTAATTTCCAGAGGAAATCCAATCTTCCAGGCTTAGAGAAGGATAACAAGAAGCAAATCCAATAACTGTCCTGCAACTTGAAATTGATTTTCAAATTAATTAATTCTGTAACTGAATCTTAATTTCATTTAAAAAAAATGCATAGAAACAAAAACAAAAAAAATGTACTAGAACATTTTTATGGATCAGATTACAGGGGATTTTTATCCTGTACTCCTCTAAAGTTTATTTCCTGCATTTCCCACAGCAATTATGTAGTACTTTGGTAACCAAGAGCAAAGAAAAAAGTTTAAAACTGAAAACATAATTTTTCTATGTGGCTATGTATTTCTTTTCCCCAATACGGTAGGCTATCATCCTAAATATTTTTGAGCTGATCCAAGTTCCACTTTATTGTTCTCAATAGAAATCCTAGGTAGACCAGAAGACAAAATGAGAAATAGAAACTAAAATATAAATCACCTTTCTGAAATTAATAGGTTTCCCCCCACCATTGCTGCAAAGCAACTTAAACACACCTTTTTTCCAACCTTTTTATGTCAAAGACACACAGGTATTTTCTTTTGTGTTTTCTCTAAGGGGGAAATGGTAGAATGGGCTCCTCTGTCCTCCCCAGTATCCTCCCTTGTCTCTTCCCTTCCCTCCTCAAGCAGTAATTTGGCCTCCCTCTATGATATACTGGGTATTTAGAGCCCTAAATGGGCTTTTGCCTTTTGCCCTTGGAAATAATTTCTACATTTTTTTAACCAATCCTGCCAGCAGGTCAGGATAAATACCCATGTTAGAAGTTGGCCCCAGGTTCTATCCTCCTTCTTTGACAGCCTCCCTTCTGGGGCCTTGGGGGACTCCCTTGGGAAGTCTTCTTGACTGCTGGGGGTGGGGCACCAACTTGGAGGACCTGGATGCCGTAAGGGAAGGAAAAGGACTCCATGGTCAGGTAAAAGGGCATCTGTGTCTACACCCAGATACATCCTGACCTTCTGAGGTCTATTGTGTGTGCAAGAGCTTCCCTGGCTTCCTTCTTCAAATGCAGACACCCAGTATGGTGGTGTGACCTTGAGAAGCGACTGTTCCAGTTCTTGGAGAGCGAGTTGAACTGGATGATCCTCAAGCCCTCAGACAAGCTGTGATTACAATTCCAGTTTACCCTAATATACTTCAGGGTATATGAGGACATAGGGGAGAACTTTCTCCCAGGCCTCGTTAGTAAAAAGAGTTGTGCTTTTCCAGGGCTGGTGTGGTTTTTTTCTGGGAGCTGGGAATCATGCAACAGTTGACACTTTCCTTCTTGCCACAAGGCTTAGCGAATTTGTGGTCTCCCTCTAGCGAATATTTAGGGCTTTATGGCATGCATTTGCTATGCAAATCTCCCTGTGGTTCCCAACTGACTTTACCTTTGTTTTTCTTTTCACCATTGTTCTTGTTTTTATAGTACTTTTCTTCTATCTTGTTACATTGTATTCCGTCTTAAAGCTTCTTAAAGCCTCTTTGGAACAAGGTAGAATATAAATAATGTCAAATCACTTTTTAAAATACTAGGAGTGTTCATTTTTCTGCTTATTTTGGTCATCTTATCACAGTTTCTCCCTAAATCCAAAAGCAAATCTCAGCTCTATCATTCTGATTATGCAAATACCTTAAACTACAAATATTTGATATAATTAAATTATAAATTTCTAGAGAGCAGAGATCAGGTCTGATAAGGCATAATGCAGTTGTGGTAGGCAGAAACAGCCCTGGGCTGGAAGTTTTATTTCCAGTTCTACTGAGCACTACGTGTTTGACCTTGGGCAGGGCCCTTCTCTCTGGATCTCGGTTTCCTTATTTATAAAATGAAGGGTTTGGACCAAGTCACCTCTAAAATCCCTTCCAGCTCTGAAATTCATTGACTCTCTGACCTACTGTGGGCATTTAATAAATAACAAGCACACTTCCAGAGAACCTAAAGAATGGCTTGCATAGGCTGGGCGCGGTGGCTCACGCCTGTAATCCCAACACTTTGGGAGGCTGAGGCAGGCGGATCACGATGTCAGGAGTTCAAGACCAGCCTGGCCAATATGGTGAAACCCCATCTCTACTAAAAATACAAAAATTAGCAGGGCGGGGTGGCTCATGCCTGTAGTCCCAGCTACTTGGGAGGCTGAGGCAGAATAATCACTTGGACCCAGGAGGTGGGGGTTGCAGTGAGCTCAGATTGCGCCACTGCACTCCAGCCTGGGCAACAGAAGGAGCCTCTGCCTCAAAAAAAAAGAAAAAAAAGAGTGACTTGCGCTTGGACACCTCTGTTAACAAACATTTACTTGGCATTTCACCCGGTATGTGGCTGTGGTTAAGGGACAAATAAGAGATTGCTCTTTTGGGTCCTGCAGAGGCCTCCAGACATAAAGAGGAGGCTTCCGCACTTGATTGTCCCCACTGCGTGAGGGTTCAAGTCTTTATACCATCTCTAGAAGGTGAAACTCTGCCAGCATGAAGAACCAAAGGTGAGGCCGGGCGCAGTGGCTCACACCTGTAATCCCAGCACTTTGGGAGGCCGAGGCAGGTGGATCACCTGAGGTCAGGAGTTTGAGACCAGCCTGGCCAGTATAGTGAAACCCCATCTCTACTAAAAATACAAAAATCAGCTGGGCGTGGTGGCAGGCACCTGTAATCCCTGTTACTCGGGAGGCTGAGGCAGGAGAATTGCTTAAACCCGGGAGGCGGAGGTTGCAGTGAGCCGAGATCACGCCATTGCACTCCAGCCTGGCTGGAAAAAAAAAAAAAAAGGAAAGAAAATAAGAACCAAAGTCACAGGGGAGTGAAAGTGGCATTCATGAGAAAGGAAGTTCATCTGCTTTTACAGAAATAAAATGGTATAGGCCTTTAGAGTAAGGGAGATAGAGAATTTTCAAAAAAAAATTAAATTAAGTCAGTGTTTCATTTGAATACTTTCCAAGTCAAAATCAACCTATTTAAAATATGAATGATATTGTGTGTAATTTCATTTCACCACAAAATTATTGTGCTTGGTGTATTTTTCCCCTAAAATTCATCATTGTTGAATTTTATTGTTGTGCTTGATATATTTTCCCTTTAAAATTTACTGTTGTTGGCCAGGCCCAGTGGCTCATGCCTTTAATTGCAGCAGTTTGGGAGGCCGAGGTAGGAGAATCATTTGAGCCCAGGAGTTCAAGACTAGCCTGGGCAAAATAGTGAGACCCTGTCTCTAAAAACACAGTCATCATTATTAATTACAAACTGCTGATTAATTTTTGTTCTAAATTGTTTGCACTTTTAACACAAACGAAGTTCTAAGTTTCTGATAGATGGTGTCTTTTAGGCTTTGCCAGTTTATGAGGAATGGCACCAAGTCAAGAATAAACCATTGGCTGGGCACGCTGGCCCAGGCCTGTAATCCCAGCACTTTGGGAAGCCGAGGCAAGAGGATTGCTTGAGCCCAAGATTTTGAGGCCAGCCTGAGCAACATGGTGAAACCTCATCTCTACAAAAATACCAGAAAAATTAGCTGGATATGGTGGTGCATACCTGTGGTCCCAGCTACTGAGGAGACTGAGGCAGGAAGATCGCTTCAGCCCGGGAGGTCAAGGTTGCAGTGATCCATGATCATGCCACCGCACTCCAGCCTGAGCATCAGAGCAAGACCCAGTCTAAAAAAAAAGGAGAAGAATAAACCATCAACACTATAAAAAATATTGTATATTCCTTACGTTTCTAAAGATACAAGAAGTACCCACCCATGCACACTAAAAACCAAGTAAAAAGTAAGAAGAGAGGAAAAATAAAGTACCCATCCATTTTCAGAAACAGACTGAAAAAAAAGAGAGGAAAACGCCTCACCAAATACAAGTTTTGCCATACACAAGTAACTTTCTCATATCCCTTATTTTTCTAAACTATCCCAGAAGAGTCCCTATACTATTGCTTTATTTTAATCATGTCAGAGGACCTTGACATACTGAACCCTTCTCTTGGGACATGTCTTTACCTTTCTTTTCTTTTTTCTTTTTTGAGACAGAGTCTCGCTCTGTCCACTAGGCTGGAGTGCAGTGGCGCGATCTCGGCTCACTGCAAGCTCCGCCTCCCGGGTTCACGTCATTCTCCTGCCTCAGCCTTCCCAGTAGCTGGGACTACAGGCGCCCACCACCACGCCCGGCTAATTTTTTGTATTTTTAGTAGAGACAGGGTTTCACCGTGTTAGCCAGGATGGTCTCGATCTCCTGACCTCGTGATCCGCCCGCCTCCGGCTCCCAAAGTGCTGGGATTACAGGCGTGAGCCACCGCGCCCGGCCACATGTCTTTACCTTTCTAAAGGCCAAACTGTTTCATGCTTCCTCATAAGTGTGGACAGACAGAAGCAGATTCCTGCACATATTTTACAGGGTGGAAGTGAAGGGGTCGGAGAGCGAGCCCTCCGACGGACCTGCCATCCATCTTGGGGGGAAAGGGATGTGCTTCGCAGGATCCCAGACGACGCGAGTGAACAAAATGCCTCAAAGTCTTTCGTGTTCTACAAAAATTTAACTACCTCCTGTACAGCAATGGCCAAGTGTGCTTTGTAATTCCAACAAATTCAGAAGCATCCGATTTTATGCTCATGCCTTGAATCCAAGAGTTTTGCAGCACTCTGACTACTTCCTGCTTCTTAATAAGCATTTTCATTTGCTTCTTTCTATTGCTTTCAAGTGGAAATGAACCTGAAGTCTTTTAAAAAAAAAAAAAGTTGGACAGGGTGCAGTGGTTCATGCCTGTAATCCCAGTGCTTTGGGAGGCTGAGGCAGGAGGATTGCTTGAGCTCAGGGGTTCCAGACCAGCATGGGCAAAATAGCTAGACCGTGTCTATAAAAAAAAAAAAAAAAAAAAAAAAAAAAAAAAAAAGCCAGGTGTGGTGGCACAAGCCTGTAGTCCCAGCTACTCAGGAGGCTGAGATGGGAGGATTGCTGGAGCCCAGGAAGTCAAGGCTGCATTAAGGCAAGATTGTGCCATCACACTCCAACCTCGGTGACAGAATGAGTTCTTGTCTCAAAAAACAAAAAACTAAATAGATAGATAAAAATAAAGTAAAAATAAAGTTGTATTTCTCAAGGTCATTGTCTGAGGGATAGCTGGCAAATGGGCACTTGGTTTTTTAGACAAGGTTTCTGTAAGGTTAAAAAAGGCCTGGAAGTCCCTTCTATTCTTTTAGGCTGTAGCTCTAATTTTCTTTTAATGAAGACAATCCAAAATAGGGTAAATTCATTTTTAAAATACATAGTTTTAACAAGTGAAGACTTAATGTATATGCACACCAAAATACAATGCAGTATAATAAGGCTAGGTAATTCCAGAATTTATTAAAAGGTTAATTCATATTACATGACTACTGGTGGGCTTGTTATGGGACTCAAGCCAAAATTGCACAAGGATCATTTTACTTTAATCTTGTCAGGCATCTCTGTATGTTTAACTTCATCTGAAGATAAAGGTGAAGCTCTTAAACATAAATTTGAGGTCCCAACCCAAACCTCCTGATACGGTTTTGCTATGTCCCCACTCAAACCTCATCTTGAATTGTAGCTCCCATAATCCCCATATGTTGTGGGAGGGACCTGGTGGGAGGTAATTGAATCATGGGGACAGGTTTTTCCTGTGCTGTTCTCATGATAGTGAATAAGTCTCACAAGATCCGATGGTTTTATAAAGGGCTGCTCTCCTGCACATGCTGTCTTATCTGCCACCATGGAAGACATGCTTTTGCTTCTCCTTTGCCTTCTGCCATGATTACGAGGCCTCCCCAGACATGTGAGTCCATCAAACCTCTTTTTCTTTATAAATTACCCAGTCTTGGGTATTTTTTCATAGCAGTATGAAAATGGACTAATACAGCTCCCCTCCTGCTTCCCTTAGGGTTATGGCATAAAACTGGCTTTAAAGTCTTCAGGGTCACTGGCAGACAACATCCTCATCTGGTATGGTGATCCTTAAAACTAAGGAACTAAAGATAGTCATCCATTCCTGTCTTCTTAAATAGCCTCTTCATTTTTCAGAAAACCATAAAGGGCTGGGCACGGTGGCTCATACTTGTAATCCCAGCACTTTAGGAGGTCAAGGCAGGAGGATCACTTGGGCCCAGGACTTTGAGACCAGCTTGGGCAACACAGCAAGACCTCATCTTCAGAAAAAAGAAAAAAAAGAAAACCCTAAAGATAGGATCGCACTTGCTCTATGAATTTAGAGTTTTAAATGGCATCGTTTTATGCTACGCATTCTTTTCTTTTGAAGACAGCAGCTTTCCCATGAATGGCTTTTTATATTCCTTATCCCGTTCTTGGATCTCCTGCAGCTCTGGAGAGCACCCAACTTCATGATGTCACAAGTGAGCAAGTTTGAACCATGAAAAGAGAAAAGCGCATCTCGTTGTGGTAATCTGTAATTGCTTATCCTGTATGGCCTTTCCTACTGCGTCCCTGTTTCCTACAGAGTCAGCAAACCAAAGTCACCTCTCCCAGTCTTTTGTGGGGCCTCCCACATTGATAACTGGTACCTGCAATCTTTCGTTGTCTTCTGCTCTCTGTGAAATAAGCCAACCAAAAACTCATTGGGGTGTTGGTACCATATAAACCATGACCCCTCTGTCTATTAATCTGCAAAGATTTTGAAAAATAAAAGCCCACCTATTGCTACTTGAGCAGATTCCCTTCCCTAATCATACTTGGTTCTAAGAGACACTTTGCTCAGAGCATGTCTGCAGGACAAACACTATGCTGATCTTATTAAAACCCTTCCTGTCAGGATGCATTTTTAGTTGTTGACTGTAAGTGTTCCAGAAAACACAGATTGTTCTACTCATTACTCTCTCCCCTCCCCCTGGATCAGCAATGAAGCTGGTAGTGTTTTCCTATTTCACAGCTTCAAATATTTGATTTCTTGAGGCTAATGATTAGATGCTCTTTGCAATGAAGCTTTAAAAAAAAAAAAGCAAAGAAGCAGCAGCTTGAGTTCTAGATCAAGTACACTTGGAAGAAGTAAATGGGTGGACGTAAGATGTTATTCACCATAAGAATCTTATAGTAACTTTTACATTTTCTATTTCTTTCTTTCCTTCCTTCCTTCTTTCTTTTTTTTTTTTTTTTTTTTTTTTTTTTTTTTTTTGTAGGGTCTCTGTTGCCCAGGCTGGAGGGCAGTGGCACAATCATGGCTCACTGCAGCCTCAACCTCCTAGGTTCAAGCGATCCTCCAGCCTCGGACTTCCAAAGAGCTGGGGTTAAAAAGTCCTGAGCCACTGCGTCAGGCCTAGTAACATTTAAATTTTCCATTTTGTCGAAGATACAGCTGAAAATCTTTACAAATATCTGATTTTAAATTGTATTTGTTATTTAAAAAATATTCCAACACAAAACATATCTTTTTGTTTTGTTTTGCTTTACTTTGGGGAAGAGGTCTTCAGAGGAAAATGTAGGAAACAATCATCAATGTCTCCCTGCCCTATTCTCAGGTCTTCACACTCAGTGCTCTGCTGTTGCCTTCATGTGAATACCACCAAGTAGCCACTGTAGTGAGAAGAGCACAAACAAAAGGTCAGGGCTATGTTCAAGTTCAGACTCCAGCAATTATTGGCAGTGAGACCCAAAGCAAATTGCTTGACAACTTTCTGCTTTCATTTACTCCTAGAGTTTATATGAGAATGAAAAAAGAGAAAATACTTGGTTTTACTGGAATAAATTCATAGTAGACAGTAAGGGCTAGTCCCTGTCCCTTGCAGATGGTGATGGCTCTGAGAGGCTGTGAGAGCTTCTTAGGGATCTCGGGCTTGATGTATCATCTTAGGGAGAGGATGTAAGCACTACCATGAGCAGGTGCCTTTGGCATGTTGACATGGGCAATGTGGAGCCTTTATCAGTGCTTACCTACACTCACCTCCAGGCTCCACCGCCTGGCTCTCAACTGCCATTCACTTGCAGCCACCTTAGTGGCAATCACTTGCCATTTCTTCGCCTCTCCTTCTCCCAGGATAATGAGGCATCAAAAAGCAGGAGTGGTTGATGCCACCATAGATAGACAAGAACCCTTAGCCCCTGTAAGACAGACACCAAAATTCAAGTTGCCATGAAGTCTTTAGAACGAGACCACACCTTTGGCTTTTGACTCTTTGTTTTTGAAGTTTTTTTGTTATTGTTTTTTGTTTTGTTTTGTTGAGAGAGAATCTCCCTCTGTCACCCAGGCTGGAGTGCAATGGTGCAATCATAGCTCACTGCAGACTTGAACTTCTGGGCTCAAGTGAACCTCCCACCTCAGCCTCCCAAATAGCTAGGACTACAGGCTCACACCACCACCCTCAGCTTATTTGTTTACTTATTTATTTAGTCTGTATGGTAAAGACAGGCTTTGAGGAGTATTTTCATGGGGAATAACCAAAGTTTTCCTTATGGATCGAGTAAAATTTCACATGGCCTTTTTGTGTTTTCCACTGCTAACTTTCACGAGAACGGACTTGGCTTTGGCACTATTTGGAACCCACTGCACTGAGCACAGTCTAGGTTCACCCAGCACTTAGAAGGGTTGTCTCTGAGGCGCTTCTCTTGGAAGTGCATCCTTCTGATGTTGAGGACTGTGAAGATTAAATGGGAGAGTGATACCAGTGGGAGGAGACCTAAGATCTCCCCAGACTTTCAGGGATACTTATAGTCATTGAAAATAGAAATAAATTGAGATTCCTTGGCCTGGGTTCACTCTTGAAAGCTTCTCCTTCTCCCTGCCCTGTGGTCCTCCTTCCAGTTCTCCAGCGTCCTCAGAGTTGGGGATTTGTGGGTTCCTCCTATCCTTGCTTTGGCTTTTTCTACCAATTCATTTCCTTTATATTTTTTCCCTCGCTATATCTTCCTTGCTTCTTCTCACTGCCTTTTCATGTCTCCTTTTCTGCCCCTGGCATTATTTTTTGCCTTCTAATTTCCCATGTCTAATCTCTTCCATAAAAGGAATAAGTTTCCTCCTTGCTGACCAAGACTGTCTATTTTTTCTTCTCTGTGGGCTTGTGCTGAAGCTCTGCTCAAAATTGCCAGGGTACACTGGGCCCTGATAAAACCATGGAAAGCAGAGAACCCACCCCAAAAATAAACAGTCACTTCCTTCTTAGAAGGGCCATTAGTGAGTCGTAACAACGAACACTTCTTTTGTCAAAAGCTGTGGAAAGCAAACTATTTGTAGACCAAATGAGCTCAATGAAATCGTTCTCCTGTGTTCAATCAACAAATCTTTCTTGAGCCTCACAGGGCCTGGCAGTTAGAAAGATGATTAATTCAAGAAACCAAGACCGACTTGGTGTGTGTCCTTGGGAAGGCGCATGAGTCAACAAGCAATAAAAAGGCCCATCAGATGGCCTCCCTTCCCCCGTGCTTCCTACCCTCCCCCTGCACTGTTTTTCTCCCTATCGCCCCTCACCCTCTGAAAGGCCCTATATTTTCTCACCAGTCTTCTAACTAGAATCCAAGTTCCATGAGGGAGGGATCTTCATGTATTGATCATAGCTGAATCCCTAGTACCTGAACATTGCCTGTCACGTGAGGGCTCAGACAATGAAATGCAACGTGATGAGTGCAGTATCAGAAACATGGACCAAGTGCAATGGAATTACAAGAATCCACGTGAAACTAAGGAGTCATTGTGTACATATGTGCGTGTGTGTGCGTGTGTGTGTGTGTGTAAAAGTCAGAGGCAAAGAGAAGTTTGATGCTTTTAGATTGAAGTAGATAAAATAGCAGAGTTCAAAAAGGGCTTGGTCATTTGGTGGTGGTGGGGCGATGGAGGGACAATCTGACGCTTTCCACCCGTAAAGCTTATTAAAGTGCTCATTCCTTCAGTGAGTTATATTATATGGAAAGGGAGAAAATCCGGAATATTCTCAGTACCTCCTTAGAACATGAAAGGAATCCTCTATCCTAGTGGCCAGAGACAGGCAGTAGGTGCTGAAGAACTCAGGTGTGGGGAGTTGGTTCCGGGTTTTTTTCCTGGCTCTGCTGTGACATGACCTTATCTCTCTGAAGAGTGAACCCTCCCCACTCCCCACCACTCTTCCTTGGAGGTCTGTAATAATACAGACCTTGTAGAGGTGTCCAAGAATTAATGAGAAAATAAATGTAGAATGTTTAACATAGCGCCTGCCTCTTAAGCCTGCAAAAAAAAAAAAAGTAGCTATTGTGTTTTGTTTTGTTTTTAGACGGAGTCTCACTGTTGTCAGCCGGGCTAGAGTGCAGTGGCATGATCTCAGCTCACTGCAACCTCCACCTCCTGGATTCCAGCAATTCTCCTGCCTCAGCCTCCCGAGTAGCTGAGATTACAGGCGCCCGCCACCACGCCTGGCTAATTTTTCTATTTTCAGTAGAGACGGGTTTTCACTGTGTTAGCCAAGGTGGTCTCGAACTCCTGACCTCAAGTGATCCACCCACTTTGGCCTCCCAAAGTGCTGGGATTACAGGCGTGAGCCACCATGCCCGGCCATGGTAGCTATTCTTAAAGTCAGGTCACAACAGCAAAAAACAGAGCTCATACCCTTACACGTCCATATTGCTGAGGGTGGGGATACCACACCACTAAGAGTATATATGTAGTTTCGGGTACTGCCCAAACCAGTTTTTCCCTAGCTTTTTATTCCTATACAAAGTGGCACTGCATTGAACACAAATTAGGTGCCAAGAAATATGACTATTCCAAGCTTTCCTAAGCCTGCTAGGGAGCTGGGCAGAAGGAGAACTCATTTGCCTCTCCTCTTCCTCCTGCTACCCAGGAGCCATGATGATTTTCTTCCACTAGAATGTGGTTACCTGGGTGACTGACTCGTTAGCCTGTTCTCCCTCTTCTCCATACTCACTCCTTTCTCACCCCCCATTACTAAGGCTGAAAAAGCTTTTTGCGGAACAACTTAATCTACAATCTTACAAGCTGCTCTAGCCATCTACTTAAAGCATTTTCTTCTTTTCTGAGTGCATAGAGACATATTTTTAAATATATGAAGAGAATACTTTTCTCTAGGGCAGAGGAAGGGAATAAAAAGGCACAAAATAAAAGGGAAAGAAGGAAGGAGCTAGGAATTAGAGAAGTCAGCAGGATTCACTGGGCCTTGCTGAACTTCCTGGGGGTTGAGTTTCTAGGGGCTGGGGTGCTTTGTCAACATGGGGATTGACCTCTGAAAGAAATGGGTTCCAGGCCGGGTGAGGTGGTTCACACCTGTAATCCCAACACTTTGGGAGGCCAAGGTGGGCAGATCATGAAGTCAAGAGATCGAGACCATCCTGGCCAACATGGTGAAACCCCGTCTCTACTAAAAATACAAAAGTTAGCTGGGCATGGTGGTGCGCACCTGTAGTCTCAGCTACTCTGGAGGCTGAGGCAGAGAATCGCTTGAATGCAGGAGGTGGAGGTTGCAGTGAGCCGAGATTGAGCCACTGCACTGCAGACTGGCAACAGAGTGAGACTCTGTCTCAAAAAAAAAAAAAGAAAAGAAAAGAATGGAAATGTGTTCCAAGCTGGCACGGTGGCTCATGCCTATAATCCCAGCACTTTGGAAGGCCAAGATAGGAGGATCATTTGAGCTCAGGAGTTCGAGACCAGCCTGGGCAACATGGCGAAACCCTGTCTCTACAAAAAATACAAAAAATTAGCCGGGCATGGTGGCAGGTGCCCGTGGTCCCAGCTACTTGGGAGGCTGAGGCAGGGGGATCGCTTGAGCCTGGAGGTTGAGGCTGCAGTGAGCTGTGATAGCATCACTGCACTCCAGCCTCCTGGGTGACAAAGTGAAACCCTGTCTCAAAAAAAGAAAGAGAGAGAGAGAGAGAGAAGAGAGGGAAGGGAGAAAAAAGAAAGAGTTTCCAAGGCCAGATGTAGCGTCTGGGTCATTAGTGATTAGTGTCCTTGCTTGGCCGACTTGAGCATTATATGAAATTTTGTACATATGTAACAAACCTGCACGTTGTGCACATGTACCCTAGAACTTAAAGTATAATTAAAAAAAAAATTTTAAAAAGAAAGAAAAGAAAATTTGGACCCTTAGGGCAAACCTGGGACTCTACCCAGGTACTTTGTGTTTGTTTCACTTGAGTCCTTGACATCCTCCTGTATCAACCTTGACCTGGTTGTTTCTGATTTCAATAAGAATTACATATGTGCCTTGCCACTTGGGTTTAGGAATTTTTACATATGGGATACAGCCATAATCAACCCAGATCAAGATACCGAACAATTTTAATTCCCCAGAAAGTCTCCTTCTAGCCCTCCCAAGTCAAAACACTCTACCCCCACACCAGGAAACTACTGTTCTGACATTTGTCACCATCAGTTAGATTTGCCTACCCTTGAACGTTGTTTAAATAGAATTACACAGTAGGTGCTCACTCGTGCCTGGCTGTTGCACTCAATATTATGTCTGTGAGATTCATGAAAGTTGCTGCGTAGAGCAGTAGTATGGGTTGTAAAAATTACTGTGTAATATTCCATTATGGGAAAATGCATCACAATTTATTCTCAGTTGTTGACATTTGGGTTGTTTTCAATTTGGGACTATGATGAGTAAAGCTGCTTTGAACATGTATCCAAATGTCTTTAGGTGAACTTATGCATTCATTTCTCTTGGGATAAGAGGAATTCCTCAACCATAAAAGAGGCATGCCTTCAGCTTGTAGTGGAAACTACTGGACACTTTTTTAAAGTGTTTCTACCATTTTATATTCATATCACTACTTCGTACTACTTTCTGCCTTCAGTGGGTAAGACATAACTTATAGGTATGAAACAAAACACCTTCTTTTGGTCAGCCTACATTCTCAGCCCTCATGTACATATCAAGATTCTACTAGTTACTTTTTTCTTTTTGAGAAAAAGTCTTGCTCCGCCACTCAGGCTGGAGTGCAGTGATACAATCACAGCTCACTCCAGCCTCAACCTCCCAGACTCAAGTGATCCTCCCACCTCAGCCTCCCAACGCTGGGACTACAAGCATATGCCACCATGGCCAGCTAATTTTTTAGTTTTTTGTAGAGGTGAGGTCTCACTATGTTGCCCAGGCTGGTCTCAACTTCTTAAGTTCAAGTAGTCCTCCCAACTCAGCCTTCCAAAGTGCTGGGATTACAGGTGTGAGCCACTGTACCTGGCCTCCACCAATGACTATTCATAATATTTTGTAGGTGTTGGTCCCTCTCCTTGGAACACTCTATCACTGGGTATTTCCAGGGCCAGTTCCTTGTCATTCAGGTCTCAGTGAGGCCTTCCCTGACCACCCCATCTACATCTGCACTCCTGCCTCCTTAGCCCATTGCTCTCTATTGCACCATTCTGCTTTATTTATTTCCTTTCCAGCACTTACCCCGTTCATTCATTAGTTTATCAACTGCTTATCTCTCCTCACCAGGAATGAAGCCTGGTCCATGGCCCTGGACCAGAGCCTGGACCATAGTCCTGCAATGTCTAGGCACTGTGGTAGCCAGCTTGAAATATACTGTCCAGTGATTGTCACTTTCTGGTATTCATACCCTTGTGCAGTCCCCTCCCACATGGAATAGAGCTGTTCTGTAAAACCAGTAAAATGTTGCAGACATGACAGTGTGTAACAGTCAAGATTAGGTAATAAAATATGTGGCTTCAGCCCTGCTCTCTGTAGGATCACCTGCTGTGAGAGGAGCCATGTGGTAAGGACATTCAAGCAGGCTTGGAAAGCTCCACGTGGCAAAGAACGGAGGCCTTTGGCCAGCAGCCTGCATCCATTCTCCAGCCCTGTGGGTGAGCGCCCAGGAAGCAGGCTCCATCCCCAGCCCAGCCTTCAGATGACTGCATCTTGGCCGGCATTTGGACTGCAACTTCATGGGAGACCCTGAATGAAAACACCCAGCCAAATCTCTTCCGAATTCCTGACCCACAGAAACTGTGAAAAAGCTCCTGGTTTTTGTGGTTTTAAATTGCTAAGTTCTGAAGTAATTTGTACTCAGTAATATTTTTTAAATACTCAGCACTCAGTAAATATTTATTGAACAAATGAATGAATAAATGATTGAGTGAATTAGACTAAAAGCAACAGAGGGCATGGCCTCACACCCTCTATTTATTTATTTACAGACAGGGTCTTTCTCTGTTGACCAGGCTGGAGTGGTGCAGTAGTACGATCATAGCTCACTGCAGCCTCAAACTCCTGGATTTAAGCAATCCTGCGGTGTCAGCCTCCTGAGTAGCTGGGACTACAGGTGCTCACCACTGTGCCCAGCTAATTTTTTATTTTTTGTAGAGAAGGAGCCTTGCTATGTTGCCCAGGCTGGTCTTGAGCTCCTGGGCTCAAGTGATCCTCCTGTCTCAGCCTTCCAACATGCTAGGATTACAGGCATGAGTCACCATGCCTGGCTGACACCCTCTGTTTTAACCTGATAGGATGCATGTGCCACAGTCCTCTCCTCTGTTCTGTAAGTTTTAGATCCTAGAGCAATATTTCTCCACCTCAGCACTATTTTTCTTTGAGGTCACATAATATTTTGTGGGGGAGGGTGGGTGGCCCTGTTCATTGTAGGAGGATGTTTAGCAGTATCCCTGGTCTCTACCCACTAGCTGCCAGAAGCAACCCCTTCCTCCAACAAAGTTGTCACAACCAAAAATGTCACCAAATTTGCCAAATGTCCCCTGGGGTACAATATTGCCCCCACTTAAGAGCTACTGCTCTAAGGTTGTCACTGAAAAGAGAGTAGAAGTACTCACAATACTAGCTGGGTCCAGAGATGCTAAAAAATGATACAATGTTTTCAAAATATTTGGCTTACAAAAATCCAATCAACATGTACATTATTTTTTCAAAAAAGTTCTTAGTTAAGCAAAATATATTTATACATAAAATAATCCTTTTTTTCTTTTTTTTTTTTTTGAGATAGAGTCTCACTCTGTCACCCAGGCTGGAGTGCAGTGGCACAATATCGGCTCACCACAACCTCCGCCTCCCAGGTTCAAGCGATTCTCCTGCCTCACCCTACCGAGTAGCTGGGATTACAGGCGCCCGCCACCACACCCAGCTAATTTTTGTATATTTAGTAGAGATGGGGTTTCACCATTTTAGCCAAGTTGGTCTTGAACTCCTGACCTTGTGATCCACCCGCCCTGGCACCCTAAACTTCTGGGATTACAGGCATGAGCCACCGCGCCCAGCCAAAATAATCCTTTCTTAAAAGTAAATGGTCCAATTAATACAGATTGTTGCTAGGTATGAAAAAAGATGGCACCATGACCAACTCACGTTTAACCTCTTATTAAATACAACACTGAGAAGGTGATTTCTCCCTTGAGTCTTTCTTTGGAAAAGGAACAGAAGTTACCCTGACAGTAGATCAGTCAAAGAAACAAGTCTTCCTAGAATATGCCTTTACATTTCCTGTTCCCTCTGGCCCAAAAGCTTTCTCAAGAGAGTCATATGGTTTCTACCTTGTTCAGGAAACCTCTTGGGCTCAAATAATCCTCCCAGCCCAGCCTCCCAAGTAGCTAGGACTACAGGCACATGCCACCACATCCAGCTAAAAACTAAACATACTCTTATACAATCCGGCAATCACACTCCTTAGTATTTACCAAAAGAGTTGAACGTTTATGTTTACACAACAACCCATACACAGATGTCTCCCTCTGTTGCCCAGGCTGGTATAGAACTCCTGGGCTTCAGCAATTCTCCCACCTTGTCCTCCCAAAGTGCTTGGATTACAGGCATGAGCCAGCATGCCCTACTTGACAAATATTTATTAAGCACCTACCTAGCACTAGGCACCATTCCCAGGTGCAAGGATACAGGAGACAATAAAAAAAAAGTCTTCCCTAAAGAGAAATACACGTTTAAGTTTCTTCCACTTCTCTTCATGGCTGATAGCTCATTTCTCTTTAATACTGTATAATATTCCATTGTCTCAATGGACCACAGTTTATCTATCAATCAATTTCACCTATCAAAGGACATCTTGGTCCTTTAGTTTTGTCAGGGTTCTGGACTTTGGCCATTCTAATAGGTATATAGTGAGATCTCATTGTTATTTTAATTGGCATTTCCCTGATGACACATGATGTGGAGTATCCTTTCATAATGCTTATTTGCCATCTGTATACCTTCTTTGGTGAAGTTTCTGTTAAGGTCTTTAGTCCATTTTATAGTCAGGTTTGTTTTGTTTTGTTTTGTTTTTTTGACAGAGTCTCACTCTTTTTGCCCAGGCTGGAGTGCAGTGGCATGATCTTAGCTCACTGTAACCTCTGCCTTCCGGGTTCAAGCGATTCTCCTGCCTCAGCCTCCTGAGTAGAGTAGCTGGGATTACAGGCGCCCTCCACCATGCTCGGCTAATTTTTGTATTTTTAGTAGAGACAGGGTTTCGCCATGTTGGTCAGGCTGGTCTTGAACTCCCGACCTCAGGTGATCCACCTGCTTCGGCCTCCCAAAGTGCTGGGATTACGGGCATGAGCCACTGCACCCTGCCAGTTGTTTGTTTTTTTATTGTTGAGCTTTAAGAGTACATTTTGGATAAAAGTTCCTTATCAGATAATGTCTTTTGCAACTTTTTTCCAAGTCTGTGGCTTTTTATTCTCTTAACAGTGCTTTTCACAGGGCAGAGATTTTTAATAACATCCAGCTTATCAATTTTTTCTTCATGGATCATGCCTTTGATGTCATATCTGAAAGGTCATTGCCAAACCCAAGGAAGAAAGACATGGCCAGTTCCCTCCTTCCCCCAAATGGATTTTAGATTTAGAGGAAATTTCGATTTCCTCCTTTCTTATCTTCTAGGAGTTTTATACTATTTTAGTTTACATTTAGGTGTGTGATTCACTTTGAACTAATTTTTGTAAAAGGTATAAAGTCTGTGTCTAGATTCTTTTTCTTTTTTTTTTGCACATGGATGCCCAGTTGTTCCAACACTCTTATTGAAAAGACTCTCTTTTCTCCACTGTATTGTCTTTGCTCCTTTGTTAAAAATCAGTTGACTTGCCGGGTGCAGTGGCTCAAGCCTGTAATCCCAGCACTTTGGGAGGCCAAAGCAGGCAGATCACTTGAGGTCAGGATTTCAAGACCAGCTGGTCAACATGGCAAAACCTAGTCTCTACTAAAAGTACAAAAATTAGCCTTGCATGGTAGTGTGCACCTGTAACCCCAGCTATTCAGGAGGCTGAGGCAGGAAAATCGCTTGAACCCAGGAGGCAGAGTTTGCAGTGAGCCAAGATTGCACCATTGCATTCCAGCCTAGGCGACACAGTGAGACTTCATCTCAAAAAAAAAAAAAAAAAATCAGGTGACTGTTTTTATGTGGGTCTATTTCTGAAAGGGAGACTTTTAACTGCATATTGTATTATAGCTTTTGAATTTTGAATTATGTGAAAATAATAGCTACTTAAAACATTTAAAAATTGGCCAGGTAAACCAGGTGCGGTGGTTCACACCTGTAATCCCAGCACTTAGGGAGGCTGAAGCGGGCAGATCACCTCAGGTCGGGAGTTCAAGACCAGCCTGACCAACATGGAGAAACCCTGTCTCTACTAAAAATACAAAATTAGCAGGGCATAGTGGCTCATGCCTGTAATCCTAGCTACTCTGGAGGCTGAGGCAGGAGAATCACTTGAACCCTGGAGGCAGAGGTTGCGGTGAGCCGAGATCGTGCCATTGCACTCCAGCCTGGGCAACAAGAGCGAAACTCCATTTTGAAAAATAAATAAATAAATAAATAAATATAAAAATTGGCTCACGCCAGCACTTTGGAAGGCTGAGGTGGGAGGATTGCTTGGGTCTAGGAGTTTGAGACAAATCTGGACAATGTAGTGAGACCCCCATCTCTACAAAAAATAAAAAGTTAGCTGGGCATGGTGACTTCCACCTGTAGTCCCAGTTGCTCAGGAGACTGAGGTGAGAGGATCACTTGAGCCTGGGAGCTTGAGGCTGCAGTGAGCCATGATCTTGCCACTACACTCAGCCAGGGGAACAGATTGAGACCCTGAGAAAGAAAAGAAAGAAAGAAAGAAAGGAAGAAAGACATGGCCAGTTCCCTCCTTCCCCCAAATGGGGATGTATAATGTCTGCTCCACCGTTACTTTACATAAGTATCATACTCAAAAGTCATGTTCACTACATCTTATTTATCCTTAGTGTAAAATTGAGTTCTGTTGTTATTTGTGCAAAGTAAAGTGACAGATTGTTTTTGATGATCATTCCTTATTTTGAGAGTCTTTTGGCTTCTTTTAAGTTGTACTTCAGTGTTTCTTCATTTTTTTCATGTATTTTCAGCCATGTTTATGCAAAAAAAGTAAAGCTATCACGATGTGTAACCTATAATTATAAATAACAATTATTTCAGGACATATGTCTACTTAACTTGATAGCTAGCTTTTGAGAAAATGAAGTATAAATTTAAGTATTGTAAATCACAGAGTTTAAATGCATCATGGAGACATTCTGAGATGACCCTGTGGTGAATAGTTTTAATTTTTATTTTATTTTATTTATTTATGTTTTTTGAGACAGGGTCTCACTCCATTACCCAGGTTGGAGTGCAGTGGTGCAATCATAGGTCACTGCAGCCTCGACCTCCCAGGCTCAGGTGATCTTCCCACCTCAGTGCCCCCCGGTAGCTGGGACTACAGGCATGCACCACCACGCCTGGATAATTTTTTGTATTTTTCATAGAGATGTTGTTTTATCACGTTGCCCAGGCTGGTCTTGAACTCCTGGGCTCAAGCGATCCACCCACCTTTCCCTCTTAAAGTGCTGAGATTACAGGCATAAGCCATCGAACCTGGCCAATACTTTTATTTTTTAAAAATTAAAAATTAAAAAGAATCCTCTGCAAAGCAAGTAATTATCCCTTATTCTATCTTGTCTTATCCTTATCCTATCCAAGCTACATTTAAGTGTCACATCTGGTTTCTTGAGTGACATGATTAAAAATACTAAGTCATAATTAACAGTAAGGGCAGGCTGAATCACAAAGGTCCTAAAGTACACCTACCTTCTCACTACATTTGAACTGTGTTGGGCAGGATACATGCAGTGGCAATGGGAGTGGAGACAGGGAGGAAACTGGATGAACAAATGAATGAATGAGTGAAAGAACAGATAGTAGGACTATTTTATGGCAAAGCAAAAGTAGAAATTCACTTCACGAATCACTCCATCTTTTTGGAACTGAGTTCAAAGGGAGCAAAATGATGCAGAAAAACATATAGACAATAATCACTTCAGGCTACTTTGGGTAGCCTGACAGTTTTTTGGAAGACCATGAAAGTGAAGCAGACAGATCAGCCTGGCATTCAAAAATGAGAGATGTGGTTGGGCACAGTGGCTTACACCCAGCAATTTGGGAGGCTGAGGCAGAGGAATCACCTGAGGTCAGGAGTTTGAGACCAGCTTGGCCAACATGGTGAAACTCCGTCTCTACTAAAAATACAAAAATTAGCCAGGCATGGTGGTGGGCGCCTGTAATCCCAGCTACTCAGGAGGTTGAGGCACGAGAATCACTTGAACCCGGGAGGCAGAGGTTGCAGTGAGCCGAGATTGTGCCATTGCACTCCAGCCTGGGCGACAAGAGTGAGTCTCCATCTCAAAAAGAAAGAAAGAAGGAAAGAAAGAAAGAAAGAAAGAAAGAAAGAAAGAAAGAAAGAAAGAAAGAAAGAAAGAAAGAAAGAAAGAAAGAAAGGAAAGAAAGAAAGAAAGAAAGAAAGAAAGAAAGAAAGAAAGAAAGAAAGAAAGAAAGAAAGAAAGACAGAGAGAGAGAGAGAGAGAGAGGTGACAGCTCCTGCTATGGGAAAAATAATCACAGAGGTGCAGAGGCAAGCTGGACATGTTCAAAGTTTATACAAGTCGGCCAAAACTGAGACTCAAGGGACAGTTCTTAGAGGTTCAGGGTCAATCCTCATCTTTTACCCACTTTTATTATACAAAAACACAATAATCATCAGCATTATCACTTTCAAATTCAGAGGATACTCTCCTTAAGGAAGCAATATGCCCAGATCACCTATGATTACTGGAGTTTGCTGCAAGGATATATCAGGCAGCAAAGGATATGTTGCCTCTTCAAGTAACAACAGGGCTTCTAGGTCTCACTGCTGTCTAGACAGCTCAGTGCAGCAGGAGAGAATGAGAACAACAGCTCAGTGTTCTTTAGGACACAGCCTGGGCACGTGCTTCAATCTCTCCTTGTTCACTTACCACTTGAGTCTTCCCAAAAGAGTATTGAGTTGGTTTGTCCCCATTCAAAATGGGACAGTTTCACATCAAGCCACCTCCAGCCTCTTTGCTGCCTTTGCCTGCAGATCAATCCCCTGGCCAGCACTATCGATTGCAGGTAAGGAGTGTGGTTGGTCACTCAACACAGATGGCACAAGCCATGGCAACCTGTGTAATAAATAAGCAGGCTGCTTTCAGTAAAAGGCAGCTGTAGGCATGGTGTGAAGAGGTTATAACTCAGCCAAACCACATTTGTTGAAGTTAATGCTATCCTAGCCATCAAGGTTATCTTTGACCTCTCCCTCTATACATCTGACCAATCACCAACCCTTGTCAAGACTTCTCTAAACTATCTCTCAGATTCTTCCCTTCCTGCCTTTTTAGGGAAGACAAAGACATGCGTGCTGCTCACAGCCATCTTCAAGAAATAACCCATGGCCAGGCGCAGTAGCACACACCCGTAATCCCAGCATTTAGGAGGCCGAGGTCGGAGGATTGCTTGAGGCTAGGAATTTGAGACCACCTTGGGCAACATAGTGAGATCTCATCTCTACCAAAAAGGAAAGAAATGACTCTCTGCCCAGCTACACAGAGTGTGGTTTCCCAACAGCCTCCAGCTGTCAGCTCCTTTAGAATCTGCATCAGCTTTTAGGCCAAGAGCTTGCTCTTCCTGGGAGGACCCCTAGCCAATGACAGAACAGGGTGGTACAAACGCCTAGCCATTTCAGCTTAGTGCCAGACTCCTGTAACAGGCAGTCTCTGCACTGGGGCTCCTCATGGGGATGGCGGACTCTGTCAGGTCTGCAGTGCTTTCTGATGGCTCCACTTGCCCAATTCTTCTCCTTCCCTTTCCCTTTAAAGGATTTACTCCCAATAAACCTTTTGTTTTCCCAACTCCTTCTCAGCACCTGCTTCTGGGAGAACCTAACCTTTAACTGGGGCTCCCTTGCCCTAACTCTGAGGGTATGTCAGCTTCCACTGTTTGAGAGAGTTGTGTAGTTTGAAAAAGTCTCCCAAGACCCTGCACCCAACCCACTGATGCTGACAGGCTCCCCAGTCCTTGAGGTACAGTGGAAAGTACCCTGACTTTTCACCTGGAGAGGAGAGGTCTGAAGGGAAACACAAATGATGTGTTCAGAACTTCAATAATCATTCTGTGAATAAAATGAAAAATGTGTGCAAATTATCACATTTGAGTTCAAATTTATAATTCTTTTCTTTTCTTTCTTCTGTCCTTTCATTCATTCATTAAAAAAAAAAACAATTAGAAGTATTCAACAGTAGAAATAGTTGCTGCCTGCATTGGGAACTCTTGTCACTGGGCTATTTGAAATGCCAAATGGGAGCACATGAGTGGTAAAGTCCAGGTTCTATGATTCTATTGAGAATTCCAGGCCGGGTGCAGTGACTCAGGCCTGTAATCCCAGCACTTTGGGAGGCCGAGGTAGGCGGATCTCAAGGTCAGGAGTTGGAGAACAGTCTAGCCAATATGGTGAAACCTCATCGCTACTAAAAATACAAAAATTAGCCAGGTGTGGTGGCGGGCACCTGCAGTCCCAGCTACTCAGAAGGCTGAGGCAGGAGAATCACTTGAACCCTGGGCGGCGGAGGTTGCAGTGAGCCTAGATAGTGCTACTGCACTCCAGACTCCAGCCTGGGTGACAGATCGAGACTCCACCTCAAATAAAATAAAAAAAAAGAGAATTCCATTATTTACTTGCTGTGGGTAATACAAAGAAGAAAACTGTCTTTGATTTGAATAGTTCACAATCTAGTTAGCAAGACCCTGTCTCAAGCAGATTTGATTTAAAGTCGTATTATATAAATAAAACTTTATAATACTATCTCAATATTTTACCAATATCAAATGTCTATGTACCTTCTCAATGTGTGAATTATTTAAAACAAACCTAAAAACTAGAATTGAGCTTGCCGGGCGCGGTGGCTCACGCTGTAATCCCAGCACTTTGGGAGGCCGAGGCGGGCAGATCACGAGGTCAGGAGATCGAGACCATCCGGGCTAACATGGTGAAACCCCGTCTCTATTAAAAATATAAAAAATTGGCCAGGCATGGTGGCAGGCGCCTGTAGTCCCAGCTACTCGGGAGGCTTAGGCAGGAGAATGGCATGAACTCGCGAGGCGGAGCTTGCAGTGAGCCAAGATTGTGCCACTGCACTCCAGCCTGGACGACAGAGCAAGACTCTGTCTCAAAAAAAAAAAAAAAAAAAAAAAAACAAAACTAGAACTGAGCTAAACATGTATGCATGTGATTTAGAAGCAGGAAGGCTCTTGTTCTTGTAATCTGCTCCCTCCTGCTACAGGTTTGGAATGACTAGAGTTCTTTGACCTTCAGGTCATGGAAATAAGAATCATCCATTTCGTTGGGCACTTGCCCGGGGAAGAAGCCAGGTTAAAATGGAAAATGGGAATCATTAGAGGCTGTGTTGTAGGGGATTTTAATTTCTGAAACAGTAATCAAAATTGTAATTTGGAAATTACAATTGTAAAGGGCTTAAAGGTAAACAAAAGAAAT
The DNA here is from genome assembly GCF_000001405.40 of Homo sapiens. Classification (NCBI taxonomy): domain Eukaryota; kingdom Metazoa; phylum Chordata; class Mammalia; order Primates; family Hominidae; genus Homo; species Homo sapiens. The sequence continues at coordinate 100,973,096 of NC_000008.11, read as the reverse complement.
AAAAAGTTATAAGGATAATATTCAAACTCATTCATTTCTTTTTATTATTTTAATTAAAAATCAGAGTTATATTAACCAATACCAATATTCATTCTCTATAGTAATCCTTAAGAATTTATTTTCTTTGACAATGGCTAATACACCATCTTTGGGAATTTTTTGCTTTTTTTTTTTTTTTTTTTTTTGAGACGGAGTCTCGCTCTGTTGCCCAGGCTGGAGTGCAGTGGCGCAATCTCGGCTCACTGCAACCTCCGCCTCCAGGGTTCACGCCATTCTCCTGCCTCAGCCTCCTGAGTAGCTGGGACTACAGGTACCCACCACCATGCCCGGCTAATTTTTTGTATTTTTAGTAGAGACGTGGTTTCACCGTGTTAGCCCGGATGGTCTCGATCTCCTGACCTCGTGATCCACCCGCCTTGGCCTCCCAAAGTGCTGGGATTAAAGGTGTGAGCCACCTCGCCCAGGCAATATTTTTAAATTAAAATAAATAGAATGGGCTGTGCTCAGTGGCTCACGCCTGTAATCCTAGCACTTTGGGAGGCCGAAGCAGGCAGATCACCTGAGGTTGGGAGTTCAAGACCAGCCTGGCCAGCATAGTGAAACCCAGTCTCTACTAAAAATACAAAAATTTGCCAGCCATGGTGGCAGGCACCTGTAATCCCAGCTATTCGGGAAGCTGAGGCAGGAGAATCGCTTGAACCCAAGAGGCAGAGGTTGCAGTGAGCCGAGATTGCACCATTGCACTCCAGCCTAGGCAACAGAGCGAGACTCCATCTAAAAAAAAAAAAAAAAAATAGAATAAATAGAATGAAATGGAATGGAATTTGATGAAGTCAACTTCTAGATCTTAGGTCCTGTAGGAGAGAAAACCTGGATGTGCTAAACAGATCACATATTGTTCAAGTTTATACACGTAACAATTCCAGTGATGTAGATGGATAATATCTGCAAGGATACGTGCAAACATAGATGAGGCTAGATTTAAAGTAACACGAGTTTTAGATTAGGTAAAGCTTGGAATGCAAATAAAAACAAAAGTGGGAAGCAGGAAACCATAGTGGCTAAAATGCCAGGGTCAGAATCTGGCTTTAGTTTGAATTCAAACTCTGCCTCTTCCTGAAGAATCCTGAGCAAGTTACTTCATCCTTGTGTGTCTCTGTTGTCTGTAAAATAAGAATAAGAAAACCTACCTGCCTTGTGAGATTTCATATATAAAGCACTTGGCACAAGTAAATGTCCAGTTATAGCCTGGCACATAGTAAATGTCCAATTACAGAAAATGATCTATAACAAAATATAACTTTAAAGTTAAAATCTTATCACAATTTCTAATTTTTTTTTTTGAGACGGAGTCTCACTCTGTTACCCAGGCTGGAGTGCAGTGGTGCAGTCTCCACTCACTGCAACCTCCACCTCCTGGGTTCAAGCAATTCTCCTGCCTCAGCCTCCCGAGTAGCTGGGATTACAGGCACTCACCACCATGCCTGGCTAATTTTTGTATTTTTAGTAGAAATGGGGTTTCACCATGTTGGCCAGGCTGGTCTCGAACTCCTGACCTCAGGTGATCCACGTGGCCACCTCAGCCTCCCAAAGTGCTGGGATTACAGGCATGAGCCACTGCACCCGGCCTCACAATTTCTAATTTTTTTTTTTTTTTTTTTTTTTTGAGACGGAGTCTCGCTCTGTCGCCCAGGCTGGAGTGCAGTGGCGGGATCTCGGCTCACTGCAAGCTCCGCCTCCCGGGTTCACGCCATTCTCCTGCCTCAGCCTCCCAAGTAGCTGGGACTACAGGCGCCCGCCACTACGCCCGGCTAATTTTTTGTATTTTCAGTAGAGACGGGGTTTCACCGTTTTAGCCGGGATGGTCTCGATATCCTGACCTCGTGATCCGCCCGCCTCGGCCTCCCAAAGTGCTGGGATTACAGGCGTGAGCCACCGCGCCCGGCCAATTTCTAATTTTTAAGAGGTTAAGTTGTAGACTAGGAAGATCAAAACATGAGAATAATAGTTATTATTTATTGAGCCAAACATAGCAGCAGGCACTTTGTTTACCTAGTCCTAATTTTCACATTACATGTGGTATCATAATCTCTATTTTATAGATGAAGAAACTGAGGATCAAGTCAGAGAGGTTGCAAGTGACTCTAAAACCCAATCCCTGTTCACTATGCCATACTGCCTCTAAAGAGTTGTGATACAATCACATTAAGCTGTAAATAAAACTGATTTTTTTTTTTTTTTTGCGATGGAGTCTCGCTCTGTCGCCCAGGCTGGAGTGCAGTGGCGCGATCTCGGCTCACTGCAACCTCTGCCTCCCGGGTTCACGGCATTCTCCTGCCTCAGCCTCCTGAGTAGCTGGGACTACAAGCGTCCGCCACCACGCCCAGCTAACTTTTTGTATTTTTTTGTATTTTTAGTAGAGACGTGGTTTCACCGTGTTAGCTAGGATGGTCTCGATCTCCTGACCTCGTGATCTGCCCGCCTCGGACTCCCAAAGTGCTGGGATTACAGGCGTGAGCCACCGCGCCGGCCAAGGACTTCCTGCCATTTCTAGAGGAGGCGTACTGCAAGATACAGAGAGGCTTTTCAAAGGTAGAGAAATGAATTATTACCTTTGGGAGGGGTCAGAAAAGTTATTAAGAAGAGTTATTCAATAAAATGGTAACAAGATACAGAGAGGCTTTTCAAAGGTAGAGAAATGAATTATTACCTTTGAGAGGGGTCAGAAAAGTCATTAAGAAGAGTTATTCAATAAATGGTAACATGTGGCTTAAAAGAGTTGTCATTCACATTGGATCAGCAAAATGAATCACCAAAATATTGCATTCACTTTAATTCACCAAATGATGAATAGTAAGCATTATGCTTTTTATTTTTATTTATTTATTTATTTTTGAGATGGGGTCTTGTCATGTTACCAAGGCTGGTTTTAAAACTCCTGGGCTCAAGCAATCCATCCACCTCAGCTTCCCAAAGTGCCGGGATTACAGGTGTGAGCCACCATATCCAGCCATGTTTTTTAGCTACTTTGTCATATATCTTCTTTAAACAACTTAGTGCTGTACATGGACATTCAAATAGATACACCAAATAAATTAGGAGATTTATTTTTCTCCCTCTTTTTTAAAAATAAGGAGCAAGTTTTATTTTCTTAAAGACCTAAGTTTCCTTGAGGCTGGAAAAAACCACTTTAGGGTTCCTTTGAGATAATCTCCCTCAAAATACTTACGTGGTATTTTAAAAACACACAACTAATAAGAAAAAGAACCCAATGAAAAATGAGGAAAAGATGCAAAGATATACAAATGGCAAGTAAGAACATGAAGAAATGCTCAATATATCATTAAGCATTAGGAAAATGCATTTTAAAGTCAATATGAGATACTAGGGCACACCCACTAGAGTGGCTAGAATTAGAGTCTGACAATAAAAAGTGTTGACAAAGATGTAGAACAACTGGAACTCTTAGTTACTGCTGGTGAGAATACAAAATGGTTTTTGCATTCTGTACGGTCCAGCCCTACGGGGCTTTGTGGGTGTTCTCCCCATGTGCGGAAATGAGAGATCATAAGAAATAAAGACACGAGACAAAGAGATAAAGATAAAACAGCTGGGCCTGGGGGACCACTACCACCAAGACGCGGAGACTGGCAGTGGCCCTGAATGGCTGGGCACACTGATATTTATTGTATACAAGACAAGGGGGCAGGGTAAGGAGGGTGAGTCATCTAAGTGATTGATAAGGCCAAGCAAGTCATGTGATCGTAGGACACGGGGCCCTTCTCTTTTAGGTAGCTGAAGCAGAGAGGGAAGGCAGCATACGTCAGCGTTTTCTTCTATGCACTTATCAGAAAGATCACAGACTTTAAGACTTTCACTATTTCTTCTACCATTATCTTCTAAGAACTTCAAAGAGGAATCAGGAGTACGGGAGGAACATGAAAGTGGACCAGGAGCATGACCATTGAAGCACAGCATCACAGGGAGGGGTTTAGTCCTGCGGATGACTGCGGGCAGGCCTGGATAATATCCAGCCTCCCACAAGAAGCTGGTGGAGTAGAGTGTTCCCTGACTCCTCCAAGGAAAGGAAGACTCTCTTTCACGGTCTGCTAAGTACGGGTGCCTACCAAGGCACTGGTGTTACCACTTGACCAAGGAGCCCTCAAGCGGCCCTTATGCGGGCATGACAGAGGGTTCACCTCTTGCCTTCTAGGTCACTTCTCACAATGTCCCTTCAGCACCTAACCCTATACCCGCTGGTTATTCCTTGGTTATATTAGTAATACAACAAAGAGTAATATTAAAAACTAATGATTAATAATGTTTATGCTAATTATTGATAATGTCCACGATCATCTCTATATCTAATTTGTATTATAACTGTTCTTATTCTAACTATTTTATTATACTGAAACAGTTTTTGCCTTCAGTCTCTTGCCTCGGCACCTAGGTAATCCTTCACCCACAGCATTCTCACCAGCAAACCAGTTTGGCAATTTCTTATCAAGTTTCTTGTAAAGTTAAACATACAGTTACCATACAATCCCTCAATCTCACTCCTAGGTGTTTGCCCAAAAGAAATAAAAACGTGTCGGCGGGGCACGGTGGCTCACACCTGTAATCCCAGCACTTTGGGAGGCCAAGACGGGTGGATCATGAGGTCAGGAGATCGAGATCATCCTGGCTAACACGGTGAAACTCCGTCTCTACTAAAAATACAAAAAATTAGCTGGGCGTGTTGGCGGGTGCCTGTAGTCCCAGCTGCTCGGGAGACTGAGGCAGGAGAATGGTGTGAGCCCAGGAGGCGGAGCTTGAAGTGAGCCGAGATTGTGCCACTGCACTCCAGCCTGGGCAACACAGCAAGATTCCGTCCCCCCCCCAAAAAAAAAAGAAAGAAAGAAAAATGTGTCCACACAATAGCTGGCATGAATGTTCACAGCAGTTTTATTCACAATAACCCAAAGCTAGAAACAACCAGATGTTCAAGAATGGGTGAAGGTATAAACACATTGTGGTATAGCCATACGATGGAATACTACTCAGTAATAAAAAGGAATGAATTAAATAGACCCACACAAATATGCCCCACTGATTTTTTTAATTCAACCAGAGCCTTTTCAGAATTTTTTGTGTCTTAATTTTTTAGTTTGTTTTATTTTTAGTGATGGGATCTTGCTATATTGCCCAGGCTAGAGTGCAGTGGCTATTCACAGGCAGAATAATAGCACACTACAACCTCAAACTCCTGGGCTCAAGCAATCCTTCCACCTCAGCCTCTTGAGTGGCTGGGACTTAGGTGAGCCCCACCTTGCTCACCGTGCCCTACTTATTTCTGACAAAGGTGCAAAGGCAATTCAATAAAGGAAGGATTGCTTTTTCAACAAATGATGCTGGAGCAATTGGACACTTACAGGCAAAAAAAAAGGAAACTGAACCTCGACCTAATTCTTATACCTTACAAAAAAATTTACTCAAAATGAATCGTGAACTTAAATGTAAAACTACAAAACTTAAAAGAAACATGAGGGAAAATCTTTAGGATGTAGGGGCAGACAAAGAGTTCTTAGACTTGATACCAAAAGGACAATTCACAAAAGGAAGGGCTGACAAACTGGATATAATCAAAATTTAAAACTTTTGTTCTGTTCAAGACCCTGTGAAGATGATAAAAAGACAAGCTAGAGACTGGAAGAAAATATTTGCAAAACATATCTGATGAAGGTTTAGTATCTATAATATATAAAAGATTCTCAAAACTCAACGGTAAGAAAAAAAAATCCAGTTAGAAAAATGGGCAAAAAGATGTAAACAGACATTTCACCAGACAGGATTAACAGATGGTGAATAAGCACTGAAAAGATATTTAACATCATTAACCAGCAGGAAATGCAAATTAAAACCACAATGAGCTATCACTTCACAGCTACCAGATTGGCTAAAATAAAAATAATGACAAAATCTAATGCTGGTGAGGATGCAGAGAAACTGGATCACTCATACATTGCTGGTGAGGATGTAAAATGATACAGCCACTCTGGAAAACAGTTTGGTAAATTTTTACAAAACTAAATATTGTAGGCCAGGCACAGTGGCTCACGCCTGTAATCCCAGCACTTTGGGTGGCCGAGGCAGGTGGATCACTTGAGGCCAGGAGTTCCAGATCAGCCTGGCCAACATAGTGAAACCTTGTCTCTACTGAAAATACAAAAATTAGCTGGGCGTGGTGGTGCATGCCTGTAGTCCCAGCTGCTAGGGAGGCTGAGGTGGTAGGATCGCTTGAGAGCCTAGGAGGTGGAGTTTGCAGTGAGCCGAGATCACACCACTGCACTCCAGCCTGGGCAACAGAGCGAGACTCTGTCTCAAAAAAAAAAAAAAAAACCTAAAAACTAAAAACTAAACATCCAATTACCATATGACACATCAATTTCACTCTTGCACATTTATTCCAAAAAAAAACCTATATTCACAGAAAAACTTATGTTCACACACCAAAAAAATGTTTATAGCAGCTTTTAAAAAAAATTATTTATTTATTTATTTATTTATTTATTTATTTTGAGATGGAGTCTCACTCTGTTGTCAGGCTGGAGTCTGGTGCTGCAACCTCAGCTCACTGTAACCTCCACCTCCCAAGTTCAAGAGACTCTCCTGCCTCAGCCTCCCGAGTAGCTGAAACTACAGGTGCATGCCACTACACCCGGCTAATTTTTGTATTTTTAATAGAGACGGGGTTTCACCATGTTGGCCAGGATGGTCTCAAACTCCTATAGCAGCTTTATTTGTAATAATCCTAAACTGGAAACAACCCCAGTGTCCTTCAACCGGTGAATGGTTAAATAAACTTAGATATATCCATACCATGAAATATTATTCAGAATACAAAGGAACCAACTACTGATACTTGCAGAAACCTGGATGAATCTCCGGAGAATTATGCAGAGTGAAAAAAGCCAACCCCAAAAGGCTACATACTGTGATTCCATTCATGTAACATTCTTAAAATGACAAAATCCTAGGAATGGAGAACAGATTAGTGGTTACCAGGGATTATAGAGAGGATGGGGTAGAAAGGAAGGGCTGTAGCTTTGAAAGGGCAATATGAGAAATCCCCATGGAAATATTCTGTATCTTAAGTGTTATCAATGTCAGTATACTAGCTGCGATTTTATACTATAATTCTGTAAGACATTACCATCGGGGGAAACTGGGAAGAGTGTACATGGGATCTCTCTGTATTATTGTGCTAAGTGAAAAAAGTCAGACAGTGAATACTACATACGGTATGATAATTTTTTTTTTTTGAGATGGAGTCTTGCTCTGTCACCCAGGCTGGAGTGCGGTGGTGCAATCTTGGCTCACTGCAACCTCCACCTCCCGGGTTCAAGTGATTCTCCTGCCTCAGCCTCCCGAGTAGCTGGAGGAAAATATCAGGAATAAATTTTTTAAGAACTGAAGTACAAAGCAACTCTCAGAAACCTAATTCTTATGTTAATGAATTCAGAAAGCAAGACATAGGAATTACTCTACATAGTAGGTATACTCAATAAATATGATAAAATTTGGTGACACATCACTTCAGCAGTTTTCCTAGCCAGGCAAAAAGGTAGCATGCTGATACGGTTTGGCTCTGTGTTCCCACCCAAATCTCATCTTGAATTGTAATTCCCACATGTAGAGGGAGGGAGGTGATTGGATCATCGGGGCAGTTTCCTTCATGCTGTTCTCGTGATAGTGAGGGAGTTCTCATGAGATCTGATGGTTTTATAAGTGTTTGGAAGTTCCTCCTTAGCACCACTTCTCTCTCCTGCTGCCTTGTGAAGAAGGTGCCTGCTTCCCCTTCCACCATAATTGTAAGTTTCCTGAGGCCTCCCCAGCCATGTGGAACTGTGAGTCAATTAAAACTCTTTCCTTTATAAATTATCCAGTCTTGGGTATTTCTTTATAGCGGTGTGAAAATGGACTAATACATTGGCCTACTGAAAAAAGACGCATTATACTAGATCACTTAGGAGATGCCCTAGAGTCATAGAATCCACAAAATGTATACAAATTAAGTAACAATTTTAGAGCTACTTAGGTCACTACTGGTTAAGATTAGGTTTGACTGCCAATGACAGAAATCCCAAATAAACTGGAGCTTAATTACATAAGGTTCTATTCATTAAAAATAACTATGCAGAGGTCAACCATTTAGGGCTAATCTGGCATTTGCAAGTGGTGAGATCCCCAGACTCCTTCAACTTTGCTGCTCCCCTCTCCTTCCTGTGCTGCTTTGTCCCCAGTTGGCTGTCCAGGCTCTTTACCGTGTCCACATTCTGGCCATCAAGAAGGGGAAGGGACAAAGCAGGATGCTTTGCTTCCCTCTGAGGACACTTCCTGGAAGTTTCACATGAAACGTCTCCTTACATCTCTTTAGCCATCACTTAATTGCATGGCACACCTAGCCTTGCAGGAGGCTGAGAAATGTGGTCTTCATTTTAGGTAGCTATGTGTCCCGCTGAGTATTAGAAATTCTATTAATAATAATAAGTATATTGGAAAAAAAACTTGTAGACTCTTCCACAGGCCATATTTATATTTTCTTCTTCAAAGTTTCTCAAACCTCTATCTTCTTGTAAACTCTGAATGAGAAATATGACTTTTCTATAAAAGTCTAAAATAATCAAATGCTCACTAATTGATTCATCATTCATGTAATAAACATAAACACTATTTTTGCAAGAAACTACTAGGTGCCAAATTATTAAGACAAGGATGCTGTGGAGGGAAAAAAACATTTCATTATTAAGAGAAATAAAAAAATACTCCATGCTACAGATACTTCATAGTGTGAAAAAAGAAGAGAAAGAAAAAAAACCCTTATTATTTATCTGTAATTTTAAACTTCTATAAAAATGATCTGTGCAGCAAGAGATGAAATTTTGAGATTAACACTAGGTTTTATTGTTTATATAAACTTTTGGTTATTTGGATATTTTTCAGAAAACACTTGAGGCCAGGTGCGGTGGCTCATGCCTGTAATCCCAGCACTTTGGGAGGCTGAGGCTGGCAGATCACCTGAGGTCAGGAGTTTGAGACCAGCCTGACCAACATGGAGAAACCCCGTCTCCACTAAAAATACAAAATTAGCCGGGCGTGGTGGTGCATGCCTGTAATCCCAGCTACTCGGGAGTCTGAGGCAGGAGAATCGCTTAAACCTGGGAGGCAGAGGTTGCGGTGAGCCCAGATCATGCCATTGCACTCCAGCCCGGGCAACAAGGGCGAAACTATGTCTCAAAAAAAAAAAAAAAAGAAAAAAAATACACTTGAAAGTGATATTTGCATTTTATTTTATTTTGTTTTGTTTTTGAGACAGGGTCTCACTCTGTCACCCAGGCTGGAGTACAGTGGTGAGATCATAGCTCACTGCAGCCTTGATCTCCTGAGCTCAAGCAATCCTCCCAATTCAGCCTACCAAGTAGCTAGGACTACAGGCATGTGCCACCATGCTTGGCTCATTTTTTTTTTTTTTTTTTTTTTTTAATTTTTAGTAGAGATGAGGTCTCCCTATGTTGTCCAGGCTGGTCGTGAACTCCTGAGCTCAAGCAGTCTTCCTACCACACCCTCCAAATTGTTGGGTTTACAGTTGTGAACCACCATGCCTGGTCAATATTTGAATTTTAATAGCCCTTTTAAAATGTATGTCTTGAGTCTGTGCCCTGAATCACGTAAATACTTCAAAAGAAAATCATGTCTCATTTATTTTCACTATAAAATAATTGGATTATGCAAGTCTCCTTTTACACCCTATCTTATTTCATTCCTAAGCAAATCTATCCAGGGTCTTTGGTAGAGAAATGAACATAAAGAAAATTTACTGGCAACACATGCAGTCCCAGCTACCTGGCAGGCTGAGGTGGGAGGATCACCTGAGCTCAGGAGGTCGAGGTTACAGTGAGCAGTGATCGCGCTACTGCACTCCAGCCTGGGCAACAAAGTGAGACCCTGTCTCAAAAAAAGAAAAAAAAGGAAAATAAAATTTACTCAGTTTTTCTTAATAAGAAACATTTCCTTGGCTGGTCTGAAGTTAGTGAGTTATCTCAATTGATTTTTCACAGTTACAGATCAAACTTCCTTGTTCTACTCTTTCTCCCTTCTCACTACTGCACTTAAATGGTCTTAAAAAATTAGAGAAATAAATACTTCTTGGGTTTAAATACTTGGAAATTTCTGGGTTTAAATATTTAGAATGTGTTTATCAGTGAATTTCATTTATTCATGTTATTATCATATGTAGCATTATTAATAACCTCCAAAATGCTATCTTCGTCTTAAAAAAATCCATTTACTTATTCATTATTCTTCCATTCAACCAGTCTTCACCAATTACCTATAAGGAGGTGGCTAATATAGTTGGCCCTCCATATCCACCAGTTCTGCATCCATGGATTCAACCAACCAAGAATCAAAAATGTTCAGAAACAAAATTGCATCTGTACTGAATATGGACAGACTTCTTTCTTGTCATTATTCCCTAAACGATACAGTATAACAACTATTTACATAGTATTTACATTGTATTCATTACTATCAATAATATGGAGATGATTTAAAGTATATGGGAACATATGCATAGATTATATACAAATACTACACCATTTTACATAGGGGACTTGAGCATCCATGGATTTTGGTATCACAGAGGAGTCCTGAACCAATCCCCATGGATACTGTATACTTGTCCCTTCACCCCAAATGTAACTCTAAGGTAGCCCAGAAGTGTCTTTTTTTTTTTTTTGCTTTCATCTTTTCAAACTCAATACCTGTAATTTCTGGCATTTAAACAGCTATTCAATAAACATCTATTCAACGACCATGTGAATGAAAGAATGCATATGGTTTTTCCAGAACCCAAATCCAATGATAGTGTTGTTTTTTAAAAGACATAATATTCCAAGGTGTCATCAAACATTTTACTGACATTCTTGCATCCCCTGGTTCTGATATTATTTATTGATTCTTCTAGAAAGGCCCATGAGATGTTCCAGCAAAGAACAGTAGAATGTCATAACCAAGACCTCATCAGGAAATGTGCTCTCTATTCTGTCTCTTTCCAGTAGGTATTATTAGGTGCTTTCCCTGGATTTGGTATTCCCTTTATTCTCAGGTCAAGTCCAACAGCCACTTCTCCCTGACCTCTGACTCTCAAATAACTGTAATAAAACAATCAAACCTTCTTTGTCAGCAGCTCGGGGTTAACTGTTCTTTCTAAAGCTTGACCTTCATACTGTCTCCAATCCCTGCTCTCTCATATCTACAGATGCTGCCTACCTTATATATTTTCACTTATTTATGCTGCTTGCATGCATAAGCTATTGCTAGGTGCTACTGCTGTGACAGGAAAGTCACAAAAGAAAGGTGATCTCATCCTGTAGATTGCTTAGAGCTTTTGACAAATAGTGCTTCATTTAGAGAAAGTTCAGCACATGTATCCTGTTCTTCTGTTAGTTATCAATTAGGATGGTCCTATGGTTTTTACTCAGTTTTTAATTGTCCTAGCCTGAAGCCTACCAAATGTATTAGCCTGACTGAAAAATCCATGTTTAACAAATAAGTGAGGCATTAACTGTGTGAAAATTAATCATGTCAAAAACATGGATCTGATTTACCCAGAATAACCATCTCATTTCTTATAGAGTGAGTTTGGATTGTGTTTCTTATCAGTCACTGGAATATTGAAATATTTCAGGGATTCCTGAGGATTTCATGGCTAAGAAAGTGTGGTGAGTCCTCCTAAAAAATAGTTTTAGGCCAGGCAAGGTGGCTCATGCCTGTAATCCCAGCACTATGGGAGGCCGAGAGAGGAGGATCACTTGAGCCCAGTAGTTCCAGACCAGTCTGGGTAACATAGCAAGACCCCATATGATTAAAAAAAAAAAAAAAAAAAAAAACCCAAAAAACCAAACTAAAAATAGTTTTAAGTTGAAGGCAATTGTCCCAAATAAGGACCAAGGAAGCTAGAATACAGAAATTCTGCTCTTAGGTCCAGGAAAAAATGTGTATCAGGCCCCAGGAAAGCTGCCAGAAATTCACATTGCCTTTATTCCTTTTCCAGATACCTGTTTTGCTGGGGGTTGGAGGGTGGGGAAAAATTTTTTTCTACTGATATATATATGCATCCTTACTGTATTTTAAACCTTTAATGAATTCCAGTGTTCACTGTGCTTATTCTTGAGTGTTCAGGACTGAAATACAGGCTAGAAAGGGACAAATTCTTCTGACCTTTTCATGTGGTGATGCCTTTTTGAATTGTAAACTGATCATTTTTGAATTGTAAATAAGCACACTTTTGAAACTGTGAGCTCCCCCTGCCGCTACCCGCCTCAAGGAGTTGTCACGTGGTGGCAAGCTTCACTGGTTGAACAGACATGTAATACCTGTACCTTTTCTTATTTTTCTTAAAATGTATGAGTACCTCTACAGAAGTGATTTCTGAATTGAAACAGAATTTCTGGTAAGTATATACACCAGCACCGCCGGCACGGTGGCTCACGCCTGTAATCCCAGCACTTTGGGAGGCTGAGATGGGCGGATCACCTGAGGTCAGGGGTTCGAGACCAGCCTGGCCAAAATGCCGAAACCCCATCTCTACTAAAAATACAAAAATTTGCTGTGTGTCATGGCGCACACCTGTCATCCCAGCTACTTGGGAGGCGGAGGCAGGAGAATTGGTTGAACCCAGGAGGTGGAGGTTGCAGTGAGCCAAGATCGCACCACTGTACTCCAGCCTGGGCAACAGAGCAAGACTCTGTCACAAAAAAAAAACCCAAAAAAAACCAGCACCTTTATTTCTGTACCACTGATCTCAACAGTAACTTCCAAAAGCTATTCCTAATGCTTAACATCAAATTATTTACCTTTGCTTACAAAATGTAAAAATATAATACAGTACAAAATATAATTGACTGAAGACTTAAGGGTTAAGATGTTAAAACGGTGTCAAGCTAAGGTTCTTGCTATAACCTTTCCCTTTCCCATCTTCCCATTAAAATATCATGAGTTTTTGAAAAACAAGAGTCAACCATTTGCAAGAGTCTGGGTGGAATTTCCACTGACTACAGTGTAGAGGAGGCCAAACTCAGAAACTCTACCATGGATACTTTATCCTCTGAAAAAGAAAAGCAAAGTTGATAGGAAAGAATTTAATCCTTCAAATTATTATTCAATCAGAATTTACAAATCCCAGAGAAGGCACAACAGAAATACAAAGGCCTGGCAGGTGGCTGGTTAAAAACTGTGGTGGGCTGGGCACAGTGGCTCATGCCTGTAATCCCACCACTTTGAGAGGCTGAGGCGGGAGGATCACTTGAGCCCAGGAGTTTGAGACCAGCCTGGGTAACATAGCAAGACCTCCATCTCTACAAAACAATTAAAAATTAGCCAGGCATGGTTATGTTTGCCTGTAGTCCCAGCTACTCAGGAGACTGAGACGGGAGTATCACTTGAGCCCAGGAGATCAAGACTACAGTGAGCTGTGATAGTGCCGCTGTACTCCAGCCTGGATGATAGAGTGAGACTGTCTCAAAAACAGAAAGAAAGAAAAGGAAAAAAGTGTGATGGATAGTCTCCTAGAATAAAGAGCTGCTGATAAGGGAGCATGCGGAAACACACTGACAGCTGACAGTGTTCAAGTGTGTAGTTTTTCCATTTATAATCACAGCTGATTAAAGAACCATAGATAGCCTCTGATTCTTGACAACATAAATTCCCCTCACTGCAGACAACTGGACAATTGGGTCAGGGGAAGATCTTGTCATGGCATCCGCTCAACAGGCGATAAATGTAAATGTCAGCTGGATTCCAGAATTTGGGCAAGAAAGTATGTACTTGCACCCCCCTACAACTTTAGATCGGTTTTCAAGAGAACAGTAAAGAGAAGCAGAGGAAATTTTATCTGTTGGTTGGCCAACTTGGAGACTGGAAATCTCCCTCATTGACATATAACAGAAAAACAATCACCACCACAACATAACAGCTACCAAAAATTCTGGAGTACAAGGAAATAGGACACCATCTGAAGAGTCTAAGGAAAAGCGGGTATCTGAAAACGATTACAGGAAAATAAGAAAACTTTAGAAAATGTCTGTTTGTGATCTTAACAAGGTGTGAGGACATGCGGTATCTATCAAAGAGTGAACTATATGGTAAGGATGTAAGGAAACTAAAAATTTAACTGCAAAATTTAACATGCAGTGAAGAAAGCAAAATTGACTCTGGTGATAACCACATCAGTAATTTGTAACATGAATGAGTTTTTGTAGGGAACCTTAAACTCTCCATGGATAGTTGGTACTCATAGCTCAGATTTCTTAAAGCATAATTTGCTTACCTCCATTAGCCCTTACCTCACTGTGCTGCACTGTAACTGTATTTAGTGTGTCCCTGCCCCTGGACTGTGAGCTCCTTTAGGGAAGGTCCATGACTTATCCAACTTTATCACCAGCGACTAGCATGATCTCTGACCAGTGAGTCCACATTAAGTGCTTCATAACATGTATGAAATGAGACCTCACAGTCAGCATGGCTTTCCTTCTTTCCTTTTCTTTTTTTTTTTTTTCTAAAGAGACAGGGTCTTGGCCAGGCACGGTGCCTCACTCCTGTAATTCCAGCACTTTGGGAGGCCGAGGCAGGCGGATCACGAGGTCAGGAGATTGAGACCATCCTGGCTAACACGGTGAAACCCCGTCTCTATTAAAAATACAAAAAATTAGCCGGGCGTGGTGGCGGGCACCTGTAGTCCCAGCTACTCAGGAGGCTGAGGCAGGAGAATGGCGTGAACCCGGGAGGCGGAGGTTGCAGTGAGCTGGGATCGCGCCACTGCACTACAGCCTGGGCAACACAGCAAGACTCCGTTCTGGAAAAAAAAAAAAAAGAGAGAGAGACAGGGTCTCACTGTGTTGCCCAGGCTGGAGTGCAGTGTGGCTATACATAGGCGCGATCCCACTAAGGATTAGCACAGAAGTTTGGATCTGTCCCATTTCTGACCTGCACAAGTTCACTCCTCCTTAGGCAACCTGGAGTTCCTCCGCTCCCAGGAGGTCGTCATGTTGATGTTAAACGTAGTGCAGACACCCAGTTGGCATAGCACACAATAGCCCAGAACTCCTGGGCTCAAGCGATCCTCCCACAGCATGGCTTTCTTGTTTTTTGAAAGCAGGATTCAAAAGAACCCAGTCTGTCACCAAAATACCATAGAACACAGGGCTAGAGTCTGCAATGTAGGAATCGAGTTAATAGGTATGGGTTTAAAACACTTTTTTTTTTAAGAAAAACAAGGCTAACATAGTAGAAGATGGTATCAAATAAAGTAAAAAGTAAAGTAAGTAGTGAGACTATTAAATGTATTTAGAATTAAGTGAGGAAATATTACTTTTCTAAGGTCATTCTGAGAGGTGACAGTGTGCTGGCAGCCCTCACAGCCCTCGCTCCCTCTCAGTGCCTCCCTGGCCTTGGCGCCCACTCTGGCTGCGCTTGAGGAGCCCTTCAGCCCGCCGCTGCACTGTGGGAGCCCCTTCCTGGGCTGGCCGAGGCCGGAGTCGGCTCCCTCAGCTTGAGGGGAGGTGTGGAGGGAGAGGCGCAGGCGGGAACTGGGGCTGCACGCGCACTTGTGGGCCACCGCAAGTTCCGGGTGGGAGTGGGCTCGGTGGGCCCGCACTTGGCGCAGCTGGCCGGCGTGCAAGCCCCAAGCAGTGAGTGGCTTAGCACCTGGGCCAGCAGCTGCTGTGCTCGATTTCTTGCTGGGCCTTAGCTGCCTCCCAGCAGGGCAGGGCTTGGCACCTGCAGCCCGCCATGCCTGAGCCTCCCCCGCCCCACCGAGCACCACTCCCTGCTCCACGGCGCCCAGTCCCATCGACCGCCCAAGGACTGAGGAGTGCAGGTGTATCCGTGCAGGATCTACTGGGTGAAGCCAGCTGGGCTCCTGAGTCTGGTGGGGACTTGGAGAATCTTTATGTCTAGCTAAGGGATTGTAAATACACCAATCGGCACTCTGTATCTAGCTCAAGGTTTGTATACACACCAATCAGCACCCTGTGTCTAGCTCAGGGTTTGCGAATGCACCAGTGGACACTCTGTATCTAGCTAATCTAGTGGGGAGGTGGAGAACGTTTGTGTCTAGCTCAGGGATTGCAAACGCACCAATCAGCACATTGTCAAAACAGACCAATCAGCTCTCTGTAAAACAGACCAATCGGCTCTCTGTAAAATGGACCAATCAGCAGGATGTGGGTGGGGCCAGATAAGAGAATAAAAGCAGGTCTGCCCAAGACCACAGTGGAAATCCCCTTGGGTCCTCTTTGGCGCTGTGGAAGCTTTGCTCTTTTGGTTTTTGCAATAAATCTTGCTATTGCTCACTCCTTCGGTCCACGCTGCATTTATGAGCTGCAACACCGCGAAGGTCTGCAGCTTCACTCCTGAAGCTAGCGAGGCCAGGAACCCACCAAAAGGAGGAAACTCCGAACATCAGAATGAACAACTCCAAATGTGCCGCCTTTAAGAACTGTAACACTCACCGAGAGAGTCCGTGGCTTCATTCTTTTAAGTCAGTGAGACCAAGAACCCACCCATGCTGGACACAATTCTAGAAGTCAACAGAATAGTTGAGAATACTTATGTTTTTCTTTATTTTTTCTTTTTGAGATGGTGTCAGTCTGTCACCCAGGCTGGAGTGCAGTGGTGCAATCACAGCTCACCACAGCCTCAACCTCCGAGGCTCAAGTGATCGATCCTCCTGCCTCAGCCCCCCAAGTAGCTGGATTTACAGGCACATACACCCAGCTAATTTTGTGTATTTTTTGTATTGACGGGATTTCACCATGTTGCCCAGGCTGATCTCCAACTCCTGGGCTCAAGTGATCCATCCACCTCACCCTCCCACAGACCTGGGATTACAAGCGTGAGCCACTGCACTTGGCCTGTATTTCTTTCAACTGCCTTTTATCAAAAGATCAGTTTCCCTTTCCTTACTCTCATTTTTCCTCCCCTTTTCTTTCATTTAAAAAAAAATCTTTCCCATCTTTTAGATTTGCCAATTACTTTCACGGACATTATAGTGCTAGCTGTTTTAACAGATAAACTCTCAATTGCGGCGGCCTAAAATAGAAGTTATCCCTCAGTAAACTCCAAAATGATTGGGGCAGGCTTTCATAGGCTTCCAGGGACCCAGGCTGTCTTCATTTTATGACCTCACTGCCTCTAAGCCCTGGGAATCCTCTCCATTCAGCCGGAAAAACAGGAATGGAATGAACATTCAAACAGGGAGATTTTTATGGGCCAGGCCTGCAAGTGGAGCACATGCCTGCGGTCATACCCCATTAGCCAGCACTCAGTAACATGGCCACATGTAATTGCAAAGGAGAATGGGCAATGGAGTCCAACTGGGGCAGCAAGAGGAGAAAAATGGGTTTGGTGAATAGCTAGCTTGTCTCTGCTACTAACTGCAGATTATTTCAACAACAGATATACATGATCTGGTGTACTACATGTAGGTAGCCCTTTCCTTACTTTCTCATGAAATCATTGCAACAACCATTATAATGGGATTAGAAATTGGTATGTCCAATTCAGAAACCTAAGGTCACACAGTTCTGAATGACAAACCAAGATTTAGTCCCTGTTCTGCTGCAAAACCTTCTGCAATATGTTGGATTTCTCCAAATAAAACACAGTGAAGTGAAATTATAGCCTGACAGAATTGTGATTACACTTAAAATATCATATAACTGCCACATCATCAACAGAGTCCATCCTTGGAGATGTTTTCCCAATTGGAGGGATGGACTTGTGCTAATTCACTTAAACTCTTTCCCATTTTAGTGTTTCATTTTTGAGACAGGGTCTCGCTTTGTTGCCCAGGCTGTAGTGTAGTGACACAATCACAGCTAACTGCAGCCTCTACCTTCCGGGCTCAAATGATCCTCCCACCTCAGCCTCCCCAGTAGCTGGGACCGCAGGCACATGCCACCATGTCCAGCTACTTTTTGTATTTTTTGTAGAGAAGGGGTCTTGCCATGTTGCCCAGGCTGGTCTTGAACCCGTGGACTCAAGCTATCTGCCTGCCTCCCAAAGTGCTGAGATAATGAGAGTGAACCACTGTGCCTGGGCTTTTTCTCATTTTAATGTATAGCATTATATATTGATGTATAGCTTTGAAGAGATCATTGCAGTCCCCTATAGAGGAATGAATCAATATTCACCCTCATCACTCATGTCTCAGCACTAAGAAACACAAATAGGCATTTCTATTTCTAAAAGATACTTTAAAAATATGGTTTCTTTCTGCTACTGAAGTTTCCTAAAAATCAAAAAGAAAATAGTTTCATTTTATCTTTACAATCTTTTGAACACTAGAGATATCAATCAGATATATCCATTTACAAATGAATAATAGCTAGGTTACTCTAAGAAATATATGTATGTGTATATTCGTTTAATCCTCAGCATCACCTGATGAGTTAAGTGTTTTTGTTGCCAGTATTTTATTGCCGTGGCTATCAAAGCACATAGAGGTTAACCAACTTGAGTGAGGTAAGAGTTGCGCATTGAAGAAAATACAGGTCAGGGTATTAGTGAAAGTCTCCAGCAAAGTTCCCAGGGTTCATAGGTTCTATTTATTCTGCTCTGTATGCCACAGGTTATTCCTTATTTCTTAAAAGATCTTTTCCTCAGGGCTTTCATAACATCCCGTTCCTTTCTTGCAGCTTCATTATATCTTTATTGTGCAGACACATTGACTTGAGTATGTAAAACCTAACAGTGCCTATTGTTGCACTAAAAAATGCCTTGCTATTAAAGCATGAGGCAAAAGCCTAACTTAGCTGTTTCCTGAAGTAAATCCATATTTATACAGAAAAACCCCTTAACTTCCTCTAAAACAAAAGGCATATACTCTACATAGACATATATTTGAGACATTAAAGAAACATCAATTTCCATTTTAAAAAAACGTTTAACTTAGTATCCTCTGTCAAATTTCTGGTGCCTACGAAAAAACTGTAAAAAAAATAGCTTTTGAAATATTACTCATTTTAAGTGAGTCACGCCCTAAAAGAATTTACTTGGGAGTCAAAGCTAGTTGACCCTAACATCTCAGAAATAAAACTCCAATTTGTTTATCCATTTAACCTACCATGAGTCTGTGATTTGGCAACTTGTGAAAAGCAACAACAAAAAAACCCACTAAAATATAACTGGTCACTGGAAACCCTCTTTCTGGTCTGTACTATCTAAATGCCAGCTGTCATGTCAGGCAAAAAGTAATTTGTAGAGCAGCCTTGTGGTCCACTGTATTATGTAGGAAAGACAATGTACTGGAAGAGCGAGGACTCAATCATTTCGTGTCTACTACTGAGAAACTAAATTCTGTAGAGAACATGAGGCTAAACGGAGGCTCTGGTCAGCTCAATAAAGATACGTTGGAAGAATCAATGGGGAGTTTACACAAGAGTAAAATGAAGAGTTCCAAGCTCTCTCATTGCTAACCGTACACTCTCCATGGCTGTTGCAAGTGGTTTTGCAGGTCATCCAAGCACTAATCTTTTCTTAGCCCGAACACATTTAAAGAGGGAAGGGGCAGAGATCATTCACACTGTGAATGTTTCTCTCTGAACTTCCTGAAGTCAACTGGGCGGAGGCCCTACCGGTTCAGGCACCTGCAATTTCCGCCTTTCTCCTTCCCCTTCTTCCGGGCTCCCGTCCCGGCTCATCACCCGGCCTGTGGCCCACTCCCACCGCCAGCTGGAACCCTGGGGACTACGACGTCCCTCAAACCTTGCTTCTAGGAGATAAAAAGGTAATGATCGTCATGTGCAGTATGAGGTCTTCACGTGAAAGCTTTATTTGGGTAGGAAAACCTAGCCTACGAGAAACGGGTCCGTGCGGTCACGCCTGACTGCCTGTCTCCGGGTCAAGGCTGCCAGGACCAGCTCCAGCCCTCCGCCCGAGAAGGCTGTCCTTTCCCCTCGGAACTCTGGCTTCCCTAAAGCGGCCGCGCCTCCTTCCAGGCCTCACCTCCTGCCGGCTCCGCCCGGCCCGGCCCACCTCGCCCCCACCTCGGCGCCCACCCATTGTCCCCTCGCGCAGTCACCGAGCGCAGATCCCGCGCTCTCGATTGGAACGCCTCCCCATCACTCAGCCACACTCAGGGGCTGGACGCCTCACTCCCGTTTCCGAGCCATAAAAGGTCTAGGACCGCTTCCCCCGAGCCAGCAGGTAAAGCCGCGGCGGCGGGAGGGAGGCCGGGAGGGGCCGCGCGCCCCGGTCGGCCCAGCCGGGGAAGGGGAGCGGCGGGCGGGGCGGGGGGCAGCGCACCACACACAACCCTCCCTTGCCGTGCGACCGCGCCCTGCCCCCGCCCCGGGGCCCCCGCCCCGCAAGTCCTGATCACAATGCCGGAGCCGCCGAGCCACCCTTGTCATCCTGCCCGGGGACGGCCCTGGGGCAGTTACTACCGCGAAGCACGGAGGGTGGGGCGGGCCGGGCCTCGGGGAGGGGTGGGGGGATGTGAAAGGTCCCGGATGTTGCTGAACGGGAGCCCCTTCCAGAGGGAGTGACTGGGGCAAGCGCAGACGGGCTGAGCGAAAGCTAAGGTGGGGGTAGGGAGAGAACGCCTTCCCGCCGGCTGAGAGGAAGAGTGGGCCGGCAGAGGCTGCAGGGGAGAGGGAGAGAGAGGGCGTTGGGGACCCAAAGGGAAGGCGAGGAGTGGGGGATTTGCGTTGGGGAGGAAAAGGAAAAAAGCAGCCTCCTGCCCTAGGTGCACTCGGGACAAGCGTAGAGGAGCTGGAAGCCGAGCGGGGTGGGAGGAGTGGCGGCTGCGGGCGAGGACGCGCGCGCCTCCGCTCGCCCTCCAGCGCGGGCGGGCAGGACGAGCGCCGGGGAGCGGCGGTTACGCGGGGCCCCGATCGCTGT
This sequence comes from Homo sapiens, assembly GCF_000001405.40. Taxonomy (NCBI): domain Eukaryota; kingdom Metazoa; phylum Chordata; class Mammalia; order Primates; family Hominidae; genus Homo; species Homo sapiens. Next base: position 100,952,153 of record NC_000008.11, on the reverse strand, counting down.
GGGCACCAATCAACGGTTGCCATAGCAGCGTTTGACGTCATCGTGCGTGTGGTGCCCCTGCTGCCGGGGCTGGTGATTGGAGGAAACCCCGTGTCTGCGGAGCGGCTGTAGCCTGTGAGCAGCGAGATCCAGGGACAGAGTCTCAGCCTCGCCGCTGCTGCCGCCGCCGCCGCCCAGAGACTGCTGAGCCCGTCCGTCCGCCGCCACCACCCACTCCGGACACAGGTGAGGAACCCGGCCGCCGCCGCGCCTCGCTTCCTGTCCCAGGCCAGCCTTCCGAACGCGTGGGAGCCGTCCTCGCTCCGTCCCCTCATCCCCACTCGCCCCGCGGTGGCGGCGCCGGGCTGAGGCGGAGTCTCCTCAGCGGACACGGGCGGCGGCTCCTCTTCCGCTGGGCTCGGGAGGGCGGCTAGCGGCCGCCTCCGGCTCCTTGCTTCCGCATCGACGCCCCGGCGCCGATCGGTGCTCGCTCCCCCGTCCTGCCCCCGGGGGTGGGTAGGGCGCCCACACGCGAGATCCCTGGGGATCTCCCTGTCGCCGGCTCCCGAAGGTGGACGAGGCATGGCCGGGGCGCCGCCGGCCGCGATCCATCCCCACCCTTGTCTCTGCGGGCTTCCACCCCCTCCCTCGCCGCCCTTCTCGCTTCCGCCCGAGATAATGACTCGGCGGCGGCGGCGGCGGGCATCGCAGTGGCGCAGGTGAGGCCGCCCCCTCCCCTCTCCCTCGGCCGCCCCCTCCTTTCCCTCCCCCTCGCGCAGCCTCCGCGCTGGGCGCTGCGGCGGCGGGACCCGGCCCTCCCCCACCCCGGGAGGCGGTGGCGCGGCGGGGAGGGGCCGGGGGCCTCGGGGACCCAAGCGCGAGGGAAAGGCCTGGCCGAGAGCGGGCCGGAGCCCAGGCCTGGCGCGGCGGCGCCCGCCAGGTAGACCGGGGCGAGGCTGCGCGCCGGCGGGAGGGGAGTCCACTGCGGGGTGAGGTTTTGGGGTGGGGCTCGCCTGGGACCTAGAGCTGAATTTCCTGGGCTCCGCGGTGGGAGGAAGGACTTGAATTTTCCTGGTGGGGGTGGGGGATGGGTCTGACTTTTTTTGCTCCTTGTGAACGGGCGGGGGAGGTGTGGACGGGGGCTGCAAGTCCAGGTCGGGGTAGAGAACAGGGTGGTGAGCCCGCAGTCGGCTCCCGTGCTTGATGGACTAGAACTGGAGGGTCCCTGCGCTCGGTTTGGGGACGCATATCCTGCTTTGGGGGCGGGTGAGCCTGAGCATAGCCGCTGGTGGCCCGCTCGGCTGGGTGTGGCTCTCGTCCCCTCCCCCACCTGCAGCTGTCGGTCCCTTAGAGACGCTGTACACGGTCACCGGCGCTGATCGGTGGCGGGGAAGGCGCTGGGTGGGAGAGCGGGGTGTGTCCGCGGCGGGGCTGGTAGTGGTTCCGCTTCTGCGGGCTGCTGTGGCGTCTCTGCCCCGGGGTCGGGCGGCTTCGCTCCCCATCTCTCCCCCCCCCCCACGGCTTGGGCGGGGGCGCGGGCTGCTCCTCCCTCTGGCTCCGGTCGGGGGGAGGAATTAACACTCTGCAGTAGGTTGGGCTCCCTGACACAGATCCGCCATGACAAAGGAGGAGAGTCGGGGACTTGAGCCGTGGCTCCGACTTGGGCGGAGCCTGGAGGGGGGTGGTTGCGATACGCGGACCGGAGAATTTGCACTTTAAAGTCCGGGTCTGCCCGTTTTCGTTTCACAGTAACCGACGTCTCAAGTCAGGTAAGGGTTAAATGGGTGCGGTGAGTCCTGCCCGCAGTGTAGAGGCGAGGCCTTGGAGCACTCGTTACTGTGTGAGAAACCTTATCCACTTCCTCTTGTACCGAAGTGATTGGGGAGAGAATCCTTTGTACTGGCTTAAATCATTTTTTGTTAGAAGCAGAAATAACCAGAGAGCGTTTCTGAGATCCTAAGGGAAAAATCAGTAATTTAGAGACCTGACGAAAATAATGCCGTCATAAAGGTTAAATAGTTTACGTATTGAGCCAGTACCTTGCATCCAAAGTGGTTAATTATTTGTTTAAAATGTGGCGACCTGTTCTCTCATTTGGTTAAAAAAATATTGTGGGATTTCCCTGGGAAGGTAAAAGATGATTAATATTCGGGAGCCAGCTGCCAAGGTGGACTCTTCTGTTCACCTTCTAACTTAAAAGTGCACTTCATTCAGGGTGTGTATTTTCCTCTGAAGTCATTTATTCTGTGGTGTCACTGTGTGGATTAGTATCTTTGTGCTGTTCGGCAACTTGCAAAAGGGTATCTTTCCAGAAAAATGTAGCTGAGGTAAATCGAAAAGGTCCAGGAAACTAAAATGCGAGGGAAAGAGAATTAGATGGGTAGTCATGGTAAAGGACAGCTTGAGTGGTAACATCCAATTACATTATGATGGCTAGAAGCAAAATGCAGCACTTCTGCATTTCAACTGGAGCGATGACATTGGAAACACTTATAAATTAAGTACTTCCAATGTGATATATTCTAGTACTCACAGTAAGAGTTGAAGTGTCATGACTTGCGGATATTTTTAAAGCATGTGGACATATAACAAGATAAAGAGTTGAGACATTAGGGTCAGATATTGATCCTTTGTGGTGGATTTATACTCAAAATATCTGAAAACAAACAGTTGGTCATTCCCCCCCAAATTGTTATGCTATTATTGGCTGGCAGTTGTTGCAGAGATCTAGTAGGTTTGGGGTAGGGGTAACACTAAAGCTAAAATGTAATCACTCTTGACAAGAGTATTATGAAAGTAAAAAGACGTGAGTTACATTAAACTGATATGAATTATGATTCTGGAAATATGATAGAAATCCAGATGTTCTCTGTAAACAATGCTTTTACTAAAGGAAGAAAAGCTGCTTAATTTTGGATCACTTAGTGGTATTGGAAATGAGTTGAGATTTTGATCAGGTAAGATTAGGGGTAGTTTTTGAGGCAGCTTTTGGAAGTAATTTTGACATGTGAAATTTGGGTCTTCTGAACAAATTTTAAGTTTTGCTACACTGATGTGTTAATGGCTGTAAGTTTACCTCTGATGCTGAGTATGCTAAATTTTTTTCCCTTTTTTGACTATCCTTTTGTGAGGCTGCATTTTAATTCCTCATGTGAACAGTCTTTCACAGGCAGTTAGGTTTCAGGTTTAAAAAACTCATTTACCACAGGTATAATTTTGAGTCTGTTTATTTTGATGGGAAAAATTTTAAATACTCCTTTTTTCCCCCCTGCAGAACATCCAGTCATGGATAAAAATGAGCTGGTTCAGAAGGCCAAACTGGCCGAGCAGGCTGAGCGATATGATGACATGGCAGCCTGCATGAAGTCTGTAACTGAGCAAGGAGCTGAATTATCCAATGAGGAGAGGAATCTTCTCTCAGTTGCTTATAAAAATGTTGTAGGAGCCCGTAGGTCATCTTGGAGGGTCGTCTCAAGTATTGAACAAAAGACGGAAGGTGCTGAGAAAAAACAGCAGATGGCTCGAGAATACAGAGAGAAAATTGAGACGGAGCTAAGAGATATCTGCAATGATGTACTGGTGAGAATCAATTCAGTCTGGCTTCATTATACTGTAGGGTCCCTATGAGTATCAGTTACATTACTCTTAACTTTTTGTTTGGTTTTTCTTTTCCTTCTAAACATTGTGTGTTCCAAATTTAAAAGTCTTCATGGTGTCATGACTAAAAAGATGTTAAGACAATTATAGATACGTGTATGTAAAATAATTGCAACAATGATTATGAAACAGTTCAGTTTTGTTAAAAATAACAGACTTTAGTATTGTATTTTATATTAATTGAAAATATAAACTAATTGTGTTACTGTTTTACTTATGGTTAGAATATTTGTAGTAGCTCTATAGCTGGTTATCTTAAATGTACATCTGTGGATAAAGGAATTTTACATACTTTAGGTAAGAGAGATGTAATAGGATACTCATTGTAGAAATAGTACTCTTCTCAGGATTAGCCGCTATAATGTTAATGTAATGAGTCAACCATGCAGAAAACTCTGGCGTCACAACTATGAAACCTCTTCCTGCATTGAATTCTTGAAGGTAAATTTTGAACACTCACAACCATGATGAAAGGTTATGAACAACTCAAGCTTGATTTTCCAGTTTGAATCGAGTATTTTAAGTATTCAGTACTTACTGTGTTGAAGCACTGCGCTTAAAAGAATTAAACTACATTTTGGTTAATTTTAATCTGTCATATAAAGTAGGGCTTTTTGATCAAGAATAGTTTAAATTTGAGGATAAACCAGTAGAGAATCCAACCAAGCTGGCAGTTTTTGGAATAATATTTAAAGTGGTTTTACTAAATGGTTACACTTAACCAGTATGGAAGGGCTCTGATATACAAAGAGGGGCAGCATCTCGATTTTTCTGGACAGATTACTGAATCTGGAACTCAGTATGGAAATCCAGGTTTGTTACTTACTATATGAACCTTGTTTATGGAAGAAGTGCTATAATGAGCAATAGGATAATGTCTGATGTGGTTGTGGGTTTGGGGTTTTTGTTAAAGTTGTGATGATACTATCATTTCTTTACATTTGTATTTACTAATGGAATAGCATCAGTTCCTAAACTGTAATTTTCTCAAATGATACTTACTTGACACTGTCTTTTTAAAGAATAGTGATTTTTTAAACATGCTTATTTGGGTTCACAGCCACAAACTCAATGAGGCATCTGTCTTGGGGCATTTTTTTGTTCTTTGCTTATTGAAACCTTTAGAATGATAGCTACTATTTGTATCTAAGTTGAAAAAAGGAATATCTTGCTTTTATTGGGGCCAAGTGACAAATGTCTGTTTTGTGATTTTGCTAAGGTAATAAGAATATTTAAATTTTGTTTTTTGTTTTTTTTTTTTTTTGAGACGGAGTCTTGCTCTGTTGCCCAGGCTGGAGTGCAGTGGCGCGATCTCGGCTCACTGCAAGCTCCGCCTCCCGGGTTCACGCCATTCTCCTGCCTCAGCCTCCCGAATAGCTGAGACTACAGGCGCCTGCCACTGCGCCCGGCTAATTTTTTTGTATTTTTAGTAGAGACGGGGTTTCACCATGTTAGCCAGGATGGTCTCGATCTCCTGACCTCGTGATCCGCCCTCCTCAGCCTCCCAAAGTGCTGGGATTACAGGCTTGAGCCACCGCGCCCGGCCAAATATTTAAATTTTGAAAATGTGATTTTTTTTTTCTATAATAAAAAATGTATTGGGTTTTTTTGTTTTTTTTGTTTTTTTTTTTTGCTCACCTTACTAACTAATATCTGTGTATGTGTAATTCAGTTTTGTTCAGTCTGGAGTGTTTTTCCCAATTATTACACCTGATCGAAAAGTTTTTATTTTGGCTTCAAAGGGTGTGTTACACATTAACATTTCCCTTAAGACAAAAGTCAATTTTAGGAATAAAAAGGAATGTAACATTTACCTTTTACTAACACGCTTATTTGCAATACCAGGTAGGTATGTGCATGTTTTCCATATACAAAGTATAAAAGTTCCTGTCATTGTGAGTCTTTTCCAAGGAAAAGACTTGTAGCAGGTTTGTTTTTTGTGTATGTTTGTTTGTTTGTTTGTTTTGAGACTGAGTTTTGCTCTTGTCACCCAGGCTGGAGTGCAATGGCACCATCTCAGCTCACTGCAACTTCCGCCTCCCGTGTTCAAGCAATTCTTCTGCCTTGACCTCCCGAGTAGCTGGGATTACTGGGCGTGCACCAGCACGCCCAGCTAATTTTTGTACTTTTAGTAAAGATGGGGTTTCACCTTGTCGGCCAGGCTGGTGACCAGGTCACGTCTAACTCTTGACCTCAGGTGATCCACTCGCCTTGGCCTCCCAAAGTGCTGGGATTACAGGAGTGAGCCACCACGTCCAGCCCAACTTGTAGCAGTTTTGACTATGCTTCCCTTTAGTTTCCTTATGAAGAAACTTTGTTTGCATAGAACCAGTAGATGAGGATAACAAGATAATCTCTTCATATAAATAGTTTCTTCTTGTTATGATTATTAAGGAAGTTCACTCTGGTCCCTACCCACATCGTTACCCTCCAGAATAGCACTGGCTTCCCAAAAAGTTTTAATGGTATTTACACTTTGAAAGTTTGGATAAATGAGAGTTTAATTTCTTTACTATACAAATGGCTTTGAAGAGAATTCTAAACAAGCTTTTGCTTCCAGCCTTGGTCTTTTCAGGAGTAAGACTTAGTGATCTTTGCATACTCAACGTGTAATAGATGCTCAAATATTTGTTAAACAAGCAGAAAGGCTTCTTTAGAGAAAGAGCATAGAATTAGGTCAGCAGCACTGCAAAATTTCCCTAGCTTTTTCTTTTTCTGCTTGGGAAAATTTGATATTTACCGATAATAGGCTTCTTTTTCCTACCATCTTTTTCAAATAGGTCACATCGACTCTGGAAACATATTGCATAAAATTCCTTCTGCCCTTTCTGTGAGATGGAAGAATAAAATGTAGCAGAACTGATATTTCTACTAGAAAAAGTTATTGAATCATTATTAATGATTAGTAAAAATATTTTAAATTATATTTTTAAGATCTTACATGATAAAAAATCAATTATAATTTTTTATTACTCCAGCCTTTTCTGGGCTTTGATATATATATTTTTTAATTTGAGAAAAATAAGCAGGTGTCCCTTTGCAGAAATAATAGTATTGGCTTGTGGCATTAGTGATAACCAGATTTTTTATATTGAGCACCTATTTTATAATAGCTATGAAAATAAACTTTCTTCCTACAAAAAGCAGCTAATCTCCAAAGTTCTGAGTTTTTCTGAAGAGCTCTTTAGTAACCCATTCTGGTTATATGTATTTATCTATTGTTTAACCATTTAATAAGCAAAGAGCTTGGACCATGTTGCATATTACAAGAGTAAATAGAGCATTATGGCGGGAAGTGGTCACTGGCATGCTCTTCACAATGTGGACTTTGCATTATGTAAAAGAACTTGGGTTTCTTCTCTTCCACGTGTTAATTTCAAACTGCAATATGTGAACTAATGCAATCTGCCTTTCCTGCCAGATGCTTAGACAAAAGCTCTCTTGGTAGTTGGGGAGGGACTCAACACTAGTACCTCTTTAAACCTGAAAGATGGCAGCCAAAAATTGGGTAGTTTTTATCTTGCACATGATGAAATGAATACCAAGGAAATACAGTCTAGGAAGCCTCTTTCAAACTCAAAGAAGTATGTCGAGGTGAATAATGGAGCTCAAGATACTGAGTCAAACTAGTTTTACCATTTAATAGATGCATGGCCTGAGGAAATCACTCAGTCCCTCTGAGAAAACTAAGCTCAATTAAATAGGAATAATACTCATCCCACAGGGTTGTGGGGAATGAGAGTCAGGTAAAGCACCTTGACTACCTTCTGTGTCCTGTTTATCTTAGCTTTTCAGTTCTATTTAAAAGTGTGAGCCTGCCTATAATAGTGCAGGGGTCTCTTAACTTACAGTCCATGAATGGAATTTCGAAGATTGAAGAAGCCTTTAAAATTGTGTATTTTTGTGGGGCAGAAGGTCCATGCCAACCATCAAATTTTCAAAGGTTTCATTTTAAAATTTAAAATCCACTGCTGTAGGCAGAGAATGACTTTATATAGGAGGTCTCCGAGAGGAAGCAGTGTAAAATTGTGTGTCTAACATTTATAACAGTTGGCAACTGCAGTTGAGTAATCTTAATAGTGATTCTGTTAATTTGACTGAGTTCTATTTTATTGCTGCTCTACGTTTTTATTTGCTCAGGGCAATTTTAAGTTGTGGTTATGGGTCACTGATTTTTATCTCCAGCCCACAGAACTACCATTAAACAGAAATAAGAAAGCAAGCGGCTTTGGGTCCGTTTTAGTCTGAATATATTATTACGTGCCTTGGGCTTTAAAAACTGCTATGTAGAGTTAGCAGTTTTTAAGATGAAAATCACTAGACAGCTCATTGGAATAAGGGCTTCTCCAAAGAACTCTGTAGGGTTATATCTATTGTTACTATTTCATTTTATTAAGATATACTGTATATTTACATGTCTTCATGGTTTTGGTATGTTTCAAAGTATAAATAATCCCAGTTCTGTGGTCTCAGGAAGGAAAAAATTGGACAGTGTCTTTTTTTTCTTTTTTTCTTTTTTCTTTTTTTTTTTGAGACGGAGTCTTGCTCTGTCGCCTAGGCTGGAGTGCAATGGAACGATCTCGGCTCACTGCAAGCTCTGCCTTCCGGGCTCACGCCATTCTCCTGCCTCAGCCTCCCGAGTAGCTGGGACTACAGGTGCCCGCCACCACACCCAGCTAATTGTATTGTATTTTTAGTAGAGATGGGGTTTCACCGTGTTAGCCAAGATGGTCTTGGTCTCCTGACCTCGTGATCCACCTGCCTCGGCCTCCCAAAGTGCTGGGATTACAGGCGTGAGCCACCGCGCCCGGCCTGGACAGTGTCTTTGGTAATAAAGTTCAGTTTTTTTTAATGTAAAGTGCCACACCCAATGACATATTTTGTACAAATACAAAAAGTCTGAGGTATATGAAGTGGAAATGATGAAAATAAAGGAAAGGGAATGGAAAGGTGTAGAGGCCTTTGCTGTTTGATGGGAAGGGAAACTAGCTCTGTCTTTATAATACTGAATTAAATGTCATTGGACTTTTGGATTAATTTCTCAAATTTTTGATTCCAAAATAAGTTACTCTTGGCATATTTATATTGAATGTGTGTGTGAGAATTTTTAAGTCAGAATGACAGGTGTTCTGATATCAAGTAAGTTTTAAAAGTTAGCATATAGTTTATTGAAATTCTAATAAGTTTCTTAGAATTTTTTGTAGAATTCCTGGTTCCCTATTGTGATTTCATTCTAGTTCCCATAGCTTTTGCTTTACTCTTGACAGTTCCACATAGAGAATAAACACCGCTCAAGGTTTTAGGGGACTTAGAACTGCTGTCAGTTTCAATATACTCAAAGCCAGCATTCCTTTTCCTTTTGAAACTGCCTGTTCTTTATAACTACCCAATTTTAGCATGTTTTCTAGACTTAATCACACGACATGTTGGACTCAACTTTGACTTAATTTTCAGATTACAAGCTGTTGATGTTTCCCATATCATTGGTTCCCTATCCTTTACATTCACGCTGAATTGTATAGTTCCCAGGATTATACTCAGAAAAGTGCACATTGCCAAATAGGAAAATGATACTGTATGGATAAACTTGATGTGCTTTTAATGGACAAAAGCTAAATTATAAACATCTTTTTACTGCTGCTTGTGGTCATTCACTTGGACTTGTTACTCTTATTTTTCCTTTTTCAGTTCTATGTTGCATGTATTTCTTATTCTAATCTTTCTAAAATGCTGATTTCATTCCATCTATTTGCTTGATCCTTGCCAGAATTCCCTGCAAGAGGCTTTTAGCTTTAGTTTGGTCGTCTCACTATCCCTGATACAAACTGTTGCTAATTACCATCTTTATGGCCTGAGGGTTTCTGCTTCATTACTCGATTTAGGACTTATTTTAATCTTGATTATCTGTCTTTCAGCATCAGAAGATTGGCTCTGTTCTTTTCTCCTTGAAAACATTTGTGTATTTGTAAAGTACACTGAAGGAGTATATGCTTTGATATTTAGATGGCACAAATGTAAATTTTGGTGTGGGAAGAACGGTCGTATCAGCAGTTCTCTCTTTTTTATTATGTGTATTTCTATGTAACCGATCATTCACTTGTTCTCTAGTCAGTAATTCCATTTAATTATGAAAAGCTTGTATATGTGAAAGTTACTGTGCAATAGCAGTTGTCATTGATTTAGTTTTGTTTTCTGGTAAGGTATAATGTGATAGAAGTAGTAGTGTAGTGTAGGATAGAGTTTTACATATTGGCAGATTTCACTAGTTTTTTTTTCTATTGCCATTCAGGCACCAAAGCCATGTGGATGAATATAGCTGACTTGATATCAGTAAGATCATTTTGTGTGACACCTGCCCTTTTGTTTACATTGGATAGGTTATTAAAAAGTTTCAGCATGTAAGCTCTTGTGGATTTCTTTTGACAGGATTTGTTGTGAGCCTTCCTTCCCCAAATAAAAATGTGCTTACAGTGGTAACAACAGGTAAAAGAATATAAGGATAGTTTCAGCCAAGTATTAATCTATAAAGTTAAGCGGACCAACATAAGATTTGCTTAATGGGTTGGCCTGTATGCATGTGTTGAATTTTAAAATCTAAGAAGGATTATTGCATTAAATTTGCAGGGACTGCCCAATTTTTGTTGTATTAGTATTTTATTTTAATCGTTTAATGAGTTGGGAAGTTAGAGATGTTTTTTTTTTTTTTTGTCGTTTTTTGTTTTGTTTTTTTCTGAGATAGCAGTCTCACCTTGTCGTCCAGGCTGGAGTGCAGTGGCACAATCTCGCCTCACTGCAGCCTCCACCTTCCGGGTTCAAGCGATTCTCCCTCCTCAGCCTCCCAGGTAGCTGGGACTACAGGCGCCCACCACCATGCCTGGCTAATTTTTGTATTTTTAGTAGAGACGGGGTTTCGCCATGTTGGCCGGGCTGGTCTTGAACTCCTGACCTCAGGTGATCCACCCACCCCGGCCTCCCAAAGTGCTGGGATTACAGTCGTGAGCCACCATACCCGGCCTAGAAATGTTTTTTAGTGGCAGTTAATTTCTAACTTGCAAACAATTTTTGGGATCTAGAGTTTTTAAAAATTAGCGTTATACCAAGGAACCCACTGGTATGCGGAATGTTTCTCATCTAAGTGATTAATTACAAACGCTTTTCTGAGACAGACCTATTTGTTGATCCAAGACTTATGAACACTCAGCTTATAATTTTTTTGCTCCTTAAACGTAATAAACATTGTCCAGTTTAGAATGACATACTTGGACCACATTCAACCAAGAGACACTTGATGAAAATATTATGCAAAATACCTACTTAAAATGTGATTCTGTGGAATTGACAGTTGAAGGTAGTATTATATAGGCAAGCTGTAGTTCTTGCCTAGAACAGGCAAGTTCTCAATTCAACAATTTGATGAGTCCTTTAGCATTGTGTTAGGAAGATGTTTAGAAATAAGACAACTCAAGCAATCTGCTTTTTGTAAGAGTAACGACTTTTCCTTCCCAGTTGCCCTTTGATTGTTGCCATCTAATGGAGGACTAGCATCAGGCTCTTTTTCTTTAATTGGAGCAGAGATAAAACTTTAAGCATATCCCTGTGTAACATTTCTAAAAATAAAGGATACTAAAGTGTATACTACCTTACTTTAAGAGAGGTGATAAAACTTAGCATGAGCCATGCAGTCTTTTTGAATTTTTGATTCATTGTGTGATTTGGGGCAAGTTTTACTGCATTTGTCTGTGACTCTGTTTCCACATCTTCAAAATGGGAATAATACTATCTACCTCTAGGATGTTTTGAGGAAATTGTTGAATTAACACACCCCTGTGGTGGTGTTAAATAGCAAATACACTGCTTTACCTTTTGTACCTCTGTGATATCACTTTATTGTGGTTTCATTTATAAATTTTGGATTAAATTTAAGAGAACTTTAGAAAGCTGAAATTTTTTATTTAATATTTGACAACTTGCTATTTTATAAGCCCTGGGCTATTACAAAAATAAATGTAAAAGCCCCTGCTCTTCAGTCTGGAGAGGGAAATAGACGTGCACAAATAATACAAGTCAAAGAGGGAAAAGTACTGCAAATTCATTGAACATAGAAAAGCTGGTCTTTAGCCTTTTTTAAAAAGGGGCTGATAAAATATAGTCCCCCATGTAGTTTATCCATAATACATAGCGTGCCACTTACAAGCTAAAAAGCCCTATGAAAAATGAGGCGTTTTAACTACCACCACCACCAACAACAAAAAGCATCGTGAGGGAAATACTGGTAAATTGGGCCTTGGTTTGTGAGAAACTTCAGCGCAGGCCTAGATCCTGGGGGAGGGGAGAAGAGGAACGCCTTCAGTGAGTGTCAATAATTTTTAAGTTTATACTTAACTACTCATTAAGTTCTTTTTGATATAAGTTCTTTTTGATACTTGTTAGTGTTTCACTTTTTTTTTTTTTTTTTGAGACGGAGTCTCGCTCTGTCCCCCAGGCTGGAGTGCAGTGGCGCGGAGTCTCGCTCTGTCCCCCAGGCTGGAGTGCAGTGGCGCGATCTCGGCTCACTGCAAGCTCCGCCTTCCAGGTTCACACCATTCTCCTGTCTCAGCCTCCCTAGTAGCTGGGACTACAGGTGGCCGCCACCACGCCCGGCTAATTCTTTTGTATTTTTTAGTAGAGATGAGGTTTCACCAGGTTAGCCAGGTTGGTCTCGATCTCCTAACCTCGTGATCCGCCTGCCTCGGCCTCCCAAAGTGCTGAGATTACAGGCATGAGCCACTGCACCTGGCCTAGTATTTCACTTTTAATCTTTAGGAACAACATTTCAAAATTTGTTTTCAGATGTTCCTTTTTTTATTTTTATTTTTTTTGAGATGGAGTTTCACTCTTGTTGCCCAGGCTGGAGTGCAATGGCGTGATCTTGGCTCACCACATCCTCCGTCTCCTGGGTTCAAGCGATTCTCCTGCCTCGGCCTCCTGAGTAGCTGGGATTACAGGCATGCACCACCACGCCCAGCTGATTTTTGTATTTTAGTAGAGATGGGGTTTCTCCATGTTGGTAAGGCTGGTCTTGAACTCCTGACCTCAGATGATCCACCCGCCTCGGCCTCCAAAGTGGGATTGATTACAGGTGTGAGCCACCGTGCCCAGCGTTAGATGTTCTTAAAACACTGATTCCTTCTAGGATTATTTTGCTAGCATTCATGATTCGGAGGGAGACAATTCTCTGAACCTGATTTAATTTGGCAGTTTTTATTCTCACTTCCTGCTAGCCCTTTCACCCAGTTGATTAAAAAAAAAAAGTTTTAGAACAGAACAGATGGGGCTTTCTATCAGCATTGTTTAGTGTAGGTATCTTTTGTTTTGGGGTAAATATCAGGGAGCAGCTACTCTTTTAACAGGAATTATATTAATAAAGTTTTAGGCTGGCTTTAACAGTTCTTGAACATCAGGAACATCTTGCTTTGCCAGATTTCTTGTTGATTAAAAGTGCAGATTTGCCATCTATTAATGGAAAATGCGTTAAGTGATTAGGCACAAGCCTGCTTATAGATGACCTTATTTATAGAACATATGTTCACAGCTTAAAATCTTATTCTGTTAGGCCACATTGCATAGAAAGGTAATAATTTAAAGTCAAAATGTCTAAAAGACTTAATAAATTAGTTCTTGACACCTCCTAATCATTAGCATTTCTGGTGGAGCACTTTTCTAATTGGTTGAAAGCAAGTGAGGAAATTGCAAATCAAAGAATGGAAGCCACTCCGGCCACAAGGGGGAGTAAGAGATTAAATCTATGGGCCCCTAATGTGTGACAGATTATGGGCTTCTTGCATGATTTCTTTTTAAAATTTTAAGAGATCTAGGATTTATACAAGGCCCAGTGTCTCTACAGAATAAAAATTATAGGAAAATTATCTCTGCATAAGAGAATTGTACAAGACCAGAAATTTGAACTACACTATGCTGAAGAGTTGGAATTAAATCTATTAATGAGGATGTTATTAAAATGACATTTGTGGGGTATTTTTGTGAGTTTTTAAATTGAATAATATAAACTGGGAGTTTTACATAATTTATAGATTTGTAGAAATATGTTTAAGTATACAGAAATTTCATTGAGTCATTGAATTTTAGGGTTAAAGGGACATCTGATCTAGCCTTTTTATTTTAACAGATCAAGACACTGCAGCTCAGGGGTTCAGCTATTTACATGAGGTCATACAGTAAGCATTAATATTTGTAGTCTCTTAATGTAGTATCATCTTATTGTAGATTGAAACATGACATTTAATCTGCTATCAAGATACTGGGTTTGTAGGGGGGGATGAGGAGTTGTCAGAATAACAAAATAAGTGGCTTTAATTTTATTGAAAACAGTGGGGTTTTTTTGTTGTTTGAGATGGAGTTTGACTCTTGTTGCCCAGGCTGGAGTACAATGGCATGATCTTGGCTCACCGCAACCTCTGCCTCCCGGGTTCAAGTGATTCTCCCGCCTCAGCTTCCTGGATAGCTGGGATTACAGGCATGCGCCACCACGCCCAGCTAATTCTGTATTTTTAGTAGAGATGGGATTTCTCCATGTTGGTCAGGCTGGTCTCGAACTCCTGACCTCAGGTCATCCTCCTGCCTCGGCCTCCCAAAGTGCTGGGATTACCGGCATGAGTCACTGCACCCGGCCGATTTTTGTTTCAGACTATAATTAGGGTGCTGTACTTACTGAGAATCACTTTTGAGGGCTCTTATGCCTCAGTTACTTGCTACCTCAACCTTTTAACTTCTGGTGTGTGTATGCTTTGTATGAAAGCAGGCATGTCTGTGTCCTAATGTCTCTCTCTTCATTTGTTGTTTTGGAAGAGAGCCATGACAGTACAATCTAAAACAGAAGAATGGGTTATGGAGGCTTGATCTTTCTCCCACTCACATATTTGGTGAGGTCATGTCAAAGTTAGCCCAGCTGTATTCGCAAATTTCAATTCATAAATGTCTCAATAGAGGTTGATTGTTTTGCTTTGATATTCTGGGGGGATTTGCTATTTGCTAATGACACTCGATGTCTAATTATCTTTGTGCGAATTAAATTTAATATTAGGACCAGTTGGTGAAATACTGTTTTAAGACAAGATGAGAACTTTCTCTCCACCCCACATATTTTTCTTTACAAATGTATCATTGTTTTTGTACCATTTCTGTGTTAAATACAAAAGTAGTATCAGCCACATAAGGAAATTTGAAAAAAAAAAAGCATATAAAGGGTATGAAAAAGGGTATCTTTCAGAAATAAAGACAATTAAAAGGGACTTCTTTAAAATGTATTAACTTTTCATTTTGAAATAATTTCAGATTTAGAAAGAGGTTGGAAAAATATGAAGAGTTTTTCATATATTTTGCCAGATTGTCCACATGTTAATAACTACAGTATAATTATTAAAATCAGGAAAATGATTAAAGTAAATGATAAACTATTATGTAACCTATAATCTTAATTAAATTTAGCAAATTGTTTTACTGTAATTTCCTGTTTCTGCTCCAGAATTCCATCCAGAATTACACTTTGCATTTTGCTTACATGTCTCCTTACTCTCCTTTAATGTGGATCAGTCTTGTTTTAGTCTTTGCCTCTAATGATTTTGGAACTTTTTTCAAGAGTACTGGCTGGTTATTTTGTAGAATGTCTCTCAGTTTCGATTTGTCTGGTGATCCTTTTTGTTTGTTTGTTTGTTTTGAGATGGAGTCTCACTCTGTCCCCCAGGCTGGACTTCAGTGGCGAGCTATCCTGGCTCACTTTGCAACCTCTGCCTCCCAGGTTCAAGCGATTCACCTGCCTCAGCCTCCCCAGTAGCTGGAATTACAGGCACCCGCCACCATGCCTGGCTAATTTTTGTGTTTTTAGTAGAGGTGGGGTTTCACCATGTTGGCCAGGCTGATCTCAAACTCCTGACCTCAAGTGATTTGGCCGCCTTAGCCTCCCAAGGAGTGAGCCACCGTGCCCGGCCTGTCTGGTGATTCTTCATGATTAAATTTAGGTTGCCAGTTTTTGGTGAGAACTCCTGGAAGTGATATGGTGTCCTCCTCACTGCATTATATTAGGAGGCATGTGGTGTTGTCCTGTTACTTAACCAATTATATTTAGATAGTGCATTATGCTGTTAGGACTTCTGAAAACACACCCCATGGTGCAAAATACCCATTGAATCTTTTTTAAGGTATATGCCTTAAGATTATGATTACTTTGTCAAAGGTTACAAACTAAATTATTTTGCCAAAGTGCTTTTTAAATAAGCTGCCTCTGTTTATACTGAATAGGTTGCTTCTTCAAAGGGGAAAATAGGATCCCAGCTCTGTAACTTGTAATTTTTTTTCGAATTTATTTTCATTAGTTGGCTTCTTGTGTTCTAGTTGGCAAGCCCAAATCTCAGCACATAGCACGGTGGTTTGAGTGTATAGTGGCAGGTTGGCTATTCTTCAGGACTGAGGTGAATGTACAAATACTTAATGATTGAGTTCTTGTTCATAATTTTGGGGTTTGGTCTAAGGACCCTTAGTTTATAAATTCTCTGATTACTTTTTAAGAAAAAAAGTGATCTTGAATTTAAAGAAATGTAAGGGATAGTGGTGGGGTGGGAAATTCATTATGTTAGAGGAGATTTCCTGGCATTGGAAGGGAGATTTTGAAATTAATGCTGTAGTGAAACACAAGAAGATTAAGGTGAGGAGGAGGCTGGTCATAGTTTTGTATTTGAAATGCCTGTCTTGCCTCTTAGTTAGTAGAATTAGTACCATAATCTAGGACCCTTGACTTCTTAACAAGTTTACTCTGCCTTGCAACCTCACACTCTCTTCCAGTTCTCTCTGCAGGATTTTTCTTAGGTTCTTCTTTGTTCATTACATAGAAACCTGGAGCTTATCCATATTAGGAGGTGCTTAGCCTGCCCCTTTGCTGCTGTTTCTGAATATATGTGTTTAGTTCAGCACTCACATATTTTAAATGAGCAATCTCTTAGGTTTTCAGAGAAGTAGAACATTGTTGTGTCTCTTACAGCAGAATATTCATTATTGAATGTAGTGTCAACCTGAATTTCTATCAGGTTTTGTCTTAACTATTTAGGAATTTGGTAAGGTAATACACTCTTGATGATGAAGACTTTCTGAAAAATAGTTTTTAGGATGTTGAGCTATTAAAATATCCTCCAAGATAGTTTTAAAATGTTTTATTTAAATGAAGCTATTACAGTTATGCGTATATTATTCAGTCAGGGAGTTTAATATTTTTGAGTGCTTAAAATGTGTAGAACGTGCCTTTATTAGAGCCTATGAGTAGGTTAAGAGTATATATGTGTGTGAAAAGTTAAAGGTGCAAAACCATAATTGTTTGTTTTATTTGAGATGGAGTCTAACTCATTGGAGTGCAGTGGCACAATGTCGGCTCACTGCAACCTCTGCCTCCCGGGTTCATTCAAGCAATTCTCCTGGCTCAGCCTCCCGAGTAGCTGGGATTACAGTCGTGTGCCACCACATCCAATTTTTTTTTTTTTCCCAGTAGAGACGGGGTGTCACCCAGGCTGGTAATCTTTATTTTAAATTGTACTTGCTCCTAAGAATTTAGGTGTTAAGAGCATAGCATGTAGAAGGAAAAAATAAAGCTGCTGTAACCTCATCCTGCCTTCTTGGAGGTAATCTCTGTTAGTCCTTTGTGTATCCTGGGAATTTATGTGCAAAGTAAACAATTCTGTCCTTGAAGAATAAGGATCATATACTTAGTTTGGTAAATTGTACAAAACTACACACTTTGATGTATATCTTATGTTTCATTTTGACAGGTACCTCCTTACTCTTTTGTTTTTTGGAGACAGTCTCGCCCTATCGCCCAGGTTGGAGTGCAGATGGCACAACCTCTGCCTCCTGGGTTCAAGTGATTCTTCTGTCTCAGTCTCCTGAGTAGCTGGGATTACAGGCGCCTGCCACCACACCCAGCTAATTTTTGTATTTTTAGTAGAGACGGAGTTTCGCCATGTTAGCCAGGCTGGTCTCGAACTCCTGACCTCAGGTGATCCACCCACCTTGGCCTCCTAAAGTGTGGGATTACAGGCGTGAGCCACCACAACCAGCCCGTACCTCCTCACTCTTAATGTCTGTATAGTATTCTATTATTTGGGTATGTAGCAACTTACTTAGCCAGACCCTCCTTTTAAAAAAAAAAAAAAAAGATAGGGTCTCCCTCTGTCCCCCATGCTGGAGTGCAGTGGTGCACTCACTGCAGCCATGACATCCTGTGCTCAAGTGATCCTCCCATCTCAGCCTTTGGAGTAGCTGGGAGTGCAAGTGCACACTACACTAGGCTAATTTTTTTTTTTTTTTTTTTTTTTTTTTTTGAGACGAGTCTAGCTTTGTTGCCCAGGCTGGAGTGCTTTGGCACGATCTCAGCTCACTGCAACCTCCGCCTCCAGGGTTCAAGTGAGTCTCCTGCCTCAAGCCTGCCAAGTAGCTGGGATTACAGGTGTGCACCACCATGCCCACCTCATTTTTTGTATTTTTAGTAGAGATGGGGTTTCAACATGATGGCCAAGCTGGTTTTGAACTCCTGACCTCAAGTGATCCACCCACCTCGGCCTCCCAAAGTGCTGGGATTACAGGCGTTAGCCACCGCGCCTGGCCACGCTAGGCTAAGTTTTTAAATTATTTTTAGTAGAGATGGGGTCTTGCTATATTGCTTAGGCTGGTCACTAACTCCTGGCCTCCAGCAATCCTCCCAGCTCAGCCTTCCAAAGTGATTGTGATTAAAGGTATAAGCCACCACACCTGGCCGTTAGTCCTTTATTGACAGAAATTAGGATATTTCCCTTTTTTCTCTTCAGTTAAAAAGCTCTACACTACACACTATCTGTACAGACAATGTAGATGAAGCTGAATAGCTTTGAATAATTAGCTTTAGGGAGAACATAGCATTAGAGCTAGGTATGGAGAGGTATTTAGCACAGATTCTTTTCATTTTATTTTTCCAGCTTTATTGAGGTACGATTGGCAAAAAAAATATATATTTAAGGTGTACAACATAGCAGAGGTTACTTTAAATCAGTTGTTAAAAGTGATATGCCGACCACTGGGAGTCCTTTGGGGAGGTGTCTATTACATCACAAAAAGTCACAACTATTTTCTTCCTTTTTTTTTTTTGAGACGGAGGCTCACTCTGTTACCCAGGCTGGAGTGCAGTGGCACAATCTCGGCTCACTGCAACATCCACCTCCCAGGTTCAAGTGATTCTTCTGTCTCAGCCTCCCGAGTAGCTGGGATTATAGGCACACACCACCATGCCCAGCTAATTTTTGTATTTTTAGTAGAGACAGGCTTTCACCATCTTGGCCAGGCTGGTCTTGAGCTCCTGACCTCATGATCCACCCACCTCGGCCTCCCAAAGTGCTGGAGTTACAGGTGTGAGCCACTGCGCCGAGCCAGGTCACAACTATTTTCATGGCAAATACTGTTAATACTGATTCTTATCACTTTGTTGACATTTAGCACTGGTGCAAACCCAAGGGTTGCTCAAACTTACTGGTTCCTTATCGCTAATCAAGGCAGTGATACTATACTGTACTAGTGATTATTGTATTTCTTTACCATTATGCACTCACTGTTTCTTTTAAAAAGAAAAAAGACTTTTTTTTTAATGTCCTTGAATCTGAAACATTATTTTATTAATAGCCCTTAAATAGACATCTTTCAGTGAGGCAAAATGGGAAGTCCAGTGGTTGTCTCTAAGAAAAACACTTGCAGTTATTTGAATTGTGAGATAAACTAGCTGCTTTTCTTTTTTTATGGAACACTTTTTTCTTCAAAGAACTGCAGGCAGATAAGCTGTGGGTATTCAGACCTAGGTATTCGACAAATATCTTAAATGAATTGAGCCTCTCACTTTAAGGGAAAATGATATTTTTGACAGATAAAATTGAAGCTTTGGAGCAAAAATGAGAACTTTGGAAAATAATTACTACCACCATGATCTTAGTTTTCTACTTTTTTATGACTGTAAAAGTGTCTTGAGACAAACTTTTAAGCCATAAATTTGAAGTATTGTTACCGTTTAGGGTTTTTTCCTAGAAAATGTACCTATTTATAGAGGTAGTATATATGTACCATGGTTGGGAGAAATAAGGTAATATTACTTAAATATTAGGAAATTATTTCACATAAGAGGGAGTTCAGAGCTAAGGTGGTTTTTGGGTGGGTGAGTGGGTGGGTTAAGATCAGTTACTGCAGTACAAACAGTACTTGAAGTCTAATGTGGTTGACACTAGACTTTCACCTTCCAAAAGGATGGCAGCACTTCTTTGTTGCTTACTATTTGCCAGACTCTGCTAAATGCTTATTATATGTTAATTCATTTAATCCTTACAACAACCTTGTGCATTATGTCTACTACTAATATTTGCCTTTTACAGATGAGAATCTGAGACCCAGGAAGATTTCAGAGTTTTGTCAAGGTGACAGAGTTTGAATTTAGGCAGTAAGCAGTCTGTCTCCATAGTTTGTGTTCCTAACAAGTCTGTTGTTTAAAAAGAGAAAATAAATACTAAAGGAAATGTTCTTTTTTTCTTTTGTTCTTTTTTCTTTTGTTCTTTGATATGTCTTAATCCTGTGTTTTTGAATGAAAACTTTTTTGCATCCTACTTCACCATTTTTCCTAGTTATACAAATTTTAGATTACCAAAGCCAAAATGATGTACTTAAGAGTACAAGAGCACTAAAGCAGATTTTTGAATGTCAGAATCTCCATACTTTATTTTCACATAACTGAGCAACCAGTGAGTAGAATGCCTACTCTCGGTTGGGAGCTGTGAATGGTGCCCTCCTGTTTATATGTTCATTTAGACCTCATAACAGCCTTTTGATGTGGATTTTCATATAGATGAGAAAATAAAGATTAGCTATTGTGTAAATTCTCAAAATTAATGGGTTAGGGTGGAATTTCAAGTCTGCCTGGTTTTAGAGTTTATACGATTTGCATTACATCAAGCTTTTCTTCTAACAAGTGTTGAATGCCCGAAAGGTTAAAGTCTTGCCACCAGCTCAGGCAGCAGTTTTGGTGGTTTAGGGGTAATCATACTGAAAGACCAGTGAGAAAGGCATATCACTAGAGATAGATTCTCAGTTCATTAACTTTTCATTAGGAATATTTGACTACAGGCAGGAGTGAGTGTTTATAAAATTCATATTAGTGGGATCAGGTTGAGTCTATGCCAAGAAGGGATCAGAAACAGATGACCTGTCAATTTATGTGGTTCCTTAATTTTAATAGACTTAATTTTAAAGACAAAACATCATTGTAAATATAGACTATCTTTGGATTAAGGCATCTTTTGGAAACTGGCTTGGGAGGAAAAATGTTATTTGAACCCCATCTCTTGGAAGTGTTTTCACAATCTAAGAGGTTAATTATACTACGGTGCAGTAGAGAGAAAAATCTCTTTTATCTCTAAAATCTCAAATTTCATGTAATTTACCTGTTGGTTAGGTTAAGGATTAGTGTCCTCTCTTCAGAGCCCATATCACATATTTAACTCTGGATTAGGAGCTGTTTACCAAAGAGTATTAGATACCGGCTTCTTGTGGCATTTTGCTGCTGAGTAAATGATTTCTTATCCCACTTAATATTATTAGGGTGAATGCTGTATAAATGCATTAACTCTAATTCAGCAAATTAATCTTGGGTATTTTCTAAAATGTTGGCCATGATATCTTTAAAAGACAGTGGCTGTCATGAAAAAACATATTTAAAAGTTAATGGGAGCAGGGCAAGCTATGATGGGGCCACTGCATTCCAGCCTGTGTGACAGAGCAAGACCTCATCTCTAAATAAAAATTAAAAAAATTAATGGGAGGGAAAAAAGTAAAACTTACATCCACATTTTGAAGTAAACTGAGGAAATACTGTGGATTTCTAAATGAGATTATATTTCAGGAAGATTCAACAGATTAACATTTAGCCTTGATTTAGCTTGAGTGTAGGATGTGCTTGAATTTTGTTTGACCTCAAAACCATTTAGATTTGGTTTAAAAACTTAAGGTACTGTGATAATTGAAAAATTTTACAAGTTGAACCTTCAGTCAACCTAGCCCTTGTTTTACAGTTGGAGTTGGCTGGGCGCGGTGGCTCACACCTGTAATCCCAGCACTTTGGGAGGCTGAGGCAGGTGGATCATGAGGTCAGGAGTTCAAGACTAGCCTGGCCAATGCAGTGAAACCCTGTCTCTACTAAAAATACAAAAATTAGCTGGGTGTGATGGCATGTGCCTGCAGTCCCGGCTACTCGGGAGACTGAGGCAGAAGAATCACTTGAACCGGGGAGGCTGAGGTTGCAGTGAGCCAAGATCACACCACTGAACTCCAGCCTGGGCGACAGAGCGAGACTTCGTTCTAAATACGGTTGAAATTGTGACACTTAGTGTATACTTCCTTATATTATGGTGTGCCCACTCCCTCCCCTTTTTACTTCAGACTTTATTTCAGTCATGATTGCTTTCATTGTACTATTGTAGGTGAACGAAATTTAGGAGGTTTATTTCTGTGTTGAGCAGGATATTCTCTGAAGTTATTGCATATTTTGAAAGTAGCTATCAGCCCTTTCCTCCCTTCCATTCTCTACTTGGTGCACCTCCATGTTTTTTTCTGCTTTGTTGTAACTGCTGCTTCCTTTTTCTTTTGTTCTTTTATTCATTTTTTTCTATTCTTCCTACATTGGGTTTTATCTTCTGGCTTCCAAATCTGGAAAACTTGGATTTGTTATTCTTCGGTCAGTTTGACAAAGCAACATACTTAATTGCCTCTTTTATGTTACCATTAAATTAATTCTGTGAACTCTGACTTCCCTTAGAATTGAAAAAGACCACGTGTACAAAAATCCGGTTAGATAGTAGAAATAAGTTCTAGTATTCAATAGTACAGTAGGGAAATTATAGTTAACATTTATTTATTCTACCAAAGTAGCTAGAAGAATTGCAGTGCTCCTAACACAAATAGAAGATCAATGTTTGAGGCCAGGTGCAGTGGCTTTACGCCTGTATTCCCAGCACTTTGGGAGGCTGAGGCAGGTGGATCACCTGAAGTCAGAAGTTCAAGACCAGCCTGGCCAACATGGCGAAACCCCATTGGTACTAAAGATACAAAAGTTAGCTGGGTATGGTGGCACATGCCTGTAATCCCAGCTACTCAGGAGGCCAAGGCAGGAGAAACGCTTGAACTCAGGAGGAGGAGGTTGCAGTGAGCCGACATTGCGCCACTGCACCCCAGCCTGGGTGCCAGAGCAAGACTGTCTCAAAAAAAAAAAAAAAAAATCAATGTTTGAGGTGATGGATATCCCAGTTACTCTGATTTGATCATTATATATTGTATGCATGTATCAATATCACATGCACCCCCAAAATATTTACAACTATTTTGTCAATTAAAATTTTTTTAAAAGAAACAGATGACATCTTCTTTATGAATCTCCTCTACAAAATACCTAAGTTACCCTCTTTAGTTTCCTGTTTTACCTTTATGTGAAAAGAGGGAATTCACTGAGCAGGTTCCAGTACTGGACCACTCATAAGTTTTCTCATACTGAACAGAAATCTTCCCTCTTGCTAAATTTAATTGGTCTTGTCTCTTGGAGCCATTCATGTCCTGTTCTTTCCATTATCCTGACAGTTTCTAGTATACTCGCCATAACTTTGATTCCTGATTGTGGAATAACGTCCTTTCTAGTAGGTATATCACCCCATTGAGGCTGAGAATATGTTCCTTTTTTTTTTTTTCTTTTTAAGACGGAGTTTCACTCTTGTTGCCCAGGCTGGAGTGCAATGGCGCAATCTCAGCTCACTGCAACCTCTGCCTCCCGGGTTCAAGTGATTCTCCTGCCTCAGCCTCCTGAGTACCTGGGATTCCAGGCGTGTGCCACCACGCCTGGCTAATTTTTTGTATTTTTGGTAGAGACGAGGTTTTACCGTGTTGGCCAGGCTGGTCTCGAACTCCTGACCTCAGGTGATCCACCCGCCTCAGCCTCCCAAAGTGCTGGGATTATAGGCATGAACCACCACACCTGGCAGAAAATGTTCTTTTATAGTTAGCTTTTTTTGAGCTACAGTGTTAGCCCCTTTAAATTTAATCTTTAATCCAGTCTTGCTTGGTTTTGGGTTTTTAAATCTTAATTAGCTTATGTCATTGGACGATTTATTAGAAGTAGGCCATTTATGCCTTTCTCAACTCTTTTTTTTTGAGACGGAGTCTCACTCTGTTGCCCAGGCTGGAGTGCAGTGGCACTATCTCAGCTCACTGCAAGCTCCGCCTCCCGGGTTCACACTGTTCTCCTGCCTCAGTCTCCCGAGTAGCTGGGACTACAGGCGCCCGCCACCACACCTGGCTAATTTTTTCTTTTTGTAGTAGAGACCGGGGTTTCACCTTGTTAGCCAGGATGGCCTCGATCTCCTGACCTCGTGATCCGCCCACCTCAGCCTCCCAAAGTGTTGGGATTACAGGCGTGAGCCACCATGCCCAGCCACCTTTCTCAACTCTTATGGTCAGCATCTCACCAGAAACACTTGCCACTTGTTTGGTTCTTTTGGTCTATCATTAGGCCAGTAAGCAGCCTGACTGCTGTTTACCCAGCCCTCCTGTTACTTGTGGGTTCTAACAAATAGCTTTAAAGTTGTTTTATGGTTAATTCAGTGTTCAGCTTTGGGGAAAGAAGTGCTTAACTGCCATTTTAATTCCCAGGGAACTGCTTAGTTCAGCATATTACCCAGGTAGAAAGTTACTACCTACAAAAGATAGATTACTACTTTTAGTAGCATTTATCAACACCTTTCCTAAAAAAATTTAAGTTTTTAGTACAGCTTTAAAATTTTACATCTTAAGTGACTGGTTCACTCTTAAGTAACTGCATGTGTTTATGGCCTTCATCTCTGCATACATAGAGGGGGTTAAAGTTACCGAAAAGTGAAAGACGTGATTAGGCAGTGTTACTCTTTTTGAGACAGCCTCACTGTCACCCTGTCCTAGAGTACAGTGGTATAATTCAATTACAGATCACTGCAGCCTCAAACTCCTGGACTCAGATGATCCTCCTGTCTCAGCCTTCCAAGTAGCTGGGACTATAGGGGTGTGCCACCACACCTGGTTAACTTTTAAATTTTTTTGTAGAGGCAGGATCTCATGTTCACCGGGGTGGTCTCAAACTCCTGGACTCAAGAAGTGATCCTCCCACCTCAGCCTCCCAAAGTGTTGGGATTACAGGAGTGAGCCACCGTGCCCTGCAATTCTTGTAAAGTGTATTGTAATGGAAGGAATGATAGCCTTGTCTCTACAGCTAGATTATGAATTACCAGAATATTGTGCTTCCAGCTTCTAGCATGGTGTCTGGTGTTATTGTGATAATAGAAATAAAATTTTAAGTGCTTACTCCTAAGTGCTTACCTGTATTTTTTCTCAATAATCTTAGAGGTCTCTGCCTTACAGGTGAGATAACTGAATCATTGAGATTAAGTAGTTCACACGGTGTATAGTGCTGTAATTCAAAACCAGACTCACCCCAAAGCCACTTATGTTTATACCATCTCCCATAGTTGAATGAATAATACAATTTGTGTAACAATGAAACTTTTGAAAATCCTGGTCATTTGTTTCTTAAAACCATTGTTTTTAAGTGGAAAGACTCACTTGACTATTTTAAATGCAAGTGTCTTCCACTGTTTGAGGCAGATCTCCACAGAGCAACCATAGGTGGTAAAAAGCATTGTATTCAAAGGACAAAACACTTTTGCAGCTAAGAGAACTTTGAATATGAAAGTATGAATGTGGTGTAAGACAGAGGTTGCTATCCTAACCAAAACGTTCTTCTGATTTCCGGCCAGTAATTTTATTTTATTTTTATTTATTTTGAGATGGAGTCTTGCTCTGTCATCCAGGCTGCAGTGCAGTGGTGCAACCTCGGCTCACTGCAGCCTCTATCTCTCGGGCTCAAGCAGTTCTCCTGCCTCAGCTGGGATTACAGGCGCCCGTCACCACGCCTGGCTAATTTTTGTATTTTTAGTAGAGACAGGGTTTCACCATGTTGACGAGGCTCACCTCAAGTGATCCTGCCACCCTAGCCTCCCAGAGTGCTGGGATTACTGGCATGAGCCACTGTGCCCGGCCTCAGGCCAGTATTTTTAAATATCGGTTAATAATTGCAGGAAACATCATTTCAGGTTGACTTTTCTCACCTTTAACCTCTTTATATAGCACAGTGCAATCTGGCCCTACTGCCACTTCATCTGGGTTATCTGTAGCTTGAGTTGTAAAAAAAAAAAAAAAAAAAATTGGGGGAAGAAGTTGGGTTAAAACTGTTCACCTACCCAGCATTGGAACATAATGGGTAAACAAAAAGTTGGAGTTACCATTTAAAAGCATTTTTCAAATTTATATTTTATATATAAGTAGGTGCTATATAAACTAATACTTTTTTTTTGTAAGAATGGATTTGGAATTTAGCTCAGCTGAAAATTGACTTCACCTTGATTCTCAGAGTGTACTTGAACTTTAAAGGAAGTGGGGTAGTGAGAATGGGTGGTTGGGGTTTTTTTGCTTTAATGTTTACCTAATTCTACTACTAGAATTATTTTTCTCCCCCTTAACTGGAAAGAAAAAAATTACACATTTATTGAGACTTCTTCCCATCCCCAACACAATGATCTAATCTTTTTGCTTTAAAATCAGTTAAAGAGTGTAATTTTTAAAATCCTAATCAAATGACTCAGATTGTAATAGTAGTTTTAGACAGAATTTTATAGGATGATGTTTTAATTTTATCTGTTGTCTGGGATGATCTGTAATCGTGTATCTTACTAGCCGAAAATGACTTCAATGAGATTAAAGGTCTGCTCTTTAAAATCTGTAAGTCTCCTACCACTGTCTTTAGGAAAAATAAAACTTTTGAACGGTTTTTTTATCTGTTGTGAGGTTTGCTTGAATTGTGTTGTTATAAATGAAGTTTATTTTGTTCCTCCTTCTCTGGCATGGACTCCTTAAGTGTCTTACATTATTGGTTTCTGCTTTAGTCATTTCTCCAGAGTCCCAAAAGGTTCATCCCGTATGTTCTTTCTATTTTCATGTCATGACCACATGAAACTTCAGATGGAAAGCTTGCCAGCTCATTAGAAAATGTTCCTAAATGTGAACGGTCATGCCCCACATTCATGAAGTCAGCATGTAAATAGATAACATTGTCAGGGACCAATGTTCAATTTTATTGTCCTCAAATAATAAACTGAACACTAACTTCAAACTTAAAATATTGCTGCCCAAAGCATTCTGCTTTAAACCACAAATTCATGTGCCAGCTGCATTCACAATTGTATTGACAGTGACTGGGTGTTTAAGTTTTATAACTTAGGCTATAGTTTGTTCTTTAAGAAATGCAAGTTCTTTCAGTTTTGTAAATGTTTTATTCTCACTATGTCTGTTTCTTTTCTTCTTAAGTCTCTTTTGGAAAAGTTCTTGATCCCCAATGCTTCACAAGCAGAGAGCAAAGTCTTCTATTTGAAAATGAAAGGAGATTACTACCGTTACTTGGCTGAGGTTGCCGCTGGTGATGACAAGAAAGGTATGCTGTTTTTAAACCTGTTGGTTGAACTTGTATAAGATAACATAGTGAGGAAGAGTCTCTGAAGCGTACATAATGTCTTGTTTTGAATTGCTTAGAGTGCCGAATAAGGAGTAGCAGTGCTCTTTGTGTTCTGAGAATACACATCTACTGCCTCATACTGCTATTCTAAAATAAATGCTTTCTGAAAAGCCAATATTGTGTACAGGGATGTTTTTTCAAGATTTTAAGAAAAGTGACCAGCCTGAGCAACATCTCTCTCTACAAAAAATATTTTGAAAATTAGCTGGGCATGGTGGTGCAAGCCTTTGGTCCCAGCTAATCTGGAGGCTGAGGTGGGAGGATTGCTTGGGTCTGGGATGTCAAAACTCGTCAATTTTTTAAAAACATAACAATAATGAGATTATAAAGTTGTTTTATCTTGACATTGATCAATGGCTAGTGTGTACCAGGAGAAAGCTCCCTTTAAAAAAAAAAAAGGACCTTGTTCAATTAACAAATATTAAGCTGTTACAGGTTAGTATTTCAAAGGATATGTGAGATATTAAAGGTTTGGTTTGAGGGGTGAAGATATAATGCACACTTTATCTCAGTACGTTTTGGTGTGTCTTATCCAGGGATTGTCGATCAGTCACAACAAGCATACCAAGAAGCTTTTGAAATCAGCAAAAAGGAAATGCAACCAACACATCCTATCAGACTGGGTCTGGCCCTTAACTTCTCTGTGTTCTATTATGAGATTCTGAACTCCCCAGAGAAAGCCTGCTCTCTTGCAAAGACAGTATGTATTTTACCTGTTACGTAGAAATTTAGCAGTCTTTATTATTTGAGCACTGAAATGTAATGTACTATTTTTAAATCGTAGGCTTTTGATGAAGCCATTGCTGAACTTGATACATTAAGTGAAGAGTCATACAAAGACAGCACGCTAATAATGCAATTACTGAGAGACAACTTGACAGTAAGTACATAACAGCATCATTAGTGATGAATGTGGTTGAAGAGGTTATGTTTTACTCTAGGGAATTTTTTTTTTTATTAAATACATCTTTTAAAATTTTTTCTCAACACATTTCATAGGCTCTCATAAATATATCTCAGCTACTATTAAAGTCCTATGAAGGAAAATTACAGAAACTGAAATATTAGACTGAGAACTAAAAAATACACACATTGATGAGTTACCTGTCTTGTTAAAATTTGTTAGTATCAAAAGTGTGCTGAGACTCTACATGTTTTAGTTCCTTTAAGAATGATTTTCTTGCCCATCAAGTTGCCTCCATATTGGTAAAGATAATGGTAGGGAATTAATAACTTGAGTTACAAAATCTCAGGTATCTACAGAATCCAAGTGGAAGTCTATTTTGCCTAGCTTCTTATTTTAAATGACTTAATATGAAAGGTCGTGATTGTCCTTGGGATACTGCAGATGTATAAAAAGAAACAGTGTCACTATCACACCAGGAACATCAACATAATTCCCTAATAATGTTTGAATATCTAAATAATACTTGAATTCCAATTATCTCTCTTTTTTTAAGTTATTTGAATTGGGATTCAAATTCAGTCCACAATGCAGTTGATTTGTATGTCTCGTTTGTTTCTTAGGTCTTCTCATTCTTCTCCTTCAGATAAATACTAGATTTGAAATTTTGAGGCTTAGGTGAAAAAATTATCAAGCATTTGCTGTGTGTCAGGTAAAGAGGTAGGAATTGCAGATCATAATCTAGGTATTACTGTTTTTTTGTTAGACTTCTAGGGCCATTTCTCTTGGGGACTATGTAATCTCATTTTATACATTTCTCTTCCAACTTTATTCTAGTCCACTGCCATTTTCTATAAACCAGTTCTATATGCTAGTGCTGAAAATCTTGAAGAGTTTTTTGAATAGTATTGTATACTTGTTTATTAAACCTAAAATTACTTTATTAGCACAATTTGGAGCTATCTATAAACTTTTCTGATACTTGAGTCAAGATAACAAGCCACAGTAAAGAATGAAAGAATCTTATATATCAAACATAAGAAGCACTTTGTTAACTAACTTTAGTATTAAGGATTTTTCTTTTCTAGTTTGAAGTGATGACATTTTTAAAGTGATGACCTGAGACCTAGATACTGTGTTTTGTTCACATCACTTTTTGAGAGGCCCTGATCTACTGTCTGCTTCCAACTGAATTTTGCTATCAGTATAGCATGAAGAGCGCATATTGCAATAAGAAAACCAGGGTTGGCCGGGCGTGGTGGCTCACGCCTGTAATCCCAGCACTTTGGGAGGCCGAGGCGGGCGGATCACCAGGTCAGGAGTTCAGGAACAGCTTGGCCAAGATGGTGAAACCCCATCTCTACTAAAAATACAAAAATTAGCTGGGCATAGTGGTGGGCACCTGTAATCCCAGCTACTCGGGAGGCTGAGGAAGAGAATTGCTTGAACCC
This sequence comes from Homo sapiens, assembly GCF_000001405.40. NCBI lineage: Eukaryota > Metazoa > Chordata > Mammalia > Primates > Hominidae > Homo > Homo sapiens. The sequence continues at coordinate 100,922,479 of NC_000008.11, read as the reverse complement.
GGGAGGCAGAGGTTGCAGTGAGCTGAGATCACACCGCTACACTCCAGCCTGGGCAAAAGAGCGAGACTCTGTCTCAAAAAAAAAAAAAAAGAAAAGAAAAAACCAGGGTTTTGATTCTAATTCTGTCACTACTTGTATGTCTTCTCTGAGCCTTATTAGTGTCAGCTGTCACCATTATAGGTTGATTGGAACATTTATCTGTCAAGAAAAGAAATTATCCCAAAACTTAATATTTCATTCTGAATTTGGTTGACCAAGACTGTCAACACATTACTCTAGAAAAAGAAATATTTTGTATCAAATTTGCATGTTTATACAGAAAATTCAAGAATCCTTGAAAGTTAGAACAGGAAAGAGACATTAGAAACAATTTCATCTTGCAATTACAAAACCCCTTGTTTGACAGGAGGAGCACACAGTTTCCAAGAGGTCATTTGGCTATCTGTATGACCTTGGAAGTAGTCTCCTTTCCAGGCCAGAGATATATTTGCTTAGTAGATAAATGAAGCTAATGGATGATTTGGGGAATATAAAAATAATAATTAGTGTATTTTCCCCTTCCCCTCCGTTTTCATGTGTAAGTCATATATAAAATTTAAGATTGTCTTGAATCCTTTTGTAATTACCTCTGAAAATCACTAGAGAGTGGTTAAGACTTCAACATTTTTAACATTGGAGCAGGTGGAATAGAGTTCATAACCCTGCCACCTATGGGACAACTTTCATTTTTACCTGTTAAAAGATTTGGTTCTGGTTTTTGTCCAGCATTTATTTTGAATCATATGATAGGGTAGTGCAAAAGTAATTGAGGGTTTTGCCATTTAAAGTAATGGCAAGAGCTGCGATTACTTTTGCACCAACCTGATAAATAAAGGTTTGTTTTTCTAAGCTTAAAGTGTTAGAAAAGCTAGATTTGTAGTTTAGCTCAGAGTTGAGGCTGGTTCTTGAATTTCATGGAGTATAGGATTCTGTTTGGAGTGTGAGTCACTTTAAGATCTACCAGTGGAGAGTAGTCAACCCTAGCTCCTTCAGCATGGGCCAAATTAGATGCTTCTGGTATAGTTGCACTCACCTTGGACGTCCATCTTTCATATTGGGGCTCTTTAGGTTCTGACACCTATTGATGCTTAGTTTTTAAAAAATAATTTAGGGCCTGGGCACAGTGGCTCACACCTGTAATCTCACCACTTTGGGAGGCCGAGGTGGGTGGATCACGAGATCAGATCAAGACCATCTTGGCCAACATAGTGAAACCCCGTCTCTCCTAAAAATACAAAAATTAGATGGGTGTGGTGGCACATGCCTGTAGTCCCAGCTACTCAGGAGGCTGAGGCAGGAGAATCGCTTGAACCTGGGAGGCGGAGGGTTCATTGAGCCAAGATCACGCCACTGCACTCCAGCCTGGTGACAGAGCGAGACTCCATCTCAAAAAAAAAGTATTATTTCTTGTAATTTCTCTTCACCTTCTGTGGATAACCAAAACTTTCCTGTATCTGAAGGTTATTTGAAGGCAACTCTGTGGTGTACTTAACCTGCTTATATAGTGGTTACAAAAAAAGTAAATTTGTATATTGAGATGTTTTTGTATCTTGAAGCTAAGTGATGCTGCTATCTTTTTAAGAATGCTTTCCAACTAAAACATTCAGGTATCTTGGCACTTATATGAAAACGCCCCCCCCCCCCCATCCCACTGAAACTTGCTGAAAAATCTTTCCTTCTTTTACCAGTTGTGGACATCGGATACCCAAGGAGACGAAGCTGAAGCAGGAGAAGGAGGGGAAAATTAACCGGCCTTCCAACTTTTGTCTGCCTCATTCTAAAATTTACACAGTAGACCATTTGTCATCCATGCTGTCCCACAAATAGTTTTTTGTTTACGATTTATGACAGGTTTATGTTACTTCTATTTGAATTTCTATATTTCCCATGTGGTTTTTATGTTTAATATTAGGGGAGTAGAGCCAGTTAACATTTAGGGAGTTATCTGTTTTCATCTTGAGGTGGCCAATATGGGGATGTGGAATTTTTATACAAGTTATAAGTGTTTGGCATAGTACTTTTGGTACATTGTGGCTTCAAAAGGGCCAGTGTAAAACTGCTTCCATGTCTAAGCAAAGAAAACTGCCTACATACTGGTTTGTCCTGGCGGGGAATAAAAGGGATCATTGGTTCCAGTCACAGGTGTAGTAATTGTGGGTACTTTAAGGTTTGGAGCACTTACAAGGCTGTGGTAGAATCATACCCCATGGATACCACATATTAAACCATGTATATCTGTGGAATACTCAATGTGTACACCTTTGACTACAGCTGCAGAAGTGTTCCTTTAGACAAAGTTGTGACCCATTTTACTCTGGATAAGGGCAGAAACGGTTCACATTCCATTATTTGTAAAGTTACCTGCTGTTAGCTTTCATTATTTTTGCTACACTCATTTTATTTGTATTTAAATGTTTTAGGCAACCTAAGAACAAATGTAAAAGTAAAGATGCAGGAAAAATGAATTGCTTGGTATTCATTACTTCATGTATATCAAGCACAGCAGTAAAACAAAAACCCATGTATTTAACTTTTTTTTAGGATTTTTGCTTTTGTGATTTTTTTTTTTTTGATACTTGCCTAACATGCATGTGCTGTAAAAATAGTTAACAGGGAAATAACTTGAGATGATGGCTAGCTTTGTTTAATGTCTTATGAAATTTTCATGAACAATCCAAGCATAATTGTTAAGAACACGTGTATTAAATTCATGTAAGTGGAATAAAAGTTTTATGAATGGACTTTTCAACTACTTTCTCTACAGCTTTTCATGTAAATTAGTCTTGGTTCTGAAACTTCTCTAAAGGAAATTGTACATTTTTTGAAATTTATTCCTTATTCCCTCTTGGCAGCTAATGGGCTCTTACCAAGTTTAAACACAAAATTTATCATAACAAAAATACTACTAATATAACTACTGTTTCCATGTCCCATGATCCCCTCTCTTCCTCCCCACCCTGAAAAAAATGAGTTCCTATTTTTTCTGGGAGAGGGGGGGATTGATTAGAAAAAAATGTAGTGTGTTCCATTTAAAATTTTGGCATATGGCATTTTCTAACTTAGGAAGCCACAATGTTCTTGGCCCATCATGACATTGGGTAGCATTAACTGTAAGTTTTGTGCTTCCAAATCACTTTTTGGTTTTTAAGAATTTCTTGATACTCTTATAGCCTGCCTTCAATTTTGATCCTTTATTCTTTCTATTTGTCAGGTGCACAAGATTACCTTCCTGTTTTAGCCTTCTGTCTTGTCACCAACCATTCTTACTTGGTGGCCATGTACTTGGAAAAAGGCCGCATGATCTTTCTGGCTCCACTCAGTGTCTAAGGCACCCTGCTTCCTTTGCTTGCATCCCACAGACTATTTCCCTCATCCTATTTACTGCAGCAAATCTCTCCTTAGTTGATGAGACTGTGTTTATCTCCCTTTAAAACCCTACCTATCCTGAATGGTCTGTCATTGTCTGCCTTTAAAATCCTTCCTCTTTCTTCCTCCTCTATTCTCTAAATAATGATGGGGCTAAGTTATACCCAAAGCTCACTTTACAAAATATTTCCTCAGTACTTTGCAGAAAACACCAAACAAAAATGCCATTTTAAAAAAGGTGTATTTTTTCTTTTAGAATGTAAGCTCCTCAAGAGCAGGGACAATGTTTTCTGTATGTTCTATTGTGCCTAGTACACTGTAAATGCTCAATAAATATTGATGATGGGAGGCAGTGAGTCTTGATGATAAGGGTGAGAAACTGAAATCCCAAACACTGTTTTGTTGCTTGTTTTATTATGACCTCAGATTAAATTGGGAAATATTGGCCCTTTTGAATAATTGTCCCAAATATTACATTCAAATAAAAGTGCAATGGAGACCTTGGGGTCTTTATTTCCAGGAGAAAAGATACCTTCTGCATCTAGGGCAACAATCCTTTTCCCTCGCAGCTCTTTCTTTTACCTCACTTACTGATTTCTCCTGACCCCCAAGCCAAGGAGGTAAAATAATTATATATATATATATATATATATATATATATATATAAAGTAATTATATTTTATAGCTAGACTGAAGAGGTGGGAATTTTTTTGTTGTTTTTTTTTTTTTTGGAGACAAGAGTCTTGCTCTGTCACCCAGGCTTGAGTGCAGTGGTGCGATCTCGGCTGAGTGCAACCTCCGCCTGCTGGGTTCAAGCGATTCTCCTGCCTCAGCCTCCCAAGTAGCTGGGATTACAGGTGCCCGCCACCACACCTGGCTAATTTTTGTGTTTTTAGTAGAGACAGGGTTTCACCATGTTGTCCAGGCTGGTCTTGAATTCCCGACCTCAGGCAATCCGCCCATCTCAACCTCCCAAAGTGCTGGGATTACAGGCATAAGCCACCGCGCCCAGTAGAGATGTGATATTATTCAAGTAAATAAAACCTGAAACTTGGCACATTTGCCTATTTAATGTGCATCAGTCATCTGAACTAGGTTGATCCTGGAATAATGAAAACACTTCACTAGTATTAACTAATGTTTTCTACATAGTAGTTCCCAATAGATTAAGGAAAATTTCCAACCTGAGATTCTTTGTTTTGGAATTTGAATAATGTGTTTGTAACTATTCCTTGATTGTCCCAAATCCAGGCTTTACGTCTGCTTTTGTCAATGTAACATCCTAGTGCCAGGAAATTGGAAAATCCAATGACTTTTTGTGTGTAAAGTACTGGAATTTTTTTGTTCGTTTGTTTTTAAGACGGAGTGTCAACTCTCGCCCAGGCTGGGGTGCAGTGGCCTGATCTCGGCTCACTGCAACCTTCTCCTCCCAGGCTGAAGTGATTCTCCTGCCTCAGCCTCGCAAGTAGCTGGGACTGCAGGCATGTGCCACCACTCCTGGCTAATTATTTGTATTTTTAGTAGAGAGAGGGTTTCACCGTGTTAGCCATGATGGTCTCATTCTCCTGACCTTGTGATCCGCCCACCTCGGCCTCCCAAAGTGCTGGGATTACAGGCGTGAGCCACTGTGCCCACCCTGGTATGTTTTTTTTAAATTGGCCACTTAAGAGTTGTCCTTCAGAAAGTGGAGCAGCAGTGTGATTAGTAAAAACGATGGGCTTTCCTGCAGCTCTGGCTTATGGTCTTTGTTTTTCCAGTTAACAGCTGTTACTTCATGCTGTTATAGGGGGTGGGGGGAGAAAGAGAAAGAATATGTCTAGTGGCTTAATTTTGGGGCTCAATTTGTTTATTATGTTTTTCCTGCAAAAGAGTCACCAGTCTTGTCATGGCTCAATGCATATTTTAAAATGAGTCAAAGCCAATTTGGAAGCTGCTATCTTAGGTTATTTGTAGTCAGGCTTCAAATGGAGAGTGAAACTTTGACTTTGAAAACTGGTGCTCTATGCTCAATGATGGTCTTACACATTCCTCTAGGGAAAGGTCAAGAAATAAATTTGGCTTGATTGTATTCTCTCATTTACCATATAGGAAATACTATGGTAGAACTGAAAATATGTACAATAGTAAAGTGGTGGCTGAGACTGGGCACTTGGAAAATAGACTTGGATTCTTTTCTAAGTGTGAAACTAATTAAATACTTTTATGTGACTGGTAGTAGTCACAGTCTCCTTGATTGATTCTAGTTCCTTTTCAAAGTGGAGAGACCTGAATATAGATTGTAACAGGATGTCCAACCTTGCCAGACAAGCAGGCATATATGTCTCTGGGATGCAGAAGCAGTTACAAGTTAATATATTTAAGCATAATGTTAGCCAATCCTAGGTGATACCAGAGATGTGAATATTTGATCATATTTGAGTTCATTCCTTGAAAGTCCAAACCTAACTGGTCTTAATTGATTACTTCTTAGTATTCCGAATTTTAGAATTTAAAACCCTATGAATTTTCAGTTTGTGCTTACATTTTCTAACATTGGATGTTTGCTTTGGCCAGCTGCTGTTCTGTGTGTTTTCTTACAAAGGCTTAGAGATTCTGGCTGGGTGTGGTGGCTCACGCCTGTAATCCCAGCACTTTGGGAGGCTGAGGCGGGTGGATCACCTGAGGTCAGGTGTTTGAGACCAGCCTGGCCAACATGGTGAGACCCCATCTCTACTAAAAATACAAAAAATTTAGCCGGGCATGGTGGTGCGTGCCTGTAATCCCAGCTCCTCGGGAGGCTGAGGCAGGAGAATTGCTTGAACCCGAGAGGCGGACGTTGCAGTGAGCCAAGATCATGCCATTGTACTCCAGCCTGGGCAACAAGAGCAAAACTCTGTCAAAAAAAAAAAGGGCGGGGGGCGCTTAGAGATTCATGTTTGAGTGAAGATTTGCAGAATGGGACCCAAATGGATATACAGCACAATCAAGATGCAGGGAATTAAGAACTTAACATGTGCTTGTAGGTTTGGGTTTGGGGGCTATGTGGGAGTATAAAAAATAGGCTATGTCTAGACTCCCGAGGGGAACTCGTTTTAAATGCCTATTCTCAGCATTCAGTTTCAAGAATTCTGAATATTTAGGTTGGAGCCCAGGAATATGCATTTTCTTAGCCAAAACTCCCATGGTTATTAATGATGCAGTTGTCCATGCAGCTGATGTCTGTAGGGGGAGGAGAAACACAGATGGGAAAAATGCAAGACTACAATTTAAGCCAAAAAAAAAAAAGGGGGCTTTTTTCTTTTTTTCTAAGAGGGATCTCACTATGTTACCCAGGCTGGTCTCAAACTCTTGGCCTCACGCAGTCCTGCCTCAATCTCCCAAGTAGCTGGGATTACAGGTGTGAGCCACCACACCTGGCCAAAACAAAAAGGCTACTTGTAGAACAAAAAGTTTGAATCTGCTTAGCAGATCATGTTTCCCAAAATAAGAGATTAGAGATAGAGGTTATTTATCAGAACAAATTTTTCACATTAATTACCCTGACTTAGTTTAGGAACAGACGCCATTTAGAACTTTTACTGTGTTGAGGGAAAGGTTGTACACACACATATAAAATGTGATTTTGTCAGTTTTTTTTAGTGAATGCTATTTGTATTTTTCTTACCTTGGGCCATATATTGAAGTCAACTTGAGGTGAATGAGCAAACTTTAGAGTGAATAACTCGCTGACCATTAAATGCAAGGAAAGCTCTCTTAAAATGGACACAGCACTAACTAGAAAAGAAAAATACATATAAACTCTTGAGTCTTAAAGCTACAAATCTGACTGTAAAAATTGACACAGATTGAAAAGACGCCTGAGACAAGACAAACATAACAAGATTGGTACCATGAGCAGAGGATGAGTGAGCAAATCTTCGTCTGTATTTACAGCCACTCCCCGTTGTTCACATTACTGCCTGAGCACCTCCTGTCAGATCAGCGGCGACATTAGATTCTTACAGGAGCATGAACCCTATTGTGAACTGTGCATGCGAAGGATCTAGGTTGCACACTCCTTAGGAGAATCTAATGCCTGATCTGTCCCTGTCTCCCATCACCTCCAGATGGGACTATCTAGTTTGCAGGAAAACAAGCTCAGGGCTCCCATTTAAGTGGGATAATTATTAAGCTGTATAGTTATTTCATTATATATTACAATGTAATGATAATAGAAATAAAGTGCACAATAAATGTGCTTGAATCATCCTGAAACCAACCCTCATCCTGTCCATGGAAAAATACGTCTTCCACCAAACTGGTCTCTGGTGTCAAAAATGTTGGTGACTGCTTTAGAGGAAATGAGTTACATTTAGTACATATTGATTCAGTCCGTATCAGTGAGGCTCTCCGATTACACCCAATATATGGCCAAATCTTAAGCTTTTCAGTATTTTTTTTCATCTTCCTTCAGGATTCTTCAAGGATTCTGTATTTAACTGAATTTTTTTTTTGTAGGAAAACTCTACTGACAACAGAATTGGAAGTACAGAATTTACTTATGATCTGTAAACAGTATATATCAAATATAAATATGGTTGTTGGCTTTTTTTTTTTTTCCTCAGGATTTGCAAGAGAGGAGTCCAGAAAGTCCTTTTTGGAGACCTTAGTCCCTTGTTAGAGGGTCTTTATATAAAGGGTCAAAGTTGAAGAGCCCAGATAATTGGAAATGAGAGATTTTCTTTGGAGAAAGCTTTCAAGTGCCAGGCATTTCTCCCCATCATGTGCCCCCCTAGTGGAGGAGGGGAGAGAGGGTGCTCTACTGGGAGCACTTCACAAACTCTTCTGGAATGTAACTCGTGTGGCACAGAGGGTGATGCCAGGCTCTGGGGAAGTGTCAAGTCAGGAGATGCTAGCTAGCTGGCTGTGCTGATGGCAGAATAGGGAGAAGTGACTGCTGTCAGAAATGGCCTATTCCCTCAAGGTTTGTGGAGGCCAAGAATGTGGACGTGTTCCCAGCAGGCCAGGATCAAGACAGCCTATAGCTATCTTAAGAGCAACTGGGCTTTTGAAGCAGTCTATGTGGGATGGACTAACAGAAACCAGAGTCAACCAGGAGCTGGTGGAGATGGCTCTCAAGAGAGAATCAGCGACAGGTCTCCAAATAATCTGTAAGGGACTAATTTGAAAGGTAGCTTAAATGTCAGGGTCTAAGGAGACCAATGCCCAGTTTTTCTAAGTTCCAGGCAAGTGAGACCTTTTCTGCCCCCACCTCACTGCAACCCCAGTGAAGCCAGTGCAGCCAGGGGGTGAAGAAGGAGTGGACTAGGTAAAGATGTAGAGATGAATCTGACCACAGATCCTTTATACCCTGGACCACAAAAGGGAGGAGAAGAACTTGAACAGAAAATGCAGTTAGGGGTTTGGATTACTGCCTTGTGACTAATAAATAGGACTAGACACTTTCATCCCCACATATAAGACAGTCAGCTCACAGAGAAAAATGACAAGGTGGGTCTGCAAACAACGGAAGCACTGGCGCACCAAAACTTGATCTACAGAGCCATCTGAAACTATAAACAAATATGCTGATGAATATTAAGAAGATGAAAGAAAGAAACCAAAGGTTTAAAAATATGATGCTGAAAACAATGAAATGTCTCTAGGTAATTAAACAGTATGGCAGGTAATCTAATTTAAAACTAAAACCCAGCTCAAACTAAGAAAACATATTCCCACCCTCTGCTTGATTTGCTTTCTTTCAAGGGCCTTTAAAGCAAAACACTAACCATGAAGAGTTTTACTTTTCCCAGGAAATGAAATATTTTCTAACACAGAACAGCAAATAAAATACTTTTTCTAACACAAAACAGCAGCTTTATTTTTTCCTGAGAATAAAGTCTTATTTACTCTTATTTTTTTAAAAAATCCAGTATCTTGATTGTATCATTTACACATTCAAATATGTTCAGTGTTGTATAATTTTTGGTGATTTGGGGTTAAAGACCTTTTTTTTGGTTGCATTTTTTTTTTTTTTTTTGAGACAGAGTTTCGCTCTTGTTGTCCAGGCTGGAGTGCAATGGCATGATCTCGGCTCACTGCAACCTCTGCCTCAGCCTCCCTAGTAGCTGGGATTACAGGTGCCTGCCACCACACCTGGCTAATTTTTGTATTTTTAGTAGAGATGGGGCTTCCCCACGTTGGCCAGGCTGGTCTCGAACTGCTGACCTCAGGTCATCCACCCGCCTTGGCCTCCCAAAGTGCTGGGATTACAGACATGAGCCACCATGCCTGGCCGCATATTCTTAACTGTAGGAGTGGACATTAGATATTCTGCCATTTTTTATTTTTAAAAAATTTTAAATTTACAGAAAAGACATAAAGAGTACACAAAGTTTTATGTACCCTTTTATTTTACCCAGACTTCCCAAATGTCAATATTTTTCCATTTATTTTTTCTCTAAAAAAATTTTCTTCTGAATTAATTGAAAGTTGCAGATCTGGCCGGGCGCCATGGCTCATGCCTGTAATCCCAGCACTTTGGGAGGCCAAGGCGGGCGGTTCACCTCAGGTTGGGAGTTCGAGACCAGGCTAACCAACATGGAGAAACCCCATCTCTACTAAAAATACAAAATTAGCCAGGCATGGTGGCACATGCCTGTAATCCCAGCTACTCGGGAAGCTGAGGCAGGAGAATCGCTTGAACCCAGTAGGTGGAGGTTGCAGTGAGCCAGGATCGTGCCATTGCCCTCCAGCCTGGGCAACAAGAGTGAAACTCTGTCTCAGAAAAAAAAAAAAAAGAAAGAAAGTTGCAGATATGATGCTGCTTTACTTCCATAGAGTTGGTTGTTTTTTTCTTAAGGACATACAAAATAATTAGTCTCATATAAAATTATGTAATTATCAAAATCAGAAAATTTAGTCTCATATGAAATTATATAATTATCAAAATCAGAAATTTACACTGCTATGATACTATAATCTACAGAACTTATTCAAATCTATCAGTTGTACCATTAATGTCCTTTGTAGCAAAAGAAAAACAATTTTTTGTCTAGGTCCTGGATCCAATCCAGAATCTCCAATTAATTTAGTTGTTAGGTCTCTAGTCTTTAGTCTCCTTTAATCAGGAACAATTTCTTGGTTTTGTCTTCATGGCCTTGACAATTTTGGAGAGTATAAGCCAGTAAGTTTTTATAGTGTCCCTCTTTTTTATTTCCTCTAATGTTTTCTTGTTAGTTTCAGGAATCTCATTGAAGATCAGTTGAGTCCTTAGGCATCCTAACAAGAGGCACATGATAACTCATTATCCCTTTACTGATGCCATTAAAGAAAAATAACTTTTCAGATAAGAAGTTAGAAGACCCATTATTTAATCAACATTTTCATTGTTGATAATTGCTAGCAGGAGATCATTTCTACTAGCAGCAATTACCTGACTGACCTCCAGCAGGAGTTCTTAATGACAAAAAGCTGTCCTCAGCTAGAAACTGCATATACAAGGGGATATCAGCAAGAAGTATACCCGCCCCCCCGCCCCCAACCTACTCAGGGCAAGCATTCTGGAGAGACACTCCAGCCAAGTGCTATACCCAATAGAGGCACAATTTAAGCTTCGGAAGGGCAGAAACTATGTCCTCTTTATCACTCTGTTCTCAGCACTCAGCACAGAACCTGGCACAGGGCAGATACTTATCAAACATTTGTGAATAAACCTTGAATCCCCTTCTGGCACCTGTGCTTCCTAACAAAAAGTCTACCTTTCTTCCTTTGTAAAAACCAAACATGATGAATGACAGAATAGGTACTCAAAAAACTATTGGGTTGGAGAGAATGAATCTGACTTGGGAAATTTGTTTTTAAGACTTTATTTCCAGAATAAAGTTTGTTTTGTTTTGTATTTAACAGCTGATTGTTCTTTAAAGAAGTAATGTCTGACATAGGGTATCAATAGTACCAACTAAGCTGGGCACAGTGGCTCATGCTTGTAATAACAGCACTTTGGAGGCTGAGGCAGGAGGATTGCTTGAGGCCAGGAGTTTGAGACCAGTTTGGGCAATACAGAGAGACCCTGTCTCTACAAAAAAAAATTAAAAATTAGCCAGGCACGGTGGCACGCGCTTGTAGTCACAGCTACTCAGAGGGCTGAGGTGGGAGGATAGCTTGGGCCCAGGAGGTTGAGGCTGCAGTGAGCCATGATTGCTCCACTACACACCAGCCTAGGCGACAGAGCGAGACCTTGTCTCAAAAGATAAAAGTAAAAATAAAAGTATCACTTGGAGTTATTGGTTAATTTGAAAGGGACTTTAGGGAGAAATGTACCTGGCTTCTAGAGTCCTAGTGCACAGCCAGCTTTCTTGTGGATGCCTGTCCTGAGGTCTGCTGGGCTGGCGCTCGTTCATAGGCGTCACATGGATCTGGGCTTTTCTGACCTCCACCGGGGCTTTAGTCTTTCCAGCCCATGATCAGAGTGTTACATCTATCTTCACAGGCTTATTCATGGTCCCAGGATTTTGTCGTAACTTAAGTCTTTGAGAATGAAGAGAGCTCATCTTTGGGATGTTTTGGTATGATCTGGTTGCCCTGAGACCACAGCTGCATTGACCTGGTAACATACAGTGCATGGACTAAGCTTCTAGGGCCTTGGTGGGGTGTGTGTGTCTACACATGTGTGTGTGAGAGAGGGAGGTGGAGGCAGAGTTGGAGACAGAGTTTAGACCCAGTGCAAGCCTGCCAGTTCTGATTTGGAGAAAGCAGCTCCTGAAAAAAACACCATCCAACTGTTCCCAGACTGATAATGAGGCTCAAGAAAAAAAGGCGCTAGAACAGTAATTCCTAAACTAGAATCACCTGGAGAGCCTTTAGAACTCCTGATTCCCCAGCAGCACTCAGACCTCCGATGTGTCAGTATTTGAGGTGGGACCACCAAGGTAGCATTCCTTTAAGCTCCTCTGATGATTCCAGTGCAGTCGAGTTTGAGAACCAGAGCACAAAACAGGTCACAGATGAGGAGCTGTAGGACTGTACTGTCCAATACAGCAGCTGCTAGCCGCCACGTGGGGCTATGGAGCTCTTGAAATGTGGCCAGACTGAATTAAGATGTGCCATAAATAAAAGGTGTACAATGCACACTGAACTATGAAGACCTAGTTTTCTTAAAAAAAGAATGTAAAAATATCACTGATGATTTTTAGCATCATGTTGAAATAATGCTTTCAATATATTGGGTTAAATACAACATATTAAAATAATTTTACCTCTTTTTGCCATTTTAAAATGTAGCTATTAGAAAGTGTTACATATGTGGACTACATTATATTTCTACAGTGCTATTTCAGAAAATCAAATTATTATAAGTAAATATATTACTCCTATTTAAAGAGATCCTCTGTGTCTTTTAGGAATACAGTCAGCTTTATGTAAGAAAAACCCAGCTGCAGTGGCTTAACCAAATAGGAATGAATTTTTCTGCAAAGACAAGAGTCAGGGTTTTCAAATTGCATAAATGGTGGCTCCTCGGGTCTCCAGGGACCCGGTCTCCTCCTGTCTGTTCATCCTCCAGTTGCTTCATTGCGGCAGAGTGTTCGTTCTATCTCTAGGTATCTGGAAATTTCTGGACCCATTACCAAGGATTCTCACAGGATAGGTCCGGATGGAACCCAGGAAACTGCATTTCAACTGGGTAATCTAGGTGCTTCTGATGTGTGTTGTCTGAGAAAAAGTGCCCTAAGTGTAAACTCTGTTAACATAAGGCAGCAAAACACAGTGGTTAAGAGCCTTGACTCCAGAGCAGCCCATCTGACTCTGCCACTGGCTGTGTAATCTTGGACAAGTTTCTTAACCACTCTAGGGCTTTGCTTCCTCATTTTTAAAGTGAGGGTGATAATAGCACTGACTTTATAGGGTTATACCAAGTATTAAATGTATTAATACTTTGTAAAGTGCTTGGTCCATAGGAAATATGATAGAAATATTTGTTAATAAATGAAAAAATAAAATATAAAGCGACTTCAGAGTATAAAGCTCACACATAAAACACAAAGCAAAACCCAGATCAGGGTCTGTCTGATTCAAAAGGAAAAATACGAGTCACTTTTAGAGTCAGACAGTTGATCGCTTACATAGCAGAAAGAGCAGTAAGCTGAGAGCCAGCTCCACAGGTTCCTGGTCCCACACACAGAAGGGAAGACACAAAAGTAACGGGCGGATGCCATGAAAGTTGTGGGTGCCCTGTTACTGAGGAGCCACTTACAGACTGCAGTAAGGTGGTTTCTTGTTCTGAGGGGTACAGGGCAGAAAATCCCACGCTTCATCAGAACCTGGAGGCCATGAAAAACTGATCGCCGTGGCGGCCCGCCTGAAGCGGCTGCTGTGAATACAGCAGCTGCAGCCAGGGAGGCGCGGCTGGGGCTCCAGGCTCCACGGAGCTGGCGGGAGCCGGGAAGAGGCCGAAGCCCCGCCCGCTTCTGAGTCGGCGGGGCGGAAGCCCCACCCTCCTGCGCAGCTGCAGCTGCCTAGCCAAGGCTCCCAAACCGGGCATCCCTGTGCTCTCGGGGGCCCCGGGAAGTCCCCTTTCCTCTGCAGGCTCAGAAGTGCCTGCTCCAGATGCGTGGCTTCTCCAGACTCCCAGTGTCTGCTCCGGGACTGAGCAAAGTTTTGGTCAAGTCCGGGCGCTTTGCAACCCGGCCGGGTGTGCGTACACTCGGGGCAGCCCTGCCATGCCAGCCCCCTGCCGCCTCTGCCCCCTCCAGACTTTGGGTGCCAACGAGCACGGGGAGGAAGGCTGAAAGGGGCCTGCAGGTCCCCCATGGCACGGATAGCCAGGGCATTGCGGTGGACAAACCTGTCAATGGCAGCAGGAGGCAGATAGGTTCCCGGGTGGAAAGGGGCGGTCCCGGTGAAGCCCCACTTTGAAGACAGGGACGACCTGAGGCCTGGGGCCTGTCGGTTCCCAGTGGAGTCCACCGCGGGAGTGAGAACTTTTGGTGTTTTTTCCAGCCCCGCCGATGGCCACCCATGGACCAATCAGCACACACTTCCTCCCTTCAAAACCCGTAGAAGTCCCAGACTCAGCTAGACTCGCAGAGAGATGTCAGGATGACCTGCCTGCGGATAAGAGCTTCTCACTCCGGGTCTCCTCTCCCCTGAGAGCTGGACACTCCTCAGGACCACGTGCCTGCAGAAAGGAACTACCCACTTCAGGTCTCCTGAGAGCTGTTCTGTCACTCAATGAAGCTCCTCTCTGCCTTGCTCACCCTCCAGTTTTCCATATACCTCATTCTTCCTGGACTTGCGACAAGAACTCGGACCCGCTGAATGGCGGGACTGAAAGAGCTGTAACACAAACAGGGCTGAAACACGCCCCCCACCCCACTCACCATGTTGCAGGTGACTAGGAGAGAACTGCTACCCTTTAGGGAGCCCAGACCTAGGAGCTCCCCGAGCCAGGTCTGTGACACCCTCTTTGGGGCTCTGCAGTTCCTGTTGTCTCCAAGCTTCTCGGTGCCACCACGTTGCCCAGTGCCTGCAGTAGAAGCGCTTGCGATATGATACGCCTGATCCAGCTGCAGCCTCACATGCAGCAGGTGCCTGGGCCAGCACCTGGAACTGTCCTCTCCAGCACAGCCCATACACCTGGCAGCCCATACACCTGGCTGTGCACAGTGGCCAGACCCTGTGCTTGCTCACACATCCCTTGCTGCTCAGCACCTGGCTTGCCCCTGGCAGGTGTGGGATCCGGGCCGGTAGTGTGAGCCAAGCACAGCCTGCTGGGCTGAGTGGGCAGAACAAGCCCAGGGGGCCCAAACAAAACTCAGGCAAAGACGCCACTGGCCACAGAGGTTTCCAGCTGAAAAAGTGACACCCCAAGAATCCTGTGACAAAACTGTCTCCTGACAGCCTTCCAGGGGACATAGGGAGGTGAGTGGGGGATGGCCTCATAGCAGCTTCATAGAGGTCTCCCTGCCTCTGCGTTCTGGGAGGATCCCGAGGTCTTCTGCCAAGACACAGAGAAGCTGTGACGCGAGCCTTTGCCCATATGGGTAACATGCAGCAGTGCTAAGGCACCATGGCAGAGCCATTGCCTACACAGAGCCATGTAGTCTTGGGCAAGAAGGGATTTGTTTAAATAAGGATTAAATCATACCCTAAAAACATAATGGCCATTTGGATAGAATCATGACGTACCTTGTAGGGAGGATGTGTTTTTGTTTTTCCTGGAAGTTTATATTGCATTAGTCACCAGAAGAGTGACATCTGGTTCTAAACAAACTGGAAGGTCATACTGGATACAAAATGAGAAATGAGTCTTGTCAGGCCTAGTGTGCAGGTCTGAGAGTAGAGAGACCTTAGCAAGGATCACAGAGCCTGAAAAGCCACTGTGGTGGTGAGGAGAAAGCATTTGGGCATTGCTGTGGGGTGTCACTTGGTACAACCAACTCAGAGGACAATTTGGCAATATCCTTTCAATTTCAAAGTCACATACCTCAGCAACTGAGCAATCTGCTTCTAGGAAGATTTCCTGTAGAAATACTCATATACCAAAGTTATTCAATGCAGCTTTGCTTAAATAGCACATGACTGGAAACCACCTATATATCTATCGTCTACTGAACACCAAACAGCCATAAAAAGAAAGAGGAAGCTTTTTATGTTTTCACATGAAAAAACCTACAAAATATATTGTTAAGTAAAAGAAGCCAGGTGGGCCGGGCGCGGTGGCTCACGCCTGTAATCCCAGCACTTTGGGAGGCCGAGGCAGGTGGATCACGAGGTCAGGAGATCGAGACCATCCTGGCTAACATGGTGAAACCCCGTCTCTACTAAAAATACAAAAAATTAGCTGGGCGTAGTGGCGGGCGCCTGTAGTCCCAGCTACTCAGGAGGCTGAGGCAGGAGAATGGCGTGAACCCGAGAGGCGGAGCTTGCAGTGAGCCGAGATTGCACCACTGCACTCCAGTCTGGGTGACAGAGCGAGACTCCGTCTCAAAAAAAAAAAAGAAGAAGCCAGGTGCGGGACAGTGAGTATATCAATTGTGAAAAAAAACTTCAAAAAGCAAAACAAATAGATTTGCTTATATATACATTAAATATCTGAAAAAGTTTACAAGAAACTGATATATTTTGTTGCCTCTCAGAAGAACTGGATACTTGGGGGAAAGGTGGGAGGAACAGTCTTTTGAAAATGTTGTATTTTTGGCCGGGCGTGGTGGCTCACGCCTGTAATCTCAGCTCTTTGGGAGGCCGAGGCGCGCGGATCACGAGGTCAGGAGATTGAGACCATCCTGGCTAACACAGTGAAACCCTGTCTCTTCTAAAAATACAAAAACAAAATTAGCCGGGCGTGGTGGCAGGCGCCTGTAGTCCCAGCTACTTGGGAGGCTGAGGCGGGAGAATGGCGAATGGCGGGCGTGAACCCAGGAGGCAGAGCTTGCAGTGAGCCAAGATCATGCCACTGCACTCCTGCCTAGGTGACAGAGCGAGACTCCATCTCAAAAAAAAAAAAAAGAAAGAAAATTGTGCATTTTTGACCCATGTTTGTAAATTATGACTACAAGTGGCTAAAACAGTCTTTGAAAATAATGTATTACGTGATGGCAAGCATTCGTCATGGGCCATTGGAGAAAGGGTCAGGCCTTAGTCTCACCTCCCACTCATCACTTGTGTGTTTGCACAAGTGATAACTTTCTTGCCTCTGAGTTTGGTTTCCTCATCTGTTTAAAGGATTCTTTTTTTTTTTTTTTTTTTTTAGACAGACTTTCTTACTCTGTCTTCTAGGGTGGAATATAATGGCATGATCACAGCAGCCTTGAACTCCTGGCCTCAAGCAATCCTGTCACCTCAGCTTCCCAAGTAGGTGGGACTACAGACATGCAACACTACCCCAGCCTAATTTATTAGTAGTAGTAGTAGAGACTGAGTCTTGCTATGTTTCCCAGGCTTTTCTCAAACTCCTGGGCTCAAGCGATCCTCCCAACTTGGCCTCCCAAAGTATTGGGATTACAGGTGTGAGCCACCGTGCCTGGCCTGTTAAAAGGATTCTAATAATGGGCTTTGGAATCAGACATCCTCCTAGAACAGGAAGGAGATTTGTAAGGAGCTGGGATTCCAAAGACAGAGCTTCAGAAGCCAGGCTGGTAATGGCTTTTGCTATTGCCCTGAGTGCCTGTTGCTCATCAGGTGTCCAAGTTGAAGATGTGAATAAAAAGAGAGAGAAAGCTGGGCTCAGTGGTGTGCACCTGTAGTCCCAGCTACTTGGAGGCTAAAGTGAGAAGATTGCTTGAGATCAGAAGTTGTGTCAAAAAAAAAAAAAAAAGAGAGGGAGAGAAAGAGAAAACCCTTACTTACTTATTCATGTCATCTCTATTTCCTCGGAATCCAGTGTCTGTCACTACAAAGACTCTTAGCCTAGAAGAAAGAAAAAAGTTCACTGTCGATTTATCCACCAATGTCCAGAGGACCATTAGACCTTCACTATAAAAATAATACAGAGAGGGGCCGGGTGCGGTGGCTCACACCTGTAATCCCAGCTCTTTGGGAGGCCGAGGCAGGTGGATCACGAGGTCAGGAGATCAAGACCATCCTGGCTAACACAGTGAAACCCCGTCTCTACTAAAAATACAAAAATTAGCTGGGTATGGTGGCGGGCACCTGTGGTCCCAGCTGCTCAGGAGGCTGAGGCAGGAGAATGGTGTGAACCCGGGAGGCGGAGCTTGCAGTGAGCCAAGATCGCACCACTGCACTCCAGCCTGGGCGACAGAGCAAGACTCCGTCTCAAAATAAATAAATAAATAAAATAATAATAATACAGAGAAAAAGTGTAATAGCAAAGAATATTTTCCTGTCTCACATTTAAAACACATGCAGCATGAGAAAGTGATATCACACCTGTAGCCCATACTTTTACAAAGAGTTTGCAAGCCCATGATCAAATTTCCTCTAAAACACAATAAGGACAGACATTAAAAACCCGAGTTTACGTGAGTGCCTGTGTTTGCTGGTCCTTTAGGATCAGCATTATAATAACCCTGTGTTTGTGTAGCATTTTGAAATTTTCAAACATTTTCATTGGCTGGGCATGGTAGCTCCTGCGTGTAATCCCAGTACTTTGGGAGGCTGAGGTGAGAGGACTGCTTAAGGCCAGGAACTTAAAATCATCCAGGGCAACATATTGAGACCACATCTCTAAAGAAATAAACAGATAAAATAAAATTAAAAAACAACACTTTCATAATCAGGATTATTCCTTACTTCTTACAACTGCCCTGTGAGATCGACAGGGTTGATACAAATCTTCCTGTTTTGATACTGAAGAAACTAGGCAAGTTAACCGGCTGGCCCCTAATCAGACATCCAAGGCTTGCCAAGCAGCGCTGGAGCCTGGATTGGAAGGAGGGTAGGCCAGGTAAAGCTGGGGTGGACAGAGCCTGGGGAGTGGAATGAGGAAGGCTTGTCTGGATGAAGCCAAGGTTTGTGTGGAGAAGCAGAGGGCGATAGGTATGGAGGGGCAGGCGGGAGCAGAGCCCAGAACACATGCAAGGCACTGGCTGTTCCTACAGGTGAGTGACTGATATCCCCAAGCTCTAGGGAGGGAGGGTCCAGGTCCTGCAGTGCCTGGGGAGGAGGGCAGCAGAGTGGGTCTCCAGCACCCCTTGCTGGGTTCCTTCCAAGCTAAGGGCAAAGCTGATAAGCACTAAGAAGGCTAAAGATGCCTCTTCTCCCAGATTTACATGTACTATGCTAGAGAACTCCTAAAATTCCCATCCTTCAAGATGCAAAGGAATTATCAGTGCACCCCACAATGGTGGGATTTCAGGCAGCAGAGAAGGCAATATTTTGTGCTCTCCCTAGCATCTCATGAATCATACCACTGAAGGGCTCTCTAGGGCCCTTGTATATAAGGCCAGTCTTGTGGCTTAACGTGACAAACGGGAACCATCCTGAATGGAAAAGCTCCAAGGTGACAGAAGGCATCTCTGCCCCTGCTTCTCCCCCAGCCCCTTTCTGTTAGAAGTCACCACCAGGAGAAGAGGGACCCCTGCTGCATGAACTCCAGGCTGTTCTGCTGGAAGGAAAGGTCAGGAGAAAGGACTGTCACCTGCCAGACCTCAGCATCAGAGAAGGGAGTCATGGACTCCTCTCTGTTCGTACTTCACTGAACCGTTGAACCTCAGGGTTGAAGAAAATGACCTAGTCCAACTACCCATCTGATGTAAGAATCACATGTTCATTCATTCATGAATTCACTCATTCATTTATCCATCAGTTTTTTGTTTGATTGATTGGCTTATTCATTCTTTCAACATCTAATGAGTAGCTACTCTGGCCCAGGCAATGCACAGAAGTTGAATAAAAGGCACAGAACCTTATCACTTGATCAGGATTCAAGCACAACTATTATTTAACAACAGATTGCAGTGTCAGTGTCAGATTTTAAAAAGAGATAGAGAAACAATATCGTAAGGTAATTTCAACAACGAGGCACAGATGGAGGGTTCTAAGCCACCACGTGTACCATTTTTCCCAGGTGGTCATTTGGACTCCGCCTGGACCTCTGGGACATGCATTTCCTGCCCATTGATTTGCAGGGCTTTCTCACCCTCAGAGTTTCCCTCCACTTACAGACAGAAATTTGTTCCTGTAGTTTCTGCCCATAGGTGCACTTCTGGGGCACCGTCCAGTTAGGCCTCTTTTTGTTATTTGGTTGTTGGGTCCCCAGGGGACAGACATTATCTTGGGTCGGGGAAGGCATATCCACTTTGGTTTCCCCTCGTTGATTTATTTAAGAGAAATATTCACCATCAAACCCCTTGTTTAATCAAAGGCTCCAGTGACTTTTAGCTACAGAAATTAAGACTTCGTTATAGCTCCTTCAGTGAGCAATTAGTGTGTAGCTTCCCTTTTTCCTTTGTTACACTCAGACTTTGACTTTCCTTCACAGTCTCTTGGGGATCCTCAGAAGATAATTCTACTGCTAAACTTCCTTTATCTTCTATTGCTAATGATTAACCACAGCAGCTCCAGGAAGCAAGAGGTGCCCCTTAAAAATACATGCGTAGGCCAAAAAGAAAGGTACGCCTAGAATTCTACACATCCAAAGTCTTATCTCCCCACCTCTCCAAAGGGAGCAGCTACTCTTAGGTTGGGTAGGCAGCTTAATATTCATTTCCCAGCCTCCGAGCACCACTTACTCTAGAGGTAGCTCAGAGCAGGTGGCAGCTCTGGGAAGTGCCTGAGAGCTCCCAAGAGTGGGTGGCTGCTCCCCAGAGGATGCTGCCCGAGTGGTGGTTCAGAGAATGATGACACATCAAAGACAGAAGGGGCCTCATCTTCAAGTTCAACCCTCTCATTTTGCAAATGAGGAAGCTGAGAACCCAAGAGAGGAGGTGATTTGCTCAAGGTCATGTAGCTTATGAACAGAGAGGAGGGAAATGTCTGAAGGAAAGACATGGATTTCCAGAGCATTAACATATGCTTTAAGGTACAGCTCCACACCTACCATCCCCAGCCCTGTGGTTGCCTTGGATAGAAAAAGATCCCTTTGTAGAGACAACTGCCTTCCAGCTCACACTGGAACACTAGAGAACTTGAACTGCCTTTATTTGTTGGTCATGATCCTTCTAAGCATAGGATCGAAACCTGCACTGCTCAATATGGTAGCTACTCACTGTATGTGACTCTTAAGAAGTTGAAATGTGGCTGGTCCAAACTGAGATGTGCTAGATTTTGAAGACTTACTATAAAAAAAGAATGCAAAATATCTCCACCACCACACCTGGCTATTTGTTTTGTTTTTTGTTTGTAGAGACAGGGTCTCTCTATGTTGCCAAGGCTGGTCTCAAACTCCTGGGCTCAAGCAATCCTCCTGCCTTGGCCTCCCAAAGTGCTAGGATTACAGGCATGAGCCACCTCACCTAACCTGAAATTAATTTAAATGATGTTTTCTTTAACCCAATATATCAAAAATACTATTTCAACATGAACTCAACATTAAAAATGTTAATAAGGTACATTATAATTTTTGTCATACTAAGTCTTTGAAACCCAGTGTAGATCATACACTTACAGCACATCTCAATTCACACTGGCGTATGTCAGGAGCTCTGTAACCACACTTGGCTAGTGGCTATTGTATTAGACTGCGAGATTCATAAAGGTGGCCTGTTACCACCTACGATATTGAAAGGATGTGCCGGCCACCTTCTTGGCCTTATCTCCAGGTGTTGGATGTTTTTTTCTGACAGTATCCAGAGCTTCATGTGAAATAGGTGGGCCCTGGGGACGTCAGGAAAGGAAGTGTTCATGTAGTGGATCCCAAGGTGTGCGGTGGGGCCAGAGTATCTGGGATGGAATCGTCACAGGGTATTTGGGATCATTTAATAAGATGATACACATAGTGTCTAGCATAGCGTCTGGTGACAGGGAATGCTCTGTGTTCATTCCTTTCTTCCCCATCCCCCCAACGCACATTTGCTGCAGCTTGGCTGGCTCCTTCTGTCAAGGGAGTTACCCAGATGAGTCATCTGCACTGCACGGCAGCGACTCGCCCAGCAAGGGGTGAAAGCACTGCTGGCTGAGAAACCCTTTTCAGAAACTTCCCACGTTTTTGGTGCTTACTCATCCAGAACTCTCTGCAGCCCGCAATGGGATTCGAACTGCTTCCTCCTTCTCCCTATGCTCAGAAAGGCTGAGAAAAGGAAAAGCAAATCAGATTCCCTAAGCCCCCTTGAGCAGATGAGTTTCCCTAAGACCTAAGCAGCAGCTGGAAGGCACAACTGCGCTGTCCACTCCGCAGGGGCCTGGAGGTGCCCCCCAACCCTGGCCAAACCCTCCAAAGCCAACCCTTCCCCTGGGCTCCTGGAAGTGCTCATTTGAAAAAGGAGGAAATGAGGTCACAAAGGCTGATAAGAGATGGCCACACGCCTCATGAAAAATGCACATGCACAAGGAAACATCATGACACATCAGGGCAGGTCGGATGGTCAGGACTTCCTGCCATCCCGCTGTCCCTGCCGCTGCCCGTTCTGAGTGGCCGGTGCCCATGCCACACGAGTTGCTATTTGAATAGTGCCTCTGGGTGAAGACGCCGTCACTGAGCCTCTCAGGTGCCTCCAATGCGCTATTACTGTTCAGGCTTCTGGGCCTCACACCTGCGACTTGCTTGCCAGAGAGGCCCCTGTTTTCCTTCCCATTTCTCCTTTTGTCTCTTCTCCACCAGATTAGAAAACAAAAACAAAGCAAAACAACCTTCCTCTATAACTCGCCTGGCCCGCGCCCTTGGAAGAGGGACCCCGTTAGACTCTCTCACTCTGCTGGCCTGACAGGGAACGGTCGCCTGAGCCAAAGACGGCAATGCGCATTGGCTGACTAGTGACTGGGTGGCCTGGATTGAAGAACTGAGCTGGATCAATCCGAGCGCTGTTTCTCTCTAGAATTTGAATTAACTCTACAAGTGGCCAGGGAGTGATCAAACAGACAAAAACAAAGCGAAGGGCATTAGAAGTTTATCTGAATTGTAGGCTTGGGGGCTATGGCCACCGTTTCGGGATCATTTACAAGCTGATGAGTGCATGGAAGGGGCTGATGTACAGAGACTGAAACAGCAGACAGTCACAGAGTGCGGGGCTGCGGGAGGGGAGGGGGAAGGCCCGACTGTGGAGGGAGAAGATTCTAGACTTCTCAGTGTCCCTTTGCGGCTCAGTGACCCTGGGCTCCATAACTCATTTCCTGATCTCGGGCCCCATGAGATCCCTCAGTCCTCTCAGTAAAAGCTTCTTTTTCACCTTTGCTAGTTTGAAGAGATGTTTATTCCTTGAAGCCAAAAAAAGCCATGTCTAGAGTATCATCCTCTGAGACTCAGATTGAACGCCCCTGCATGAGGAGACACCAGCTCTACCTGGGGCTCCTCTGCGCCTGCACAAGCCCCTGCCACTGCCCCACTGTCCCTGCCATCATCGCTTCACTTGACTGTCTCTCTCTCTGGGTTCTCAGCTCCTTCAAGGCAAGGGTACAGGTACGTCTTGCCTTGTCTTCCCAGCACCCAGCACCCAGCACAGCACTCGCTAAAGTATTAGTTGCCCCACAGATGAGTGTTAATTGAGAAAATAAAGTGCACTAGTGTTGTAAATCTCCACTCAAAATTCCTTACCTTTGTGTGGCCTTTATGGCCCAGGCTTTAAATGTATAGGTTACCTGATCAACCTTGCTATACGTTTTTATTTTGTTAGAATGATACAGATTTGAACCAGCTGCTGGGGAGTGTTTCTGGGGCTGTCCTTCACCCGACAAGTAAGTGCAGTGGGGAATAGAAAAGACGAGTGACTTGCCTGTCATCAGCCAGCTGGTGACATCATCATCTCTTGTCCCTGAATTTGGTATTTTATTAAGATTATGAAGAAATGCCCATAATCTACATCCATGTTTTTACCTCCACCTTAATGAATGAGTTGCAGTAGTTCCTCCAAAATGGTGAGACAATCCTTGAAGGCTTTTAGTCCCACCTCTGAGAGCCCTCACATTGCACCAGGGACCAAACAGTGAATCCAGGACAAGGTCTTGAAGGACATGGTCTCTCTAGGAACTAGGGCAGCACTGCCAGCTCTTAGCTTCGCATCAGCAGGTGTCTCCCTGGCTGTTCTTCCGGGCCTGTACCTCTCACAGAACCATTGAGTCAGGCCTCTGAGCTCAATTCAGACTCAGCCATTCCATTCTCTTCTTCCTCAAAGCATTTCCCATCATGTGTCATCGCCACCAAGAATGCTACAAGCAACAAGCAAGGTCTAGAAGCAAACATCATTCCTTCTCTGCTTATACTAGCCACATTTTCCCCTAAAGCACTAATGTGTGGGATGTTTTTTTCCTCAAAATGTTACCCTTTAATCAGTATGCTCCTAATAAGAGAACAATTCTTTACAGAATTTTAAGTAGAATCCCCAAATTCTAAGCGTTCACATTTGGATTTTTTTCTATGTATGAGATATAGGCCGGGCACAGTGGCTCATGCCTGTAATCCCACCACCTTGGGAGGCTGAGGCAGGAGATTCACTTGAGCCCAGGAGTTCAAGACTAGCCTTGGCAACATAATGAGACACTGTCTCTACAAAAAATTCAAAAATGAGCTGGGCATGGTGATGTGTGCCTGTAGTCCCAGCTACTCAAGAGGCTGAGGTGGTCGGAAGATCACTTGAGCCGGGAGGTTGAGGCTTCAGTGAGCTGTGATCACGCCACTGCACTCTAGCCTGGGCAACAAAGAGAGACCTTGTCTCAAAAAAAGGGGGAGATCTAGAATACTAGAAACATATATATTAAACAAATATTCTGGGTACAATCCAGTAATTAATATGTTGAAAATCATCTTAGCATTTTGGAAAACCCAGAAAGCTACCAGGTTTAACAAAAAGAATGGCTCATCCTATCATTCTGCACTCAGACCTCCACGACAGCTCCAGCATGCAGCATTTTTGACAAATGCAAACTGCTTCTTGAAGCTCCCATATAAGGGGGAAGAAATCTTCAAATTATAATCAAATTACAATAAATACTGTTTTATGCGCCACAAAAGTCACTATCTTTATTTTTTAATTGAGGTGAAATTCATACAACATGAAAATTCAACATTTTAAAGTGAACAATTCAAGACATTTAATACATTCACAATTTATGCAACCACCACCTCTATCTCATTTCAAAATAATTTCATTACCCCAAAAGGAAACCCCAAACCCATTAAGCAGCCACTTCCTATTATCCCCTGGGACCATTGCTTGTCCCCCCAACCCCAGGCAGCAACCCATCTGTGTCCTACCTCTTGGATTTACCTATTCTGAATTATTTTTTAAACATTTAAAAAAATTGTAATAAGAATCATATGTCATAAAATTTACTATCTTAACCATTTTAAGTGTACAGTTCAGTATTGTGTTCACATTGTTGTGAAACAGATCTCCAGAACTTCATCTTGCAGAATTGAAACTCTGTACCCATTAAACAACTCCCCTTCCTCCGCCTCTCAGCCCCCAGTGACCAGCATTCTACATACTTTCTATGTCTACGAATGTGACTACTTTAGATGCCTCATATTAGTGAAATGCTACAGTCTTTGTCCTTTCCTATTCTGGATATTTGACATAAATGGAATCATACAATATGTGATCTTTTTGACTGTCTTCTTTCACCTAGCATAATGTTGTCAAGGTTCATCCATGTTGTGGCATGTATCAGTACTTCATTCCTTTTTGTTGCCAAATAATATTCCATTTTATGGATGTACCAGTTTATCCATTCATCCGTGGATGGACATTTGGGTTGTTTCCAATCTTTGGCTATTATAAATAATGCTGCTATGAACATTTGTGCCTGAGGTTCTGTGTGGATAGATGTTTTCATTTCTCTTGGGTATATACTTAGGAGTAAAATTACCGGGTCATATGGTAACTCCATGTTACCATGAGTTACTGCTAGATTGTTTTCCAAATCAGCTGCATCCTTTGACATTCCCGCTATTAGTGAGTGAGGGTTTAAATTTCTCCACATCCTCACCAACACTTGTAATTACTTGTATTTTTCATTACAGCCTTCCTAAGTGGGCGTGAAGTGATATTTCATTGGGGTTTTGACTTGCATTTTCCTCATGGCTTATTGGTACTACAAATGTTTTGGTTAATGAAAGAAGAATGAATTAATGAATTCCATGAAAGCAACAAGAAAGCAGAGGGAACTCTTGGCCCAGTCTTTGCCATCTTTTCTTTAGTGTCTGACTGAATGACTTTCCTCAGCTCCTGGCCCACCAAGGTCTCTGGTGGCTCATTCAGCCATTAGAAACCAAGCAGATCACAATGCCCATCCAACCAATGCATCAAAAGGTCAGTCCAAGAGACTCAGGCCTGCAGGAATGTAGAAACAAAGGAGGGGACATTCTTTTTTTTTTTTTTTTTAAGTACAATTTCCATTTTATTTTTCTCCAGAGAACAGCCTGTCTTCAGTCTTTAAGAACTCAGCTCCTCACATGGGCTTTGGTGGGGGACGTGGGGCAGCACCCGCAGGTCTAAATCGGGGTGGGGGTGTTCGGTCCTTGCGGGCTTCACGAGATCGATTCCTGACTACTTTGCTGTGAATTGCACAACTCACACAGTAATGTAGCTTCACATACAGCTTGGGAAGCACATAGGCATCGAAGACGCTCACTTCAGAAATGTCCCTGACTGCTGCGGCCTCCACTATGTTTCGAATGACGAATTTCTTAATGGCCTTGTCCTTGGGCACGCATCGGGCACAGTTAGTGCAGCGAATAGGCTGCACGTGGCCGCGGCCCTTTTTGGCACGACCATTGTTCCTTCTTTTCTTTGTCATCTTGGAGGCACGGACCGGAGAGAGCAGAAGGGGACATTCTTATCTTTACAGCTTTCAGCTAGAGGTGGAACTGTCCCTGTTAACGGGCATTTTGGTTATCACAATGACCGGGGTAAGAAGAAAGTCAGCACTGGCATTAAAGGGGAGGGGTCAGGGATGCTAAATGTCTTGCAATGCATTGCAAGGACAGTCTTCCCTAAAGAAATACCTCCACAAAATGCAACTACGGAGGCCAGCCACTTCTCAGGAAATGCTCCAGTTATTGGAAAAAAATCAGGATTACATCAGAGCAAATCAAGGGAGGGACCATTAAACCAATAGAGAGACTGCATTGAGGGCTCACTGTTCAACAGACTCTGTGTGCAAAGAACTGTGGTGTGTGTTTTTTCATTTTATTCTCATCACAGCATGTATTAGACAGCTCAGGCTGCTGTAACAAAAAAACCGTACACTGGGTGGCTTAAACGACAGACATTTATTTCTCACAGTTCTGGAGGCTGGAAAGTTCAAGGTGCTGGCAGACTCACGGGCTGTTGAGGGCCCTCTTCCTGACTTACAGATGTCCATCTTCTCACTGTTCTCACATGGCAGAGAGACAGTAAACTCTAGTCTCTCTTCCTCTTTGTATAAGGACACTAATCCCACCATGGAGGCCCCACCCTTATGACTCTGCCTAGCCCTAATCACCTCCCAAAGGTCCTACCTCCAAATACAATCATATTGGATGTTAAAGCTTCAACATACAAGTTTTAGAGGGGGATACACTCAGTCTATGACACACATTAACAATGTATATTCCCAGTAAGTAGGGTAACTGAAACCATGAAGAGGTGAAATAGCTGCCCAAGGTCACACCATTAATAACCAGCCAAGTTGGAATTTGGAATTGGATCTGCCAGATTCCAGAACCCGGATTTTAGCCTTCCTACTGTGCTCGGTCTGATCAGATCATCCATTTAAACCCTTGCTTTGGGAGAATTGCAAAGGTTCACCTCCTGGCAGGCAGAGAGAGGGAAAATAATTCCCTAGTCCCAAAAGCAGAGAATGATCTTTACAATCATCTAAGTCCAAACCTTCATGCTAGGGTCAAGAAAACTGAGTTCCGGAGTGGGTAGTGAGTGGCCCCTAGCTGGGCAGAGCTAGAATTAAAAAGCCCCACTTCCCTGACCTTCATCAGGGACATTTGTACCACTGCAGGCCAGCCTGGCTGTAGGCCGTAATGACTGAGTCTTGACTCTGTGCTCCATTTGACAACATAATCAATACTCCCCTCCCACTGTCAGCAGTCTATGACATTGTCTATGACCTCGTTCATGCCCCATTCTTTCCGCTCTAAGACTCCAAAACGACAAGTTGACTGTTTTATAGGTTTGTTTTTAAACTATATTTTAACATAAGGAATGAATCTTTTCAGGAGTGAAGACAGGTAAATTGAGACCAAGCAGCAGAGCCTACAGCATCCTTGACTATTTCAGGACTGCCTTCGACAACTCCATAAACCAAGTGACACTCTTTTGGAATCCCCTGTTTTGTGACACCTCCCCCCTATATGGAGTCAGAAGACTTGGGTTGGGATCCAATGCCAAATGATTACTTGGCAGATTATTTTTTTCCTTTCCGAGATTCTATTTCTCCATTATCATTATTGGAAATAATGATATTTACTTTAAAATAGAGTTGTAGTGAAGATGAAACAATTAGACAAAATAAACCAAAGCTTGTGAGAAGACAGCCTATCCTGTGTGCTCTGGACCTGGCTCACTTCCAGTGGTTCGCTAATGGCCTCTGGGGGACCACTGGTCACCATCTCACCTCAAACCAGGTCCCTTCCAAGGGCATCTGCTTTGTCCTTGTCACTTAAAGTGCTTCAACACAAGAATTATGGTGTATTGATGCTACTCTGACAGGCACTGAGGTTGGTAAGTGGGGCAAGAGAGTCTACCTGTTTCCCTAGGGAGGCTGTTACCAACATTGTCAGCCCATGTAGGAGGCCTGCCATCCACCTTCCATGTGGCCCAGGCCATGGAATAGGGACTGAGCATTGCACTTGTAGGGACAAGCACACTCTACTTTGCTTCACTCTGCCTGGCGGTCTCTGTTCTCCCTTCCTATCCCCTTTTACACCCTGGGTAAAAGTAGGGAAGGAATAGACATGCCCTGGTATGGCAAGAAGACCAAGGACTTCTCAGCATGGAGATGTGAACTCAGGGCTGGAGCTTGGCTCCACTGCTTTCCAGCTGTGTGACTTAGGAAAATGACTTCAACTGTCTTTACCTTAGTTTCCTCATCTGTAAAATGGACATAATAATAATTCCTATATCACCAGACTGTTGTGAGAATAGAAGAATATGTATATTTCCAGTTATCTATTGTTGCTGCTATGTAACAAATTAGCCCTAGATTTATTGGTTTAAAATACAACCATTGGTTTTCGCTGTGTTGGCCGGGCTGGTCTCCAGCTCCTAACCGCGAGTGATCCGCCAGCCTTGGCCTCCCGAGGTGCCGGGATGGCAGACGGAGTCGCGTTCACTCAGTGCTCAATGGTGCCCAGGCTGGAGTGCAGTGGCATGATCTCGGCTCGCTACAACCTCCACCTCCCAGCTGCCTGCCTTGGCCCCCCAAAGTGCCGAGATTGCAGCCTCTGCCCGGCCGCCACCCCGTCTGGGAAGTGAGGAGCGTCTCTGCCTGGCCGCCCATCGTCTGGGATGTGAGGAGCCTCTCTGCCTGGCTGCCCAGTCTGGAAGGTGAGGAGCGTCTCTGCCCGGCCGCCGTCCCATCTAGGAAGTGAGGGGCGTCTCTGCCAGGCCGCCCATCGTCTGAGATGTGGGGAGCGCCTCTGCCCTGCCGCCCCGTCTGGGATGTGAGGAGTGTCTCTGCCTGGCCGCCCCGTCTGAGAGGTGAGGAGACCCTCTGCCTGGCAACCGCCCCGTCTGAGAAGTGAGGAGCCCCTCCGCCTGGCAGCCGCCCCGTCTGAGAAGTGAGGAGCCCCTCCGCCCGGCAGCCGCACCGTCTGAGAAGTGAGGAGCCCCTCCGCCTGGCAGCCGCTCCGTCTGGGAAGTGAGGAGCGTCTCCACCCGGCAGCCACCCCGTCTGGGAGGGAGGTGGGGGTCAGCCCCCCGCCCGGCCAGCCGCCCCGGTCCGGGAGGTGAGGGGCGCCTCTGCCCGGCCGCCCCTACTGGGAAGTGAGGAGCCCCTCTGCCCGGCCAGCCGCCCTGTCCGGGAAGGATGTGGGGGGGTCAGCTCCCCGCCCGGCCAGCCGCCCCATCCGGGAGGTGAGGGGCGCCTCTGCCCGGCCGCCCCTACTGGGAAGAGAGGAGCCCCTCTGCCCGGCCAGCTGCCCCATCCGGGAGGGAGGTGGGGGGGTCAGCCCCCGGCCCGGCCAGCCACCCCATCCGGGAGGGAGGTGGGGAGGTCAGCCTCCCGCCCGGCCAGCCGCCCCGTCCGGGAGGTGAGGGGCGCCTCTGCCTGGCCGCCCCTACTGGGAAGTGAGGAGCCCCTCTGCCCGGCCAGCCGCCCCGTCCAGGAGGGAGGTGGGGGGGTCAGCCCCCCACCCGGCCAGCCGCCCCATCCGGGAGATGAGGGGTGCCTCTGCCCGGCCGCCCCTACTGGGAAGAGAGGAGCCCCTCTGCCCGGCCAGCCGCCCCATCCGGGAGGGAGGTGGGGGGGTCAGCCCCCCGCCCGGCCAGCCGCCCCGTCGGGGAGGTGAGGGGCGCCTCTGCCCGGCCGCCCCTACTGGGAAGTGAGGAGCCCCTCTGCCCGGCCACCACCCCGTCTGGGAGGTGTACTCAACAGCTCATTGAGAACGGGCCATGATGACAATGGCGGTTTTGTGGAATAGAAAGGGGGGAAAGTTGGGGAAAAGATTGAGAAATTGGATGGTTGCCATGTCTGTGTAGAAAGAGGTAGACATGGGAGACTTTTCATTTTGTTCTGTACTAAGAAAAATTCTTCTGCCTTAGGATCCTGTTGATCTGTGACCTTACCCCCAACCCTGTGCTCTCTGAAACATGTGCTGTGTCCACTCAGGGTTGAATGGATTAAGGGTGGTGCAAGATGTGCTTTGTTAAACAAATGCTTGAAGGCAGCATGCTCGTTAAGAGTCATCACCACTCCCTAATCTCAAGTACCCAGGGACACAAACACTGCGGAAGGCCGCAGGGTCCTCTGCCTAGGAAAACCAGAGACCTTTGTTCACTTATCTGCTGACCTTCCCTCCACTATTGTCCTGTGACCCTGCCAAATCCCCCTCTGCGAGAAACACCCAAGAATGATCAATAAAAAAAAAAAATAATAAATAAATAAATAAATAAAATACAACCATTGATTATATCTCAGATTCAGTGGGGTGGGAGTTCAGGCAGGGCTCAGATGGATGGCTCTTCTGCCCCTTGTGGCATTGACTGAGGTCACTCGGTGGTATTCAGCTGGTAATGAGCTGGTCTGGAGGCTCCACTCACATGTCTTATGCATTGGCTGGGACAGCTCCGAGGCTGAGTGCAGGTGGGGACTGCCTGCTAGAGCTCCTATCTGTGGTTTCTCAAACATGGGGCCTCAGGGTAGTAGGACCTCTGCCATGGTGGCCCTAGGCTTTCAGAGTGTGTTCCAAGAGACAGAAAGTGGGAGCTGATTGTTTCTTAATGCCTAGCCCTGGACACTGGAGAGGTCCGTTTTTACTGTATTCTATTGGTCAAAGTAGTCACAAAGCCTTCTAAAATCAAGGGAAAGTGACTCAAAGCCCACCTATCTCTGGGAGGAGTGTCAAAGAATTTGCAGTCATCTTTAATGCACCACAATAAGTAAAATGAAACCCTTTTCTTCTTTTGAACTTTTAAAAATATTTTATATTTTTATTTCAATAGTTTTTGGGGTGCACGTGGTTTTGGTTACATGGATGAGTTCTTTAGTGGTATATTCTGAGATTTTAGTGCACTTGTCACCTGAGCAGTGTACATTGTACCCAAAATGTAGTCTTTTATCACTCACCCTCTTCCCAACTTCCCCTTCATCAGTCCCCAAAGTCCATTGTATCGCTCTGTATGTCTTTGAGTCTTTATAGCTTAACTCCTACTTATAAGTGAGAACATAACAGTATTTCGTTTTTCATTTCTGAGTTACCTTCTTAGAATAATGGCCTCCAGGCTGGGCGTGCTGGCTCATGCCTGTAATCTCAGCACTTTGGGAGGCCAAGGCAGGCGGATCACGAGGTCAGGAGTTCGAGACTAGCCTTGCCAACATGGCGAAACCCCATCTCTTCTAAAAATACAAAAATTAGCTGCGCATGGTGGTGGGTGCCTGTAATCCCAGCTACTTGGGAGGCTGAGGCAGGAGAATCATATGAGCCCGGGAAGTGGATGTTGCAGTGAGCTGAGTTTGTGCCATTGCCCTCCAGCCTGGATGACAAGAGCAAGACTCTGTCTCAAAAAAAAAAAAAAAGAAAGAAAGAAAGAAAAAGAAAAGAAAAAGAATAATTGCCTCCAGCTCCATCTGAGTTGCTGCAAAGTACATTATTTTGTTTCTTTTTATGGCTGAGTAGTATTCCATGGTGTATATATATCACATTTTCTTTATCCACTTGTTGGTAGATGGGCACACTTAGGTTGGTTCCATATCTTTGCAATTTCTTGCACTTTGTTTTGATGAGGTGGTTACTAAGTATAGCTGGTTCAATTTGCATAATCTCAGTGTGACTAAGTCACATGACTTCTATGTATTGAGGGCCTCCTCTAAGCCAGGCACCACTTACCAGAATCTCATCTGCATGATTTCTCATAATCACAACACCTTGAAGTGCAGATTCTATTATGCCCTCATCCTAACAGAGACCAGGAGAGGTTAAAGAACTTGTCCAGTGCCAGGTCTTCCCTCCTGCCCAGTCCCCTGACCTCCACCCGCCATGCTGCTTCTAGGCCTGCATTCCCAACACCCCCTCTTCCTGGTTGCAGAATCTTGGGTGATGCACCATGTGGATCCCAGATCTCACTGAATCCCTTTCCTGTACACTCCTGCAGCACCTCAAGTAACAGTCCAAGCCTCTCAGCCCGACTCACCTCATTTTCTGCTCCTCCCACCTTAAGCTTGGGATCCAGCAACACTTAACTGCTTCTGGGTGACAGGATCCCCAGGCCCCGCCACACCTCTGTGCCTTTGTGCCTGCTGCTCCCTTTGCCTGGAACACCCTCTCCTTGTTTTTCTACTTGGCAGGCACCTTATATCCTTTGAGTCTTAGCTCTTCTGTGAAGGCTTCCTGATGCCGCCATGTAGACTTGAGAACTCATTCCTTTGGGCCCTCATAGTGCCTGTGGGCCTCTGTTACAGCTTTTTCTGACAGGTAGGGACCCTGCCTTCTCATCTTTGCAACTCCACTATGTAGCACCATACCTGGCCCTCAGCCTTCCAGAATCTGTTCCCTAAATGAAGCTGCACTCCCTTCACCCATTCCCCTGGGCCAGCCCCTGGAGTTGTGTAGTTAAGCAGGGAGGTCCGGGCTTATGGCCAGATAAAGTAATTCTGAAAGGCAAACAGAGTGCCTTGGGCAGTTCTGCAAAGGCTTAGCAGAGTGGGGAGAGAGACTAGAGCTTTCCAGTTCTCTTTTGATGAAATGCAGGTTGCACATAATTTCCTCCTTTTTCTGGCGAGGAAAAAAAAATCTCCAGAAATCTATTAATCATTCTCTGGGCCTTTCCTTTCCCTGAGGTTTGGCCCCAGAAACAGGTAGAATGCAGAGCCTTCTCTAGCGATGGGGGCCAGGAGTCAGTGCAGACAAAAGAAAGCCTGGTTTAGTAACAAGGTTGAATTGTGTTCCCCCAAAAGATGTTGAAGTCCTAACCCCTAGTACCTGTGAATGTGACCTTATTTGGAAATAGGGTCTTTGCAATATAATCAAGTTAAGATGAGGTTATTAGAGTGGGCCCTAATTCAATATGACTGTGTCCTTATAAAAAGGGAACATTTCACCCAGAGACACAAACACACACACAGGGAGATGCCATGTAGAACATAAAGAGGCAGAGATCACGGAGATGCATCTACAAGCCAACGAACACCAAAGATTGCATCAAACCACCAGCAGCTAGGAGAGAGGCGTAGAACAGGTCCTCCCTCACTGCCCTCAGGAGGAACCAACCCTGCCAGCTACTTGGTCTCGGACTTCCAGCTGCCAGAACTGTGAGATCAGAGATCTCTGTTGGTTAAGCCACCCAGATTGCCATACTTTGTTATGGCAGCCCTAGCAGGCTACTAGAGGCTTCAACCTGAAGTTAGCAAGACCGAGCAGATGAGAGTGGAGAATGGGTGTTGCTTGGGAAGTGCCCAGGGCTGGCTTGTTTGCATGGAGACTTGAGGAACCATTCACAATTCCTGGGGATTCACACATAAAGAAAGAACATCAGCAGGTAAGCCCACCCTTCTGTCCAAGGTCTCCTGCTGCCTCTAGACCTGGCCAGGGAGAGCCATGGACCTTTCGAAAACCCTGACCTCTTCAGCATCGTCACTTGCTGGGGCCTCAGGCACCTCTGAAAATCAGAGAGTGGCCGCTACTTTACTGGGGGCAGAATAAATTTAAAGTGCTGTCAGCTTGTCTTCCAACTGTCAGCTCAGGCCATAACATTATATATTTTTCATCAATAATTTAACTGTCTCAGGAATAGAGGCTCCAGAGTAGTCCCCAAGGAGCGGACTAGCTGCATTCATTATTAACTGGGTACTTACAGCCTTGCCCTGAGTGCTGGGGGTTTCTGCTCTAGGCAATGCCTTCCCCCACTACTTCTCCCTTCCTCTCTCTGCCCTTCATTCCGTCTTCCCTTCCTTCCTTCCTTTCTTCTTTCTTTCTTTTCTTTCCTCTTTCTTTCTTCCTTCCTTCCTTCCTTTCTTTCTCTTTCTTTCTTTCTTTCTTTTTCTTTCTTTCTTTCTTTCTTTCTCTCTCTCTTTCTCTCTCTCTTTCTTTCTCTTTTTCTTCTTTTTTTTTTGACAGAGTCTTGCTCTGTTGCCAGGCTGGAGTGCAGTGGCGTGATCTTGGCTCACTACAACCTCTACCTCCTGGGTTCAAGCGATTCTCCTATCTCAGCCTCCTGAATAGCTGGGATTACAGGCACATGCCACCATGCCCAGCTAATTGTTGTATTTTTAGTAAAGATGGGGTTTCATCATGTTGCCCAGGATGGTCTTGATCTCTTGACCTTGTGATCCACCCGCCTTGGCCTCCCAAAATGGTGGGATTACAGGCGTGAGCCACCGTGCCTGGCTGCTAGTCATAATTTTTAAATGTATAACAATTTTTTTAAATTTTATTGTACTTTAAGTTCTGGAATACATGTGCAGAATGTGCAGGTTTGTTACATAGGTGTACATGTGCCATGGTGGTTTTCTCCCACAAATAATTTTATTTTTCTCAAAATGACTTTCCAAGAGAAAAATCATTATAGAATAGGCTGTTTTGGATCTTAAAAAAATAATGCAAGCATGACATTGTTGGAAATGACTCAATTAAACTAATCTTTTTTAAGCATGTGCTATGTGCACAACACTTAGTGGCACAGTCCCTGCCCTCAAGAACCTTACTTAGTAACATGGGGAACAATGGAAGGAGGAAGTGAGATTTGGCCAGAGCTGGGATGCTGAGAAGGTTTAAAAGAGACAAAAGAAAAAGAAAGAAAAAAAGAGATAGATGTCATCATAAGTTATGGGAAGGAGACAACAAACTTCTTAAAGATCTTTGAATTTTTAATTTTTGCCATCATATATCAATCCTGCAGTTTCCTTATTTTTAAAATCAGGTAATAATATTTGCTTGTGTCAGACAGCATAGGCTATTTTATGCTGCAGTAACAAAGACTCCCAAAATCTCAGTTGTTTAATAACACTAACATTTGGCTGGGTGCGGTGGCTCACGCCTGTAATCCCAGCACTTTGGGAGGCCGAGGCAGGTGGATCACCTGAGGTGAGGAGTTCGAGACCAGCCTGGCCAACATGGTGAAACCCCATCTCTACAAAAATACAAAAATTAGCCGGGCATGATGGTGGGTGCCTGTAATCCCAGCTACTTGGGAGGCTGAGGCAGGAGAATTGCTTGAACTCGGAAGGCAGAGGTTGCAGTGAGCCAAGATCATGCCATTGCACTCCAGCCTAAGCAACAGAGCGAGACTCTGCCTCAAAAAATAAAAATAAAAATAAAAATAAACCACTAACATTTGTCTTTCACTCATGCAAAATGCCCACCGTGGGTCCAGTTAATTCTCCAGGGCAGCTGTTCTCCATGGATTGTTTCAGCTTTCCAGGGATGTTTGGTCTTAAGGCACCTTGATATCAACATGTAACAGGAGAAGATGACGTTTAAGTGCTTCCATGCAGACATAAAATGTGTCCCTTCCATTTACATTTCACTGGTCAAAGCAAGTCAGATGGAGAAACCTAATTTCAAAGGGGCAAGGAAGCACTATCCTCCCTGCTGGAAAGACAGGAGAACCTGACGTGTTGGTAACCAGCAGTGTGTCACTCTGCTGTCCCAGAGGGTGGATGTGATGAATCAATGGGATTGAGTAATTCTTGAGAACCACACAGCCATACTGAGAGGGGACTGCTAAGAGGTCAGTTAACCCCACTTACACTAAGTGACTAACTCCTGCCCACCAGCCGGGGGGATACAACTATAACTGGTGAGTCATTAGTTACTGCAGGTTTTGGAACTTCCATGTCATTCTTCAGGAGTTGAGATTCAAGTTTTAAATTTGAGAATACAAAAATTCTCTGTGTGTGAAATGAATAGACATAGTGACTTCAGACAACTTATAAAGTCTATGAAAATTTATGTTTCTGTTCCTTTATATTTTCACTCCTTCTGTCTTAGTCTGTTCAGGTTGCTATAACAAAAATATCATACACTGGGTGGTGTAAATGACATGTATTCCTCACAATTCTGGAGGCTAGAAGTCTGAGATCAGGGTACCAGCATGGTCTGGCTGTTAGTGAGGGCTCTCTTCCTGGCTGGCAGGTGGCTACCATCTCACTGTGTCCTCACATCGGGGAGAGGGAGATTCTCTCTCTCATGTCTCCTTTTATAAGGGTACTAATCTCATTCATGAGGGCTCCACCCTAGTTTGGAGATGCCACCTCCAAATACCATCACACTGGGGATTAGACTTCAACATATGAGTTTTTTTGGTGGGGGACATTCAGTCCATACCACCTTCCAGCTGCAACCCCTAGAGCAAAACAATAACCCCAAACAGCCCTGTGCTTTATTGCGTAACACGACAGACACTCGTGAAATCTCTTTCCTCGTGTTTAGGGCCTTTGCACTAGCGTCAAGCTAGCTTCAATTGTCCCTAGAAGGACGTTAGGATGAAGAGACATTCCAACCATATCATGAGAGAGGTTGTTTTGGTTTAAATTGTACATTTTCCATTCACACCCTTCTTAAAGAGATTTAAAACCACTCATTATTTTCCAGGCCTACCTGATTTAATGGGGGTGTAATTTATTATTTATTTTATTTTATTTTAGAGATAGGATCTTGCTCTGTCTTGCTCAGTGGCATGATCATAGCTCACTGCAACCTCCAACTGCTTGTGCTCATGGTATCCTCCTGCTTCAGCCTTCTGGTAGCTAGGACTATAGGGTGAACCACCATGCCCAGCCAATTTTTTTTGACAATTTTTTTTTTTTTTTTTTTTTTTTTTTTTAGAGAGACAAGGACAAGGTCTTGCTATGTTGCCCAGGCTGGTCTTGAACTCCTGGCCTCAAGCGATCCTCCCACCTCAACCTCCCAAAGTGCTGAGATTACAGTCACGGGCTCTTGCACCCTGCCATGTGCAATTTTAAAATGTTCTCAGTGTTCTTGGGAAAGGCTACTTAATAATTAGCCAACTGTTATTTCCCCTTTGCTCTCTGTAATTACATTTCTTTAACAGAGGTAGGAGGAGGGCTGTTAGACAAACAAACCCAACAGGTAAAAGCAATATTAGGAAGAGAAGGGAAAATTCGCCAATCAGAGAAAGACTGATAGGAAAGGCAGACACAGGGAGCTAAGTATGAACTCAGCCCATGGGCACCGGCAGGAGGAACTTGAAGGAGTGAGAGGCAGTCAGGGAGTAGGAATGCTCAGAGAATCGGTGTTTCTGGT
Organism: Homo sapiens; assembly: GCF_000001405.40. Taxonomy (NCBI): domain Eukaryota; kingdom Metazoa; phylum Chordata; class Mammalia; order Primates; family Hominidae; genus Homo; species Homo sapiens. The sequence continues at coordinate 100,884,654 of NC_000008.11, read as the reverse complement.
TAAGTAAAAATTAAGAAGGAATTGAACCCTCATATTAGTCTGTTCTCACACTGCTAATAAAGACGTACCTGAGACTGGGTAATTTATAAAGTAAGAAGTTTAATTGACTCACAGTACTGCATGGCTGGGGAGGCCTCACAATCATGGTGGAAGGCGAAGGGAAAGCAAGACATGTCTTACATGGCAGCAGGCAAGAGGGCATGTGCAGGGGGACTCCCCTTTATAAAACTATCAGATCTGGTGATACTTATTCACTACCACAAGAACAGTATGAGGGAAACCGCTCCCATGATTCAATTATCTCCACCTGGCCCTGTCCTTGACACATGGGGATTATTACAATTCAAGGTGAGATTTGGGTGGGGACACAGCCAAACCATATCAACTGTTTTAGCAAAAAGTTCTCCAGAATATACACTTTCCACTTTCCTGCTGCAATGTGCAGAAAATAATAGAACCGAGGATGGTTGACTCATCCACCTTAGAACATATACACCAGCCAGCAATTGCACTCTCATTTGTGAGATCACTGGAGTCACTTCTTTTTCCACTGGCCAGTAGGCTCCAGGAGAAAGGGGACCAGGTCAGGTTTTGCTCACTGTAGTGACCCCTGAGCTTAGCATATCTGGTACATGATGATAAGCTTTGAGTTCATCTTGGCTGACTGAATGAATAAACAAGTTTATTACAAACAAAAGTATCTGACAATGCCCAAGGCTTTTATTGGGAACATATGTTCTTATGGACGAATCCTTGGATGCCATGATATGGAAGGCAGGGTATGACAGGCAATTCAGCCTGCCGGTGTGGAGCAGCCTTGAGCACTGCACTCCTGGGGTTCAAACCGTATCTTTGATATTTAACAGTATGTGACCTTGGGCAGGCTTCTAACCTCTCAGTGCCTCAGTGTCCTCATGTATAAAGTGGAGATAATAATGCCTATTTTATAGAGTTGTAACAAAGGTGAAATGAATTAACACTCTTAGAATAGTGCCTGGTAAGCGCCCGGGAGTATAAGAATGCTGGCTATCATCATCATTGTTGCTCAGTCAAGCTAGAAAATGGTTTTGGATAAATTCCTAATGTGAATTTGAGACTCTTTTGCTCTTTTTAAGGAATTTGGCTTAAGCTTCAAATTTCAGCCATTTTTATCATGTTCATTGAGGTTTTATTGGAAACCATTGGTACAAAGGAGGTTCAGTTCAACACAGTCTGTGGGAAAGTGATGCTCTCGCTTATGATTTCATTATATTTATGAGGCTTACTTAGCAAATGCTCTTAATTATGACCTATTATATTGGGGTTCTTTTCTGGCTACAAAAAATATGCTCACAGATTCCATCCAAGTTGCAAGCCCTCAGTTATGGTCCTTTCTCTTTTCCTCTTTTGACATTTTTATACTATGTTACGTTGGCTAAGCTAGAACGAGGTTTGTCACGATCCCCTTCTCCCTGTGGTTCCAGCTTAGACTTAGCCAAAGAGAAACAGTGTGTGAGATTTGGAGGGTAGAAGGGAAACAGTGACCAATGTTTTCGGAAAGTCATTGTGATTTCAGTGCGGAGAAAGACCAATGCAGACATGCTGGCAGATTCCAGCTTGTCCTCACTCTCTCTGGCTCTGTGACCACCTCTTCCTCCTGATCATTGGCCTTGCTGACCAACAGCAACTCCAAGCCACACCCCCACACACAGAGGCCACAGCCCCCCCTTGGTCCCTACCAGCTTTCTCATCATCCCACTCCAGCAGCCAGATGTACCTGGCTCCCCAGGTTTCCCGCAAGCTCTGACTTGCCCATCCATGTCACTGCTTTGGCAGAGCTTCCAGCCCCTCCTTATCAACCCCTCTTCATCCGTTCCTCCCACAATTCTGTGAGGTCCTGGGCATTTAACAAACCCCTTATTCTGCACTACGCATAGTGGTTATGCTTTGCAGATTGAACCTCGATTGTTGTTGTTGTAACTGGTCTGCAAACAATGGCCATTCGTGAGCCATACCTCCTGATCATCACATCTTTGTAAAGTTCCCCCTACATTGAATCTGGCTGACCCTGTGGGTCTTTTGAATGAACAGAATACAGGGGAAGTAACACACGCTTCTCATGGCTCTAAGATTCAAGAAGGCCTGGTGACTTCTACTTCGGCACTTTCAGGAACCCTGAGCCACCATGTAACAAGTCCTGCCACCCTGCTGGAGATGCCATGTGGAGAAGCCTGGAGAGGAAGAAGCCCCAAGACTATGGAGAGAGGGGCCTGCTGTCCTAGTACCGGGGCTGAGCCCAGCCTCCCAGCCACCTTCACCAAAGAACAGGAGAAGACATGCACATGGAGCCTTCTGGGATGTTTCTGCCCCAGCATTTGATGGCACATGCAAGAGATCATGAGTAAGGACAGAAGAAAAACTGACCACTGAGCCCCAGACGACCCATAGTACCTTTGGTTAAGAGTAGACAAGGCAGACATCTGAGCCTGCATGACTCAGCAAGTTTAGGGTGCAGGCACATACTCCACTTGTTGTATAACCTGTTTGTGTAAGCTGATACTTGCCTTGGAGCCACTATTGTCTGTAAAAGGTATAACTGCCCTGCTGACACTGTGCATGGGGGACATGGCTTGGCTTGGCTCTTGGGCATGGCTTGACATGGCTCTTGCGCTCATGCCCAGAGAGAGAAGGAGATAAACTGCTGACCCTGAAGGGAGAGCTGGCCACACAGCTGTGCGTGGGGGCAGCCGCAGCAAGCAGCCGAGACAGAACAGACAGTGTAGAAGAGCTGCTGATGAGCGAGCTGCTGAATAAAGCCATATTTCCCCTACTGACAGCCCCCCGAGTGTTGTTTCAGCTATCTGCCATTCATCCACCCACTTCCTTCAGACCTCAGCATGGGCTGGAACTTGGACTTGAACCTGACACAGAAGAAGCAAGAAAATAGTTGTTTGGCTGGGTGCGGTTGCTCACACCTGTAATCCCAGCACTTTGAGAAGACAAGGTGGGCAGATCACTTGAGCACAGGAGTTCAAGACCAGCCTGGGCGACACAGAGAAACCGTCTCTACTAAAAATACAAAAATTAGCTAAGCATAATGGTGCGCACCTGTAATCCCAGCTATTTGTGAGGCTGAGGCATGAGGATTGCTTGAACCCGGCAGGGGGAGGTTGCAGTGAGCCAAGATGGCACCAATGTACTCTAGCCTGAGTGACAGAGGGAGACTCTGTCTTAAAAAAAAAAAAATAGTTGTTTATAAGCCCTTTCTATTTTGATATAATTATAAACTTACAGAAAAGATATAAAAATAACACCCCAAAAAATCCCACATCTTTCATCCAAATTGCCCAAATGTTAAACAATTGCAGGAGGACAGGGCAAATGTTAAAAGTTAAAAGTAAGTTGCATACCCCTATATAAGGCAATGTGTATCTCCTAAAAGCAAGAAAATTCTCTTACATAAACACAGTATAATTATAAAAGCCAGAAAATTACATTTTTATAATGCTATTATCTAATCTACAGACCTTGTTCAAATTTTGCCAATTGTCCCCAAAATGACCTTTTTTAGCAAAAGAAAATCCTGGATTATGCATTGCATTCTCTTGTCATGTCTGTATAACCTCATTTAACCTGGGCCAGTTCCCAGGCTTTCTTTGCTTTGCATGATATTAACACTTTTGAAGAGTACTGGTCACTTAGTTTATAGAATGTCCCTCAACTTGAATTTATCTGGTATTTTCTCACAATTAGATTCAGGTTACACATTTTTTGGCAGAAATACAACAAAAGAGATTTTGTATTTTCTCAGTGCATCATATCAGGAGGTAAGCAATGTCGATTCATCCCATTACAGGTGATATTGAACTTAAATATTAGGTTATGATGGCATCTGACAGTTTTATAAATTTACTCAGTATAAAGTTATGGGTTTTTTGTTTGTAATTAATAAGTATTTTACAGAGTGATGCTTTGAGACTGTGTAATGATCCTGTTGTTCATGACTCTTTGAGCCACTAGCTTTAGTATCCATTGATGATTCAATTGATTAAACAATTTCTACCATGATAATTGCAAATGGTGATTTTCTAATTTCATCACTTCTTCTATACTTATTAATGAGCATTCTACTGCAAGAAAGAGATTTCCCTTTTCCCCTACTTACTTAGTTATAACAGTTTTAACTAAGTGATTTCCATTTGAGTCAGTGGGTTATAATCTGTTAATATCATGATGTATTCTGATGCTTAAATTCCCAGATTTGGCCTTTGAGAGCCTCTTCCAACTGGTCCCAAGTCCTTTTCATATGTTCCCATGATTCTCTGAGCACTTACATACTTTTCCGGCAGAAGATGTTCCAGGCTCATTTTGTATTGTCCTTGCCCCAGCCTTTGAATCATTTTCCTAAGGAGTTTTGGTTCTTTTTAGTGAGGAAAGTATTTAGAAACCAAGATCTTGGTGATAGGCATGCTCATTGCTACTGAGCATCATTGCTTTTTAGCCCTCTTAGTGACCAGACCCAGTAAATATATATATGTGTCCACGTGCACACACACATATATACCCACACTTTATCTATTTTTATATCTATCTCTCTATATTAAAAATGATTAGTTCAAACCATGAGTTCATAACCTTATGGAATAACTCCATAAGGTTTCATTCTAGCTCCCTCCCTTTTCATATTTGTTAACTTCCTTTTCTAACGGTGAAAAACCTGGCTCCTATTATCTATGACATATTGTCTTATTTTCTTAATCCTAAAATATACAGAGAATGCTTTCAAAATTGTTAACTCATACCTCTGCAGGAGAAAAAGCAAACCAAAACTACTGACTTGCATTCAATGTTTACAGTTTTTGCCTGGCAAAGTCCAAATACTTTCTTCAAAAGTTGCTCAACCTGGACATGGCGGCTCATGCCTGTAATCCCAGCACAATGGGAGGCCGAAGCAGGAGGATCACTTGAGTCCAGCAGTTTGAGAGCAGCCTAGGAAACATAGCAAGGTCCAGTCTACAGAAAATCTAAAAATTAGCTGAGTGTCATGGTGCACGCCTACGATCCCAGGTACTCCAGAGGCTGAGAGGCGGGAGGATCACTTGAGTCTGGGAGGTTGAGGCTGCAATGAGCTGTGATCACGACATTGCACTACAGCCTGGGCGATGGGAGTGAAACCCTGTCTCAAAAAAAAAAAAAAAAAAAAAAAAGGAAAAGTTGCTCAAGGTAATTACAGTTTTGTTCCAAGTCATTAAGTTTTGGAGTGGTTTATTTTGCAAAGGACAATAGAATGACTTTGCAATTTAGTATTTATCACAGGTCCATTGTGAAAAAGAAATCAGGCAGGACCTAAATGACATTAGGCTATGGGAAAATAAGTTTCATCTGACCCATACAGCAATAGGCATTTATTATGTAAGTTACCTCTTGGGTGAATCTGGGAAGGGTAGTGCTGGCCTTGGGCCTAATTGTGAATCAAGTGTGTTTATCTTAGACATCTCATCTTTCTTATTTCTCCATCATTCTTATCTCTCACTGCCCAGATACTTAGTGCTTTGTGGCTACTCAGAAGAGTCTACTATGGTTTCCCAGCTCTACCTAGGTCTTTCTGCCAATAATCCATCAAGCTTTCCAATCTCTCAGCTGTGAATGGCTCGTGAATGCGTGGGAGGATAGCTGCCCAGTTAAATTCAAAATGGGCCGGGCGCGGTGGCTCATGCCTGTAATCCCAGCACTTTGGGAGGCCGAGGCGGGCGGATCACGAGGTTAGGAGATCGAGACCATCCTGGCTAACATGGCGAAACCCCGTCTCTACTAAAAATACAAAAAATTAGCCGGGTGCGGTGGTGGGCGCCTGTAGTCCCAGCTACTCGGGAGGCTGAGGCAGCAGAATGGCATGAACCCAGGAGGCGGATCTTGCAGTGAGCGGAGATCGCGCCACTGCACTCCAGCCTGGGCGACAGAGCGAGACTCCGTCTCAAAAAAATAATAATAATAAATTTAAAATAAATAAATAAATAAATAAATAAATTCAAAATGAAGGGTGAGACTATGAGCCAACCAGTCAGGTACATTTTCTAGGGTACTTGTGTACTGCACGTAATTAAACTCAGGCCCTGGGGGAAGGGTGGAGGGAGATTTCTTTGCACAGCACTTCCTGTCCTGACCCATGCCCCCTTGCCTACTTAATCTGTGGGCTAGAATTGTCCTGCTGGGAAGAGCTAGAGGAAATCTACATAATGTACACTGGCTTGAAATCTATTACAGATCTTTATCTATCGCTTGAATGGTTTAATACATAAGTAAATACATTAAATTTATATACAAACTGAGAAGTTCATGTGTAGTTACATTTCTATAGCTCTTGATTCAATGAATGTCCCTGCTATATACAAACTGAGAAGTTCATGTGTAGTTACATTTCTATAGCTCTTGATTCAATGAATGTCCCTGCTGTCGACCACTTGAGCAATACATGAAGCCATGTGTTAGCTGGAAAAAGTGGTCAATGGAAACTATAACAATTCCCCCACGTGCCACCATCGCCACCACAGGGTGAAATAATAGCTGTGACTCTTCAAACGAAGGCGTTTGAAGAGAACACCTCATGGAGCTGCTGACCGGCTCTGGCACATGGGGCATTGCGTGCCTTGAGCAGGATGGAAGGTGCCCAGAGGGCAGTGCAGTGGGCTTCAAAAGCAGCTGGAGGGATTCCTTACTGACAACAGAGCAATTTCTCAGGGTTTTCAAAGCATACTTAGGGGAGCAGAACCTTATAATAAGAACAGTGCTTCCTTTATAATCAAGAAGAGCGTTTAGAGTCATTTGATTTGAATTTTCAAAGAAACACAACTTTATTTTGTACCCCAGACTGGGAAGGCAGGGCATAATTCCTGATATAATGCCATATCCAGTGAGAAATGGTGCCTGCCCATCCGAATGGTTCTCTGCAGCTAATTTCACAAGTGTCTCAAGGGCAGAGCATGATAAGTGAGCAAAATGAATTTCAGTTTTATGGGGATATTCACAGGGAGTTACATTGCAAATTAACAAGCCAAGACTGAATTCGGAGGGATGATTAGAGTATCTGCCCAGCCTATCTTCTATGGCAGAGCTTCTTGAGGTTCAGGGATGGATTTCAGAAGATCCATGCCTCTCTCCAAAATTACATGGGGTTTTATTTATTTATCTTTTTCTGAGGCAGGGATTTTATTTAGAGCCGTGCTTATATATTTATTATTACTATTTTTAGAGAGACAGGGTCTCATTATGTCTCCCAGGCTAGTCTCGAACTCTTGGGCTCAAGCAATTTTCTTGCCTTGGCCTCTCAAAATGCTGGAATTATAGATGTGAGCCACCACACCTCGCCCTTTGTTTTTTCTTTTGAGACAGGTTCTCACTCTGACGCCCAGGCTGGAGTGCAGTGGTATGACATGGCTCACTGCAGCCTTGACCTCCTGGGCTCAAGCAATCCTTCTGTCTCAGTTTTCTGAGTAGCTGAGACCACAGGTGTGTGCCACCATGCCCAGCTAATTAAAAAAATTGTTTTTCATAGCAATGGGGTCTCTCTATGTTGCCCAGGCTGGTCTTGAATGCTCAAGCAATCTTCCCGCTTTGGCCTCCCAAAATGCTAGTATTACAGGTGTGAGCTGCCATGCCTGACCTTGTACATTTTTATGAGGAGAATGTCAGTAACTTCTTTTCCCCCTCATCTACATGTGTTGTCAAGTAACTTTCTTTGGATTTTCAAGGGAGTCCTTGAAAGTTAAAATCTTGATTTAAATGAACATTTCTGAAACTGTCTCCTGAGACAACCATGGAAAGTGACCTCTACCTGAAGGATATCTTCTCACGGCCATGTTCAGATTTTGACATCACCACCTGCTCAACTTGTGACAGAGAGTAGAGCACCATGACAACTTACAATTGCCATGACTATCGGCTAAGGGCTGAATGTGCATGTCTCCCCAAAATTCATATGCTGAACCTTAATCCCGGTGCAGTGGTGTCGGGAAAGGGGCATCAGGGAAGTGATTCGGTCATGAGGATGGAGGCTTCATGAGTGGGATTCATGCTCTTGCAAAAGGCCTGAGGGAGCTTCTTGGCCCCTTCGACTGTACCACTGTATGAGGACCTTGGGAGGCACCATCTATGAGGGGCAGGGCCTCACTACACTGAATCTGCCAGGACCTTGATAGTGGACTTCCCAGCCTCAGAACTGTGAGCAATAAATCTCTATTGTTTATAAATTACCCAGTTTAAGGTATCTTGTTGTAATAACTCAAACAGATGAAGACACTATCTCTGCTCCCTTAGTAGGAGTTACTTTCCTTCTTTTTTTTTTTTTTTTTTTTTTTTTTGACAGTGTCTTGCTCTGTTGCCCAGGCTGTAGTGCAGTGGCACGATCTTGGCTCACTGCAACCTCCACCTCCTGGGTTCAAGCAATCCTCCTGCCTCAGCCTCCCAAGTAACTGGGACTACAGGCACAAGCCACCATGCCCGGCCAATTTTTTTGTATTCTTAGTAGAGATGGGGTTTCACCATGTTGTCCAGGCTAGTCTTGAACTCCTGACCTCAAATGATCCACCTGCCTCGGCCTCCCAAAGTGCTGGGATTACAGGCATAAGCCACCATGCCTGGCCTACTTCCCTTCTTAAAGAGAATATTTGAATGCAAGTGAGGCTGGGTGAAATAGCTAATTGCTCTCAATTTATTTTGAAGAGAAAATCAGTTCCAAATAAATTATTTTCAAAATACCTCATGTTGGGTTGAGACAGGCTTGAGAATAAATGTTCTGTGGAACAATGAGATGTTCTCTGGGGGAACAATGAAAAATAAGAGTGAATTATGTAGTATGTATGACTGGATGAGATTGTGGGCTCTGGGGCAGACTGCCTGGATGCAAATCCTGGCTCTATAGCCTCCTAGCTGTACAATCTTCGTAGGTTATTTCACATCTCTGGGCCTCAGTTTCCTCATCTATAAAATGGGATGAGAATAATGGTACTGACTTTGTAGGGTTATGTGTGAGAATTTTTTTGAGTAAATACTTTGTCAAGCCCTCAGAACAGTGCCCAATATACAGTAAACAGCCAACAGAGGCTGTTATTATCTTCCCCAATGATTTGATCCACTACATAGTCAAACTTGTCAGTTCAGAGTCAGTTGATTGCTGGTCCAGACTCAAATTTTGAATTAATTTAGGATTCTATTGCTATGGTAGAGAAGAACTCAGTTAAGTAATAAGTTGGTGGAGTAATCATTTTAGAAGGAGCTCAGGGAGTAGATAAATTTGTCAGGGAAACCCAGCTTCAGACCCAAGACTATGAATGCAGCATTTCTCGGGGAAAAAAAACTAATAATCCCAGTGACCACTTACTGAGAGCTTCTTTATATTGTAAGGACACTACAAATATTACCACACTTCACCTCCATAATATTCTATAAGGTTAGCCTAGGATACCATTTCACCTTTGGGAAAATTGAGACTCAGAGAGGTTGAGTAATTTTCTCAAGGTCACACAGCTGACTGGCACACACACTGTCTGGCTGACTCCAAAACCCCCACTCTGTCTTCTAGACTTGGCTTCTTCCTGATTTCTCAATTCTCAACCAATAAGATGAGAAGAATTTTATAATGCCACCCAATTCCCCTTTATTGGTAATGGAGCTTGTGTCAAGGGGTCTGAGGAAAGCAACAGCAGATGGGATCCATCAGTTTCTCCATCTGGTCACCTCTCCAGTTCAGCATGGTCTAAGCTAGCCTCACTTTCCCACGTACTACGTATGTTCTGTGCCCCCTCCCCAATTCTCCCCCTTTCTGTAGCCACTATTCCACTTAGCAGCATCACTGTCCCCTGTCACATCAGCAGGAAACAAGGAGCCATTCAGCTCTTTCATCCTCAGCCCCCACTTTCAACCATCACCAAGGCCTTATTTCCATCCTTAAAATGCCTCTCCACTCTCACTGCCTTTGTCCTATTTGAGTCTCATCGTTCCGTGGCCTGGTTATTTCAGCACTTTCCCAAGTGGCCTCCTAGCCTTCATGCTCTCTTCGTAATACATCCTTTACATTGTCTACAACAGTTCTAAAGACAAATTCCATCTTGTCATGCCTTCCAGTACCTCCAATTGCTTATCTGATAAAGTCTAAATTCCCTACCGTGGCTTATGAGGCTATGGTTGAGAATTTCTAGGGTACCCACTCAGTCTATGTGTTACAGATCCCCGCTTCCTTTGGGAACTGTTCCCTTTACCCTCCAGGGTAGGACTACCAGGTATCATATTTGCAAAATGTGACCTCGCCTCTTAGCCATAGCTGACTGGATGAGGAGCAGTTATAGGACCTGAGCTGTACCACTCAGAGATCCCTCCCCAAGGATTGGAATTGGAATCACAGAATTATTTTCTCCACGTGTCTCAATCTGTATCATGTAAACCCTAGAGCTATGAGCAGGTCATGTGTCTGTCATGTGGACTGGATTGTGCAGAATTCCCCTGTGGACAGAGAGAGAAGAGAATAGAGTCCTGTCTGCAGAGAGAAGCAGGTAAAAAGATGGAGCGTGAACACTGCCTGGGCTCACCCTGGCCTGATGCTTTCAATTTTTAATACTTCCTGGCATCCCAGTGTATCTCTGTCTTTGGGCTCTGAGAGATTTCCTATTTCTTTATAGCAAATTCTTCTTTTTAGTTTAAGCCAACTACAGTGGGTTTTTACCTGCCATCGAAGATACAGCTCATAGGACCCTACTTTTCCTCCCTACATCTCCTACTGGCTCTTTTGCCTTCCTCTGTCTTCTCTGTGCACCCATCTTTTGCTTCAGCCACAAAACCAATCGTTGTTTCTCCTTAACATTTCTTAAACTTTCTTTTATTTATTTATTTTTTATAGAGACAGAGTCTCACTATGTTGCCCAGGCTGGTCTCAAACTCCTGGGCTCAAGCAATCCTCCTGCCTCAGCCTCCCAAAGTGCTGTGATTACAAGTGTGAGCCACCGCACCCGGCCAACATTTCTTTAACTTTCTTCACTCTATGCCTTAGCCTATGCTGTTCCTTCTGCCTGGAATACCCTTCCTACTACATAGTTGGCCTGAGAAACTCTTACTTGCCCTTGAAGGCTCTGTTCATATATTACTTTTCTTCTGAAGCTTTTCACTATTCCTTCCTTGGTGGCTTCAAGACTTTTTTTTTTTTTCTTCCAGAGTGCTAGAACTCAAGCGAGGTTTTGTTTGCACCCCTTTCAAGTTCTTATTCTCTTGACTTTGTGTGTGTTTATCTGTCTTCCCCACTAGACTGCAAGCTCCTTAAGGACAGGGCTCCATCTTCCTAATTTCCTTAATTCCACTGTCTGAAGCCCAGTCTGTAGAGCTTCCTGAATATGCTGGCAAAATGAAGGTTTGTGGCTCAAAATTCTTGGCTACTCATCTCAGTTATGCATTCCCTGTATAGACAGGATACGCGGGGCTGGAGATGCCTTCGGAAGTGGCCGAGATGGGACTGTTGCAGGAGAGGGAAGATGAGGGCCTTGAGGAATCGAACCTGCACTCCCTCATTCTGGATGTTCCCAAAGCACAGCAGAGGCCCTGGCTTGATGTTGGCCTCCTTTCTGGCTGGTAAATTGACGTGGCCCCAGGACAGGTAGGGCTCATGACTGACTTGGCAATGAGTGACTTCCCCTCTTTCCTTCTTGCAGGGTCCTCTTGCAGGCACCTGCTAAACCCACAGTGCCTCCTGGCTCTCTCTTCTCTTCTTTCCTTTCCCCTGCGGCCTCCCACCCCACCCCTGACACTCCCTATTCCCTGCAAATTCCATGCCCTAAGAATTCTCCTTCCCAACCCATATCTGTTCATATTCGGAATTAATGAGCATTTACTCGACACTGTGCCAGCCAATGAGCTAAACGGTCACTGAGATTTTGTGCCAACTAGAAGGGCAAGATTATGTGCCAGGCTCTAGTGCCAGACTGCCTGGGCTTGAATCCTGGCTAGGGATGGGAATAATAGTAGCAACAATAATGGTTCCTACCTCATAGGATTGTTATGAAAGATAATACATGCGAAGCAGTTAGAATAGCACCAGGAACTCAAGTAAGTGCCCAGGAAGTCATTATTCATGGATGGACATAACATGCCTCAAGTGGGAAGACACATGGGCATCCCAAGGAGGCTAATGATTGCTGACCTTTCAAACCAATATTACTAAATGTCTGTTCAAAGTTTATTTAGAACAGTGGTCCTCAAACTTTGGCATGCATCGGAATCACCTACTTTTGCAATTAAAAGTAATTACAAAAACCGCAATTTCCTTTGTGGAGAATCACTTGAACCCGTGAGGTGGAGGTTGTAGTGAGCTGAGATCTTGCCACTGCACCCCAGCCTGGGTGACAGAGCGGGACCCTGTCCCAAAATAAATACATAAATAAATAAAAAGAGATGAAGCTCCCCAAATGATCCCCATGGAGCCAAGGTTAGGAACCAAGATTCTGAGGGTGAGCGCTCTGGAGAAGGGGGCTGGGGGTGGGGGTTGGGGAGGGGAGGAAGGAGGCAGTGGCAGTGCTCCTCCCTGCTCTCCTTTCTGCAGGAATGAGTCCCCAGGTCGAAGCCACCCACCTGCCTCACCATGTGGGTTTAGGACCATCTTTGTCTCTGAAAGCAGCTCTAGAAGATGGGTTCCTGCCCCCAGTGCAGAAGCTCATGGAGACTGTGACATGACAGCTGGTGGGCTTCGTCCCTCCAGGAGTTCATTCCCCATCTCATTAACCTCTCAATGCCATTCCAGCCCTTCTCATGGATTGGCTTCCATAGAAATCAGAATAAAAATCCAAACTCACTAGAGGACCTACAAAACCCCTGCAATTCTCCAACCAGTTTCCTGGCCCTGTTCTCAGGGGTGTCCACCCTCCGGCTTGAGCCCTAAGCTCAGCCCATTCCTGCCACAGGGCCTTGGTCCTTCCCATCCACCCTGCTCTGCTCTCAGGTCTTTTTTTTCTTTCTTTCTTTTTTTTTTTTTTTTTTTTTTTTTGAGACAGGGTCTCTCTGTTGCCCAGGCTGGAGTGCAGTGGCGTTGATCTCAGCTCACCAGCTCACTGCAGCCTCAACCTCCTGGGCTCCCCCTTCAGCCTCCTGAGAAGCTGGGACTACAGGCATGTGCCACCACACCTGGCTAGTTTTTGTATTTTTTTGAAGAGATGGGGTCTCACCATGCTGCCCAGGCTGGTCTCAAACTCTTGAGCTCAAGTGATCTTCCTGCTTCGGCCTCCCAAAGTGCTGGCATTAGAGGCATGAGCCACCAAGCCCGGCCTTGCTCCCAGATCTTTCAGGGGCTTGCACGTTCTCCTCACTCATGACTCAGATCAAATCCACATCCCAGAGAAGCCTCCCCTGACCACTCTTGGGGGCTTTTTTCTCTTCCTCTTCCTCTCCCTCTCCTGTCCTATTGCTCTATCTCGTTTTCTTCATTGCACTTGCCACGATCTGAAATTATTATGTTTATACATTTATCACTTCTCTCCCCCAACAGCCGTGTAAGCTTCCTGAAGGCAGGGATTTTGTCTGTCAACAGACACAGCTGCATCCTCAATGCTTGAAAACTGAAGTACCACATGCTCGTGTTGAGTGAATGAGGGAGGTCAGACCTTGGCTCTTAATCTCTCTCTCTCCCTCCATCATCTACTGAGTCTGTGACTCAGGGTCAGTCACTTCAGCCTCTCTGAGCCTCAATTTTCCCATCTGTCAGTGGGAGAAATTTAGACCCTCCCAGGCTTCTTCCAGAGCTGCTAGCATGGTCCAATTGATTTTTGATGGACTTCAGCTGAAGCGTGCTCTTTAATGTGAAGGCTACTATCCTTGTGTCTGCAAAAGGGCCTTAACTTGTGAAGTGGCTTACATGTCCGATAGCAGGTCTAGTGAAGGTGGATATTCCAAAGAGATTGAGTGCTTCCAGGTCTTCAAATACTGTCCCCTAGGACACTGCCATCTCCAGTTACACAGAGCCAGCCAGTGGGCCACCTTCCAGCAGAGGCTGTATCAGCCAAGACAAGGGTGCTGTGATTTCTTTGGGGCCACCTGGTGAAATCTACACCAGCTGAACTGAGAGCAGAGGTGTGGCGGGGAAGGAGGTGCTCCCCTCCAACCTTCTGCCAGCCTCCAGCTGTGTGCCTTTGTCCCACCATGCACGTTCACACCGAGATGATGCTCCCCCAGGGCTGCTCCCAGCCACAACTGACAGGACAGAGACTGCGAGCTGGGTGTTTCTGTTCGAGGTGGGCAGCCTTTGCCTGGGGATTCCTAGTTGTCTGCGGAGGCTCCCTCAGAATGGCCCTGAATTCTGAGATTCTTCCTGTCCTATACTCCCCTTCCTAATCACCATTCACAGATGTCAGATCTGCACTGCGGCCAGAAGCCTCTCCCTGCCTCCTCCCAATTCCTCCCCTGCATCCTTGATGGGCACTTCCCTCCATATGTCTCTGGAACATCTAATCCCATTTTGGTATCTGCTTCGCAGAAGACTTAAACTGGCACGGAGGGGTTGAAAACAACTCTGATGGCCCCCTGTGGCCATAGTCTCCTGGTTCTGATTCAGGCCCTGTAACAGCTTGCAACATATACAATTTTAATAGGGGCATCATCGATTAGGAAACACCCTGTCTCCTCCTTCTTTAATGCAGTCTGGAGCAAGCTTGACTATAGGAATAGATATTGCTCTCCCAGATCAGAGCTGAGGGAGGCGGCCCACGGCCCTTGGTAGAGAAGTGTCATGGAAATCACAGAAACACATATTCTGGGAAGTCCCCCCTTTTCTAGAATCCACAGTGAACATATGCATCATTGTCTTCAAAGCCAGCTCATCCTTCAAGGAATGAGGAACTTGGCAGAGAGAATTGGAAATTACGACAAACTTGCCAAGTCGAACTAATCAATAATAGGATGCAAGAGGAAGTCAGGGAGGAGGAAGTAGCAATGCACTTAGAAGGAAAATGTGCCCAGTGGACAAGCTCCAGGACCCATTCCCGCTCATCATGTGAAAGTATTCATAAGTACCTAAGTGCAGAAAGTACTGCTCAGGGTGTTTGTCCAGAGCAAGTGAGAGACAAGACCACAGGACTTCACAGCAAGGGGCCTGGGAGCACATCTTCTAGTCCAATGGGTTTCAAATAGTTCCCCTCGAGTAACAGCAGGGATTTCCTGGAAGGAGAAGCAGGAGTCCCTAAGATGGGTCTCATTGCCCTCCCACCCTTCAACCAAGAAACACCTGCACCATGAAGGTTCTGTCTCTCAAACCCAAATCTGGAAACCACTGACCTAGTCTCATTCTTTCCTTTTATCCACAGAAAAACAGAAGTCTAGAGAGGTGGTGTGACTGGCTTTGAAGTGACACCACGAGTTAACCGCAAAGGTGGAAGGATTAGAGCCCTTGGCCCTAGTCCTGTTCTCTTTCAACCTCACAATCATGCCACCCCCTCAAGGACTTGGCTTCCCCAAAGTCACACAGCAGGAAAATGGCAGACTTGGACTTTGAACCCAAACCTTTGGACTCCTCCACATCCTTTGCTATTTCTGGTTTCCATTGCTTTGTTTTCTCTGTAGTGCCAAACACAGGACTGGGCAGATAGATGACAAATACTTTGGGAAATGCAATAAACTGACCGCAGTTCAAATAAATTGCAAGCACTGCAACATTGTTCTTCACTAAGTGCACATTGATCCAGCCAGGGAGCTTTTAAAAAGGAAATATTCATCCCCAGGCTCCAATGCACCACTTATACCAGAATCTCAGGGCAGGGCCTGGGCATCAGTATTTTTTAAAGTTCCCCAGGTGATTCTAGGGTGTAGCCAGGACTATGAATCATTGAATAGGACTGTTTAACACACCTGGCCCATCCCTACGTTGGCATTCTCCAAAAGAGAGTTTGAATGACACACCATCTGTGTAATCCACAGGCCCTTCTGTGCTCGCCTCAGCAGCAGGCAGGTCTCTCCCTCCCTCTCTCTCCCTCTGCCATATTGCCTCTTGATTTGGTCTTTATACTCATGGTGGTGACTAATTAATCCTCCTAGAACAATCAAAGAAGACCTAATTGTGGGTGAGCCATCTGGAGCTCCTCCTTGGTTGACTTGGACTTTAGGGAGGATGAGGAGAAGAAAGTGGGAAATGACTCACACTCCAGATGAAACACAAAATTGTATCTGTTCACAGACGGTTGTGGTGCTTGCGGCTGTAACTTTTCCTCCTGCTTCTCAATGGTTCCAGATGGTGCATTTTCTCTTTCTATACCTGCATGTCCATACTCACCCCCATAGACAGTGAGGCATGAATTCTCCAGGCTGCTCCTATTCCAGTTCGCAAAGTGAACTTGGTATTTCTTCCACAGAGTGTGCCTATAAAATGCGTTGTGAGGGCTAGAGTGCTCATTGACACAGTACTCTTATGGTAGAATTAACTTATATAGACAGGGAATGAGAGGGTAGAAGGAATCAATTAATTACCAAATATTTATTGAACACCTGCTTTGTATAAGACAGAGATGGTGCTAGAGCCCTGCCCAGATCCTCTTTCTGGGGTCGGGGTGCCTATCCCACTGCTGCTCTGCTGTGGTGGCTGCAGATGGCTCTCAGCTGCTGTCCTCTGGGGAGGAGAGCCTCAGCTGATGGGCAACCCTTCCCCAAAAAGTGGCACTCCTCAGGGTGGCTCACAGCCCACGAGTGGCTGACAGGAAGAACAGAATGCCAGCCCCTTGCCTCACACGGGGTGTGGTTTATGCTCCTCAAAATCAAAGCTACTTTGGGAGGCCGAGGCAAGAGGATCACTTGAGGCCAGGCATTCAAGACCAGCCTGGGAAACAAAGTGAGAGCCCTGCCAACTACCTTCTCTACAAAACAAAAAATAAAAAATTTCAATTCTAGCATTGACGGAGCCACTTCCCTGCTCACATTTCCCCCTTCCCTGTTCTCTGCCTCTCCTGCTCCCTCACAAGGATTCCCGTAGGGGACTGGCTCAGAAGGTCACAGGCTCTGAGGACCTTTCTTAGAATCCCTTCTAGGAAAATGATCTGAGACAGGAAGTTTGCTAGTTGATGTGAGCAGCGCAAAAACATTGAAGGCCCGATTCTTTGTTGGAAAATGCTTTCTGGCCTATTACAGAGGCAAAACCTTAACATGCAAAAAGTTAACAGGAAAGGAGGTAATTAACGATGGCGATCACGTGGGGCTGTCTCAAGGTAGCACACAATTCTCAGCTGAGTTTTAGAGTCAGAAGGTTTTGGAGGATGGAAGAGACCCATGAGAAGCATTTGGAATGGAGGAAAAAGCATGGCCAAAATATGAGGGCAAGGAAAAGAGGATGCAAGATGTGAGGTTTCGGCGCAGGGCTCTCAACCTTCAGCAGGTGTGGGAATCCCACATCAGGACTGCTGGCTCCACCCCGAGTTTTCCATCCCATAGATCTGGAGTAAGGGCCAAGAATCTGCATTTCTAACACGCTCTCTGGGGACCTGGTGCTGCTGGCCT
This sequence comes from Homo sapiens, assembly GCF_000001405.40. Classification (NCBI taxonomy): domain Eukaryota; kingdom Metazoa; phylum Chordata; class Mammalia; order Primates; family Hominidae; genus Homo; species Homo sapiens. Next base: position 100,867,173 of record NC_000008.11, on the reverse strand, counting down.
GGGAATCACTCTTTTAGAACCACTGCTGTAGTGGAATAAGACTTGAGAGAACAAAAATTGTTATTTCCCAGAGAAACCACCCCTACAGTGTCGATGAGAATTCATGCTGGGCTCTGCACAGAAATATAGCTGTAATTAAGCATTAATCTGGCTGCACTCTGGCCCACTTCCTTACTGCTGAAAGTCATATAGCCCCAGATACTAACCATCTGCATTCCTGTTGTTCCTGTAGATAGGATTTCTGACTTGAATGAGGATAACAGCAAAGTTGTGTTCAGTTATAGGAGAGTGAAGTTCCATTTTTGCATTTCTAATGATGTGTTTAAGAATTGACTTGCATCCTCATTGTTCCTACAGACAGCATCTCTGACATTAGAACCAGAAGATTTTTGTTTAAGGATCACTTAAGATGTTTTTCAGACTCTGAATTCCAGCAACCAGTTTGGAGACCCCAACAGAGGAACAGGATCAGCCTGAGAATACAGCTTCTTCGTCTTCCTGTCCCTGCACTCTTTGACCCTGCACTCTTTGACCAATCAATGATTTGCATACTTTGGCCCACTCCAAAACCCTTAAAAACTCTAAACCCAACTTTGTTGAGGAGATGGATTTGAGGTCTCCTCCCATAACCTCGTTAGGTGACTGTATGATTAAACTCCTTTCTCTGCTGCAACGTGGTTTTTTGGCATGTTGACTTGCTGTGTGCATTGGGAAACAGACCTATTAGGGCTACACCAGGGACCCTCCTGCTACCACTCAGCAGGTTTAGGGGCAAGAGTAGATACTTAAAGAACGAAGAGTCAGATTCTTGGCCCCTGTCTGTTAAGGAGACTTTCATAAATCTCTATCAGAGAAGCAATAACTAATAACTAATAAAAGCTGTGATTTACAAATGCAGGGACCAAGGCTTGAGGTAGAAAAGGGTCTTGTGGGTTTTAAAAGCTTGGCTGTAAGTATCAAAAGCTAAAGTCTCCAAGACTGAGATCATAGTGCTTATACCATAAACCAGGGGTCAGCAAACTAGGGCCTGCTACCTGTTTTGTAGATAAAGGTTTATGGAAACAGCAACACCCATTTATTTACATATTGTATAGGCCGCTTTCCGGCCACAACGGCACAGTTCAGTAGTTGCCCCAAAGACAGAATGTTCTACGAAACCAAAAATATTTACTGTCTGGCCCTTTATAGAAAACGTTTGCCAGCCCTTGCCGTAAACCATGGAGTAAGCAAAATCGGGGGTGGTAGAGTGAGTGAGGGGTGATGCTGGAAGAGCAGTCTTTCCCCATCTCTAAGAAAGGAGAGGAGTGAAAGTTCTACCAGCTGGTGGGAAAGAAGGAAATCATTAAAGTTATGACGAAACAACTCTTAGCACAGCAACGAGGATAAGAGCAAAGTTCTGTTGGGTTATGGGAAGACGAACTCCCATTTTTGCACGTCTAAGGATTTGTAAAACTCGTATCTGCTTGGGGTAATTTAGCAGGATCAGAATAGGAAGGGGGGAATGAAATGAGAGGAAGGCCCGTGGGGGTTGAGCTGTGGAGAGTTTTTATACTTGGACAGGCCTGGTCCCACCTGGGTGTCCAAGCCATTTGCAGAGCAGGCTCTCTAGCACATGGCAGGTGCTTAGAAGGTTTGCTTTTATTTTGAAGTTGAAGGTTTTTTATTGAGAACCTCCTCTGTGCCAATCACTGGTATAGACTATATTCATGTATCTCTCTGTATATTTAATTTCAGATACAATAAACAGGTAGTATGTCCCTTTTTGAGATGCACACCTGAGGCTCAGAACCCTGAAGGAAGTAGCACGTGGCGAGTCAGTGGATTTCAGGGAATAGACAAGGTATCTGGCTGAGTGAGTGGATGATTCATCACAGGGCCAAGCATGTGGGACTCTCTCCTACAGGTAATGGTAAGCCGTGGGAGGCTTTGCAAAGAGGGATCTTAATGATGGAAAGAGAGTGAAGTCTGAGTAGAGTGGATTGAAATTATTTTCTTAATATAGCTGTCTCTGCCAACTAGACTGTGCTCTTAACAAAGAGCCATGCCTTATTCCTCTATAACCTGGGTCATGTCGTGGCCTGTGTAAGCACTGGGCCACATTTTTTTAAAACATCAGTCTGATGTCATTTTTTAAAAATATATCTCTACTGAAGTTTTTTGAAAAGATGGAATTTCTAAAACAGCTACCTCATGAAAGCCCTACTTATCACTGCGGGACAGCTGTCCCTGTTCTCCACGGTTTTCCTCCCTCAACTCCCAAAGCACTTGCCATGACAGTGAGCACTTGCTAACTCTTTTCTCTCCTTCCTGGTTCAAACTTGTTCTGCCTTTTCCAGTCTCAAGCAACCTGGCCTCTCCAGGCTTGTTAGTTTTTTTTGTTTTTGTTTTCCTGGCTCCTTCCAATTCATTTCTCTGGGCCTCACCCTGCTCAGCCTAACAAAAGTCCTAAAGGCTGAGAATGAAAACTTAAAAACCTTCTTAGAAGGTATGTATGCAGATGTAGAAAGGGAATACTTGGAAGATAGAATTGTGTGGGTGTGTCTGTCCTATTTCTTTCTTTCTTTCTTTTCTTTTCTTTTTTTTGAGGCAGAGTCTCACTCTGTTGTTAGACTGGACTGCAGTGGCGTGATCTCGGCTCACCACCATCTCCGACTCCCTGGTTCAAGCAATTCTCCTGCCTCAGCCTCCCAAGTAGCTGGGATTACAGGCACATACCACCACGCCCAGCTAATTTTTGTATTTTTAGTAGAGACGGGGTTTCACCATGTTGGCCACCATGGTCTCGATCTCCTGACCTTATGATCTGCCTGCCTTGGCCTCCCAAAGTGCTGGGATTACAGGTATGAGCCCCCGTGCCCAGTTGTCCTATTTCTTTGCATGCCCAGTGCCTGATGGGGTGCCCAACACAGAATAGGTGCTTGGTAAGTGTATGCTGGACGATGAATGGATGGCGGGCATGAGACTGGAGGAAGGACGGCTAGGTCAGATGCCCCTGCAGCCAACCAGGTGTGAGCCTGAGAGGTATGGATGGCGCCTGGAGAAGTGGAAATCAAAGGAAGCGACTAATGTGGGTGGGGTGTGGGGGAGTTAGGAGGAAAGTCTTGAATGGACTTGAACACTGATTGGCTATGGAGGATGAGGAAGAGGAAGGAGTCAAAGATTTCTGACCACACAGCTCGGACTCTAGGCCAGAGCAGCCTTGGGGGAAATGGGAGGTAACAATGGGCAGGTTGAAGCAGGGCTGCCCTGTACAGCCACACACTCTGTGGCCTGCACTCCTCCAGGGGCCACTCCTCACATTGCCAAGGGTATGCAATAAGAAGGGCGCCTCCTAGAGTGGGGCTGTGCACAGTCACATACAGTGGCTGGAGTCTGGGAGTGGTCCTGGAAAAGTCGATACAGCACACAGCCCAGAACAAAGCCCCGCAGACCCCTTTTCCAGCTAGGAGTCCTGGGAGAGGCCTCGAGGGCAGTCACCACTGCTTGCCTGGGCCTGCGAGCATCTCTGAGGTGAAATGTGCTAAGGGGCCACATAAGTCGGGGTATCCTATTGACACAGAATCAATAGGACAGACATGGATCTACAGAAAGAGATTTGTGAGGATTGGCTCCCATGATTGTGGAGGCGGAGAAGTTCTTTGATCTGCCAGCCGCCAGCCGGAGAACCAGGAGTGGCTATGTCCTAGGCAGGAGGAGATGGATGTCCCAGCTCAGGCAGAGAGCAAATCTGTCCTTCCTCCACCTCTTCTGTGCCATTTAGGTCCTTGAAGGATTGGATGATGCCCGCCGATATTGGCGAGGGGGGCTCTTCTTCACTCAGTCTACCAATCCAAATGCCAATCTCTTCCAGAAATGCCCTCACAAACACACCAAGAAATCATGTTTTACCAGCTATGGGGGCATCCCTTAGCCCAGTCAAGTTGACACGTGAAATTAACCATCATCACTTTCCAAAGCCATCAGAAGCTGGGCCTCCTTCTGGGGAGGAATTTTTCAATGCAGAGGCCATTGCAGAGTGACACATGTGAAGCTGATGTAGGACAGAATGGGTCGCCCTTATTCACAGAGCCTCCGTGGAGGGGCCGCAGCTCCAGCCCCAGGCCTGAGGGACAGCGTGGTGGATAGGTGTGTCCAGCCCTGCCCATGAAAAGCCCTGAGGTGGATATGAATGGGAAACTCCAAGGCCTATGTGACACTGGCACCAATAAGGGGCAATTGCCCCAGTGTTGACACTGCAAGAACTCCCAGACCTGGAACCCCAACCTTCAGATGAGGTTTGGTGACATGACTCACCAAGGAGTGGGATCATTGCTTTATAAGGCAGTTGAAGTTGTTTCTGGGTGGTGATGTAGCTCAGGGTATCAAAGGCAGCCAGCCCACAGTTCTGTGCTTCTCCAGTATAGCCAATGTCTCATTACACCTGTGCAGCCTCTAAGACCACCAATCTTTGGATGGGCCTTCGTGAAACCGAAGAGAAGTAACGGGGAGCTCATCTACTCACCTGCACCAGAATTGCATTTGTATCCTTCACACTTACTTAGGAAGTAAACCAAAGTAAAAGGAACTTCTACTGAGTCTACGCCACCATCTTCACCTGTCCTTGAACCTGAGCATATTCCCCAGTCCAGCCTAGAGGTGGGAAATGGGCTAGGAGGAGGGCATGGGAGGTGGACATACATGGGATATGTCCTGGTTCTGCCATTTTCTAGCAGCATGACCTTGAACTAGTTATTAAACCTCTCAGTGCCTCATCTGAGGATGGGTGATGGAATGGGACTCCGTCTCAAAAAATAATAAATGAATAAATAGAGATTAATCGAGACAATGGGTTTAAAGTGCTTGGTGCAGAGGTCAGTATATTTTGGCTGCTGATACTAAGAAGTAATACAGCTCAGGACAGTCTGTGTGTCCCACTTGGCAGGGGATGGGAAGAGGCAGTGGGAGGTGCCTGCTGTGGTCAAGCCAGGGCCTAAGCCTAAGAGGGCACAGGCGTCTGCAGTCACTCTGGGTGTCAGGGCCCCAGCCTGGCTGAGCCAGCCTCACACAGGTCAAATCCAGAAAGCACACAACAGGGTTTGTTGTGGAAAGTGAGGACAGACTCAAAATGTGGAAGATCATGGCAGATCCTCAGAGCTCTGCAGATCTCTCCTCAGGCTGGTTCTTTAATGTTCTGTGGGCTTTCATTCTGGTGGCAGCATGCTTGTCTCTTTGTTGGAGGACTGCTCCAGGCTGCCTGAGAATTCACACACCAAGCCCTGGGCCGTGGTGTCTAGTGTGGGGTATAAGAACGCCAGCTCCCTTGCCCCTGACTGAGCCAGCTCTGGGGCTGACTCAGTGTGTCACTAGGGCTCCCCTGTGGCATTGAGCTAAAGCTGCCCTCTGTGGGCTGCTGCCTGACAGCTCACATTTACTCCTTAGGGGAACCTCAGAGGGTCAAGGTGGCATCCAACCCCTTTGAGGTGGAGGTGTTCTTCAGCAGCCTGAGTTCTGGCTGGGAAATCGGGAGTGTGTCTGGAGACAGAGTCCTCCCTCTGGCTGATAGGAGAGTCTGAGTTCTGGTTAGGAAATCGGGAGTGTGTCTGGAGACACAGCCCTCCCTCTGGCTGATAGGAGCCCATATTTCATCAGAGTTCTTGGGTTGCCAGCAACAGAAACAGACTTCAGAGAACTTAAGTGAAAAAAGAATTGACTGGCATGATATGAGGAAGTCACAGAACTGACAAGGAGGCAAGGGAACTGCACTGGGAAAGGAGGATGTTATGAGCTGAATTGCGGCCCCCAAAAGTCCGTATGCTGAAGTCTTAACCTCCAGTAGCTCAGAATGTGGCCTTCTTTGGAAATAAGGTTGTTGAAGAAATAATTGGTTAAGATGATGTCATTAGAGTGGGCCCTAATCCAGTATGACTGATGTTCTTATAAAAAGTAGAAATTTAGAGACAGACTCATAAACACAGAGGGAAATGCTGTGTGAACACGAAGACATCTACAAGCCAAGGAGAGAGGCCTCAGGAGGAACCACCCTGCCGGCACCTCGATTTTAGACTTCCAGCCTCCAGAACTGTGAGATGATACGATTCCTGTTTTTTAAGCCAGGGGTCCCCAACCCTTGGGCCGCAGACCATTACCAGTCAGTGGCCTGTTAGGAACCAGGCTGCACAGCAGGAGGTAAGCAGAGAGCAAGCATTACCGCCTGAGCTTGGCCTCCTGTCAGATCAGCCCAGAGGCTGAACCCTGCTGTGAACTGCGCATGCCAGGGATCTAGGTTGTGCTCTCCTTATGAGAATCGAATGCCTGATGATCTGAAGTGGAACAGTTTCATCCCGAAATCGACCCCCCTCCATGGAAAAACTGCCTTCCGTGAAGCCAGTCCCTGGTGCCAAAAGGGCTGGGGACCACTGGTTTAAGCCCCCTCAGTTTCTGGTTCTATGTTAAGGCAGCCCCAGGAAGCAAATGCAGAGGGCAACCGAGGAACTCCGGGCTGGGGTTCTTTCAGGGCACTCTGAGGGGGTGAGCGAGGGCCCACTGTTTCCAGCTTCCTGTTCTTCTGCTCTAGAATTCAAACGCCAGAGAAAGAGAACATCAGCTTACCTGTCCCACCAGACTGTGCTCAGTGCAGACAGGTAATTCCCCCAGAGTGAAAGCGGGATGTAAGTTGTTTTTTTAGACATCAACGGGATAGTACAACAGATGTCACTTGAGTCCCAGCTCAGGCCGTGGAGGGCGCGGCCACAGCTGGGCTGCCCCGCCTGCAGCCCGGCCTCCTGTCTGTCTTCTGGGAACTGACGGCCTGACTCCGGGGGGTCTCCGGCTCCACAGTGGAGGAGGTTCAGACCCTGGGTCCTGCCTGGCCCTGCTGCGGCGAGATGTGGAGCCGCCTCATTCCGAAGCCGCCCCTGCCCCCGTGCCTGGTGCGCTTGCCCAGCTGCCTGCAGCAGCTTCACCTCCTTAGAGCCTTGAGGCAGCACTGAAGGGCGCTTCTCGTCCCATGTTTGAGTGGAGGCCCCTGAAGCTCTGCAAGTCTCAGTGACTCAAGGACCAGGTTCCTCATCCCCTGTTCAAGGCTTTCCCACCACACGGCCGGAGAAGGGGAGAGGAGGACACAGCCTAGGATGGGGATCCATCCGCCCAACTGCCTCGTGAAACGGGTGCGAGGTAGGACGGAAAGCCAGGGAGGCCCTGGAGCGTGGTTGTAGTTAGAATAAGGAGGATACATTTACTCACTTCATTCATTCATTCATTCATTCACGTATTCATTTTCCAGGACCAGAGGACATATTCCTCCCTGACTTCTGAGGAGAAATGCATTTTGGTTTACTTTTTTTTTTTTTTTTTTCAAATTATTAGGAACTTAAAAACTGGCGATGATCCCTGCCAGTCAGCCAGTAACATTGTTTAGCAAAGCAGCACAGCAGGAAAAACAAAAACCTGAGGCTCTGCAGTCACATAACTTTGGATTTGAACCCCAGTGTTATGATTTAACAGCCAAGTCACCCGGGACAAGCCATGTAAGCTCTCAGTGCCTCAGTTTCCCCCTCTGTTAGGATTAAAAAGACCTGCCTTTGAGCCTTCACTAAGTAGCATGAGTACGAGGAGAGGCAGGTGGGCTTTGCTGCAGCAGGTGTGCTTCACTGTAGCGTGGCCAGGTGCCACCTATAGGCCGCCTGCCCTGAGGTGTCTCGGATGGGGGCTCCTCCTCCCCTCAGCGAGAGGGGCTGTGCACTGCCTCAGCCTCCCACAGAGTTTGCAGGTGCGTTCAGCACTGTGTGCACCTGTGAGAAGCTTTTCTCTGCTGGCAAGACCACTCTCGTGACTGCAGAAACACTCACTGTTTCGTGCTCACCAGTCCCCGCCCAGAGCGTAGAAAGGAAAAGCGGAAGGGGAGAAGGGGAGATCCTGTCGGTGTCCATAGTAAAAGCACACGACCAAATCTTGACCTCTCGGCCTGCCCCCAGGCTGTCTTCCCCAAGAGAAAGAGGCTGACGAACACCAGGTGAAACCAAGCTCAGGGCTGTGGACACAGTCACAAAGCAGAGTCTGCTCAGAATCACGAAGTTCATTTTGGGATCAGGTGGACGTTCCCCTCCCCGAGAAGTGAGGTAAATTAGGAAGGCTTTATTTTTACTCAGGCGATAGTGACAAGCGCAGGTGAGATCAAATGACTACAGGTCTGTTCACAGAAGGATTTTCATTCAATGCTTATTCTTCCTACAAAGCGGAGCGTTTCTGCAGTCAGTGGGCACCGTGACCCCGCAGATTACATCCAGCAGGGGGACAGACAAGGCCAGCGGATGCGCAGGGCCTCCTGCTGTCACTCTGTTGAGCGCCCACAAGTCCTGGGGTGAGTTGAGGCAAACTATTGTATCTACTTTGGAATAAAATGACTAAACAGTAAGATCCAAGCCTTGTTCTGACAGGAACAATTTATTTAAAAATAAACTTTTGCCTGGGAAGAAAAGAAAAAGCAAGCAGCTCACATTTCCAGTGACGACTTCTCGATAAGAATCTGTGTTCCATGGGAGGGCTGAGAGACACAGGATGGGTTGCCTGAGCAGGGAATGGCACCTCCTCCCTGGCAGCCTTTAGTAGCAGGCTAAATTCTCACCAGCTCCGGGGTGACTTAAGGATAGCTCCGCCTAAAGGCAAGCAACTGAACAAAGTTAACAAAAGGGAGATCCTATGGACCAAGTGATGGAATCTCCAGCTGAGAATTATTTTTTTTATTATACTTTAAGTTTTAGGGTACATGTGCACAACATGCAGGTTAGTTACACATATATACATGTGCCATGTTGGTGTGCTGTGCCCATTAACTCGTTATTTAACATTAGGTATATCTCCTAATGCTATCCCTCCCTCCTCCCCCCACCCCACAACAGGCCCTGGTGTGTGATGTTCCCCTTCCTGTGTCCACATGTTCTCATTGTTCAATTCCCACCTATAAGCGAGAACATGCGGTGTTTGGTTTTTTGTCTTTGCGATAGTTTGCTGAGAATGATGGTTTCCAGCTTCATCCATGTCCCTACAAAGGACATGAACTCATCATTTTTTATGGCTGCATAGTATTCCATGGTGTATATGTGCCACATTTTCTTAATCCAGTCTATTGTTGTTGCACATTTGGGTTGGTTCCAAGTCTTTGCTATTGTGAATAGTGCTGCAATAAACATACGTGTGCATGTGTCTTTATAGCAGCATGATTTATAATCTTTTGGGTATATACCCAGTAATGGGATGGCTGGGTCAAATGGTATTTCTAGTTGTAGATCCCCGAGTAATTGCCACACTGACTTCCACATTGGTTGAACTAGTTTACAGTCCCACCAACAGTGTAAAAGTGTTCCTATTTCTCCACATCCTCTCCAGCACCTGTTGTTTCCTGACTTTTTAATGATTGCCATTCTAACTGGTGTGAGATGGTATCTCTTTGTGGTTTTGATTTGCATTTCTCTGATGGCCAGTAATGATGAGCATTTTTTCATGTGTCTGTTGGCTGCATAAATGTCTTCTTTTGAGAAGTGTCTATTCATGTCCTTCGCCCACTTTTTGATGGGGTTGTTTTTTTTTTTCTTGTAAATTTGTTTGAGTTCATTGTAGATTCTGGATATTAGCCCTTTGTCAGATGAGTAGATTGCAAAAATTTTCTCCCATTCTGTAGGTTGCCTGTTCACTCTGATGGTAGTTTCTTTTGCTGTGCAGAAGCTCTTTAGTTTAATTAGATCCCATTTGTCAATTTTGGCTTTTGTTGCCATTGCTTTTGGTGTTTTAGACATGAAGTTCTTGCCCATGCCTATGTCCTGAATGGTATTGCCTAGGTTTTCTTCAAGGGTTTTTATGGTTTTAGGTCTAACATTTAAGTCTTTAATCCATCTTGAATTAATTTTTGTATAAGGTGTAAGGAAGGGATCCAGTTTCAGCTATCTACATATGGCTAGCCAGTTTTCCCAGTACCATTTATTAAATAGGGAATCCTTTCCCCATTTCTTGTTTTTGTCAGGTTTGTCAAAGATCAGATAGTTGTAGATATGTGGCATTATTTCTGAGGGCTCTGTTCTGTTCCATTGGTCTATATCTCTGTTTTGGTACTAGTACCATGCTGTTTTGGTTACTGTAGCCTTGTAGTATAGTTTGAAGTCAGGTAGCGTGATGCCTCCAGCTTTGTTCTTTTGGCTTAGGATTGACTTGGCAATGTGGGCTCTTTTTTGGTTCCATATGAACTTTAAAGTAGTTTTTTCCAATTCTGTGAAGAAAGTCATTGGTAGCTTGATGGGGATGGCATTGAATCTATAAATTACCTTGGGCAGTATGGCCATTTTCACGATATTGATTCTTCCTACCCATGAGCATGGAATGTTCTTCCATTTGTTTGTATTCTCTTTTATTTCCTTGAGCAGTGGTTTGTAGCTCTCCTTGAAGAGGTCCTTCACATGCCTTGTAAGTTGGATTCCTAGGTATTTTATTCTCTTTGAAGCAATTGTGAATTGGAGTTCACTCATGATTTGGCTCTCTGTTTGTCTGTTATTGGTGTATAAGAATGCTTGTGATTTTTGCACATTGATTTTGTATCCTGAGACTTTGCTGAAGTTGCTTATCAGCTTAAGGAGATTTTGGGCTGAGACAATGGGGTTTTCTAGATATACAGTCATGTCATCTGCAAACAGGGGCAATTTGACTTCCTCTTTTCCTAATTGAATACCCTTTATTTCTTTCTCCTGCCTGATTGCCCTGGCCAGAAATTCCAACACCATGTTGAATAGGAGTGGTGAGAGAGGGCATCCCTGTCTTGTGCCAGTTTTCAAAGGGAATGCTTCCAGGTTTTGCCCATTCAGTATGATATTGGCTGTGGGTTTGTCATAAATAGCTCTTATTTTGAGATACGTCCCATCAATACCTAATTTATTGAGAGTTTTTAGCATGAAGGGCTGTTGAATTTTGTCAAAGGCCTTTTCTGCATCTATTGAGACAATCATGTGGTTTTTGTCGTTGGTTCTGTTTATATGCTGGATTACATTTATTGATTTGCATATGTTGAACCAGCCTTGCATCCCAGGGATGAAGCCCACTTGATCATGGTGGATAAGCTTTTTGATGTGCTGCTGGATTCGGTTTGCCAGTATTTTACTGAGGATTTTTGCATCGATGTTCATCAGGGATATTGGTCTAAAATTCTCTTTTTTTGTTGTGTCTCTGCCAGGCTTTGGTATCAGGATGATGTTGGCCTCATAAAATGAGTTAGGGAGGATTCCCTCTTTTTCTATTGATTGGAATAGTTTCAGAAGGAATGGTACCAGCTCCTCCTTGTACCTCTGGTAGAATTCAGCTGTGAATCCATCTGGTCCTGGACTTTTTTTGGTTGGTAAGCTATTAATTATTACCTCAATTTCAGAGCCTGTTATTGGTCTATTCAGAGATTCAACTTCTTCCTGGTTTAGTCTTGGGAGAGTGTATGTGTCGAGGAATTTATCCATTTCTTCCAGATTTTCTAGTTTATTTGCATAGAGGTGTTTATAGTATTCTCTGATGGTAGTTTGTATTTCTGTGGGATCAGTGGTGATATCCCCTTTATCATTTTTTATTGCATCTGTTTGATTCTTCTCTCTTTTCTTCTTTATTAGTCTTGCTAGTGGTCTATCAATTTTGTTGATCTTTTCAAAAAACTAGCTCCTGGATTCATTGATTTTTTGAAGGGTTTTTTGTGTCTCTGTTTCCTTCAGTTCTGCTCTGATCTTAGTTATTTCTTGCCTTCTGCTAGCTTTTGAATGTGTTTGCTCTTGCTTCTCTAGTTCTTTTAATTGTGATGTTAAGGTGTCAATTTTAGATCTTTCCTGCTTTCTCTTGTGGGCATTTAGTGCTACAAATTTCCCTCTACACACTGCTTTGAATATGTCCCAGAGATTCTGGTATGTTGTGTCTTTGTTCTCGTTGGTTTCAAAGAACATCTTTATTTCTGGCTTTATTTCATTATGTACCCAGTAGTCATTCAGGAGCAGGTTGTTCAGTTTCCATGTAGTTGAGCGGTTATGAGTGAGTTTCTTAATCCTGAGTTCTAGTTTGATTGCACTGTGATCTGAGAGACAATTTGTTATAATTTCTGTTCTTTTACATTTGCTGAGGAGTGCTTTACTTCCAACTATGTGGTCAATTTTGGAATAGGTGTGGTGTGGTGCTGAAAAGAATGTATATTCTGTTGATTTGGGGTGGAGAGTTCTGTAGATGTCTATTAGGTCTGCTTGGTGCAGAGCTGAGTTCAATTCCTGGATATCCTTGTTAACTTTCTGTCTCGTTGATGTGTCTAATGTTGACAGTGGGGTGTTAAAGTCTCCCATTATTATTGTGTGGGAGTCTAAGTCTCTTTGTAGGTCTCTAAGGACTTGCTTTATGAACTGGGTGCTCCCATATTGGGTGCATATATATTTAGGATAGTTAGTTCTTCTTGTTAAATTGATCCCTCTACCATTATGTAATAGCCTTCTTTGTCTCTTTTGATCTTTGTTGGTTTAAAGCCTGTTTTATCAGAGACTAGGATTGCAACCCCTGCCTTTTTCTGTTTTCCATTTGCTTGGTAGATTTTCCTCCATCCCTTTATTTTGAGCCTATGTGTGTGTCTGCATGTGAGATGGGTTTCCTGAATACAGCACACTGATGGGTCTTGACTCTTTATCCAATTTGCCAGTCTGTGTCTTTTAATTGGAGCATTTAGCCCATTTACATTCAAAGTTAATATCATTATGTGTGAATTTGATCCTGTCATTATGATGTCAGCTGGCTATTTTGCTCATTAGTTGATGCAGTTTATTCCTAGCCTTGACGGTCTTTACAATTTGGCATGTTTTTGCAGTGGCTGGTACCAGTTGTTCCTTTCCATGTTTAGTGCTTCCTTCAGGAGCTCTTTTAGGGCAGGCCTGGTGGTGACAAAACCTCTCAGCATTTGCTTGTCTGTAAAGGATTTTATTTCTCCTTCACTTATGAAGCTTAGTTTGGCTGGATATGAAATTCTGAGTTGAAAATTCTTTTAAGAATGTTGAATATTGGCCCCCACTCTCTTCTGGCTTGTAGAGTTTCTGCTGAGAGATCAGCTGTTAGTCTGATGGGCTTCCCTTTGTGGGTAACCCACCCTTTCTCTCTGGCTGCCCTTAACATTTTTTCCTTCATTTCAACTTTGGTGAATCTGATAATTATGTGTCTTGGAGTTGCTCTTCTCGAGAAGTATCTTTGTGGCGTTCTCTGTATTTCCTGAATCTGAATGTTGGCCTGCCTTGCTAGATTGAGGAAGTTCTCCTGGATAATATCCTGCAGAGTGTTTTCCAACTTGGTTCCATTCTCCCCGTCACTTTCAGATACACCAATGAGATGTAGATTTGGTCTTTTCACATAGTCCCATATTTCTTGGAGGCTTTGTTCGTTTCTTTTTATTCTTTTTTCTCTAAACTTCTCTTCTTGCTTCATTTCATTCATTTCATCTTCCATCACTGATACCCTTTCTTCCAGTTGATCACATTGGCTACTGAGCCTTCTGCATTTGTCACGTAGTTCTCGTGCCTTGGTTTTCAGCTCTATCAGGTCCTTTAAGGACTTCTCTGCATTAGTTATTCTAGTTATCCATTCGTCTAATTTTTTTTCAAAGTTTTTAACTTCTTTGCCATTGGTCGAACTTCCTCCTTTAGCTCGGAGTAGTTTGATCGTCTGAAGCCTTCTTCTCTCAACTCATCAAAGTCATTCTCCGTCCAGCTTTGTTCCATTGTTGGTGAGGAGCTGCGTTCCTTTGGAGGAGGAGAGGCGCTCTGATTTTTAGAGTTTCCAGTTTTTCTGCTCTGTTTTTTCCCCATCTTTGTGGTTTTACCTACCTTTGGTCTTTGATGATGGTGACGTACAGATGGGTTTTTGGTGTGGATCTCCTTCCTGTTTGTTAGTTTTCCTTCTAACAGACAGGACCCTCAGCTTCAGGTCTGTTGGAGTTTGCTAGAGGTCCACTCCAGACCCTGTTTGCCTGGGTATCAGCCGTGGTGGCTGCAGAACAGCAGATATTGGTGAACCGCAAATGCTGCTGCCTGATCGTTGCTCTGGAAGTTTTGTGTCCGAGGAGTACCTGGCTGTGTGAGGTGTCAGTCCACCCCTACTGGGGTGTGCCTCCAAGTTAAGCTACTCGGGGGTCAGGGACCCACTTGAGGAGGCAGTCTGCCCCTTCTCAGATCTCAAGCTGCGTGCTGGGAGAACCACTACTCTCTTCAAAGCTGTCAGACAGGGACATTTAAGTCTGCAGAGGTTACTGCTGTCTCTTTGTTTGTCTGTGCCCTACCCCCAGAGGTGGAGCCTACAGAGGCAGGCAGGCCTCCTTGAACTGTGGTGGGCTCCACCCAGTTCGAGCTTCCCAGCCACTTTGTTTACCTAATCAAGTCTCGGCAATGGTGGGCGCCCCTCCCCCAGCCTTGCTGCTGCCTTGCAGTTTGATCTCAGACTGCTGTGCTAGCAATCAGCGAGACTCTGTGGGCGTAGGATCCTCTGAGCCATGTGCGGGATATAATCTCCTGGTGTGCCGTTTTTTAAGCCTGTTGGGAAAGTGCAATATTAGGGTGGGAGTGACCCAATTTTCCAGGTGCTGTCTGTCACCCCTTTCTTTGACTAGGAAAGGGAATTCCCTGACCCCTTGCGCTTCCTGGGTGAGGTGATGCCTTGCCCTGCTTTGGCTCGTGCATGGTGCGCTGCACCCACTGTCCTGCACCCACTGTCTGGCACACCCCAGTGAGATGAACCCGGTACCTCAGTTGGAAATCCAGAAATCACCCGTCTTCTGCATCGCTCACGCTGGGAGCTGTAGACCGGAGCTGTTCCTGTTTGGCCATCTTGGCTCCTCCCCCTGGAATTTTTTTTTTTTTTAATTTTTTACTCTCCCAGTGGAAGCGGGTTGATGAATCTATATTGCACTCATGAATCTATGTTCTAGTAAATAGAGGGTCAACGTAAAGTGCACTGCTTGAAGATCTGCATTCTGCATTGCCTGGCCCCCCTGCTTTAACTTCACAGGTGCAGTTCCTGCCAGCAGAGCAGATAAGGAAGGCTCCTGGAAGCAGGGGTGGCACTGCCTCTGGCCTCCTCATGTCTCTCTGCAGGCTCTGTGCTCCTGAGAGCTGAGTCCCCCAGGCTAGGAATAGCCCTAGAGAAGCTTTTGTGTCCTGTGCCTCTCTGTACTTCTCAGTATGAGCTAATAAAATCTGCTTTGCCCCAGTACTCTTCCCTTGGTTTATGGGAGAACACACAGAAAGCTTCCCCACGTAGCCACATCGTGGAGGTCTTCCACAGTGAGCATTAATCCTGCCTCAGTCATGGGAGTCACAGAGATGGCAGGCCACCTCTCCAGTTCTTTTACCATGGAGTGGGTCAGCCATTAGAAGGGACCTGGACAGCCCACTCACCTCCCAGCATTTTGTACACACTGGCCCTCCTGCTCAGAAGCCCCTCATCCATGTCTGCTGCAGCTCTGGCTGTTCCCAAGAATGGATGTCAGTGTGGGGGCCCAGCCTCCTCAGCACCTTTCAGGAGCCAGGGACCCATGCCATTCGGGGCACACGGCACAGGGCTTTGCAGGTTCCTGGGTCTGGCCACTGGGGCTGCTGTGGGCAGTGCAGGATTTAGCAGAGAAGACTTCAGGCTGTGGCAGAGCGGCAGCTTCCCTGCACAGATCCCCAGGACTGAATACTGGCTGGCTCCAAGGGTGAAGGGAGTGTTGGAACTGCACAACCAGACCCTTGCCTGCTCCCCAGCCTGCCACCCTTGCAGGGCTCATTGCACAGGCCCCACCCTCAGAGCTTCTGATTCCAAGGATCTGGAGTGGAGCCTGAGAATGTGTATTTCTTTTTTTTTCTTTTTTCTTAAAGACAAGTTCTCACTGTCTTGCCAAGACTGGAATGCTGTGGCGTGATCATAGCTCACTGTAACCACAAATTCCTAGACTCAAGCAATCCTTCCACATCAGCATCCCAAGTAGTTGGGACTACAAGGTGTGCACCACCATGCCTGCTTTTTTTTTTTTTTTTTGTCTGTTTGTTTTTTTAGTAGAAATGAGGTCTTGGTATATTCCCCAGGCTGATCTCAAATTCCTGCACTGAAGCAATCCTCCGGCCTCAGCTTCCCAAAGTATCAGCACCTGAGGAAAATGCGCATTTCTTACAAGCTCTCCCAGGTGATGTGGCTACTGCTGCAAAAGGAGCTGCATTTTGACAGCCACTGCTTTCTGTAACACTGCCTTCTCCTCTCTGAGGCCTCTGAGGCATGACACTGTTCCAATACTGACTGCTAAATTTTTGCTGCCAGCCAGGCCATGGAGGCTATTCATTCTGCCTCTCCTAGCGCTGAGTTGGTCAGCATCAGCAAAAGCTGCCTGGAGGCCAGAAGACAGACACCCTCTGGCCCCAGCTCTCTCACTGCTGTCCTGATTCCCCACACAAAGTGTTTGCTGTGGTGCAAACTTGCTGACAGGCACCACCCTGTGTTGGGGATGAACCAAATCATTACAACCCTTAGACCCATGGATTCCTGGCTCTGAAAACAGATGCAAAAGCTCCCCTGCTCCCCTGGCCAACCCACCCCACGGACATCCTCTTGCAGGCCTGCTGTGGAAGGCCCCAAAATGGGACATGACCCGGCAGGAGGTCTGAGAATGGCTTTCCCTGCCAACTGATATCAAGACCCCTAGGGCCTGGCAGTCAAGGCATGAATAAATATATTCCACAGGAGTCCTTTCAGCCATAAAGAGCCTGTCTCCCAGCCTTGTATGCAAAACCAGAGTCGGGCCCAGTGGCTCACTTGTAATCCCAGGACTTTGGGAAGCCGAGGTGGGAGGATCACTTGAGTCCAGGAGTTTGAGACCAGCCTGGGCAACATAGCAAGACCCCTGTTTCTACAAAAAATAAAATTAGCTGGACGTAGTGGTGTACCTATAGTCCCAGCTTCTCAGCAGGCTGAGGTGGGAGGATCACTTAAGCCCAGGAGGTAGAGGCTGAAGTAAACCATGATCGCATCACTGCACTCCAGCCCAGGTGAGAGTGAGACCTTGTCTCAAAAAACAAACCAAAAGCCTGAGACAAGTGCCCTGACTGGCAAAGAGGAGACGCTTTGGCTGGGGATTCTAGAACACCAGCATTCCAGAAAATGCATAAAGGTGCCCTTTCTCAAAGCTTCCATGGACTCGTTGGCTTCCAGGTAGTCACTTTTTCTATTGTTCTATCTCCCTCCTTGGCCGCCTCTTCCCATCCTATGCACTTCAGGTGCAGAGTAATGCATTTGCATGTTCAGAGCTGCTAATGACCTCGTCGGTGTTTAAACATGGACTGTCTAGTCCACATGTCTTAACCTGGGACCTGAATCTAGATGGGGACTGAAGGGTGGGCAGGTCAGCAGGTGCTGAGGCATTCATCTGTAAAGTGCTCACAAACAGCATTAAAGTAAATTGGAAGGATGGTGTCAGCTAACTAAGGCTCCCACACAACCCTTCCAGAGTGGAAAAATCTAAATTGCTTTCACTCTCAGCCTTGAGTGAGAAAAAGAGAATACCCCTCATTGGGGCTCTTTCTGCTGAGCACTTTGCACGGGCAGCTACTTGATATTCACAGTCAATAGAATAATTCATGGGGTTGTACTGACTACCAGAAAAGAGTCAGTTATTTACCTAACTTTTAAATGGGTTCAAGAATTTCAGAAAACTGCTTGTATGTGATCGATTCTAATCTCAGACACAAAGGAGTGCGTGATTTTTATTAGTATACAATTAGTTTCTCACTGACAGTACTCTACAAATATTAAATTTAAAAAAATCAATTTGAAAGGGGTGCCAAATTGTGGTCTGCCACAGATCTCAATCTGACACTGTGTAAAGTTTCTGAAAATGAATGAGGATGTTGTGTGCATGTACAATTTTCTGGGTGAATATTCATAGATTTTGTTGCATGTTCCAAAGAGCCCTAAAACAACCCCACCAACCATAAAAGGGCAGGAAGCTTAGAGGCTTAGATGAAGCCCACAGGCCCCTCCCAAGCTCTCCTTCCTCTGCTCCTTCCCTCTGCACAAGCATCTTCCCTCTTCTTGGCTCCCCACGTAGCCTGATGCCTCGCTATACTGAGACCCATTTACTTCACTAACCACCAACCAACCTTGGGATTAAAATGGGCTCGATGATCCAAGTAAAATAATAAACATAAAAATGCCTTCTAAAATTCTACAAAAGTAAAGAATTAAAGAAAAGTCAGGGGGTGCTAGTGTTGTGAAAGTTAATTTGATGACTGATTCCTGAGCGCCTGCCTGAACTATCCACAGGCTGTTCATGTCATGTCCTAAGTGATTTAGGGCAATGTCAGCAGTGGCCGGACTGGAAGCTTCCTGTCTCACTTACTGCCCATATCAGTCTATGAAGTGAGTACTGTTACCCCCAACTTACAGATGAAGAAACTGAGGCCTAAAGAGGTTAGGTAACTTGTCAATTACACACAAGGGTTTGAACTGGAGGCATTCTTGTTAGGACCCTAATTCTGAACCACTATTGAGACACCACTATGTGCTGGAAGCTGTGTGAAGCCTGCTATGAGTATTTAACTTATTTAATCCCCATGACAAACCCATGAAATAAATACTATTATTGTTCCCATTTTACAGAAGGCAAAACTGAGATGGAGAAAGATTAAATCACTTGCCCAAAGTCACATAACTGATAAATGTTGGATAAATGTTGGAGCTGGGGTTTTACCCAGACAGTTTTACTCCAGAGTTCATCCCCTTCACTTTTTCACTGAAACGCACACGATTTAAGGAGTTGCATAAACCAGCCTCCAAATAACCATTTGGGGCCATTAATGAGAGGCCATTTCTGTTATCAGAGGATATAAGATTTTTTTTTTTTTTGAGATGGAACCTCATTCTGTTGCCTAGGCTGGAGTGCAGTGGTGTGATCTCGGCTTACTGCAACCTCCGCCTCCCAGGTTCAAGCAATTCTCCTGCCTCAGCCTCCCAAGTAGCTGCAATTACAGGCGCCCGCCACCACGCCCTGCTAATTTTTGTACTTGTAGTAGAGACGGGGTTTCACCATGTTGGCCAGGGCTGGTCTTGAACTCCTGACCTGGTGATCTGCCGGCCTCGGACTCCCAAAGTGCTGGAATTACAGGCGTGGGCCACCGCACCTGGCCAGGACTTCTTAAGATTCAATAACTTGTCAGTGATTATTTCATCAGTCTTTCAGACACTTTTTCTAATCACACATTGGTTTCAACGGACACTTGCCTACTGTGTACAAAAACAATTGGATGCGGTGCTGAACAAGACATGGTTTGTGCCCTCTGGGCGTCTCTGTCTAGTCTGGCAGACGGACACATATACGAAAACACCATGGAAAACAGACTGATTAGATGCCCTGGCGATGTACTCCAGGAGTCCGGGGAGAATTCCTGGCTTCTGCAGGCCGTTAGGTTCCAGGGGGTGGGGGTAGGGTTGGGAGAGGCATGACTGGCTTGTTTCAAGTGGCGCCCGCAGCCAGCCAAGGCAAAACGCAGGACTGACGGCTTTCCCGGCCCACTAGCTCCTCTGCTGGCTCCCAGCTGTAAGGAGTGGATGCCGTGGTCTCCGCATCCAGCCGGCACGTGCTGCAGCAGCGAGCTCTTTGTTTTCCATCATTCCCTGGCCTCCGCGTGGATGCATTTCAGAGTCACGGGGTTCTGCTTGGTCACACCTGGTCTCAACCTTCTCTCAACACGTCCAACCCTGTCTCGAGGACATGAAGTCCTTGGGGTCCCTGCCTGCCCATCTCCCAACTGATGATTAACTGTAGCTGACAACCCAGCGTTACATAAGAGGATTATGAAACTCTGTTAACAGGGAGGTAGGTGATCTGTATGTATAAATAGACAAAAACCCACGAGTCTGCTGCTTTAAAACTCAGAGACATCTAGTGGCAAGAAATTATACCTGCAGTCCTGGCCCATCCACGCCAAATAAACGACTTTTTAAAAGTTCTAAATTGTGAAACTTTTGTACCTACCCAAATTGGGAGGCTTTGGGTAAATTACTTTGAAAGAAAAATGGACAGGTTTTTCATTTTTAGGAGTACGGCATTATCTTTAATAAAAAGAACCATAAACCTACCTTAAAACTGTTTTCCTCCAAAGTTTTAAATGCACACAATTACATATAGCATGTGTGAGAGAAAATTAGAATATAATGACTCTATTAAAAACTTTTTGACCAGGTGCGGCGGCTCATGCCTGTAATCTCAGCACTTCAGGAGGCTGAAGTGGGCAGATCCCTTGAGCACAGGAATTTGAGACTAGCCTGGACAACATAATGAGACCTCGTCGCTACTAAAAAAAACATTTTTAATAGCCAGGTGTGGTGGCATGCACCTGTAGTTTCAGCTACTTGGTACACTGTGGCAGGAGGATCCCTTGAACCCAGGAGGTCAAGGCAGCAGTGAGTTGTAATGGCACCCCTGCACTCCAGGGTGACAAAATAAGACCCTGTCTCAAAAACCAACAAAACAACCAACCAAACAAACAAACAAACAAAAACACCTCTTCTACACATTCACCTGTCATGCATGATTCAGAACTTTTTTAATGTAAAAAAAATTTACAATTTTCCCCTCCAATTTCATAATTATTACAAACTGGTCCTACAGGTGAACAAACGTTGATTGAATAGGAGAATAGCCTTTACAAATTAACCAGAGAGCCCCCCGCTGCATTTCCTCACTCACATTGCTATCTTCTTTTCTATTTGCCTCCCCCCCACCCCATCTGTCAGGGAAGCTGTTTGGGGTTCATGACTTCAGAGGAGAAAAAAGTGGCAGGGAAAAGGGAGTGCCACCCTGGCTTTTGAGTTTCCAAAAGCTTGATCCTTCAGGGAACATAAAGGACTTACAACATAAATCAAATGTATATTTTTTGTAAATAGACTCTTTTTAAAGTATATAACATAGCTTCAGAGAAGTGCAGAAATCGTATTACAAGTGGTTAAGTGTGAGGTCATCACAAACTAAGCCCACCTGTGTCACCAGCAGTGAGTTTTGGACATTACGGCCCTCCCACTCCTCATCCAATCACTCCCCTCCTTCTCTCCCTGCCTAGCACCTAGCACTATCCTGACTTCCCATGCTGCGGGGGAGTAGTTCTTCTTCTTCTCCTTCTCCTTCTCCTCTTTTTTTTGAGACAGGGTCTCACTCTGTTGTCCAGGCTGGAGTGCAGTGGTGCAATCACAGCTTACTGCAACCTCAACCTCCCAGGCTCAAGCAATCCTCCCACTTCAGCCTCCAGGGTAGCTGGGACTACAGGCGCATGCCACCACACCTGGCTAATTTTTGTATTTTTTGACAGATGGGGTTTTGCCATGTTATCCAGGCCAGTTTTGAACTCCTGATCTCAAGCAATCTGGCCGCCTCGGCTTCCCAAAGTGCTGGGATTACTGGTGTGAGCCACCACGCCTGGCCAAGTTCTTATTGTTTTGTTATCCAATATGTATCCCGTTGTGCTTGTCTTCTTTTGCTTCACATTATATCTATAGATTCATCCATGTTGTTGCATGTGACAATAGTTCATTTTCATTGGTGTAAAAAATTCCTTTATGTGACTATACAATGCATTAATTTGTCTATTCAACTCTTGATAGCCATTTGAGTTGTTTCTAGTTTGCAGCCATTAAGAATAATGTTGTCATGAAGCTCTGTCTTTTGTACATATGTATTCATTTCTTAGAGGATATAACTAGGGATGGAATTGCCGGGTGACAGGATGTTTGCTCAGCTTTAGTTGATTCTGACCAACTCCTTTCCAAAGAGGCTATGCTAATTTACACGTTCACCAGCAGAGTGTGAGGGCTGCAGTTGTTCTACATCCCACCAACACATAGTACTTGCAATCTTATTTATTTATTTATTTATTTTGAGACTGGGTCTTGCTCTGTTGCCCAAGCTGGAGTGCAGTGGCACGATCTCGGCTCACTGCAAACTCCCCCTCCTGGGTTCAAGCAGTTCTCCTGCCTCAGTCTCCCAAGTAGCTGGTATTACAGGCATGCGCCACCATGCCTGGCTAATTTTTGTATCTTTAGTAGAGACAGGGTTTCACCATATTGACCAGGCTGGTCTTGAACTCCTGACCTCAGGTGATCTGCCCACCTCAGCCTCCCAAAGTGCTGGGATTACAGGTGTGAGCCACCATGCCTGGCCTGTGTTGTAGTTTTAGTTGCATTTTCCAGGTATAATGAGATTGAGCACCTTTCCTTTTCTTTTCTTTTCTTTTCTTTTCTTTTCTTTTCTTTTCTTTTCTTTTCTTTTCTTTTCTTTTCTTTTTTGTATGTAGAGACAAAGTCTTGCTCTGTCACCAGGCTGGAGTGCAGTGGCATGATCATAGCTCACTGCAGCCTTGACTTCCTGGGCTCAAGCGATCCTCCTGCCTCAGCCTTCCAAAGTGCTGTGATAACAGGTGTGAGCTACTGTACCTGGCCAAGCACCTTTTCTCTTGCTTTCCAAGTATTTGGATATCTTCTCTTGTAAGATGGCTTGTCAAATTTCCTGCCTGTTTTTCTGTTGGACTGGCTGTTGTGTTCTAATCGCTCTGTAGAAATTCTTTATATATTCTAGATATGAGTCCTTCTTATGTGCTACAAATATTGTTTCTCATTCTTGCTTTTTCAGTCTTTCAGTGGTATCTTTTCATGATTAAAAAAAAAACTTGCTAATTTTAAAGCAGCCCAATTAAAAATTGCTTAATTTTGCTGGGCCTGGTGGCTCACACCTATAATCCCAGCACCTTGGGAGTCTGAGTTGGGAGGATCACTTGAGCCCAGGAGTTGGAGATCAACTTGGGCAACATAGTGAGACCAGTCTCCACAAAAAACTTAAAAAAAATTAGCTGGATGTGGTGGCACACCCCTGTAATCCCAGCTACTCAGGAGGCTGAGATGGGAAGATCACTTGAGCATGGAAGGTTGAGGCTGCAGCGAGCCATGCATGACAGAACAAGACTGCCTCAATTTTTTTTTTTTTTTTTTTTTTTGAGACAAAGTCTCGCTCTGCCGCCCAGGCTGAAGTGCAGTGGCGCCATCTGAGCTCACTGCAACCTCCGCCACCCAGGTTCAAGCAATTCTCCTGCCTCAGCCTCCCGAGTGGCTGGGATGACAGGCACCCGCCACCATGCCTGGCTAATTTTTGTATTTTTAGTAGAGACGGGGTTTCACCATGTTGGCCAGGCTGGTCTTGAACTCCTGACCTCCGGTGATCCGCCTGCCTTGGCCTCCCAAAGTGCTGGGGTTACAGGTGTGAGCCACTGAGGCTGGCCGACTGTCTCAAATTTTTAAAAGAGTTAATTTATGGTCATTAGGATTTTCTGTTGTGATATCAAGAAACTTATTCTTTGGCCTTTCACATTTAGATCTGTAGTCCACCTGAAATTGGTGTATGTTTATGGATATCCCGTTGACCCAGAACCACTTATTAAGAAGATTGTCCTTTCTCCTACGGCTCAGCATGCCACTTTTGTCATAAATCAAGTGTCCATTAATGTGTGGGTCTGTTCTTTGACTCTATGTTGTTCCATTGGTCTACTTGCCTATTCTTGTACCATTACTATTCTGTCTTAATTATTGTAGCTTTATAATAAATCTTTTTATCTGATAGATTGTCTTCCAACTTGCTTCTTCTTTAAGTGTCTGTAGCATTGTTGGCCTCTTACATTTCTATATACATTTTAGAATCAGCTTATGAATGTTCCCAAAAAACATGCTGGGATTTTCAATACATTGGTGAATGCATGAATCAATATATCGATTTAGGGAACATTTTTACATCTTTTAACTATCTAAACCAAATATTCAGGAGAATACATAATGAGAAAGCTTCCCCAAACACAGTCTGGAAAATAAATTTTCCTGGGTAGGGGGAAAACAATGACAGCTTCAAGGGCAACAATTTAGTGTGGGCATTGGTGGGCTCCAGAGAAAGTGGTCTTGTCCCCATACCACAAGCTAAGCCCTGGGAAGACCATAAGATGCCCAAGTAGGGTGTGGAACATGAGGGTGTGAGCAGCGATGAAATTTGTGTTTTCCTGTAGATCCCTGAGGAAGTTGCAAGACCCTAATGAAGAAGCGGCTGTATCATATCACCTGCCAGATGGGGCTTAGGCAGCCTCCCAGAGCTTCCTACACCGAAGAATCACACAGGAGCAGCAGAGCCATCCCTGAGTGCCCATGGGTAGCATAGTAGCGGGAGAAGGAAACACAAGCTCTTGAATTGCTCACTGAGCACAGGGTTGAGCATGGGGTGCCCTGGCAGTTGCCTGCCTAACCAGATGACATGACATCCCATCCACTGTGCCTCGACACCAGGTAGGCTTCCCATTTCTTAGTCACAAAACTGGGGGAAAGTGGGTGGAGGAGTAAATCCCAAACCTAGTGACCCTGCGTTTTGCCACCCCAGTGGAATAGTGAGCTACATAAAATGATGAAAATGTTATTTCTTTAGTGCCTGTTTTTGTTGACTGAGATGTATGATACATACCTGGCATGTACTCATGGGAGAAAAATGGGACATTTAAATAAGACTGTAAGATACGGCTGGACATGGTGGCTCATGCCTGTAATCCCAGCACCTGGGGAAGCTGAGGCGGGCGGATAACAAGGTCAGGAGATCGAGACCATCCTGGCCGACATGGTGAAACCGCATCTTTACTAAAAATAAAAAAAATTAGCTGGGCTTGGTGGCGGGTGCCTGTAATCCCAGCTACTTGAGAGGCTGAGGCAGGAGAATCGGTTGAACCTGGGAGGTGGAGGTTGCAGTGAGCTGAGATCACGCCATTGCACTCCAGCCTGGTAACAGAGTGAGACTCCATCTCAAAAAAAAAAAAAAAAAAGACTGTAAGATATTTGAAGAAAACCATCCACCTTTATAGTTGTTTACACACACACACACACACACACACACCCCTTGTGTATTATTAGGCTAGTACCAAAATAATTGTGGGTTTTGTCATTACTTTCAATGGCAAAAACCACAATTACTTTTGCATCAACCTAATAGTAAGGATTCCAGCTGAAAACAGATGACAGGCTCAAGATGGGTAATTTACAATAGGTAGGCGTTACCAAAACTATCAAGGGATCATGCTGTGCACTGAGGTTAACCAAAGCAAGAAACTTCACCATTAGACCTGAAAAGGGAGAGGGGGGAACCCAGAGAGGATGCTTCAGGGACAGGTCCTCCAGATAGGAGCTGTGGACTTTGCTAGAAGGATGTCACGTGCAGCCCAAAGCACACCCTTGGCATTCACATGAGGAGGGAGCTTGGGATGTATATCCCATCCCCACCCTCTAATCTCTCGTGGTGCATCTCCATGGGAAACCCAACAAGAAGCCAAGAGGCAAGGGAGATGTCAATGGTGTCCACATGGGCCAGCCTCACCAAGAGCAGAGCAGAAGAGAAGGGGAGAAAGTGGAGCTAGAGGGGCAAATGGAAGATATCCAACATTAATGCTTTGCTCGCACCTTGTCACATAAAATATGTTTATATCTCACTCCATTAGCTACCTAAGCTCATGAAGATAAATTTCTGACTTCCTTTCTGTTCTTTCTTTCTCCCTCTCTTACATGCATGCACTTGTGTGCGCACACGTGCACACACACACACACACACACATGCCATTTATTCCTTTTTTGTTCATTCATTATTCATGGTATAACCAGCTTTTTTTCTGAATATACAATATAGACTTTTTTTTAAATATAGAAAATACACGAAGAAGTAAAGTAGAAAGTAAAGGCCGGGCACGGTGCCTCACGCCTGTAATCCCAGCACTTTAGGAGGCCGAGGCAGGTGGATCATGAGGTCAAGAGATCGAGACCATCCAGGCTAACACGGTGAAACCCCATCTCTACTAAAAATACAAAAAATTAGCCGGGTGTGGCGGCATGCACCTGTAGTCCCAGCTACTCAGGAGGCTGAGGCAGGAGAATCACTTGAACCAGAGAGGCAGAGGTTGCAGTGAGCTGAGATGGTGCCACTGCACTCCAGCCTGGGTGACAGAGCGAGACTTTGTCTCAAAAAAAAAAAAAAGTAAAGCTCAACTTAATTCCACCACCTAGAGATGATTACTATTAATGCTTCAATCCATATCTCTTTATATGTCTTTATAATTTATACACATTTGTATGTATATTTCAGAAATGAATCCTACCATGCCAACATGTTTTATAACATATTTTCCCCCCCAATAAATTGCATAACTCTTCCTATGTCAATATAGATGTTTTTCATCATTTTTAATGGCTGCATAGTATTCTATTTTATGAATAAATCATAACAAGTCACTTAATTTTTTTTTAGATGGAGTTTCACTCTTGTTGCCCAGGCTGGAATGCAATGGTGCAATCTTGGCTCACTGCAACCTCCACCTCCCGGGTTCAAGCAATTCTCCTGCCTCAACCTCCCTAGTAGCTGGGATTATAGGCATCTGCCAACACCCCTGGCTAATTTTTGTATTTTTAGTAGAGACAGGGTTTCACCATGTTGGGCAGGCTGGTCTCAAACTCCTGACCTCAGGTGATCCACCCACCTCAGCCTCCCGAAGTGCTGGGATTATAGGTATGAGCCACCGTGCCTGGCCACAGGTCACTTTTTAAACTTTTTTATTAACATATAGTTGACAAATAAAAATTGTATATATTGACCAGGTGCGGTTGCTGGCACCTGTAATCCGAGCACTTTGGGAGGCCGAGGCAAACAGATCACCTGAGGTCAGGAGTTCGAGACCAGCTTGCCAACATGGCGAAATCCTGTCTCTACTAAAAATATAAAAATTAGCCCGGCATGGTGGCAGGCACTTTTAATCCCAACTAGTTGGGAGGCTGAGGCAGGAGAATCGCTTGAATCTGGGAGGTGGAGGTTGCAAGTGAGCTGAGATCACACCACTGCATTCCAGCCTGGGGGAGAGAATGAGACTTCATCTCAAAGAATAAATAAATAAAATAATATAAAATAAAAATAAATAAATAATTGTATATATTTTTGGTACAATGTGATGCTTTGATATATATATATATATACTTTGTGAAATTATTAAATTAAGCTAATTGTCATATTCATCACCTCACATACTTACCATTTTTTGTTTTGAGATCATAAAAATCTCTTAGCAACTTTCAAGTATACATTATTAACTGTAGTCATCACATTATGCGATAGATCCCTTAAACTTATTTCTCTTAACCGAAACTTTGGACCCTTTCACCAACACCTCCCCATTCCCCACCCCACAGCCCCTGGCAACCACCATTCCACTCTCAGCTTCAACGAGTGCCACTTTTTTAGATTCCACCATGTAGGTGAGATCATGAGATATTTATTTTTCTGTGCCTGGCTTTTTTTCACTTAGCACATCCTTCAGGTTCATCCATGTTGTCAAAAAAGAAATGTCCTTCTTTTTAAAAACTGATTAGTGTTACATTGTGTGGGGTGTGTGTGTGTGTATGTGTGTGTGTGTGTGTGTGTGTGTCTGCATATCTGTGTTTGTTTCTTCATTCATCTGTGGAGGGATACTTAAGTTGATTCTGTATCTTGGTTATTGTGAATAGTGCTGCGACAAAGATGGGAGTGCAGATATGTCTTTGACATACTCGTTTTATTTCTTTTGGATCTATACCCAGTAGTGGGACTGCTGGATCATATGGTAGTTCTATTTTTAATTTTTGAGGAAACTCCATACTATTTTCCATAGTGACAATTCCACAGTGGCAATTTACATTCCCACCAATAGTGTACAAGGGTTCCCTTTTCTCCATATCCTAGTCCAACAGTTTTGATCTTTCATCTTTTCGATAATAGCCATTTTAAAAGGGGTGAGGTGATATCCCATTGTAGTTTTGTATTTCCTGATGATTAGTGATACTGAGCATTTTTTCCTAACAAGTCACTTTCCTTGGGAGGCATATAGGTGATTTCTAATTTTTTTGCAATGGAAACAATGTTGTGATAAACATCCTTGCATGGAGTTTTTGTTTGCTTGTCCAGTTATTCCCCCAAGACAGTGATTCTCCAAGTGTGTTCCATGGAGCCCTGGAAATGCCTGAGGGACTTCAGCAGGGGTGAGGTGGCTTCAGGCTTCTTCTGCCTGACTTCTGCCAGGCTTCAGGGCTGCATCCCCTAACACTGCTTTGGCAATTGTAGATGCACTTCCCTCTGCTCAATTTTGTGTGAAGGAAGAGTTTCACTACTAAATGCAACTGGAAATTGGGTGCTTAGAATGTAGTCAAAGAAAAAGTTGTTAGGTAAAAGATGCCCATTTAAAGATCTGATACAGGTTGATAAATACCGTTGCTCGCCAAGAAAGGGCATGCTTATTTACATTATTAAATTATATGTACCAAAAGTATATGTGCCTATATTCTGCCACACCAATAGTTTTCATTTATACTGATTTAAAAGCATGCATATCATTCCTTTAATTTAGATGTCCTTGACTAGTGATTGTATTAGTATCCTATTGCTGCTGTACAAACTACCACAAAGTTAATGACTTAAAACAACACAAATTTATTATCTTATAGATCTGGAGGTCAGAAGTCCAAAATGAGTCTTACAGGGCTGAAGTCAACATGTGGCAGAGCTGTATTCCTTTCTAGAAGCTCTGGAGGAGAATTCATTTCCCCTGCCTTTTCCAGCTTCTAGAGGCTACCAGCATTCCTTGGCTTGTGGCCCCTTTCTCCGTCTTCAGAGCACAGCACTCCAATCTCTGCTTCCTTCATCACATCTCTTTCTTTGACTTGGACTCTCCTGACTTTCTGTTTCACTTATAAGGACCCTTGTGATTACACTGGGCCGACCCAGACAATCTAAGGTAATCCTCTCATCTCAAAATCCTTAACTTAATCACACCTGCAAAGTTCCTTTGCCATGTAAGGTAATATATTCACAGTTTTGGAGATTAGGATATGAGCATCTTTCAAGGGCTATTCCTGCCATCACAGTAATGATATAGAACACATTTTCTTTTGTTTGTTGTTAATTTGTAGTTATTTCATAAATGATCTCTCTGTGTCCTTTGCTCATTTTTCTATTGGGATATTTGTATTTTTCTAGCTGATTTGTTTTTAAATTTTTACATATTTTGGAGTTGTAAACATATAGCCAATTACATAAGTTGCAAATACTTTTTTCCATACTTCTAGTTTTTAAACTTTCCTTAGCCTACTATGTACTACTCTGTTCCAGCTGCCATAATAAAATACTGTAGACTGGATGGCTCACACAACAGAAATTTATTTTCTCACAGTCTTGGAGGCTGGAAATCTGAGATTAGCATGCAAGTATTGTTAGTTTCTAGTGAGGGCTCTCTTTCTGGCTTGAAGATAGCTGCCTTCTCACTGTGTCCTCACATGCGAGAGAGAGAGAGACAGAGAGACAGAGAGAGAGAGAAAGAGCCCTCTGGTATCTCTGCTTATAAAGACACTAATCCTATTATGAGGGCCCCACCCTCATGACCTCATGTAACCCTAATTACCTCCCAAAGGACCCAACTCCAAATACCATCACATTGTGGGTAAAGCCTTCAACGTGTGAATTTTGTGGGAACATAAACATTTAGTCCATAAATGGGTTTTATGGAAGATGTTGGATGTTCGTGTGCTCAAATCTGTCAATCTTTTGTTTTAATTCATTTATTCTCTGAAACAGGGTCTAACTCTGTCACCCAGCCTGAAGTGTAGTAGTGAGATCATGGCTCACTGCAACCTCAACCTCCCAGACTCAAGCAATCCTCCTGCTTTAGTCTCCTGAGTAGCTGGGACAACAGACACAGGCTGCCACGCCCAGCTAATTTTTTAATTTTTTTTTTTTGTAGACAGGGTCTTGCCACGTTGCCCAGGCTATGTCAATCTTTTGATGCCTTTTTGGCTTCAATATGTTTAGCTTAGTAAGACTTCCCTCATCTAAGATTTATAAATATGTACATATACTTCTTAAATTCTCGTATATTTGTTTTATTTTACATCCAAATTTAACCATTCTGAAATCCAATTTCAGATGAGGTCTGACTCCTTTTTTACCCACTTAAACTATTTTGGTTACCATTTTATTCTTCAAATACAACTTCTAATAGGTTCTAAGCACTTAAGCCTCTAACCAAAGACTAGAGCCCTGGATTTGCCATCATCTGAATGCTGGCCTGTTGCAATTCACTTTATTTCTTCCCTTTCTGTGCTAGTTATAGAAAACTATTTTTTGTCTATCTGGAAAATCCATTCATTCAGTAAAGACCAACAATTAAAGCCAGCTGTTTTTTTTTTTAAGGAAACAGTGAGTTTCCTTAATATTTCAGGCTTGAAAAGCTTTCCATGAATAGCAGTTTAAGATCAACTCATCCAAGTGTGTACTAAGACTTTCACATTATTTTGAATCCTAAAGTTATTTGATCTTCAAAACAAATGGGGAAAAATATTCTACCTATGGAATAAACCTATTTAGATAGTTGAATTTTAAAAAACTTATGCTTCAGGTGCGGTGGCTCACACTTGTAATCCCAGCACTTTGGGAGGCTGAGACAGGCAGATCACCTGAGGTCGGGAGTTCGAGACCAGCCTGGCCAACATGGTGAAAATACACACACATACATACTCTCTGTTTCTCTCTCTCTCTCTCTCTCTCTCTCTCTCTCTCTCTCTCTCTATATATATATATATATATATATATATATATATATATATATACACACACACACACACACACACACACACACACACACAAATCAGCTGGGCATGGTGGCACACGCCTGTAGTCCCAGCTACTGGGGAGGCTGAGGCAGAAGAATCGCTTGAACCTGGGAGACGGAGGTTGCAGTGAGCCAAAATCGCGCCACTCCACTCCAGTCTGGGTGACAGAGCAAGACTCCATCTAAATAAATAAATAAATAAATAAATAAATAAATAAATAAATGTAATATGAGAAGCCAGGAGAGGAGTGAGTTGATGAAGGAGTGAGCAGAACACGTGTAAGAACACCCTTAAGGAGATGAAAGGAGAGGGTAGAAGAAAGACCCCAAGCCAGTGGCCTCTGTGAATTGGTCACAAGACCACAGTGGGGGATCCTGCTGAAGATGCATAAACTTCCTCAAATAATGACGATGGTCTCCGCTGCCATGTGTCCCTCACCTGCCTCATGGTCCAGTACCCAAATGTTGCCAGAATGAGGACTGAGACTATTGTTCCCCTGTGGGAGAGAAGATTTACATAACTAGGGAGAGTTTGGGGATTGGTGATAATTAAATAAACAAAAACAACAAAACCAATGATTAATCCGAGAAAAAACAAAAAAGTAGGGAAGGAGAAGTAATCGTAATATGTTACATGACTCAGCTGTCAATAACATTAATCGATTCGTAAAAGGTAAACACTTATGCCAGTTATCAATTTACTGCCTCTCCAGATTCACACTGTGAGATTCGGGGTCCTTTGACTATTTCTCCTTTGCAGCCGGCATGATGTTAAAAGCATCGTCAGTAGAGGGCGTTGGAGGGATGCTGAAGGAGGAAGGCGGTTGCTTCCACCATCCAGGTTTTGCTGCTTTTCAATCCTCTCCCCACACCCCCCAATGCGGCAACCAAAGATCCAGTGACAGCTCCATTAGGATCCAGCAGCACCAGATGGATAACTTCCCACAGGGTTCCCGCAGCCTTCCCAGGAATGATCCCCAGTGAATCATGCGGGTGCCTCAGTTGGCTTCCCAGCCTTGGCCTGCCAGCCCTCCAGAGAGGTGTTTTCTGCTTGCCAATCCTGGCCACGGTTTTCTACACATCTCTACCTCGGAGTGGTGTTTTCTTCTTGTCCAGTGGCCTGGAGCAACCCAGAAAACTTCTGTGCCATCTCAGCCTCAGGGAGGGACGTTCCTCCCGGGAGTATCCTTGCATGGGGGAAAAGAACCTCCAGAGGTCTGTAGTAGAAACAGACTTCTGTTACAAAAGGCAAATTAACAAAAGAAAAGCAAACAAATTTATTCACATATATACTTCATAATACATGGGAGATACACAGAGAATGAGTAGTTCTCAAAGTGGTGGCTTGGAATTCCAGCTTAGCTGGCATCTTTAACAAAGAACAGTACACTTTTAGAGAAGTGACAGGACAAAGGAAATGGATTTTGAGTTTCTACAGGCAGCAACTTGAGGAAAGGCAAAGAACTGGCAGATAAAGGCTGGTTAGTAAAGCTTGTTCATATGCATTCCTCTGGCTTCATCTCCAGGCCGAGACAGTTTAAAGCTTTCTTCAGTGGTAACCTTTATTTTTATTTATTTGTTTTATTTATTTATTTATTTATTTATTTATTTTTGAGATGGAGTCTCGCTCAGTAGCCCAGGCTGGAGTGCAGTGGTGCAATCTCGGCTCACTGCAAACTCCGCCTCCCGGTTCAAGTGATTCTCCTGCCTCAGCCTCCCAAGTAGCTGGGATTACAGGCGTCCACCACCACACCCGGCTAATTTTTGTGATTTTAGTAGAGACGAGATTTCACTATATTGGCCAGGCTGGTTTTGAACTCCTGACTTCAAGTGATCTGCCCACCTTGGCCTCCCAACGTGCTAGGATTACAGGCGTGAGCCACTGCCCCCAGCCCCCTTATTTATTTATTTTTATTTTTTTGAGATGGAGTCTCGCTCTGTCACCCAGGCTGGAGTGCAAGTGGAGTGCAGTGGCACGATCTTGGCTCACTACAACCTCTGCCTCCTGGGCTCAAGCAATTCTCCTGCCTCAGCCTCCCAAGTGGCTGGGACTGCAGGGGCCCGCCACCATGCTGGGCTAATTTGTGTGTGTGTGTATATTTTTAGTAGAAACAGGGTTTCACCAAGTTGACCAGGCTGATCTCAAATTCCTGACCTCAGGTGATCCACCAGCCTCAGCCTCCCAAAGTGCTGTGATTCCAGGCATGAGCCACCACATCTGGCCCACTGGTAACCTTCAGAGAGCAAGGAAGGATACTGTGACGGTTAATATTAGGTGCCAACTTGACTGGATTGGGGAATGCTAGGTGGCTGGTATCGTTTCTGGTGTGTCTGTGAGGGTGCTGGGGAGATTGACATGTGAGTCAGTGGACTGGGAGAGGAAGACTCACCCTCAGTGTGGGTGGACACCATCCAATGGCAGCCAGCACAGCCAGAACAAAGCAGGTGAAGAAGGTGGGGTAACTTTGCTTGCTGAGTCCTCTGGCTCTCTTTCTTCTTCCCACGTTGGGTGCTTGCCTCTGCTCCTCCTGCCCTTGGATATCAGACGCCAGATTCTTTGGCCTTTGGACTCTGGGACTTGCACCAGCAGCTTCCCAGGGTCTCCCGGACCTTCAACCGCAGACTGAAGGCTGCACTGTTGGCTTCCCTGGTTCTGAGGCTTTCGGACTTGGACTGAGCCACTACCAGCTTTTCCTTCTCCCCAGCTTGCAAACGGCCTCTTGTAGGACTTTGCCTTGTAATTGTGTGAGCCAATCCTCCCTAGTAAACTCTCTTTTATATACACATATATCCTATTAGTTCTGTCCTCCTGGAGAACCCTGACTCATACAGATGCCCTTTTTCTTTATAGATCTATATTCTTCTTTTAGGCAAATAGAGGAGAATGCAGGGGCAGAAAAGGTGTGATCCCTTTCCTCACCCATCATAAGGGTCATGGCCGACAACTCCTATAACAAAGACAGGTTCACAGGAGAAAAACATAACACAACTTATTTAATCAAAGTTTTACATGACACGGCAAACTTCAGAAATAAAGTCCTAAAGACCCAGGGAAAATTGTCTATTTTTATGCTTAAGTCAAATAAAAAATGGGCAGGCATGTAGAAATGTGACTGGACAACAACAATATGATCCAATGATAATGGATTGAGTGGGGAGACCCGGCAAAGCCTGTATGTTCAGATTCTTCTTGGCTTCTCTGTGCAGCATTCCTTGCTCGGGGGATAGCGCAGGACCCCTCTGGAATGGGAGTCTTATGACCAACTATTTGGCAAGGCAGGCCGGAGAATGTCTTTATGGCCAGCTTCTACACAGAAAGATGGGGAAGATGAGAATGATATGTCTCATTTTAAGGCTTGCTTTGGAGAAGAGGGGATCAGTTTCTAATAACCAGCCTTGGGGAAGTGGAATTCTGGTGTCCATGACTTGCTTTGGGGGAAAAAAGAGGCAGGAGAGATAGAACAGAAAAGATCAGAGAGAACTTGCTTCTGGAGCCTTCCAGTCTCCTTGAGATCAAAGTGCTCAACCCGCCAAAGTGCCGTACTGCAGGGCATTGTTTTCCAAGCCCCAACAGAGGGCAGAGCGCTCTGGTGCGTTTGTTTCTTCTTAAGTGTCTTCAGCTTGATAATCCCTTGTACTTTGGGGAGGGGTACTCTGGTCTCCCACACTTGCCCACCTCTAGGCATTCTTTACAGTTCTCTTTCCCCCTTGATAGATAATCCTATACTGTAGTGAATAACTCTTTATATTAAACTTTCTATGTACCAATTACTCTGTGGTTTCTAACTCCTGATTAGACTTGACCAATACAACACTGAATATGTGTCTAACCAAAGCTTATGTAATTGTTTCAGGAAGACAGGAAGTCAGAAAGTGTGAATGTGTGTATGTGAGAGAGAGAGAGCAATAAAGAGAGCGAGAGAGAGAGCGAGAGTGAAAGTAAAGGCCTTATTTTCCATCGCAAGAAGTTGACAACATACACCTGAAACTGAAAATTTATAGAATATAGTATAAAATTATCTAGAGATTTGAAAGTGGTTCTGTTTAGAGATCAGGAAATGGAGTGAGAGAGATCTGCTAATTTTTGTAACAAGCCTTGGATTTGACTCTTATGATTATAGATAACTTCAATGAGAATTAAAACTGATAAAAAGAGAATTACTAGGACTTTGGAAGGCCAAGGCAGGAGGATCACTTGAGGCCAGGAGTTCGAGATCAGCCTGGCCAACATACCAAAACCCCATCCCTACTAAAAAATACAAAAAAGTAGCTGGGCGTGGTGGCGCATGCTTGTAATCCCAGCTACTCGGGAGGCTGAGACATGAAAATCACTTGAACCCGGGAGGCAGAGGTTGCAGTGAGCCGAGATCATGCCACTGGACTCCAGCCTGGATGACAGAGTGAGACTCTGTCTAAAAAAAGAAAAGGAGAGAGAGAGAAAAAAAGAAAATTACTGAAATAAATAAACAGAGGGGAAGGAAAGAAGGAACGTTACAAAGTTTGTGGGAGTAAACCAAAAATAAAATTCTAAGCACCCCCAACCACTGAATGGATTCCCCCCTTGGCCAAGAGGATCCCAAAGAAAACCCGAGGAAACTTTGTGCAATGGCAGCCAATGAGGTTTACCTGAGGTGTGATTATTGCTAATGGAAAACTCTTCTCAGTACCCTGCCACGATGAGTTGAAATATAGTCAGCATTGGCAATTTTTGACCGTCTCTCCAGAGACTGAACTTTGTTAGTAAAAAAATATATATTAAAAAACAACAACAACAACAACAAAAACAACTCGGGTGCGGTGGCTCTCGCCTGTAATCCCAGCACTTTGGGAGGCTGAGGCGGGTGGATCACTTGAGGTCAGGAGTTCGAGACCAGCCTGGCCAACATGATGAAACCCCGTCTCTACTAAAAATACAAAAATTAGTTTAGCATGTGCCTCACACCTGTAGTCCCAGCTATTCGGGAGGCTGAAGCGGGAGAATCGCTTCAGCTCAGGAGGCAGAGGTTGCAGCGAGCTGAGATTGCACCACTGCACTCCAGCCTGGGGGACAGAGTGAGACTCTGTCTCAAAAAAACAAACAAACAAACAGACAAACAAACAAACCCCAAAACAAACCCTCAAAAAACTAGTTAAGGCCATGATGGGAAGGGAGGTCAGATGTCCTTTGCTACACCCTCCTCCCTTTGGAGTTCAGGCACATGACTGACCAGCATGAACATTCACAAAGAGATTATAAGACTGACAAAACAGACTGTAGCAACATGATACCAAGTTCCAACCTGATGCTGGTGTAGCATCACATGAGAGATAACAGGCCCTAGAGGAAATCAAAGTATTTTACCCCCAAATATATTTCTTTGACATATTTTGGAATAGCTCCGCAAAGCCATCTCTTGCGGGGAAAATTTGCATTCTCTAGAGAATCTCCTTCCCTTACTAGGACTATTTTGGAGAGTCTGATACCTTTCAAGGCCCAGTAAGAGACATATACCATCTATTCTCTCTGAAGCTGACTTAGAGACTTTATATAACAAAAACCTGGGGTTCCACAATCCCCCTTATCTTGACTCAAGCATTGCTTTATGCTGACTCAGCTCTTCAGGCAAAGCTTAACTCTTTCAACCAATCACCAATCAGAAAATCTTTGAATCCACCTATGACCTGGAAATCCCCTGCTTCCAGATGTCCTGCCTTTCTGGGCTGAACCAATGTATACCTCACATGTGTTGATTTATGTCTTTGCCTGTAACTTCTGTTTCCTTAAAATGTATAAAACCAAGCTGTAACCCAACCACCTTGGACGCATGTTCTCAGGACCTCCTGAGGCTGTGTCATGGGTCATGGGCCTCACATTTGGCTCAGAACAAACTTCTTCAAATATTGTACAGAATTTTGCTTTCTTCACCAACAGGGGCATTAAAAGATGTGTCACTGGGATTTTTTTAAATTAAACACACAATATATGATCAAACTAATTTCTGCCAAACTAATTTAATGGGATGAGAAAATAGGCCCATTGTCTCCCACATTTCTTTCTTCCTTGAAAGAAAGGATAGGGATGGAGGAAATGCATGCCTTTGGTTACCTAGAGCTGCAGTCCCCAACCTTTTTGGCACCAGGGACCGGTTTTGTGGAAGACAATTTTTCCACCAGTGGGTGGTGGAGGAGTGGGGGGATGGGGCAGATGTTTCTGGGGTGAAACTGTCCACCTCAGATCATCAAGCATTAGTTAGAGTCTCATAAGGAACACGCAACCTAGATCCCTCACATGTGCAGTTCACAGTAGGGTTCACACTCCTATGAGAATCTAATGCTGCTGCTGAGCTGACAGGAGGTGGAGCTCAGGTGGTCAGGCTGGCTTGCCCGCTGCTCACCTTCTGCTGTGTGGCCTGCTTCCTAACAGGCCACAGACAGTACCGGTCCTTGGCCAGGGGATTGGGCACCCCGATCTAGGGTACCAGAAGGGACAGTATAGTAGGACCATGGAAATCTATCTCTACTGGGGAGGGAGGTAAGAACTCCAAATAATTGAAAGCAGTAGCATTATTTCTGTATCCAAAAGAAAGCCCATTAGTCACCCTTGGAGGCTTCCTGTATGCCTCCCTAGGGCTCACTCCTCATAGTCAGAGAAGCAGCAGCGTATGTGGACTTACTTGAATTGTTAATAACTGGGCAAGAATCAAAACACCTTCTTGTTTGTTTGTTTGTTTTTTTCCAGTTGACAAAAATGCACTTGGTCATTTGAAATACAACATAGGTCTTAATTAATTAGCAAAACAATAGGGAGCCATAAGTATTTGTCTAGAAAAGAAGTCTCATGTAGCTAAACAGAAAGCCAATTACCTCATGGGTAGAACAGGGGAGATTGGAGTGGTGTTGCTCAGAATCATGAATTGCACAGAGGTGAGGACAAGCAGGACAGTCTTGGGTGCAATTTTGGTGCTACAAACCGAGCCAGATTGTTGCCTGTGTTGAAAATAAATGTAGTGCTATTCATTTTTAGCTGTGTCTCTATTGAAATGAGAATAAATACAAAATATATAATAAACACCCAAGAAAAATCTACAGTGGCAATATTCTAATACCAGTACAAAAAGGAGCATGTGACTACGAAATTCCCTTGTCCTTTGGTTTTCATCTTGCTAATATGAAAATATAAACACCATTGTTTTTTGAGAATCAGAGTTAATTTGTTAGTAATATTACTAGCACAATGTCTGGCTTGAAGTAGCATTAAATTGTTACCAGAAACGGGTCCTGATGCAGGCCCCAAGAGAGGGTTCTTGGACCTCGCAAAAGAAAGAATTTGAGGCGAATTCATTGAATAAAGTGAAAGCAAATTTATTGGAGAAGTAAAGAAACAAAAGAATGGCTACTCCATAGGCAAAAGGCCCTGAGGGCCGCTGGTTGCCCATTTTTATGGTTATTTCTTGATTATATGCTAAACAAGGGGTGGATTATTCATTAATTTTCTGGGAAAGGGGTGGGCAATTCCAGGAACTGAGGATTCCTACCCCTTTTCGACCATATAGGGTAACCCCCTGACATTGCCATGGCATTTGTAAACTGCCATGAGCTGGTGGGAGTGTCTTTCAGCATGATAATGCATTATAATTACCATGTAATGAGCAGTGAAGATGACCAGAGGTCACTTTTGTGGCCATCTTGGTTTTGGTGGGTTTTGGCCAGCTGCTTTACCGTCACCTGTTTTATCGTCAAGGTCTTTGTGACCTGTACCTTGTGCCGACCTCCTATCTCATCCTGTGACTTAGAATGCCTAACCTCCTGGGAATGCAGCCCAGTGGGTCTTATTTTACCCAGCCCCTGTTAATGATGGAGTTGCTCTGGTTCAAATGCCTCTGACAAAATGACTGATAGCATTACTGGTATTTTCATTACTTTTATCATCATTTTAATTATTAGTAGTATTTGAAAGCAGAGTCACAACCACAGATGGTTTCAGGAGCCAGGCCAGGAACATAAGTGCAGCAAGTGGGACTTCTGGGGACTGTGGAGAACCGGAAGGTGCACATCCCCTCCCAGCAGAGCAGCTCCCTGTCGGCTTTAGAAGAGCATGTGAAAATGCTGGTCTCATCATCATTATCCTCATCCTTATTCTTTTTACAGGAAAAGCCAGAAATCCAGGTTTTTATGTGAAATCTCCCAATTTTAAACATTGAGGACTAAACCATTTTTATCTGTGGGGAGGATGGGGCCCATAAACCTTATACACTGTTTTAAAGAAACAACAGTCCAGGTGCAGTGGCTCACACCTGTAATCCCAGCACTTTGGAAAGCCAAGGCGGGCAGATCACCTGAGGTCAGGAGTTCGAGATCAGCCTGGCCAACAATGGTGAAACCCCATCTCTACTAAAAATACAAAAATTAGCCGGGTGTGGTGGCATGCACCTGTAGTCCCAGCTACTCGGGAGGCTGAGGTGGGAGGATCGCCTGAGCCTGGGAGGTGGAAGTTGCAGTGAGCTGAGATCGTACCACTGCCCTCCAGCCTGGGCAACAAGAGTGACACTCAAAAAAAAAACAACAACAACAAAACACACAACAACAAAAACAGTGTCCACCAGCTAGAGGACCCAGCTTCCTCTTTGGGACACTGTCATTATCGGTCTTTCTTAGCATTTCCCATGTCCTCCCAGACACAGCACACACTGCTTTCTCTGGTTAACTTGTCATCAGGGTTTTGTCAATGCTTTTGCAGGCTGGGGTGAAGCAGGTTACCACATGCAGCCAGGGCAAGGCTCTCACCAGGGGTTCCTCCTGGCCCTCTTGGTCCCAGGATAATAGAAGGACCATATCAGATGCCCTCTCTTCCTCCCTTTGGGTCTTTCCTTAACCCCCCTCTAAGACCCTCTAGGAGCTATGAGCCCCACCTAAGGAAAGTGTCTGAGACAGTTATTCACACTAAAGTGTTAATGATTTAACAGCTCACCCTTCACAATGGGTGTCTATATTTTCAAAGAGAACACTCAGAAAGGAAATAGAATTAATTACTACTGCAAGAATTTTAGGGTTCTTGGCACTTCAGAGGAAGGACTGTGTTTACTTCAAAGTCTTCCTTGGCTTTTCTGATTATACCAGGGGAGCAAAACCAAACTCCGTCTTTGGAGAAGCGAGCAGAGCTCCAGCTTCTTTCTTCTGAGGGCTGTTTCAAAAGTTTTTGCAGAGCCAGGAGAAGAAGATGCTATTAGGTCCTCCCTATTGTTGAGGACTTCTTAAAGAGCAGGCCTTGCAATTTAAGTGTTTGGCCACCAGGTGGTGGAAGTGTGTCGTGACCACGTAATCTGCACCGTGGCAAGGGAAGCGGAGCTCACCTTGCATCAAACTACCTTAAAAATAGAGCTCTGACTTCCTTTCCTCACAGCCATGTTCAATCTAGAGTTAATCAAAACGTGTTTGCCTTTCTAGCAATTTCTGGCTAAAAAGGTCTGTGTTGTAACCCAGAACACCTTTGCGGAAAAATTTCACCCGTCTGTCTACCCCTGAGAAAGTTGAGTTCCTGTACATAGAAAGTGTAAAACTTTAGAACATTCCTTTTTCAATGAGCTCATCTCTGCCATCTGCCACTTTATTTTTAATTTTTTTATTTTAATTTTTTTTTTTTTTTTTTTTTTTTTTTTTGAGACGGAGTTTTTCTCTTGTTGCCCAGGCTGGAGTGCAATGGCGCCATCTCAGCTCACCACAACCTCCGCCTCCCTGGTTCAAGCAATTCTCCTGCGTCAGCCTCCTGAGTAGCTGGGATTACAGGCACCCGCCGCTACGCCCAGCTAACTTTTGTGCTTTTAGTAGAGACGGGGTTTTGCCACTTTGGCCAGGCTCGTCTCGAACTCCTGACCTCAGGTGATCTGCCCACCTCGGCCTTCCAAAGTGCTGAGATTGCAGGGGTGAGCCACCACGCCTGGCCCTGATATCTGAATTTCTGGCATCATGATTCTCTGAGCCATCCAGGCCCAGATCCCAGTGCTCTCTAACTTTCCCCCACTTCTGTGAATCCCTGACAATACTTCTCAGGAATTTCTGTAGAATCCAGCTCTTCCTTTCCATTCCTACACCACTTGCCTCTCTGGGATCAAGCTCAAGGACCATTCTGCGTCTCTGCTCATCAAGCTCCCTGTGCTCAGCAGGCAGCCGGCCATCACACTGGCACCACCATGCCGGGCTCCAGCTCCAGCCCCAGCAGGAGGAAGTCCAGAGACTTAGTCCAGGATCTGAATGCCAACCTTTCCAGCAGTGCCTCGCCATTCTTCTGACCAGACTTGCATTCTTTCCTCAAGGAGAGAAGGGTAATGGCAAGGATGGTGGTAGAAGGGCAGCAGGGATGGGGAGATGGGTAGCTTCACCCTACATGCCACATAGTTCTGCATCTGTCTCAGCTGTGCCAGGACAAACTTTTGCAGGTGTAGCAGGTACGAACATTTCTCATCTACAAACTTAGATAACTTCAAGATTCCCCCTTCCCTCGTTCTTCCCCTTTGAATGAGTTCCAAATCTTGCTGGATTTGGGCAACAGCGTGGCATTGGTGGGGAAATGCAAGCTCTCCTTGGTTCTGCTCTGTCCTATGCTGGCCTCTGCTGCCATGTGCAGGGTGCCCCACTGGGGTCTCCAGTTCTGAATCTCTGGAAAGGCCTCCTGCAGCCTTTGCCTCCAGAAAGGTCCCAATGCACATAGGCTGTTCCCCCATTTGGCTAGTTGCTGATGATTTTATTACCAGTGATAACAGTAGCTCATATTTATTGCACTATATGCCAGTCTTCATGCTGGGGACTTTTTAGGTTTCATCCCATTTAATTGTCACAAGAACCCTATGAGATAGGTGCTAATACTATCTCTGCTTTACAGATAAGGCTCAGAGAACATAAGTAATTTTGCCCAAATTAATAGCTAAGTAGTAGAGCCGGACCCTATGTCTAGAGTCCAGTGTTTATACTCCTTAGCCACTCACTACAAAACCCTTCCTCTTCTGGAGAGCCCCTGGATTCCTTCCTTCTCACCACTTTGCTTAGATGACTCTTGTGTTCTTGTGCTGGTCAGGGGCTAAAATTAAGTTAGTTATGTGTACTCTGCTATAATTCTATCAACCATTAATTTATTCCATCAACCACGGTGGAGAGAGAAGGCAGACTTAGCATCTGCCCTCTGGAAGGTCACATCAGGCCATTCTGAGTGGTTTGCTCAGAGGTGCTTCAGCATTGCCAAGGCGGATGCTGTCTGATCATGCAAACAAAAACACCTCTGTCATTGCTAAAGGCCACCAAGGCTATCAGTTAGCCCAGCTAAGAGCCAAGGGAATGACCGTATTGACCTGACCTGAGACCTCTGGGGAGTCCCCGAGACCATTCCCAAGAGCCACTGCCCTTAGAGGGAAACCCCAGTCTGCCAATGGTAGGTGATGAATGAGAGTCACCAGAACTAATCACTTTAGCTGGTCAAAGAGGCAGAAATAGAATGGAAGGTGGAAGGGGAAGGATGAAGGAGAGAGCAAGGCAGAGTGCCGGCCCCCCTGATGAGAAAGCTCTTGGCGACGCTACCATAGCTGCTTTATGTTAAAAATGTCATCCAGTTGGGAGTCCTGTCTCTCAAAGTTCTGTGCCAACTTCACCCAAAGGTTACCTGTTGTCAGAGGGAGCCCAGGTGGAAAGTGAAGTGGGAGGGATTCCGGTAGCTGATTTCATTCTGGTTTAGCTGGTTTCTGTTTAAGTAAATACATAGTGATAAAGCTCAATTGTTCACTAAATGGCAGTAAAGTATACCCTGTCATCCCAAAGTGATAGTAGACTTTGTTTTGTTTTGTTTTGGTTTGGTTGTTTTTTGTTTTGTTTTGTTTTGTTTTGTTTTGTTTTGTTTTTGAGACAGAGTTTCACTCTCGTTGCCCAGGCTAAAGTGCAATGACGCAATCTCGGCTCACGGCAACCTCCACCCCCTGGGTTCAAGCAATTCTCCTGCTTCAGCCTCCAGAGTAGGTGAAATGACAGGCGCCTGCCACCATGCCTGGCTAATTTTTTGTATTTTTAGTAGAGACGGGGTTTCACCATGTTGGCCAGGCTGGTCTTGAACTCCTGACCTCGGGTGATCTGCCCACCTCAGTCTCCCAAAGTGTTGGGATTACAGGCATGAGCCACCGCACCCAGCCAATAGCAGACTTTAATATAAACAGGATAGTTCCACATCTTCCAAAGAAAATAGAATCAAGAGAAGCAAAGGTAGCATTGAGGTATCTGGAAAGGGGGCTGGTGAAAATAGATGTACATGATGAACGATCTGGTGGTCAAGGCTTAAGATTCCACACTGATCTATGTGGCTGTTCTTATTAAAGCATAACAATGAAGAAACAGAGGAAGTTCTCAAATAATTGCAAACACTGGTATCACTTGGAGCTCTTTGGTTGCAAACAACAGAAATGAACACTGGGTAACTGAAGACAAAAAGAAATGTATTGAAAGGCTACAGGGTAGCCCAGAGAATCACAGGAAAAGGCTTAGTGAGGACAGAAACTGGGGTGACTCCAGAGATCCAGAGAGCAAGAACTAATGGGCAGCCCTGCCTTTTGGGATGAACCTGTTTTGCCATTTGGGGTCCTTGTGTCACATGGCTCAAGATCTCATTTTTATAGGGCAAGATTCTCATTGCTTAGTTCGGATCATGTGCTCATTTGATCAGGGATCAGGCACTTTGAAGTCTGCAAAGGACAGGGCTTGTGTCTCAGTGGAAAATAGATGGAGATGTGGATGTTGTGCAAGGGTTGTTTGCACGTAGTATTTACCAACCTGGGCTTTCCCCAGAGGGGTACAAGTAGGCTCAAGCTGAAATGAATTGTATGGCAGCATTGGTCATCAGAACTGAGATTGTAAATATTAGAAATAGAAATAGAGAAAGTGGCACAGGAGGAAAGAAACGGGAGACAATGTCCAAAAGAGTAACTTGAACGCTGAGGGTATTGGCAGGGGCGGGATATGGGGGCAGTTACTTCTTTCCTACTCACTGCTGTTTAGAGTTTCCTCTGTACAATCTGGGGGAAATGCCCCCCTTTGCTATACTCAAGGGAAGGCATTGGTGCTAACCATAGAAAATAGATAAATGTGAAAGAAATGAATAGGCCAGGCATGGTGGCTCATACCTGTGATCCCAGATTTTGGGAAGCCAAGGCAAGAGGATTGCTTGAGGCCAGGAGTTCAAGACTACCCTGGCCAACATAGCAAGACCCCATCTCTATTTTTTTAATTATAAAAAAGATAAATAAATGAATAGAACAAATTTACCAAGTCAAAATTTGAGCCAAAGCATAACAGCTAGGCTATATTTAGATATCTAAGGAAAAAATAAATAAATTTCTTAGATTACACATAGTTCCTCTTTAATCTTGTGCATACTTTTTAAAGTATACAACTCCATATAAGAAGAAAATAAAGTTGAGGCTTCTAATGAAGTTATTTAAGAAAAATAAGATCATATTAGAGATCAAACATTCAGAAAATCACACACACATACACAAACTTTTGTGATGAATTAACAAGTCAGAAAGAAAAAATGAATAACA
Source organism: Homo sapiens (assembly GCF_000001405.40). Taxonomy (NCBI): domain Eukaryota; kingdom Metazoa; phylum Chordata; class Mammalia; order Primates; family Hominidae; genus Homo; species Homo sapiens. Next base: position 100,822,904 of record NC_000008.11, on the reverse strand, counting down.
GAGATATTAACAGGAAATGAAAAGGGTGGTTACAGTGCTGAGAGAGAGAGACTCACAGACAAGCCTAGAAGCCAAAAGGGCTACGCTGAGAAAACATTTAAAATCAAGACCAAAGGTCTACAATGCACAAAGGCAAATATGTCCTCACATAGAAGCCAGGAGGAACTCCTCCTTGATTAATTCACTTAACAAATAGGTACTGAGCTCCAGATGCATTCTAGATGCTATGCCAGGTCTCAAGGAGGCATGGCTATTGGCTCATGCCTTAGTCTGTTTGTGCAGTGATAACAGAATACCAGAGACGAGGTGATTTATAAACGACAAAAGTTTATTAGGTTCACAGTTCTGGAGGATGGGAGGTCCCAGAGCATAGCGCTGGCATCTGGTGAGGGCCTTCATGCTATATCATCCCATTGCAGAAATAAGATGGGCAAGAGAGGAGAGAGAGTGAGAGAGAGGGGGCTGAACTCATACTTTTATCAGAAACCCATTCCCATGATAGCTAACCCATTCCCATGATAACTAACCCACTCTGCAATAATGGCATTAATTCTTTCACCTCTCAACACATTAATCCACTCAAAGGTCCCACCTCTCAACAATGTTGCATTGGCGATTAAGTTTCCAGCACATGAACTTTGAAGGACACATTCAAACGATGACACTCATGGATTCTACATTTCCTACCACCATACTCTCTCATACGGAAATTCTTTACAGACCTAGCAACAAAAATTTGGGGCTATAATGTTCACTAAGCTTTTTAAAATTATTTTTTATGTAGCTGCTTGAGTTTATCCCTTTAAAAAGAAACACAAAAACATGAAAATACAGTATTAAACCTCATATTAATTTCACACCAGTTTTAAAATTTTTTCTAATTAAATAAAACCTTTGAAGTTTATCAACTCCTTTCAACAGCAAAGATATAATGTTGCTTAAGAGATCATGCTTCTATCATGGTAATAAATTTTAAAAAATTATTTAACATATCACTCTACTCAGTTGGAAAAATATAATAAAACATGAAGCAGGTTCAGAATTCAGAAGGATCGAGGCTGTCACTGCAGGTTGTTTTTGGAGAGGAGGAATAGGTTAAGAAATTTTCTGGATTTTGTCTAGGTCAGATTTAGTTCAAGCTTCAAAGAGAGAACAATATTGTTATTTGAGTTCAGTTTCAATTCAAATTAAAATATCAGTTTCCTACTTTGGGTTCATTTCAACTCCCTGCTGAGAGCTGAGAATGTTACTTGGTGGGAGAAAAGATGCCAGAGCAATTATTTTTTAACTCATTTTGTTAGCCACCTCACCCCACTGTAAACGAGTATAGCTGGCAGCTCCCGGATTCACAGAGCGTCGAAGCACAGTGGAAATCCTCCAGTCCACAGAATTCCTTACGCCCTGGGACATGTGGCCAGGGAGCCTTTGCGGAGCTCATACTCTCCTCCAGTGAGAGGCAGAAAGGACGCCTTGGATGTGGGGCTAGTGTCAGATGGGGCCCTTGTCTGTGGGTTGGCTGGGGGTGAGAAGGCTTAGCAGCCAAGAGGTGGACTGTGGGAAAGGGACGCTTAGTATCAAGAAGGAATCCAGGGCCATGAGTTGGACTCAGTCCTACATAGGAAGAAAGGTCAAGACAGGCATGAAGATGCTTGTTTTCTGCTCTTTATCCTTTCCCGAAGACCCTGACAAAGAAACTCAGGGTCTAGAGGAAAAACTGAATAATCTGGAAAGGTGCCAACACGAAGTGACACAAAGGGTAGCGATGGAAACACCTGCTTCTTTCTCCTCCCTACCCTATCCCACGTGCTAATGTATCCATCACAGCCTTGCTGAGGGGGGCTGGTCTCAGGCTGCTGCCCATCCACCGACACCCACATCAGCCCCTGTGTCTGTCCAGTCCTGGCCACCTGGCTTCTTTATGGAGGCAGCCCAGGCGCTGCTCAAAGTGACAATCACTGAAGCCCATTTCCCACCCCAACTCACCTTTAAAAAAGAGATTTGGAAGACTTTCTGGGAAAGTCTTTACGTAAAAACAGTAAAGTCTTACCATGTATAGTATTGCACTAGATCCTGTCATTAAACTTACGTTCTCCTGTTAAGCCTGGTCATTTGCCATTTATGCCCTGTTTATAATTATTTTGAAGGACTGACAATTTTTTTTAAAAAAACTGGCTGGGCAAGGTGGCTCATGCCTGTATTCCCAGCACTTTGGGAGGCCAAGGTGGGAGGATCACTTGAGCCCAGGAGTTCCAGACCAGCCTGGGCAACATAGTGATACCTCATCTACTAAAAATTTAAAAAGTAACTGGACATGGTGGCACATGCCTATAATCCCAGTTACTCAGGAGGCTGAGGTGGGAGGATCGCTTGAGATCAGGAATCCGTGGTTTTGCAACTGCACTCCAGCCTGAGTGACAGAACAAGACCCCGTCTCAAGTAAATAAATAAATAAATAAATCTAAATGAAAGGCCACATTAAACATTCTGAGTTTGTTGTAATCCTCCAACAGTTGGAATTATCAATAATACATATCACACGGTGGTTTGGTGTGGTTTTTTGTTTGTTTTGTCTTGTTTTTCTTTTTTAATGGTTATTATGTTTTGTTTTTTAAATTGTAGTAATATAACATAAAACTTACCATTTTAACAATTTGGAAGTGCATTGTTCTATGGCATTAAGTACATTCACATTATCATGCAACCATCACCACCATCCATCTCCAGAACTTCTTCATCTCCCCAAGCTGAAACTTTGTACCCACTAAACACTCATTCCCCATTTCCCCCTCCCCTTAGCCCCTGGCAACAACCACTCTACTCTCTAAGATTTTGACTACTCGGCTAGGTGCAGTGGCTCATGCCTGTAATCCCAGCACTTTAGGAGGCCGAGGCAGGCAGATCATAAGGTCAGGAGTTCGAGACCAGCCTGACCAACATGGTGAACCCCATCTCTACTAAAAATACAAAAATTGGCCAGACATGGTGGCAGACACCTGTAATCCCAGCTACTTAGGAGGCTGAGGCAGGAGAATCACTCGAACCCAGGAGGCGGAGGTTGCAGTGAGCTGAGATCGTGCCATTGCACTCTAGCCTGGACAACAAGAGCGAGACTCTGTCTCAAATAAAAAAAGATTTTGATTGCTCAAGGTACCTCATATAAGTTATAAGTAGAATCATACACTGTTTGTCCTTCCATGACTGGTTTATTTCACTCAGCATAGTGTCCTCAAGGTTCATCCATGTTGGAACATGTGTCAGAATTTCCTTCTTTTTTAAGGCTGAATCATATTCCATAACCCTTCCAAGAATCCTATGAAGTCACTATAACCACTATACAGAGAAGGAACTGAGAGGCTCAATATCTATTTAATAGTCCATTATTTTACCCGTTGATTTTAAATGCTGCCTTTATCATACATTGCCATATATACATAACTGTTTTTGTTGTTGGCTTTTTTTGCATGTTTTGGCTGTTGTTTTGAGACAGAGTATCACTCTGTCACCCAGGCCGGAGTCCAGTGAGCAATTACGGCTCACTGCAGCCTCCACTTCCTGGGCTCAAGTGATCCTCCCACTTCAGCCTCCTGAGTAGCTGGGACTACAGGCATGTGCCACCGCACCGGGCTAATTTGTGTGTGTGTGTGTGTGTGCGTGTGTGTGTGTATTTTTTGTAGAGACAGTGTCTCACTATGTTGCCCAGGCTAGTATCAAACTCCTGGGCTCAAGCAATTCTCCTGTCTCAACCTCCTAAAGTGCTGGGATTACGGGCATGACCCACCATGCCCAGCCCTACATGACTGTTTTTAACTCTCTATTCTGTCCCACTGGTGTGTTCAATTATCTCTGCCCCAGTAACAAAACCTTGAATTATGGCTTGATTATGTTTTCCTATTTGATAACGTGATACCTTTTTTCCCAAAAACATCTTGTTTTTCTTAAATAGATTTTCCCTGAATAAGCCCTATATTTTAATTTTATTTAGTTTGTTGTCTAGGGGAAACATGCACATATTACCCAAATACAAAAGACACAATAAGGTAGACAATGACTAAGTCTCCCTCCCCTAAATTCTATCATTCAATTCCCCCTCAATAGGCTTTACCAGTTTATCTGCCCTTTCAGAAATAATCCACACACATGAACTTCAAAATCAGTGTATCAAGAGCTACCAAAAAATCCAGTTAAAATTTTGATTAGGAGTGAATTAAATTTATAGATTAATTTTTTAAAAACTGACATCTAGACAGTAACAAGTTTTCTCATTCAGCAGCTAGAATATCTTTCACCTTCTTTTGGTCTTCTTTTATGTTCTTCAATAAACTTTGATAATTTTAGATCTTTTATAATTATAGATCTCCCATATTTCTGATGGTACTTATGCGTAAGTATTTTGTATTTTTTGTAGTATTCTGATGTATTGATTTTGTATCTTTCTTATTAATCTGATAATTTCTCATTTTATTATCATGCATTTTCTATCTGGATAATGATATGGTTTACAAATAGTGGCAGTTGATCACTTCCTTCCCATCTTTTTTTTTTTTTTTTTTTTTTTTTTGAGACAGGGTCTCACTCTGTGGCTCAGGCTGGAATGTAACGGCACTATCTCAGCTCACTGCAACCTCCACCTCCATGGTTCAAGCAATTCTTCTGCCTCAGCCTCCCTAGTTACTGGGATTACAGGTGCCCGCCACTACACCTGGCTAACTTTTATATTTTTTGGTAGAGACAGCGTTTTGCCATATTGGTCAGGCTGGTCTCGAACTCCTGACCTCAGGTGATCTGCCCGCCTGGGCCTCCCAAAGTACTGGGATTACAGGCATGAGCCACTGTGCTCTGCCCCTTCCAATCTTTATACTGCTTTTCTTGTACGTATTTTATTGGTTCACTGAGACTTTTAGCAGACTCCACTGAATAGTAGCGATGGTAGGAGGCATCACCATCTTCTTCGTGTCTTTGTGAGAATATTACTTTTACTCCATTCAGTGTGATGTTTGCTGTGTGTTTCCAGTAGCTATTTCCATATTTTTCATCTAGTAAGAGTCTTTAATAGCAATGGCGTTGAATTTAATCAAAAGCTTGTTCACCATCTACTGAGATACTCAAATGGTTTTTCTCCTTTAAACTATTAATTAATGTATTGAATTACATTAATAGATTTCCTAGTGTTGAACCACTTTTGCATCCCTAAAATTAGCCCTACTTGGTAATAATGCACCATTTAAATAATATTTCACTTGGTGTTTTTGCATCTATGCTCATAAATGAGATTAAGACCTTAATTTTGAAAGTCCTGAATGCCAGGGTAAGGAATCTGGATTTCTTTGCTGAAAAACAATAAGATTTGATTAATATTTTTACCATCATGAAAATTATATCTTGGCCACTCCAGTGATAAGAATTTATCTTCTGTGAATTATCTGGGTGTCCTTTCTGTTCTCTATTGCTGAATGTTTCTAACTTTATCCTGCTCCAGACAGTGTTGTTTAATGACTATTGTGGAGATATGGCTGCAACTCTTTCCTTTTCTCTTAATTGGAAATCAATCTATTTTATATAACTATTGTTTTGGTTTTTGTTTTTTTTTTCTTTGGACAGTGTCTTTCTCTGTCACCCAGGCTGGAGTGCAGTGGCATGATTTCGGCTCACTGCAACCTCCACCTCTCGGGCTCAAGCAATTATCCTGCCTCAGCCTCCTGTGTAACTGGCATTACATGCGCACACCACCATGCCCAGCTAAGTTTTGTATTTTTAGTAGAGACAGAGTTTTCCCATGTTGGCCAGGCTGATCTCGAACTCCTGACCTCATGATCTGCCCGCCTCAGCTTCCCAAAGTTTTGGGATTACAGGCATGAGCCACTGCACCCGGACTGTTTTTTTTCCCCCCACAATTTCATGCCATTGTGTTTTTGCACAAGAGTGGCTTGCCAAGAACGGGTGTGGAGCTCTGTGAAGAACAGCTCTATTGGGAAAGTAGAGGCATCCCAAAGGCCCCCTTCAGTGACTATTACAGGAGCAGGACATAATTATACTATACAAGCAACAGCAGGATGACCACACTTGCTGAAATTTCCAGAAATGTTTAGGTATCCAGATCTACAGTCAAGCCACCTGTCAGCATGCATGCCCTTCTTTGTTGTTCTGGAAATAAGGTCACCATGGGCAGAGGGAGGCCAGCTAAAATCCACCTAGTTCGCCAGAAAGCCTAAGATATGCTAAGGAATTCAAATCCTCAAAAAAATCTCAGTGGGAAACACATTTGTTGGTCCTTGTGGACTCCTGAAAATAATACTCCCTCCAGCAGCCTCAGAAGCCACACAGTGCCTTTAAGATGTCACCAGTGGTGACAGCAGGTGTGCTGAGAACTTGACTGACTCCCAGCTATCACGTTGGCCTCCTGAGCTCTGGACTGCAGGTTTGTGGTTCTGCTTGGGAGTGCTTCTTGATACCTCTGGCCCACTTCTAGTTGTGCCTCTATCCATTCTCCCCTTTTTTCCATGATAGCAGGTCTTTGCTCAAGCAAAGACCACATTTCCCAGGCTCCCTTGCAGCTGTGTGGCCACATGACTAAGTTCCTCCCAGGAGCCTTTGAACAGGTCTTTCCCTTCAAACAACTGGGTAAACGCTCCACTAATACATTTCCTATTTCCACAGACATAGAAGCTGGGAGTGGGAAAGAAAGACCACAGATTGGCTGGGCACAGTGGCTCATGCCTGTAATCCCAACCTTTTGGGAGGCTGAGGTGGGTGGATCATCTGAGGTCAGGAGTTCGAGACCAGCCTGGCCAACATGGTGAAACCTCATCTCTACTAAAAATACAAAAATTAGCTGGGCGTGGTGGCAGGTGCCTGTAATCCCAGCTACTCAGGAGGCTGAGGCAGGAGTATCACTTAAGCCCGGGAGGTGGAGGTTGTAGTGAGCTGAGATTGCACCACTGCACTCCACCCTGGGCAACAGAGCGAGACTCCGTCTCAAAAAAAAAAAAAAAAAGAAAAAAGAAAAAGAAAGACCACAGATCACACGGCTGCCCCTCAGTCTCCTACTGTAAAGGTACAGTATATCTCTGGCGAGCTTGCCTAACTGTAAGGGATAGTCATACTTTGGCAGGTAGGGGAACAGGAGCCAAGCATCTTAACCCCCTCCTATGTTTGGGGACGTGCCCACTGTATGTGTGTGGGTATGGAACATGCCCCACTTCCTACCGAGGAAGCCCTAAAGGCCTGTTACTCCCATATGAGAGAGACCAAAGCTTCATAAATGCCCCAAGTTGGCTCTGGAGCAGGAGGACTGGAGAGTGGGGCAGTTTAATGTAAGTTGGGGGGATGAATCATAATTGTACAGTAGTTAAGCATATGTTGGTTCAAAACACAAAGGCTGGGAAATTAAGTTGCATCATATAACAGATTTAATCAGACATAATGAAATAAAGCTAAGGGGAGAAAATCTAAATTATAAACACAAGAAAAAAGTCTAATATCGCGCTAACTAGATTATTACAAAACATTTTTAGGAATTCCAGCAGGGCTCCTACTTTTCTGCAAGGCAGATTAAACAACACATTTTTAACTTTAATTATGGCAAGAAAACCTAAATGTTGGTTAAAGCTTAAAGGATAGACTCCCTGGGTTGACACAGTAGAAAAACCTCCAAGGAGAAATTACATTCAGAGACACAAGTTGAAAAACGTAAATAAATGAAATACATTTACAAATTAATGAAACAAATGGATTTTTAAAAAATGAATGATAAGGGTTACAATGACTAGTAACAGCCACTTTTAGAAAGTTTAATTAGCAGCTATGGCACAAGGTCTGGTGAATTAGAAAGGCCAGATGAGGCCGGGCGCAGTGGCTCATGCCTATAATCCCAGCACTTTGGGAGGCCGAAGCAGGCGGATCACTTGAGGTCAGGAGTTCGAGACCAGCCTGGCCAACATGGAGAAACCCTGTTTCTACTAAAAATAAAAAATTAGCCGGGCATGGTGGTGCATGCCTGTAAGCCCAGCTACTCAGGAGGTTGAGGCAGGAGAATGGCTTGAACCCGGGAGGCGGAGGTTGCAGTGAGCAGAGATCACGCCATTGCACTCCAGCCTGGGCAATAAGAGTGAAACTTCGTCTCAAAAAAAAAAAAAAAGAAAGGCAAGGTGAGTCCTGAGAGTTAGCTTAGCTACATTATGTGTAAGACAGAAATTTTACCATATGTGTTTGTAAAATAATCTACAAAGCAGGCAAATGGGATCAGTATTCTCAGAGAAACAGTGAGTGGATAGCAAAACTCTATTACAATAGACAGGTCAACCACACTAAGTAGAAGGTTATAGGTTTGAAAATGGATACACCTGATGGCTTGGTGGGCTAAAACCTGAAACTGGGTGATGATCATCAAAAGAAATTATCCAACACCTCACTCACCATCATGAATAGTCTATGGATTTTATTAATACACTAGAAGTCAAAGACTATTGTTTTGTTTTGTTTTGTTGTTGTTTTGAGACAGAGTCTTGCTCTGTTATCCAGGCTGGAGTGCAGTGGCATTTCCTTGGCTCACTGCAGCCTCAACCTCCCAGCTCAAGTGATCCTCTTGCCTCAGCCTCCAGAGTAGCTGGGGCTACAGGTCCATGCCACCATGCCTGGCTATTTTTATTCATTTTCTGTAGAGACGGGGTCTCACTATGTTGCCCAGACTGGTCTCAAACTCCCAGACTCAAGTGATCCTCCTGCCTCAGCCTCCCAAACTGCTGGGATTGTAGTCATGAGCCACCATGGCCGACCAAAGACCGTTGTTTTAGCGATTATTGTAAATACTTTCTTACATCTCCACTAGACTGTTAGCTTGCAGTGATCCCTGAAGTCAGTAAACAGTTAAAATACCTTATAAGTAGTAGGAACTCAATAAATAGGAATATTTAAAGCATAATTGTACAGTTGCTCATCCCTGTGTCCCCGTCACCACGTAGACTGTAAATACTCAATAAATAGTAGCTGAATTAATGTTGAGACAATGTTATTGCATTTTCAGTCTTACCTAGACTCATTTTTGCTCACCTTCCATTCTGAAAGCCCCATCCTCCACTACGTAACAAATAGCTCTGTTGTATTTATGTTCTGGGACTTGATATTAAATGCATTCCTTATTCTGGGCTGCAGCAAGGAATGTTTGAAAACGAATGCTCTGCTAAGCCCTTAAGGGGAAATAGGAGTCACCCAGCAAAAGGGTGAGGGCATGGGGGAAGGTAGAGGGGAGGGTACAAACTGGAGCTGTGCACAAAGTCCCCAGAGGTGATGGTCAAGGAGCAGAAGGACGCTTCCGGTGGCTGGAGGGTGGTGAGTGGAGGAAACAAGTCACCCCAGGGTACTGCCTCAGTTTCTACTGTAGGGGCGGAAAGGTGTGATCCCTTTCCTCGCGCATCATAAGGGTCACAGCCGACATTTCTATAACAGACAGGTTAACAAGGGAAAAACGTAACAGATTTGCTTAATCAAAGTTTTATGTGACACAGGACTATTCAGACCCAAAGACCCAAAGGAAAAATGGTCCATTTTTATGCTTAGGTTCAACAAAGCAGGGACAGCAGTGCAGAAATGTGATGGGCAAAAGGGTGTGATCTAATGGTAATGGACTGAGGGGGGACCATCTGCTCAGATTCTTCTTGGGCTCTGTGTAGCATTTCTTCTTCCCGGGTGTGGGGCAGGACCCCTCTTGGAATGAGGGTCTTCAAGGGAAAAGGGAGAGTGTGGCCTTTCTAGACGTTACTGCTTGCTGTAGGGGAGAAGGGTTCTAGTTTCTATTGCCCACCTTGGGGAAGAGGAATTCTGGTTTCTATGACTTGCTTCAGGGGAAAAAGAGGGACAAGAGACAGAGGGCAGGAGAAGGTCAGAGAGAACTTGCACCTGAGGCTGCTTCTGAGGACTTCCAATTTCCTTCAGTTCAAAGCTCTCAGCATGCCAAAGCCCCTTACTTTGGGGTATTTTTTTTCTGAGTTCCAACAAGACCAAGTTCCATATTGTAGTTGGAGGCCACATCTGGCTTGCAGATAACTTTCCTTTGGCCTACACAGGGGAACTTTTTTCATGCAAAAGTTTAAAAGTTGGAATAGTTCACATGAAATCCAGATTTCTTATTTCTCCTGAAAAATTAGATCTGCTAGTACCGGGCTCATGTTTCTTTACGGCAAGAATCTGCTGAAGCTGAGCCATAGCCCCAGCTTAGACACAGGGTGCCCCGTCGCTCCAGGGGCCCCAGTTCTCACCACCTGCTTCTTAACACCAGCTCTGACCACGTGGCCTCTATGGGCCCAGCTCTCTAGGCAGCCTCAGGTCCTCTGTTGCCTGCTCTATGGCTGACCCAGGTAGACCTGGGGCACTGCCTTTGCCGTGTGCCTGTGAGGCAGGAAAGTAGGGTGTGGGGGCAGGGAACATAAGGCCAATTCACACTTCAGCTATGCCAGGAAATATCCCCTTCATAGGGCGTACACCGAGTAAATGACTTTGTAACTTTACTTCATCCTCTTCATTTACATAGGGAATATACCAAGTAACCAATGGAAACCTCTAGAGGGTATTTAAACTCCCAAAAATTCTCTCTTTTTTTTTTTTTTTTTTTTTGAGACGGAGTCTCGCTCTGTCACCCAGGCTGGAGTGCAGTGGCACAATCTCGGCTCACTGCAAGCTCCACCTCCCAGGTTCATGCCATTCTCCCACCTCAGCCTCCCAAGTAGCCGGGACTACAGGTGCCCGTCACCACGCCTGGCTAATTTTGTTTTTGTATTTTTAGTAGAGACGGGGTTTCACCGTGTTAGCCAGGATGGTCTCGATCTCCTGACCTCGTGATCTGCCCGCCTCAGCCTCCCAAAGTGCTGGGATTACAGGTGTGAGCCACCACGCCCAGCCCTTAAACTCCCAAAAATTCTCTAACAGGGCCCTTAAGCTCCTACGCTTGGCCTGCTCCCATGCTGTGGAATGTACTTTCATTTTCAATAAATCTCTGCTTTTGTTACTTCATTCTTTCCTTGCTTTGTTTGTGTGTTTTGTCCAAATCTTTGTTCAAGACACCAAGAACCTGGACACCCTCCACCGGTAACACCTGGACCCATCACACAGCCACCTCCACCCTGGGCTGTTTTACTTAGGGAGGGCAGCAGAATGGGACCCAAGCTCTACGTGGTGCTGTCCAGTCCCACAAACACATCAGTGAGTCCTTGTTGCACTTGGCAGTGCCTGAAATTTTAAAATATCATTTGTTCACAGGTTTATGCTCTGTCTTACACACCCTGGGGAAATGGACTCTGTCTGCGTCTCACCATTGAAAGCCCAGGGCCTAGAACAGTGCCAGGCACACATGCCCAGTGCTCAGTAAGATTCTGTGCTGTGCCCGATATCCTTCCCCTGATGTTCTCAGGGACTCCCCAGAACCTGAGCTCTCCCCGCTCCCTCCACCCTGAGGACTCCTTACCTGATCTGGGAGGTAGGGTGGGAAGGTGGCTTGGAAATCTCGTGGACCCTTCTTGGATCTACTGCTTTTGCTAGAGTGCTTCCCTTTCCCCACAGGCCCAAACTATTGAAACTCAAAGGCTAGGAAAGACCCCTTCCCTTCTGAGACACTAAGGGAGTTAGCCAAGGACTTCCAACCTGAGCTGCCTCAGTGGGAGCTGCCTGGAGCAGCACCATCCAGGAAAAATATAATGCAAGCCATCTGTATAATTGTAAATTTTGCAGTAGCCTCACTAAAAAGTGCAAAAAGAGGCTGGGCACGGTGGCTTATGCCTGTAATCCCAGCACTTTGAGAGGCCGAGGCATGTGGATCACTTGAGGTCAGGAGTCTGAGACCAGCCTGGCCAACATGGTGAAACCCTGTCTCTACTAAAAATACAAAAAAAATAGCTGGTTGTGGTGATGCGTACCTGTAGTCCCAGCTACTCTGGAGGCTGAGATGGGAGAATCGCTTGAACCTGAGAGGCAGAGGTTGCAGTGAGCTGACATCATGCCACTGCACTCCTGCCTGGGTGACAGATCGAGACTTCATCTCAAAAAAAAAAAAAAAAAAAGCAAACAAACAAACAAACAAACCCGAAAAAAATGCAAATAGAAACAGGTGTCATTAATTTTAATATAGTTTATTTGACCCATATATCCGAAATGTTATTATTTCAACATGTAATCAATATAAAAAGGTTATTAATGAGATAATTTGTTTTTTCTTTGTACCAAGCCTTCTGATCTTGGTGCATATTTTACACTGACAGCGCCAGCCACATTTCAAGAGCTCAATGGCCACATGTGGCTAGTGACTTCCTATTGGGCAGTGCAGACCAGAGACAGGAAGCTGGGGAGAAAACCTCCATCAGTATTGTTGTGGCTTTGTTGTTGCTGCTGCTGCTGCTGCTGCTGCTGCTGCTGTTGTTTTGAGACAAGGTCTGGCTTTTTCACCCAGGCTGGAGTGCAGTGGCACGATCTCGGCTCACTGCAACCTCTCCTGGGTTCAAGTGATTCTCCTGCCTCAGCCTCCGGAATAGCTGGGATTACAGGCGTGCATCACTATGCCCGGCGAATTCTTTTATTTTTAGTAGAGATAGGGTTTTACCATGTTGGCCAGGCTGGTCTCGAACTCCTAATCTCAAGTGATCCGCCCCCCTCGGCCTCTCAAAGTGCTGGAATTGAGGGATATTTTAAAATGTCACCTCCCACCTTCATCGTGGCATCTCCAGGATCTGGCGCAAGGCCTTGCATGTAGTCTGGGCTCTGGGCAGGAGGCAGGAGGGTAGGCCGGGGATGAGAACCGGGGTGGGGGGTGGGGGAAGTGGTCGCCACCCTGTGCTTTCACGCTGGCCTCGACCGCCTCTAAGGTGGAGCCCCCGCATTTCCTTCCTGGCAGGCTGCTTTAAGTGTGCCTAAAGCTAGGAGGACCCCTCTCTCCAGTTCCCTCTGGCAGGTTGCGGGGAAAGAGGGGAACAAAGAAGCCAGCCCCTCCCAGTTGTCTCAGCCTAAGCTAGGACAGGGCTCCGAAGGTGGGGGGGATGTGCGTAGCGCTGCCTCTCCTGGCCGCCTCCTGCGTTTCCGCGGGCTTCCCGGGCCCCTCGCTGTCGTAGTATTACTGCCAAACGTCTTTCCTGTGTCGTCTGTGTTCCGCAAAGGTGCGTTTACAGCGTCTCTGCACCAATCAGCCTGAAGGGTAATTGCCCTATAATGGGGCCTGGCCTTGTTTCAGATCCTGCCATCAAAGGTCTCAAGGATCTCTACCAAGCACGCCCCCTTTTTACTGGAGGGGACGCGGCCTGGAAGCCAGCGGCTGCCCGTAAACAGTGAGTGACTCAGGAAGGAAGCCGGCGCCATGCCCTCCAATGGCACGACGGTGGAAGGATGTCTCGGGAGTTCTTCCTTGCTGAGCAACATTGCATTTCATTTAAGGGGGTGGTTCCCACGCTTGCACATGCAGCCTATCTTCCTAGCCACGTTTTGACAGAATACCTGAAATGAATTACATATATCCTTGCTCTGTTCAGTAGAGGATGATGATGAACATATTCTAATTCTTTCATCATAAATCATGCTTACGGTTATGGTTAATCATTCTTAAATGATGCTTTAAACGTAATTATTTGTTGTCTCTTTTCTAGCCATCACTCCTAGATGTCACTTCTGTTATCTGATCCCTGCTTGCCCCAAATGTTGCCCCTTTTCAAATGCTCCTTTCCTATTGGCTGGGATCTGTCTTCTACAGATAACTGTAGATAACTTCTAATATAACTAAGTCTTGTAGAAATGAGGTGGAAACAATAGCCTCGAAGCATCATCGAAGGGACGCTCGCCTAGTTAGCAATACATAAGTGCTTGGGCTTTGTCATAACTGTTTTAGCACCTCAGAGATTTTTTTTTCTGAATGTTCACTTATCTACAGATAAATTGAGGCACTCCTTTATTTGCTTGTAAATATTACTTTTCTAGAGTATACCAAGTTTCTCTGCTTTTTATGTCATGTAATCTTTTAAGATGTTGGAGAAAATGGTTCCAACTTAAGATCCAAGCTCAGGGAACTTCCGGGAGAACACACAAAGCTGGCATTATTTTGCCGCATCAAATGTTCTCAGTTTTCATTAACCTCCGGGCACATTTACAAATACTCTTAAAGAAAGCATTCATAGCTTACTATCTACCAAAGGAAAAATGGAAACCAAACCTGCTTTCTCTCACACCTATCTTTAAAAAATATATTCATAGAGTTTCTGACTGTAAAAGTGGAAAGGAATGATCACCAGTTGGCAATAGAAGCAATTGTTTTGAACTCCCATGTCATGATTATGTTGTGATGGAATCAGAGGTCCTTCTATTTTCTTATCCTTGGGAACATTTCTTCTTTGCCCTTATCTCTATAAAACCCTAAATTTTTGAGACCTTGACAAATATAAGTCTTATTCTCAATAAAGGGAGAAGTGTGATTGCTTCCAATCCTTTCTTCAGATTAGGGAAGAGCAAAGTGCTCCCCTGGGAAAAAGAATCCAGGGACAAAACTGGTGGCAACGTGAAAAGTCAAGGGACAAAAAGTTTGCCGAAGCTGATCTTCATGGAAATGGGATGATATGACACCAGATGAAATAGATGCCCCGGATATCCCAGTAGTGGTCACAAACTGTGGTAGAAGATGGGTTGTGACATTGTGGGGCTTACTAAGCAGTAATTTTGCCAAAGAACTGCTGAAAGGTGTTGCAACAGATCTCAATAGCAAGAGAGTGCACCCTGAGGAGCACAAATAATTCCTGCGCTGGGTTGACCAGAGGTGACCAACAAGCCCTTTTAATTGTACAGTGCTTACTTTATTTATATTTATTTACTTATTTTTTTGAGACAGGGTCTTGCTCTGTTGACCAGGTTGGAGTACAGTGGCATGATCTTGGCTTACTTGACCTCCCAGGCCCGAGCTATCCTCTCATCTCAGCCTCCCAAGTAGCTGGGACTATAGGGCACATGCCACCATGCCCGGCTAATTTTTAAATTTTTGGAAGATACAGGGTGTATTAGTCCATTCTTATGCTGCTATAAAGAACTCCCTGAGCCTGGGTAATTTATAAAGAAAAGAGGTTTAACTGACTCAGAGTTCAGCATGGCTGGGGAGGCCTCAGGAAACTTACAATCATGGCAGAAACGGAAGCAAACAGTTCCTTCTTCACATGGCAGCAGCAAGAAGAATAAGTGCCCAGCAAAGGGGGAAGCCCCTTATAAAACCATCAGATCTCATGAGAACTAACTCACTATCATGAGAACAGGATGAGGGAAACTGCCCCCATGATTCAATTATCTCCACCTGGTCCCTTCCATAATACCAAGGGATTATGGGAACTACAATTCAAGATGAGATTTGGGTGGGGACACAGCCAAACCATATCACAGGGTTTCACCATGTTGCCCAGGCTGGTCTCAATCTCCTGGGCTCAAGTGATCCTCCTGCCTTGGCCTCCCAAAGGCCTGGGATAACAGGTGCGAGCCATTGTGCTCAGCCTCAACACTTACTTTTTGCTGAGAGACACAACCTCCTGCAACCTAGGGAAATATTTGAAAGCTCATAGCAGTGTTTACTCAACAAGTAAGCCATGAAGAAGCTACACCTTTCCAGGAAGCCTATGAGGCAGGGGCCAAACCACAAGGGAGGAAATAGGTGTCACCAGGTGCAGCCCTGCTCTACTTCTGACTCACCGTCTGACCAGGCTCCTCTGGCTTCACTGTGCCTCACTTCTCCACCTGTCAAATGGAAGGAGGAGGGGATGGGATGGTTTTCTTGGTAAAATTCCCTGAAATCTTTTGCTGAAAGGTTCTTCAGAAAGGGAAGATAGTATGGTTATCCCTTGGCTATTAGGTATGTGGTTGCTATGACTAGGGTTTGGAATAGTATCACAACGTCATATAGCTATTTACAATAGCAAATGGGCATATAAGGATCCAGGAAGAGCTAGAAGTCCTCAGTAGGACATGCATTCCAGAAGGCTGAGGCTCAATCTTTCCAAGCACCAAATAGCCCTGTGCGTGCGCGCGCACACACATATACACACACACACACGCACACACTCCCATGGTGTTTTGGGAGCCTCTCATCTCTCTTTGCTCCAAGGCAAGGTCAGACTCTCACAAGGACAATCTAGCACTTCCCAGCTGCTCTGGGGGAGGAAAAGCAGGTGCCCAATACCCATGTGTCCTGCTCTTTCAGCAAAGATGGCCCTAGAACCACCCTAGAGCACCACTACTAGAATGTGACCCGCTCACAGCACCTGTGAACTAGAAGCATTTCAGGTGACCTAAGGGACTGGGCCAAAAGATACTTTACACTCTAGTGGTACATGCGTGCATGCATGCCTGCATATATGTGCACGTGTGCACATGCAGGCACATTCTTGCCGTATCTAAATCTGCCTATAAAAAACACACAAAAATTAAATGTAAAAATGTAATCTGGGAAAACCCCCCTAAGTCAGTTCTAGGATAGGCATGTGCCTGTGTGTGAATAGCACAACGTCAGCGGTGCCTGAGTCTTTAGCTCTCACAGACTCAAATGGAAGGCTGGGCACAGGGACTATGGTATATTCCGAAAGGATGGGTTGAGAATCACACTAATATTGACAAGAGGTAGGAGCAGAAATGTTGGCAGGAGTAGGCTTTCAGTAATGTTACTATTATCCCACTAACCAATAAGAGGTGGCTGGGCGTGGCAGAGGGGAGGGCCCAGGAGTAAACACTGAAACGAGGGCTTGACATTGTGAAGACACTCTGGTGGATGTATATGGGGCTTGCTGGTGTATGAGGTGGCCAAGTGCTCAGCTCTACCCTCATGAAATGGTGATGTTTCTATTCTGCTTTCATCTAGAATGCAGAATTATAGGACAGGGAGGTGCTTCTTAAGAACAGATTTTTTTTTTTTTTAATAGAGACAGCAAAAAAAAAAAAGAAAAAAGAAAAAACAGAGACAGCATCATGCTATGTTGCCCAGACTGGTCTGGAACTCCTGATTTCAAGCAATCTTCCCATCTCGGCCTCCCAAAGCGCTGGGATTACAGGCGTGAGCTACCACCGTGCCCCACCTTAAGAACAGATTTAATTATTGACAAAAGCATAAGAAATGTATCAGAACTCACTTTCTCTTGCTCTCGCTCCCTCCTCATTACTCTCAAACCTGTTTCCTCGTTATTCTTGTTGATAGAGATGATCAAATTTATTATTTTATGCGTCTGGTACAGAGTGGTTGCTCAACTGCTACTCAATGAATGAATGAAGAAATGACTCTTAATTTTCAGAAACACTCTGTGAAGCAGTCTGGGAAGTATATTGCTTTGAGACCACAGCAGACCAGCAAAAGGAGGACAATGGGGAGGACCTGCAGATCACAGAGCCCTCTGCTTCTGGCATCGGCCTCTGCTCTTTCCTGTGGACCCTTGCCTCAGTTTCCTCCCCCATGCACTGGCCGCACACTGAGCCCACTGCTCCCACATGGCCCATAAATCTCCTCCCAAACCCTCCAGCACCTCCAACAGCTGCCTCTGCCCTCAGCTTCTTACTGTTCTTTCCACCCTTTTCTGAAATCTCCTGTGCAAAGCCCCAAATTGGCTTGAGAGAAGACGCCTGGACAGCCAGGCTTGAGTCCACTTTAGCGGCAGGGGGTGGGGGAGTGGTGGGTGGAGGCTGGGAATGGCCACGAGTGAATACTTCCTAATCCCACCAAAACATGTTGAAATGTAGAGGGACAACTAATATGTATTGAGCATCTGCCCTAAGTCCAGTGCTTTACCCAAGCCATTGCTGCAATTTGGGATGGTGTGATTCTCCCCATTTTGCAGGTGAGAAGCAGAGACTTGGAGAAGCTAAGTGGCTTGCCCAGCTGTTCACAGCTAGTATGCAACTGCCTTCACTCCAGTCCCATACGCATTCAGCTACATCCTCATTGCTGGAAATAAAGGAGAGATAAAGGGCAGAAATAACTTAAGCACCAAAACCCATTTTCCATGTCTATACAACCAGCACATATTACAATATGTATACATAAAGGACTATTTGTGTGATTAGATTCTAAGGAGACCTATGTGAGTAAAGCCCCAGGTATAAAATTTTTAGCACACCACTGGACAGAGTTGTGGCCTTCCATAAATTCTTGCGGAATGAATAAATGGGTGTTCCGTGGCATGTGTTATGTATCATTAAGGAGTTCTTTCAGTGGGTCTGGCACTGTGCAAAGTGCTTTGCATTCCTTATCTCATATAATCCTCTTAATAACAGAAGAGAGATGCCATCATTTTTCCGATTTTTTACTGTTGAGGAGCCAGAGACTTAGAAAAAGTAAATAACTTGCTCAAGGTCATATAACTAATCACTGTAGAGGTAAGACTTGGTTTCAGCTCTGCCTGGCTCCACAGTCCATGCTCTGGACCTGAGCTCTCCTGCCTCCTGGGAGGAGGTGGGGTTGGCAATGCTCCCTCCCCCTAAGCCCCTCACCTCCTCCACCATATGCGAGGTGCTCATCTGCCAGATGCCTTCTCTCACCATGCACAGCTGAAGGGCCATTTTAAAGCTTCCGCATACTATGGGGAACCAGCTCAACTAGAAAACCAGGCAGAGGACAAGTCCGTGTGCTGTTGCCCAAACTGACTTGCAGGGAGTTGGTGATGAAGAGAGTCTTGAGGCCCTTGCCCTGGTTTCTCTTTCCTGCCCCAGAATATCAGACAGACAGAGCACAAGATTACAGAAAGGTCTGGCTAAGGAGGCCTGAGCTAGGGGTCATTTTTACCACTGTCTGGGCAAGCCCATTAACCTTGCTGAAACTGTTTTCTCCTCTATAGAACAATAATCACAATAACAATTGCTATCTGGTGGGGCTACTGAGACCAGGCGCAGGCAGGTTTTTGGTAACTCTGCAGCATCCTCAAGTGACTCAGTCCCAGAGGCAGGGACATGGGCGTTTTCTACCCCACACTGCACCCCATCATGAAGGGGAAGGGAGGCCTTTCATAAACCAAGTGTATCTTGGGACCTGGTGTTTTGCCTGGGTCTGAGCCCACCCCAGTGTTGGAACAGCTGCAGTGAAGGAGCTGCAGCTTCTGGGGCTGTTCTGGCTGTGGTCACCATGTGGAGGAGGGGATTTGCAGCCTGTCTGAGGCTCCTGCATCTTCGGGGACTGAGAGCATTCAGCCTTTCCTTTCTCCCCCTAGATAATCACAGATACCTCCCTCTCTACTCCCTGCACAGGCCCACCCATTCCTCCCTTCCCTTGGAGGGCAAGGCTGTACTATTGTGAGCGACACAGGGCCTTTACTTCCCTCAGAGCTGTCCTAACCATGGCAAGACCCTTTGTGATTCCATCTCCACCCTGTACAGCCAAGCTGACCATGGGTGTGTCTGCTGGGAGCAGGGGTGGGTTAGGAAGAGATGGTTGTGCCATTTCTCCCCACCCAGAGGCACACACACACACACACACTCACACACCTTGACTAGTTGCTCTTTTTGGATTTCATTCTTCACAAACTGCTGCTCAGGTAGTATATGGTTAACAGAGGCCTCTTAGGGAACACAATCTTCTGCTCTTGGCTGAGAAGTTTAACGTGAGCCTTATGGCTGAGGAGAGATAGTGCTGGCACAACATGGACCTCCCCGTAGCACACCAAGGCGTGCACCTCTGAGAGGGCATTCTACTGTTCCCTCTTGCTAAGAGGTAGATAAGTCTGGAATATCACTTGATGTTGAAAGGTAGCTCTAAAGATAAACTACATCTCTGGATAGTCATCGGGATCCCTTTGGGATCTTAGTTGACAGACAGTTGCCAACATCCCAATGGTAAGTCAGTATTTACATTTGTGTTCATAATAAAATGTATGTATATATATTCCACTTGCCCAAACAGCAGCAGCAACAGTTATAGAAGGATTCCTTATCACCTCCCTCTGCCAAATATTAGGGACTGAATCTCCCATGGCATTTCAGAGAAAAGCATAAGTAAAGCATAAGTAAAACAAAATCTCATCACCTGTTAAGTATATGTACTTCTTTATTTCTACTTTTAGGTCATATTCCTCATATTACTAGGATATATTAATATTCAAAGAGGCCGGGTGCGGTGGCTCACACCTGTAATCTCAGCACTTTGGCCGAGGTGGGTGGATCATTTGAGGTCAGGAGTTCAAGACCAGCCTGGCCAACCTGGCAAAACCTGTCTCTACTAAAAATATAAAAATTAGCCAGGTGCGGTGGTGCGTGCCTGCAGCCCAAGCCTCTTGGGAGGCTGAGGCAAAAGAATCGCTTGAACATCCGGGAGGCGGATGTTGCAGCAAGCCGAGATCATGCCACTGTACTCCAGCCTGGGCAACAGGGAAACTCCATTTAAAAAAAAAAAAAAAAATCAAAGAAATCCAAATGTGTCTTTAACATTTGATCAAAGACTATTTTGCATTTTCAGCTGGCAAAACCTTTGCACTAATGCTATCAATGTCAGTGCAGACATCTGGATATTAATACCTGATGGTATTGTGTTGGGGATAGTGACTGGTTCAAGAGAGAGGCTCAGGAAAGAAGAATATCTCATTAACAAATATCTCTTTTAGGGTACTCTTTAAGAATACTAATTTTTTTTTGCAACTTTAAGATTATCATTCTAAGACCTTATCTCAAGATTATCAGCATTATAGAATGTATAACTAGAAGGCACCTAAAATGTCATCTAGGTGGTACCTAATTTTATATATGAGTGAACTAGGATTATACCAGCACTAAATTAGAAAAAAAAAATCAGATGAAAAGGCTGTGTTTATACCTGTTCTTTTTAAAAAATTTTTTTACTTGAGGTTCAGACGGTACATGTGCTATATTTGTTCTTTAAAGTGACTCAGCATCATTCATTCATTCAACTCAAATGTACTGAGTATATTTAACCCTCACAAATGTACCATAAGGTAGGTTTTACTATTACTCATTTTACCGGTAGGTATTACCCATTTTACAGATGAGGAAACTCAGGCTCAGAGAGGTTAAGTCCAAGATCACATTTGTAGTAACTAAAGAACAGGAATTCAATACAAGCCTATCAGATTGTATTAGTTTTTTCCTGTTGTATAACATATTACCACAAATTTAGTGTCTTGAAACAACACCCATTTATTATCTCACCATTTCTATGGGTCAGAAGTTTGGGCACATTTTAGCTGAGGTCTCTGCTCAAGGTCTCATGAGGCTAAAATGATTATGTCAGCCAGGACTGCAATTTCATATGAGGCTTGGGATCTTCTTTCAAGCTTACCATTTGCTGGCAGAATCCAGTGGCTTGTGGTTGTGAGACTAAGGCCTTCAGCTCCTAGAAGCCACCCACTGCTCCTGGCATACAACTTTCTCCACAACATAGCAAATTGCTTCTTCATGGCCAATAAGAGAAGGTCTCCACTGCTTCAGATCTCTCCTTTCAGCAAAGGCCTGTATTCTCTTTTGAATGGCTCACTTGATTAGGTCAGGCCTACCCAGGATAAATTCCCTTTCAATGAACTCAAAGCCAACCTTAATTAATCTGCAAAACCTCTTCACCTTTGCTATATAATGTAATCTATTCACTGGAGTAAAATTCCATCATATTCACCACTCCTGCCTACATCAAGGGGAAGGCATGCACACCAAGGGTCAGGAATCTTTGGACAATTTTAGAATTCTACCTACCACACAGATGCTAGTGCCCATATATTCTTAAACTACATACTTCCTCCCCCAAAGCAATGAACATTGGTCTGAGCCTCAGCAGACAAACAAAAGTTATACCATGTAAGTGCAGCGAAGGAATTATGCACCAAGTGGAAAGAAGCACAGTAAGGAAAAATGGTCTACTGTGCATAGGTGGTAGGGTTGGAGAGGGGAGATTTACGGGGAGCTTCAAGAGCTGATGTTTCAACTGGATGGCCAAGAAGAGGACCACACCTTCTCACTTTTCTGTCTCCACTGCCTAGCAGTCTTGGGGCTCATAGTAGACACTCGATAAACGTCTGTTGACATGAAAGACCATGTGAGTGTCTTCTAGGCAGATTAGGGGAAAGAGCATTCTAGATAGAGGAAACATCGTGTGCAGAGGCCCAGAGATGTGAAGCCATATGCTATGTTCAAGGATCCATGAGAAGTGTCAGGCACCATTAAACATGCAAGGCAGACGATGCATCCAGAACACGGAGGGCCTTGAATACAGTGCTGAAAATGTAGGATTTTAATTTGTAAATGAAGAGGAACATACAAAGAGGGGAAAAAATCAGACTTGTGTTTGAGAAAATTAGCTTCCATGAGAGTACAGTACCCAAAGGCTGGTTTGGGATGTGGTTAGGATGAGTGGGGTGAGGATGACCCAGGGCTGTAGGAGTTAGTGTCGGGAGGCTGAGTAGTCCAGGTGAGGGAGGAGGACCCGCACTGAGGCAATGCAGTGGCATGGAGGAGAGGGATGGCTTCCGAAGCTGCTCAGGAAGCAGCATTGACAGAACTGCATGCCTGACAGGATCTGAGGGATGAAGGAATCACGGAGGATGATGGAGGATAACTCTGACTTAGAAGAAGAGTAAAGAATAGAACCATCCATTGAGCTTGAGGATTAAGAGAAAGACTAGGGTTGAGGAAGAGGCCGATAAGGTGTGGAGGCAGTGATGGCGGGAGGAAGGGTGGTGGTGGATGACAAGGACGCTTCAGGACATGTTGAGTTTGAGGTGCCCGTGAAATATCCCAACAGAGAAGTCCAAGAGAAGGCAGCTGAATTCTTAGCTCTGGAGAGCTGGTCTCCAGCTTATAGGAGGGCAATCAGGTCACAGCAATGGATAACCACAGAGGGACAGAGGGACAGAGGGCAGAGTAAGGAAGGAGGGAGCTGAGAACAGAACCATGGGTTGCAGGTCTGCATTGTCAAGGAGAGAAAACATTACCTGGAATCAAAGGTGAGAGAAGAGAGGATCTGTGAGGCTGCGAATGCATAGTTACCTCAAACATAAACAAAAGAGAAATGGGGGGATGCTTTATCATCAAAAGAAATAGTGCCCATGAAAATCCCTGTTGGGCTGGGTGCAGCAGCTCACGCCTGTAATCCCAACACTTTGGGAGGCTGAGGCAGGAGTATTGCTTGAGCCCAGGAGTTTAAGACCAGCCTGAGCAACATAGTGAGAACCTTATCTCTAAAAAAAACAAAAAGAAAGAAAGAAAGAAAGAAAGAAAGAAAGAAAGAAAGAAAGAAAGAAAGAAAGAAAGAAAGAAAGAAAGAAGGAAAGAAAGAAAGAAAGAAAGAAAGAAAGAGAAAGAAAGAACCCTGTTGGTATTTCACTGGCTTGAGTTGTAAAGAAGAAAGGGAAGGCCAGACACACCAGAGCATGTGTAATTTAAACAAACACAACTCTTAAGTAAATTAGCTAGGAGAATGGATTGTTGCAGATTTCTTTATTGGGTTAGGAAGTACTTGTTTTCACTGAAGGCTATTCTTTTGAAGAAAAAAAGAACTTTGAGTTAAAATTTATTAGTCTCCTTTGATCTCTGTAATTAGGAGATTTGACCCAAGCATTCATCAGTTTTTAATGAAAATCAGCTACTTTCCACGGTTTGTTTTCTTATAACTTGAAGAACAAAAGAGTGTTTTTCGTAAGATCATCAGGGGTGAGACAGGATTTTGTAAGAAGAGAGATGACTGTGGAAAAACAAAATTTTAAAAGGGAACAGATCCACTTTGTATTGTTTTTCTTTTCCCCATCCTCAGATGCTACCAAATAACCTAACAATACCGGCAATTGCTCTGTCCCACCAAAATTTGGATGTTTCAAAATTGCCTTCAGAAGAACAATCTACTTAATTGAAAAACTGTAGAGACAAAGTCAACCAAGTGCCTGTCAATGGATCCCAGTCTCTGAACTCATTATCCAGAACCTGTAGCCAGTAACAGTCACTTAGCCCAGGCCCAGACCAGCTGAACTGCAGAGATGCAAGTGCCAAAAAGCCAATCTCTCCCTGCTTTTCTCATCTGCCTCCCAGAATCTGATGTCTTGCTGAGTAGCTGGCCAGGTGTCCCCATTCTTAGTGACTTGGAGGAGGTGGGAGACTTGGCAAAGCAGCAGGAATACACACACACCCCTCACCTCTGTCCTCTGCAATCCCCTGAAAAACAGGCTCGTCTGCTTTAACTGGAATCACAAACTTTTAAGTTCTAGAATGAAGTAGCAGATGTTTATGTGAAACGATCCTATTTCTCTAATATTCACTCAGCAAGTAGTTGTCAAGATGGGGTTTACATATTGAAATCCATGGATGGGAGGATTGGCAAGAACTTTGAACAATGGGGTCAATGAGATGCTGAGGAGAAGCCCTGCCTAGGGGAAGAAAATGAGGCGATGGGGACACCAGTGGCTCCTGGCACCTGGATGAACGGAAACCAGAGGCTTCAAATACATTAACCAGAGCAGAAATGGAACCAAACAAGAAAACACATGAAGGTGGAAAGAACAGAAAGGGACAAACTATTTTCTTAGTGAAAATGGGAAAGTTACACACCTCCTCCTCCCAAACATGATGATGTTCTGTTTTGTTAACCTCTTTGAGAAGGTGACTGGATACAGAAATATGGTCTAGCCTATCAATTTATGAGAAACATTTATTAATCATTCCCAGTGAAAATGTATTTGGATGTCAGCTTTAAGTGGATCCTCATGAAGAAATAAAGTCAATGAAGTCCGAAAACTTTTATCTACTTTGGAAGGATGAGGAGGGTGGATTGCTTGAGCCCAGCATTTTGAGACCAGCCTGGGCAACATGGCAAAACCCCATCTCTAAAAAAATTACCTGGGTGTGGTCACGCACACCTGTAGTCCCAGCTACCTGGGAGGCTGAGATGGGAAGATCACCTGAGCCCAGGAGGTCAAGGTTGCAGTGAGCCATGATCATGCCACTGCAATCCAGCCTGGGCAACAGAGTGAGACCCTGTCTCCAAAAAAACAACTACAACAACAAAAACAAACAAACAAAAACAAACCTCCAAAACCCCCACCTCCAAATACTTTTATCTCCTGCCATGTGAAGCTTTAAAGTTAAAACAGAGGTTAAAAAAAAAAAGTGCTGGGGTACAAGCACATCAAACCAGCTCCAAACCCTGGCTCCACCACTTAGTGGTATGACCTTGGATAAGTTCCTTGATGTCTCTAAATCTCAGTTTTCTCATCTATACAGTGGGAAAAATAATATTCCAGATCCATAATCCCTTATCAGCAATTCAGAAATCCAGTAGGCTCTGAAAAACAGCTTTTTTTTTAAGTTAGCAGGAAATTCATTTGATGGTAAAACCTGACCTGAAAGATTATGAGACTTTATATAATATAGTTTTTATTTATCCCATTAAGCATGATTATCCATATGTCAGCTGCAGAAATATCGATGTCTAATGATGGATGTCACCCCAGACCTTGCTGGGAGGTGTTATGAAAAATACAGTACAGGCACAGATTTGCCCCTTAAAAACATGAACGCTTCGGAATTCTGAAACATACCTGAATCTGAACGGAACCAGGTAAGGGATTGGGACCTATACCTTGCGGGTAGTTGGAAATATGGTGAGATAATGTGTGTGAAGTGCTTGTCGCAATGCCTGGCACTTTGTAAGTGCTCAGGAAATAGAAACAATAATTTATTATTTTAAAGCACTCAAATGAATGATTCTTGTCTTGTTCTTTTCACTGTGGAATTTGCCCAGGAAACCACAAACTCTGAAGCTCTGACTCCCCTTTCAGTGTCGCCCCAAGAGCCCACACTTTTGAAGGAATAACCTCCCTGGTGAGATGCACCATGTCCCTGAGGGTGTGGTGGAGTTGTGACCCAGACCCTAAAGCCAAGGAAAAATCTCTGAACATACAACATTCAACAAGGACAAGGACAGGGAATGAAAGAAGTTCTGACGTTGGACAGACACAATTCCAAAAGTGGCATGGCTTGATGGATGAAGGCTCAACTTTGGGGCTGGAGAGACCTCGGTCCTAACTCTGTGCCATCCATGGTGGTGGAAATCCCTGAGTCTCAGTTTCTTCATGTGTAAAATGGGATAATAATACTTACCTAAAACATTTGTCATGGGATAGTAATACTTACCTAAAGCACTTTGTATGGGGCCTGGTACACAGAACATGCTCGAAAGTGAAGGCAGACAGAAACATGAACATTCCACGTATGCTGAGTGACACAGAAACCCAAGCCCGAGGTTACTACCAAACACAGTTCCGCTTTGCCCTAAATTGGCCAAAGCTCCCTCGAGGAAAGGCTAAAGCCTTAGCTTGCCTGCAAAAGCTGAGGAGGAGAAGCCAAGCAGAAGGGGCTCACTGTCTACGAAGACTTACAAACCCACGGTGGCAGGAATGGAGCCTGGGTCCTTCTCTCCCAAGAAGGTAGGCACCCTCAGCTTGCTTTGGGGACCTCTGATTCAATAGGACAGGTAGACATAATGTCAGGTGGGGGGTTACAAGGTGGTTTATGGATACATAGAGAGTCAATAAGGCTCATTCACACCCTGAATCCAGTTTTTGGCTGGATTACCAAGTCCCAGTTTGACTCTTACCCTTATAAAAGGAATAATGTTAAGGTGTACTTAGGAGGAGAAGGAGTTGTTTTCTGCGATTCAGAGTGAATCCTTTCATAAGGGAGACCTTTCACCCGAATTATTACTTTGTCCTCACATGCCCGAATCCGCACTTAAAATGAAAAGTCAACAGCTATTCATTCCTGAGGATGGCCTTGAGCTTACGCTAGCAAGTGCCTTGTTTTCTATAGTTGGAGACGCTGACCTACATAATCACCTTTTCTCCAGACCTGAGCCCTGGGACTTGAGAAACACCAAGTGTAAGACATCATCAACCCCCAGGTGTTCTGAAGCCCCACTCCTTTTCTCTTTCTTGACCATTGTGGCTGAATGTGAATCCCCACCTTTCCTGCCCTCCTGGGGACCTTAGGAATTCTGCTCCTCACTGCAGGTGAGTCACATCAGTATCTAGAACACACATTGCCATTGCCTGCCCCATCCTAGCACAGAGACTTCCCAGCCATCCTTCAATGCCAGCTCTCCGTGAACTTACCCCCATCTCTTCACAGCAGAATGGCTCAACAGGCAGGCCCACTCCATGGTTAGGTCACCAACCATGCTGGGTAACAGAAGAAGAGGCAGAGAATGAACATGGGAGAGAGAAAAGAAATTTTTAGCCAGGTGCGGTGGCTCACGCTGTAACCCAGCACTTTGAGAGGCCAAGGCGGGTGGATCACTTGAGGTCAGGAGTTCAAGACCAGCCTGACCAATATGGTAAAACCCTGTCTCTACCAAAAATACAAAAAATCGGCTAAGCGTGGTGGCAGGTGCCTGTAATCCCAGCTATTCAGGAGGATGAGGCAGGAGAATCGCTTGAACCCGGGAAGCGGAGGTTGCAGTGAGCCTAAATCGTGCCACTGCACTCTAGCCTGGGTGACAGAGTGAGATTCTGCCTAAAAAAAAAAAAAAAAGAAAAAGAAGAAATTTTAAAAATAATTTGACATTTGATTAATTGTTTAAAGCATCAAAGTATAAAATAAATATCCATGTATCCATACTGGTATCAATAAATAATTGAATAAATAAATAAATGTGGGAGAAAGGACAGCTTTTCCTTACAGAAGAATTCAAAGCAAATAAATGTATTAATAATTAAGAAAATAGAAAATCATCATTAGCCGTGTGCAGTGGCTCACACCTGTAATCTCAACACTTTGGGAGGCTGAGGCGAGCAGACTGACTGACCTCAGGTGTTCGAGACCAGCCTGGACAACATGGTGAAAACCCGTCTCTACTAAACTACAAAGAATTAGCCGGGCATGGCGGGGTGTGCCTGTAATCCCAGCTACTTGGGAGGCTGATACAGGAGAATCACCTGAACATGGGAGGCGGAGGTTGCAGTTAGCTGAGATTGCATCACTGCACTCCAGCCTGGGAGACAGAGCAAGACTCCATCTCAAAAAAAAAAAAAAAAAAGTCAAGATTGTGAGAGATAAGGGAAGACTGAGTAACTGTCACAGGTTGGAGCTGAGTAAGGACATATGACAACAAAATGCAGTGCAGAATCCTGGATTGGATATAGAAACAGGAAAAGAACATTAGTGAAAATATTAGTTAAGCCTGAACAAAGTCAGTCATCTAGTTAATAGTATTGTATGTGTGTTAATTCTGAATTTTAATCATGTACTATAGTTATGCAACATGTTAGCATTAAGGAAAGCTACGTGAAGCATTTAGGAAAACTCAATATTATTTTTACAGCTTTTCTGTATGTCTGAAATTATGTCAAAATAAAATATATTTTTCTTAAAAAAATCAGGGGCCGTGCACAGTGGCTCACACCTGTAATCACAGCACTTTGGGAGGTTGAGGCAGGAGGATCAGTTAAGCTCAGGAGTTTGAGAGCAGCCTGGCCAACATGGTGAAACCACATCTCTACTAAAAATACAAAAATTAGCCAGGCATGGTGGTGCATGCCTGTAATCCCAGCTACGCAGGAGGCTGAGGCAGGAGAATTGCTTGAACCTGAAGGCGGAGGTTGCAGTCAGCCAAGATTGCACCACTGCACTCCAGCCTGGACAACAGAGTAAGCTCAGTCTCTGGAAAAGAAAAAAAAAAGCATTGGAGTAGTGGGACCATCGTGGGTTTCCCTGCATTAGTTGAATGCTTGCATCAGTTGAATGGTTTGGTATTGTTTCTATTGCGAATTCCATATTGGGGTTTGGGGGAGATAGGATGAGGCACCAGGATCATTTCAGGGCTCAGGGCCTCTGAAAGTTGCTTTGGACAAATTGGCCTTGTTCCCAGAAAGTCACCAACCAGCTCTATTTCTCACCGAGGCCCATTTCATCCCTTCTTGGAGGCTGAAAGAACTCAAAAACATCGCCACAGCATCGCCAAACCCTCTTCCAGGATGATTCAAAGGACTTGGGATCCTTAACCCCAGGATGTGGCCACACTTTATGGTGTCCATAGGGCAATCCTAGCAGGATAGACCATTCACTTCCACTTTAATTTCAAAGACAGAAGCATGCAATGCTTGGGGGGGGCAGTGCCATTTCCTTAGGGTGATAATAGAACCGATTTCTCAGGTTCTAGGAATTAGATGAGCTAATACATGCTCTACATCATGGGTGAACTTTGAAGACATCATGCTGAGTGAAATTGGTCAGACACAGGAGGAAAAAGATTGTATGATTCCACATATATGAAGTATCTCAAATAGGCAAATGTATAGCAACAGAAAGTCAGATAATGGTTACCAGAGGCTGGAGGGAGAGGGTAATGGGGAGCTATTGTTTCATGGGTAGAGCTGCAATTTGGGAAGATGAAAAAGTCCCAGAGATGGATGGTGATGATGGTTGTACAACACTGTGAACGTACTTCATGCCACTGAATTGATTCTTAAAATTCAGTGGCATTAAGTCTGGGTGCAGTGGCTCACACTTGTAATCCTAGCACTTTGGGAGGCCAAGGTAGGAGGATTGCTTGAGACCAGGAGTTCAAGACCAGCCTGGGCAAGATGGCAAGACCGCTATTTCTACAAAAAATAAAAATTAACTGGGCACAGTGGCTGAAGCGTGTAGTTCCAGCTACTCAGGAGGCTAAGGTTGGAGGATTACTTGAGCCCAGGGGTTGGAGATTGCTGTGAACTATGATCACACCACAGCACTCCAGCCTGAGAACTAAAGCAAGAACCCTGTTTCTAAAACAAAAAACAAAACAAACCTATGCTGGGCCACCAGGTGCAGTGGCTCACACCTGTAATCCCAATACTTTGGCAGGTATTGGGTAGGAGGTAGGAGGATCCTCAAGGTAGGAGGATTGCTTGAGCTCCGGAGTTTGAGACCAACCTGGGCAACGTGGTGAGACCTTGTCTCTACAAAAAAAATAAAATTAATAATTTAGTGGCATTAAATACACTTAAAAATGGTTTAAATGGTCCATTTTATGTTATGTATATCCACCATATCACAGTTTAAAAATAAATTAAAAATAATTAGATGGGATCATAGAAAGCTCCTGTAAAACATGTGGCCCACAGTAGACACCAAATACTATTCTTTATTAAAGTTTCAGAAAATAGAACTATTATATAATTGTTTAATGTGAATTTTGGCCATGGCAGCAGCCACATATGACTTCGTACAATTAACCAAATTCTTTTTTTTTTTTTTTTTAGACAGTCTTGCTCTGTCTCCCAGGCTGGAGTTCAGTGGTACAATCTCAGCTCACTGCAGCCTCAACCTCCTGGGTTCAAGAGATTCTCATGCCTCAGCCTCCCAAGTAGCTGGGATTACAGGCATGCGTATGCCACCACACCCCACTGACTTTTGTATTTTTAGTAAAGATGGGGTTTTGCCATGTTTCCCAGGCTGGTCTCAAACTCCTGGCCTTATGTGATCCGCCTGCCTTGGCCTCCCAAAGTGCTGGGATTACAGGTATGAGCCACCACACCCGGCCACTTAACCATATTCTTAACCTCACTATGGCCTGGTTTTCAACATTTATTTTTCACTCTACACAACATTAAGACTGGATGATGAATTTTTTAAAAATATTAGACTCACATGTCCTATAAAAGCCTTTCTGTTGAAATTGTCACTGACTGCATGATTCTCAATGCTGCCATGAGAAAATTTGGCCATGGCTCTAGGTGTGACTTTACAAACATCCTTGCAACTATATCCTAATTCTATTGATCAAATTGTGTTTCTTTCTGGATTTGCCGAATCACTTTAACCCTCTCCCCACCTCCACTGACATTGCTGTCACCACCCCTACCACTTTCAGCGGACCACATCGGAGCCACCTGGGAAGGTGATTTCATCATGTGGACACAGGGGCGGAACTTGAAAATCACTCTTAGAGCTAGTATTGTCATGACATCTTACTGCCGCTGAGCGTGTCGCCAAACTCGGCTAATTTGCTGAGACATGGCTGGCATTTCATCGCGCTCATAGCTCAGCCCTTTTTTGTGATGAGGCTCCCTGCAGTACGGTGGGACTAGCTCAGTCTCTCATTAAACGAGGCTCACATGGAGGATCCGCCAAGAGTGAAACACTGTCTTGCAAAATGCTTCTTTTTATGGTTTTCTGTAGAACATTGTATTGTTCCACATTTTAGCTCTGGTTTTGTAATCACTGATTATGTAACGAATTCTGATTCTGTGCCTGCAAAATTGGTCTGTGCCACTAAAGACAAAGGCGAATGCAACTACTTTAGAACACACAGAGATTGAGGCACTCTGTCTGTGCCCTCCCACCCCCTCCGCCACCACGCTTGCTAATCTTGTCAAAGATTGGTCTCACGTTATACTACCACTTAGGGGGCAGGAGATGGGAGTGGCACAGCATAAAAACTCCTTCACTTTTGCACAAAGAATAGTGAATCCTAGGTAGTTTTGAAATGTGCAATTTTGTAAAACATCAGTTACCTCTAGTGGGGCTGACTCTGACTGCCTCAATAATCTGTAAATGCTTAAAAATCTGCGTCCTTTAAGAGTAGGATTGCCAGGTAAAATACAGGACTCCCAGTTAACTTCGAATTGCAGATAAGCAGTGGATACTGTTTTTTAGTATAAGTGTATCCCAAATATTGCATAAGACATACTTATGCTAGAAAATTACTCATGGCTTATATGAAATTCACATTTAACTGGGCATCCTCTAGTTTTATTTGCTAAATCTGGCAACCCTACTTGAGATCAGACCCTTGTCACTGTCCTATCCTGCAGGCAGGTCTGTCCTTGTGGAACTCCAATAATGCATTCTGCCAAGAAACCTGGGACAGAAAGAGGCAAATGAAGAATCTTTTTTTTTTTTTTTTTTTTTTTTTTTTTTTTTTTTTTTGAGACGGAGTCTCGCTCTGTCGCCCAGGCTGGAGTGCAGTGGCGCGATCTCGGCTCACTGCAAGCTCCGCCTCCCGGGTTCACGCCATTCTCCTGCCTCAGCCTCCCGAGTAGCTGGGACTACAGGCGCCCGCCACCTCGCCCGGCTAATTTTTTGTATTTTTAGTAGAGACGGGGTTTCACCGTGTTAGCCAGGATGGTCTCGATCTCCTGACCTCGTGATCCGCCCGCCTCGGCCTCCCAAAGTGCTGGGATTACAGGCGTGAGCCACCGCGCCCGGCCTGCAAATGAAGAATCTTAATCACGCTTGGCTTTTTGTTCTTATCTAGCTCCAAGCATCACAGATATGCATTAAATTCATAAATCAATTAAAACCTTTCATTTGGACAGCTGAGTTTTAGTTCATTTTTATCCTGAAACCTTAGCAAGCTTGGACTCCATTGAGAGGAAGGATATGGAAAGGGGAAAGAATGACTCAGGGATCAGCTGGGCCACTCAGCTGGCCACTCGGGTTGGTCACTCACCCCAAACGGAGTGGCCCAGCATGGCACTGTCACCTTAGTCTCTGTGTCTCCACTTGCAAACTTAAAGGACTGGATTCAATGACTTTAAGGCTCCTTCCAGGGCTAAAAATTCTATGATTCTGCATTCAAGAGGCCTGAAACTTCCAAGGTATGCTACTGAAAATCACAATAATAGATGAAAATTTTAAAACATCAGGGATTTTTATTTATGCTACAAAATTTTAACAAGTTACTCACCAAATTTCCATCTGAGAAGAGTACAGATCTTGACATTCTCAGAACCTTGCTATTATATTGAATATTTTGTGCAAAATTTTTACTTAATCGGTATCCAGGTACAAGATTTGCCTGTCAGAATACTCTAAGAGAGTTTTCTGCTTGTTTGTCATTCCTGAATGACTTTGGTAAAATCCAACACTCTAAATTTAAGCTGTAACCTGGACCCAAGTTATTAGTAGCTACTCTACAATCTGTATGATCTGGGGTGAAGGATCTTGGGTACTCAATAAAAACATTCTTAATCCAGGTCCAAAAACATGCTAAGGAAAAAGGCACTTAGGGGAGCACACTGCTCATGCTTTTCAAGTGATTCAACAAACATCGATTGCTTGGGATAGCCCACACATTCCCCTGGCTTCTATATTAATGGCTTTCAAATCTCTATGTCCACATTTCATTTCTCTTCTGAGTTTCAGAACAAAATTTCCAACCCCCTACTAGAAATCTCTGCCTGGATATCCCACAGTAAATCCAAAACAAACTTCTTATTATCTTCACCCCACAGCCGATCTGTTGGTTTCCTTTAACTTGGTTAATGGTATTATTATCTACCATCATTATTAGCACAAGCTGGAAATAGAGCAATTACCCCCACCCTGAATCAATGAGTACCAAGTCCACCCAATTCTGTCTCCTAAATGACTCTTAATCTATGTCCCCTTTATCCATTCCAAGGCCACTGCCTTAGTTCAGTCCTCTCACCTCTCACTGCAAGTAGAGCCTTTCCCATCCGTCCCCACAGAGGCAGAGGGATTTTTCCAAAATACAGCTCTGATCCTCCTCACCCCTGCTCCCAACAGCCCTCCACTGCCTGGGGAGGAAGTTCCAAACTTACATTTGGTGAATGTGGCCTTTTGATTTCTGACCACAGCGGAGTACTCCAATTTCATCTCCCTCCTCAATACCCTAATACCCAACAACTTGCCATTTCCCCAATCCATCATCTCCTTCCAAGCCTGCCTATACTGATCCCTTCCTGGAAATTTATCCTTTCCTCCCTCATTTTCTCCAGCTGGAAAATTCCAACTCATCCTTCAAGACTTTGCTCAAGTGTTTCCCTGGGCAGGCTTCCCTGACCAGGCCCCTGCCTCACTCCACCCTCGGCAGGGTTAATGACTCCTTCCCTTGGAATGCCTCAGTGCATTGTTTAAACCTTACTTGTCTCACTGACCCTTTGCATTACCATCGTGTAGTTTTCATCTGCTTCCTCTATTAAACTATGAACACTTTGAAGATGGGGTTTTGGTTTATTGGCTTTGTATCCCTAGGAGCCAGCAAAGGGCCTGGTACAAGGCAAGTTCTCCATAAACATTTAGAGGTGGAGATACGGGGGATGGATAAATGAAATTCAAAAAGAAGTGACATTTCTACATAGAAATTGTTGTAAGTGCTTTATCTCATTTATTTCCTGTAAAAGAACCCTAAGAGGTTCTTATAGGAAATGATTACTTCCATTTTATAGATTAAGAAACAAAGAGTTTAAGTAACTTGTCCAAGTTCACATATTTAATTAACGAAAGAGCCCACACGTGGCCTTTGTTCCTCCACATTCTTTCCATTCCCAACTATGGTGGGGGAATTAACAAGCAGAGGAGAAGTCAAATGTGAGGTGGCAGTAAGGAGACACTATAAGGAACAGGGATATTCTACAGATCGTTCATCTGTCTCTCAATGACTCGAAACTTAATAATTAAATAGTCTGTGAATCCCATCTAAATTCCAGGATTCCTCAGTTTTTTGGGCGGGGCCCTTTTTTTGGCTTTTTACATTTTTGTTATTGTGAAATGTTAACTATTACAGAAAGAGTGGATAAACATATATGGATGGTTTAAGAATAATTATTAGCAGAGTGCAGTGGTGCACACCTGTAATCCCAGCTACTCGGGAGGCTGAGGCAGGAGAATCTCTTGAACCCAGGAGGTGGAGGTTGAGGTGAGCTGAGATCATGCCACTGCACTCCAGCCTGGGCAACAGAGTGAGACTCCATAACAAAAATAATAATAATAATAATAATAATAATAATAATAATAATTATAACCTGTGCAACCCTACCCATTTCAAGATACAGAATTGCCAGGGCCTCAGAGCCCTGTCCTCTCTGACTCTCTTCTCAATCACTAGAGGAACCACCATCCTGACTTCTGTGATAGTCACTTCCTTGCTTTTATTTATTGCTTTGTTATAAGTAACACACACACACACAACTCCCCCCCACATATATTTAGATGCTCCTTGAGTTATAATAGGATTATGTCCAGATATACCCATCGTAAATTGAAAATCTCTCTCTCTCTCTTTTTTTTTTTTTTTTTTTTTTTTTTGAAACAGGGTCTTGCTCTGTCAGGCTGGAGTGAGTGCAGTGGCATGATTATGGCTCACTGCAGCCTCCACCACCTGGGCTCATGGAATCCTCCTGCCTCAGCCTCCTGAGTTGCTGGGACCACAGGCACACACCAGCATGCACGGCAAACTTTTAAAATTTCTTGTGGAGATGGAGTCTTGAGCTTGAACTCCTGAGCTCAAAGCAATCCCCCTGCCTCAGCCTCCCAAAGTGCTGAGATTACAGGCGTGAGCCACTGCATCCAGCCAAAACTATCATAAGTTAAAAATGCATTTATTGGGAATGATAGTAAAGGAAGTAATAAAAAATAATTTCAAAAAAATTCATGTAGGCTGTCCATGGGAAAAGCAGAATTCAACACTCCCCTATAAAGTCTTCCAAAAAAATTGCATTTCATACACCTAACCTACTAAAACATCATAGATTAGCCTAGCCTAGCTTAAATGTGCTGAGAACACTTACATTAGCCTACAGTTGGGCAAAATCATCTAACACAAAGCCTATTTTGTAATAAAGTGTTAATATCTCACATAGTTTATTAAATGCTGTAGTGACAGTCAAAAACATAATAGTTGTATGGGTACTGGAAGTGTGGTTTCTACTGAATGCATATCACTTTCCCACCATCATAGAGTCAAAAAATTGTTAAGTCAACATGGTAAGTTGGGGACTGCGTGTGTGTGTGTGTGTGTGTGTGTGTGTGTGTGTACTTATTAGTTTCCTATTGCTGCTATAACAAATTACCACAAACTTAGTGCTTGCAACAACGCAAATTTATTATCTTACACTTCTAGAGGTTGGAAGTCTAAAATGAGTCTGTAGGGCTGTGGTCTTTCTAGAGACTCCGTGGGAGAATTTGTTTCCTTGCAAAAACCGCAATTACTTTTGCACCACTTTAATAATATTTACTTAGATGTATCCATATACTTACCACTTCTTTGAACTTTCTTCTTTCTTTTATCTCAGGTGTCCCTTATGAGATCACTTTTATTCTACCTAAACGAAAGGTCTGAAGTCAGACTGTACTAGGAGGAAACTCTGTATTGATTTGTCTAAAACTGACTTATTTTGCCTTCATTCTTGAAAGATATTTTTGCTGGATATAGAATTCTGGTTTGGCAATTATTTAAGTTCACTGATGGTTTCATTCCACTGGCTTTGGACTTCCTTTGCTACTTTCATGCAGCTATTGCCTATTTGTCACTATTTTGAATATCATCTTTTTCTTTGGTTGATTTTAAGACCTCGTTTGTCTTTGGTTGTTAAAGTTTCACAATGATGTGTCTGGATACAGATTTCTTTTTATTTTTCTTGCCATTTCTTTCTACCATTCTTAAATGTGTAGACTGATGTCTTTGATCAGTTCTGGAAAATTTTCAGCTATTATGTCTTCATATATTATTTTTCTCCAAGTCCCTTTCTCCTCTCCTTCTGGGAGTCTGATTAAAGTAATGTTAGACCTTTTCACTCTATATTCTCCATGTCTCCTAACCTATCTTTCGTATTTTCTATACTGTTGTCTTTCTGTGCTGTACTGCACATAATTTCTTCTGATCTATATTGCAGTCCTCTAATTCTCTCTTCATTAGTATTTATCTGCTGTTAACATACGTCAATTGAGTTTTAAATTTTGGTTATTGTATCTTTAATTTTGAGAAGTTCAATTTGGGTTTTGTTTGTTTGTTTGTTTTGAGACAGGTTCTCAGTCTGTTACCCAGGCTGGAGTGGAGTGGCATGATCTTGGCTCACTGCAGACTCAACCTTCCTGGGCTCAGTCAATCCTCCCACCTCAGCCTCCCAGGTAGCTGAGACTATGGGTGCATACCACCAGGCCCAGCTAATTTTTTGTATATTTTGTAGAGACAGGGTTTCACCATGTTGCCCAGGCTGGTCTTGAACTCCTGGGCTCGAGCAATCCTCCCTTTGGGACTCCCAAAGTGCTGGGATTACAGGTATGAGCCACCGCACTTGGCCTGGTTCTTTTTCAAATCTGCTAGGTCACTTTTATAGTTCCCTTTTCCATATTTTTTTTTACTAATTTTTTATTAAATTTAGTAAGCATAGTTGTTTTTATAGAGTCCATCTAATAATTTCAAAATTTGAAGTCTTTGCAGGTCTCTTTCTTCTATTTCTGATTCTTGATGGCTTATTTCCTTATAGGCTTGGTTATTTTTGACTACGTGCTGATCATTGTCCTTAAAAATTATTTGGGGGGATTATTTGAAGCATAGGGTGATGCTAATTTCCTACAGAGAGGACTTTCATTTGCTTGTGCCAGTCGCCCAGGGGGCACTTTGCACTAAGGTACTTTAAACTAAATTCACAACTCGAGAGGTTTTTATGATTTTATGGTTTTTGTTAATTTATTTTTGACGACCAAAGTGATATAAATTTGGAAGCCATGAAAGGACTAATTTGCACTTGTAACTTCTCAGGGCTGTTTCCTACCATTGCTACCTGCCCTAGTCTGCTTATCAGAAGGGCAGCTTTGCCTGTGATCTCCTGGGCCTGATGGGGAAGGCACATTGACTTTTGTTTCACCCTTGTCTGTGGAGTTGACCCATGACCCACAGTAAGGGGAGGGACAGGCTGTGGTGGGCTATGATTCTGTACCCCTTGTCCTGAAAGGCCCTCAGAAACAAAGTTCAAGTTTGCCTAAGCTGGCAAATGCCCTCAGTGCAAAAACAGCTTCAAGGCTCTACATAACTTTCAGAGTTCTTATTTTCCCTTTGATTTTGGACTTTAGTTTTTTACTATTTTGCCAGATCTTTTATGCTTTTGAGAAGCTAAACATTTTTTTTTAGATGGAATCTCACTCTGTCACCCAGGCAGGAGTGCAGTGGCATGATCTTGGCTCACTGCAACCTCCACCTCCCAGGTTCAAGTGATTCTCATGCCTCAGCCTCCCGAGTAGCTGGGATTACAGGCACACGCCATCATGCCTGGCTAATTTTTGTATTTTTAGTAGAGACGGAGTTTCGCCATGTTGGCCAGGCTGGTCTTGAACCCCTGGCCTCAAGTGATCTACCCATCTCAGCCTCCCAAAGTGCTGGGATTACAGGCATGAGCCACCGTGCCTGGCCAACATTTTTTTTAGCGAACATTTTTGGTTGCTTTCAGTGGGAAGTTCATGTGAATACCTATTTTGCCTTATTCCCGGACATGCAAATCCCTTCCTGATCTTTGTAGGCTCTGTTGAACTGCACACTTAGAAACTAAAAAACCAGCATAACTTGCTCTCAACAACTTAACATATGGAAAAGCAAGCATATGTTTTCTTACCTCTTATGTACTTCAGGAAAATTATCATTGCAAGATTCCCTTAAATAGATACAAAAATTGAATTACATAAAATGTCTCAGGAACATATCAGAAATTTTCTAAGAAATGTTTTTTAATTTAACTTTTTAACCACTATTAAATTATTTTAAATTGTAACACTTTATCCAAAAATTACTTTTCCAGCAAACTCAGCCACCCAAGAATCCAGGAATGAGTATAACATGACTCTACATAGTCCAATTAGATGACACAATGTTCATTACTTTATTTGAAGCACTTTATTCATCAGAAAGTCCCTAAGGCTTCATTTAGAGCCTAGTAACTCTGATTTTATACACAACTCAAAGAAATCTGATTCTCTAATTTTCTAGCCCATAACCTCTTAGAAATAATAACTTGAAAGTAGACATACATTTTGAAAGTGGGCTCGCAGGACATTGTGGCTCACACTTGTAATCCCAGCATTTTGGGAGGCCAAGGTGGAAGGATCACTTGAGGCCAGGAGTTTGAGGCCAACCTCAGAACATAGTGAGGCCCTGACTTTATTTTTTAAAAAATAAAGAATAAAATAGCCTGACACAGTGGCTCACACCTGTAATCCCAGCATTTTGGGAGGCTGAAGCCGGTAGATCACTTGAGGTCAGGAGTTTGAGACCAGTCTGGCCTACATGGTGAAACCTTGTCTCTACTAAAAATACAAAAATTAGCTGAACATGGTGACACATGCCTGTAATCCCAGCTACTCGAGAGGCTGAGGCAGGAGGATCACTTGAACCTGGGAGGCGGAGGTTACAGTGGTGAGCCAAGATTGTGCCATTGCACTCCCACCTGGGTGACAGAGTGTGACAAGGAAAGAAGGAAGGAAGGAAGGAGGGAGGGAGGGAGGGAAAAAGAGAGAGAGAAAGAAAAGAAAGAAAGAGAGAGAGAAAGAGAAGAAAGAAGAAGTAAGAAAGAAAAAAGAGAAAGAAAGGGAGAGAAAGAAGGGAGGGAGAGAGGGAAGGAGGGAGGGAGGGAGGAAGGAAGCAAGGAAGGCAGGCAGGCAGGCGGGCTCATAGTGAGAGCTAGGTATGGCATCTGACAGCTCCAGAAGGAGAGAACAGACAGGACTATAAAAACCTGTCCTAAAAGCTCAAAAAGAGGCACAGTTGAAACTTATTTAATTTTATTTTATTTTGAGACAAAGTCTCACTCTGTTGCCCAGGCTGGAGTTCAGTGGCACGATCTCTGCTCACTGCAAACTCTGCCTCCTGGGTTCAAGTGATCCTCCTGCCTCAGCCTCCTGAGTAACTGGGATTACAGGCACCCACCACCATAGCCGGCTAATTTTTGTATTTTTAGTAGAGACGGGGTTTCGCCATGTTGGCCAGGCTGGTCCCAGACTCCTGACCTCAAGTGATTCACCCGCCTCGACCTCCCAAAGTGCTGGTATTACAGGTGTGAGCCACCATGCCTGGCCTCACAATGGAAACATTTAAGCCAACATACCACAAAATCTTGTGGGAAGCTCCTGCACTACTCGACAGCATAGTGAACAAATATTTCTGCTCTTGATTCTGATCTTGGGGCAGCACAGAACTAGTTAGGCTGTTTATGAAAGCAGAGATGGATCTAATGCCTTAATACATTAATATATTTTCTATATTTACATTGTATGTTCACAGAAAAATTGCCTTTATGGTAATCTTTTTTTCAGATGGAGTCTTGCTCTGTCGCCAGGCTGGAGTGCAGTGGCATGATCTTGGCTCACTGCAACCTCCGCCTCCCAGGTTGAAGCGATTCCACTGCCTCAGCCTCCTGAGTAGCTGGTACTACAGGCTCATGCCACCACACTCGGCTAATTTTTTGTATTTTAGTAGAGACAGGGTTTCACCATGTTGGCCAAGATGGTCTCGATCTCCTGACCTCGTGATTCGCCTGCTTCAGCCTCACAAAGTGCTGGGATTACAGATGTGAGCCACTGCACCCGGCCTTATTATTATTATATTATTATTATTATTATTATTATTATTATTATTATTATTTAAAGGCAGGTTTTGCCTTATCACCCACGCTGGTATACAGGGTTACAATCACTGCTCTCTGCAGCCCTGACCTGCTGGGCTCAAGTGATCCTCCCACCTCAGCCTCCTAGGTAGCTGGAACTACAGGTGTGGCCATCACTCCCAGCTATATTTTTTTATTTTTTGTAGAGGTGGGGTCTTTCTAGGTTGCCCAGGCTTGTCTCAAACTCCTGGCCTCAAGCAATCCTCCTGCCTCGGCCTCCCAACATGCTGGGATTAGAGGTATAAGCCACCATGGTCATTTTTGGTTTGTTTGTTTTGTTTTTAATTTGGAGAATCTCACTTACTAGTAGAGTCCAATAAGTAAGGATTTCTGTATTACAGGTCCTTAAAACCCAATTCCCCTCTGAGACTGAGACCAGAAAATTGAGAGCTTATTCAAGTCTTAAATATGCTGTTAAGTTCTTTAGTCTC
This sequence comes from Homo sapiens, assembly GCF_000001405.40. Taxonomy (NCBI): domain Eukaryota; kingdom Metazoa; phylum Chordata; class Mammalia; order Primates; family Hominidae; genus Homo; species Homo sapiens. Next base: position 100,782,142 of record NC_000008.11, on the reverse strand, counting down.
CAATCCAGGAGTTTAAGAAGTTTTTCTCAGTGTCGCTGAGTTCTAAAGAATGGATTTGAGAGAAAACAACTATAGTGGCCACTGCTGAGAGAGAAAGAGTCAGTGATAGAGGATCTGGCTTTACTTCAGAGCAGCCCCACTTTGGGCAGGTTATGTAAACACACAAAAGAACTTTATCAGTGGAAACCTCAAGATTGCTAAGTAAAAGATGATAATCACGGTTCAAAGGGTGCATGGGGAAGGGAGAGGGAAGGGGAAGGGAGTAGAAGAAAAGAAAATGCTCCTGGACTTCCCTGCTATTTTTTTGTTTTGTTTTGAGACAGAGTCTCACTCTGTCACCCAGGCTGGAGTGCAGTGGCGTGATCTCAGCTCACTGCGAACTTTGCCCACTAGGTTCAAGTGATTCTCCTGCCTCAGCCTCCCAAGTAGCACACACTACAAGCACGCACCACCACGCCTGGCTAATTCTTGTATTTTTAGTAGAGACGGAGTTTTGCCATGTTGTCCAAGCTGGTCTCAAACTCCTCACCTCAAGTGATCTGCCCACCTCGGCCTCCCAAAGTGCTGGGATTACAGGCCTGAGACACCAAGCCTGGTCTTCCCTGCTATTGTTTATCTCCCTTTTAGCATTAATAATACCATCCCTGCCTCCTGGTGAGTGTCAGAAGCCAGGATTCCCAACTTACACATAGATTTTGGATCCAACTGAAATGTGGGCCCTGCTTTTATGGTATTAGAATCATAACTTGAAAAGCTTCAGTTCTGCTGATCCCACGAGAAGAGGTGCTGAGTTTTAGTGTCATTCTCACTATTATCTCACCATATCATTTCAGAGTCTCACAAGTTGGAAGACTCAGCCATCTGCTTATTGCTAGATGCTAGCTCCTCCAGCATTACATTTCACTGTAATTCCCTGTATTATCCCCTTAGTATATATCACACCAACTTGGACTGACTTTTTAAGTACCTAATTTATATTTGTAAGTTTTTATTTGTGATGCTACAAACGGAGTGAAGAACTGAAAGGTAGGGAGAAAAGGACTTCCATTTTGTTTAGAATTGGCAAATAGGTTTCTTTTGCAAGCCAATTCTGGCAGATTTTATGGAAAGCCATGTTTTGAAGGATATTGAAGCTGCTTCCAGGCTCAGTAGGAAAGAACATTAAGATCCATTAGCAACGTCTGCCCCCATGCAGGAGAGGGAGGTCAGTACGCACATCAAATATTTGTCATCTTTGGTTTGATTTAACACATATTTATTGAGTGCCTATTACGTGCCAAGTAGTGTCTAAAGCACAGGCTTCTGTTGTTGTTTGTTTGTTTGTTTGTTTGTTGTTTGAGACAGAGTCTCCCTCTGTCACCCAGGCTGGAGTATAGTGGCACAATCTTGGCTCACTGCAACCTCTGCCTCCAGATTCAGGCAATTCTCCTGCCTCAGCCTCCCAAGTAACTGGGATTACAGACATGCGCCACCACACCCGGCTAATTTTTGTATTTTTAGTAAAGAAGGGGTTTTGCCATGTTGGCCAGGCTAGTCTCGAACTCTTGACCTCAAGTGATCAGCCTGCCTCGGCCTCCCAAGTGCTGGGATTACAGGCGTGAGCCACCACACCTGGCTTTTGTATTGTTTTAATTTTAAATAAAGGAGACATGGTTCCTGCCTTTCAGAAAGTATAATAAATGGCAGACATACAAACAATTAAAATGCAGTGTAGAATATGCTGTAGTGGAAGTGTATATAAGATCCAGAGAGTCAGAGAGGAAGGGTTTGGATGGGGGCATGTGGGGAGGGGTAGAAGGTCAGATGTCAGCAGTTCCAGAAGGCTGGACAGCCTCAGCTTTGGCATGAATCCACTATCCTCTTACCTCAACCGCTTCCAAGTGGAAGAGCTCCCGTATATTACCCATCCCTGGGCAAATTTCACATAGGCATCCTAATAAGTAGCCCATATAGCGCTTCTCCCTGTCGACCACAGTCTTCATCACATTATCAATGAATCCCTGCTGAATGCCATACAGGGAAGGCGACTGCCCTGTGAGAACCTGAAGTGGCCAAGGCAGGGCTGGACAGAGAGTTCTCTGGTGGGCTCAGGTTTTTAAAGCACCCATGCTACTCATAACAGGAATGGCCCATGGCCAGGAATAATTACTCTTAAACGGCAGTTTTGTGAGGAAATCAGGAAGGACAAAATGCAGAATAATCTGAGGTTTGTGAAAAATGTTAAGCAAAAGGGCTTTTTATAGGCCATGCTGCATCAAAAAAAGCAGCCAAGTAAGACTATGATCCATTGCTTGGGAGAGATATGTAATGCCAACAGATTATCAGGAAAAGTTGTAAGTGTGGAATTATTATTTTGCATCATTTTCCTCTCTATAAGGTGCTTCTCATAGAGTGGAGCATCAGAATCAACCAGTGTGTTAAAATGCGTATTCTCAGGCCCCATCTCAGCTCTACTACGCCTAAATCTCTGGGAGCAGACTGGGAATCTACATTTTGAACAGGCTCTGCCCACTCCATGCACTTCTGATGGATGTTCTATAAAGATTTAAAACCACCATGAAGGCTGGGTGTGGTGGCTTATGCCTGTAATCCCAACACTTTGGCAGGCCAAGGTGGGCGGATCACTTGGGGCCAGGAGTTCGAGACCAGCCTGGCCAACGTGGTGAAACCCCATCTCTACTAAAAGTACAAAAAAAAATTATCCGGGCATGGTGGCATGTGCTCAGTCCTAGCTGCTTGGGAGGCTGAGGCACAAGAATCACTTGAACCCGGGAGGCGGAGGTTGCACTGCATGGAGATAGAGCCACTGCACTCCAGCCTGGGTGACAGTGAGCCTCTATCTCAAAAAAAAAAAAGAAAAAGAAAAAAAAATTTAAGAGCACAGCACAAACCGTGTAATTAGCTAGAAATGGCTGTGTGCCTGTAGTCCCAGCTACTCAGGAGGCTGAGGCAAGAGAATCATTTGAACTCGGGAGGTGGAGGAGTGAGCCGAGATTGCGCTGCTGCACTCCAGCCTAGGCAATAGAGCAAGACTCTGTCTCAAAAAATAAATACATAAAAATAAAAGTAAATAAATAAATAAATAAAACCACCATGAAGCCCAAGACAAGTGAGGAGGTGGTAAGAGACTACCAACTGCCTCAGATAAGTTTAATTCTGCAAATCTTATGGAATAGTTCCAAGATAATGAAATAATTTGCAGATATGTCCATACAGACATCAACACCAATCTTTAAGAAATCACAAAGGCCAGGCATGGTGGCTCATGCCTGTGAACCCAGCACTTTGGGAGGCTGAGGCAGGAGGATCACTTCAGGCCAGGAGTTTGAGACCAGCCGGGGCAACATAGCAAGACTCTATTTCTACAAAAAAAAATTTAAAACTAAATTAACTGGGCATGATGACCTGTGCCTGTAGCCCTAGCTACTTGGGAGGCTGAGGCAAGAGGATCATTTGAGCCCAGTAGTTTGGAGCTACAGTGAGTTATGATTACACCACTGCACTCCAGCCTGGGAACAGAGAAAAACTCCATCTGAAAAAAAAAAAGAAAAAGAAAAAAAAAAAAAAGGCTGGGCATGGTGGCTCATGCCTGTAATCCCAGCACTTTGGGAGGCTGAGGCAGGGAGCTCACCTGAGGTCAGGAGTTCGAGACCAGCCTGGCCAACATGGCGAAACCCTGTCTCTACAAAAAATACAAAAATTAGCCTGGTATGGTGGCGTGCGCCTGTAAACCCAACTACTCAGGAGGCTGAGGCAGGAGAATTGCTTAAACCCAGGAGGTGAAGGTTGCAGTGAGCCATACTGCCTCCAGCCTCGGTGACAGAGTGAGACTACATCTCAAAAAACAAAACAAAACAAAATGCCCTGCTGCTGTGGCTCATGCCTGTAATCCCAGCACTTTGGGAGGCCGAGGTGGGTGGATCACATGAGGTCAGGAGTTCGAGACCAGCCTGATCAATATGGAGAAACCCGTCTCTACTAAAAATACAAAAAATTAGCCAGACATGGTGGTGGGTGCCTGTAATCCCAGCTATTTGGGAGGCTGAAGCAGGAGAATCACTTGAATTGGGGAGGCGGAGGTTGCAGTGAGCCATCTCGCCATTGCACTCCAGCCTAGGCAACAAGAGTAAAAACTCCATCTCAAAAAAAAAGAAAAAAGATGAAACTTAATAAAGGCAGTGGTAGAATCCTTTAATCTGGTTTCAATGGTAAATACAAGTAGGGACACCCAGTCTAAGAGCATAAGAAAAAAATTTACCAACCTAGGAGACTAATTAGATCCATTGGTACAGTCAGTTGCCAAAGATGGAGTTCAAATGATGTACAGTCACATGCCACAGAATGACCTTTCAGTCAACAGTGGACTGTATATATGACAGTGGTCCCATAAGATTATCATGGAGCTGAAAAATTCCTATCGCCCGGTGACACTGTAGCTGTCATAACATTTGTAGCCCAATGTCATTACTCAGGAAAATCTTTGATTAAAAAAAGAAACAAACCAAGCAAACCACCATGGACATATTTCTGAAAAGAATGTCACCCCCTCAAGAAGGGTCCTTCAGGAAGTGTTCTAGAAGAAGGCAGTGTTGTCGTAGGAGGTGACAGCTCCCCGTGTTATTGCCTCCAAGGACCTTCCTGTGGGTCAGGTAGACATGGAGTAAAAGACAGTGATATTGATGATTCTGACCCTGTGTAGGCCTAGGTTAATGCATATTGACATATGCATTAGAAAAAAGGATATAGAATAAACATGTAGAATAAGGATACAAAGCGTATGGAATAAAGATATAAAGAAAAAAGCATATAGAATAAGGATATAAAGAAAGAAAATTTTTTGTACAGCTGCACAATGTATTTGTGTTTTAAGCTAAGTGAAACTGTAAAAGATTAAGTGACATTATAAAGATCCCAAAAGTTTTAAAAGATTAAAAAGTTTATAAGTTAAAAATTACAGTAAACTAAGGTTTATATGTAAGCACCTTCTATAGCATTCACACAAAAATCACCTAACGATCCATTTCTCAGAAGGTATCCCTATCGTTAAGCAACATACAAGTATATATGCAACAACAAAAGGTACTGACACAATGTCTTTGTATCACTTCGCACTCTTATTTCATGATGATTAAAAGAAACTTTTAAACTTTAAACTCTTTGAGGAAGGTGAGCCGCCACTGCAGTGGGGCTGGCCACTCCTGCACTTGACTCACAGCTCACGGAGCAACTCGTTCTGGACTAGGAACAGGTTGGCCAGGAAGCCTTGCCAAAGCCTTGGCCTTTAAAGACACCAGAAAGACACGCATGGAGCCAGAGGTGGGGAGTCACAGAACTGAAGTCAAGCTATCCAGCCGCAAAGGAAAACCCCTGGAGAAGGTGTGGCTGACTTGATCAGAGGCGCAAAAGAGAAGATCCTCAAAGTGAAAGGGCCTGTCCAGATGCCTACCAAAACTCTGAGAACTGCTAGAAGATAAACTCCTTGTGCTTAAGGTTCTGAGACATGGGATCCTTTCCAGATGAGAATCCACAAGCAATCATTGATTTGCATAGTTCTTTGAGATGGCTAAACTGATTATTCCCATCAGTATTGAGCCACGAGTTGAAGCCAAAGTCACCATTGCTGATGCTTAAATCAATGCCTGTACTTTCATTAATTGACTGTCAGTTGCTGAAACAAAAAGTTTAATAGACATAGATTGTGTCATATATCAAGTGTGCCTAAAACAAAAGAAAAACGTAAGACAAAAAAAAAATTGGTTAAGGTATTCCTCAAACTTCTCTTTGGGAGTCCAGTCTTCTGAAACGCATTTCACTTCAGAGTCGTGTGTGTATGTTCTATTTTTCCAAACACAGTTGTTCCCTGCACCATCAGGAGTGTCAGTTATGAAGTATTTCTTTTAAAAAATCTTTTTATTATTTATTTATTTATTTTGAGACAGAGTCTTACTCTGTCACCCAGGCTGCAGTGCAGTGGCAAGATCTTGGCCACTGCAACTTCCACCTCCCAGGCTCAAGCAATCCTCCCATCTAAGCCTCCCGATAGTTGGGACCACAGGCATGTGCCACCACATCCAGCTAATTTTTTAATTTTTTTGTAGAGACAAAGTTTCACTATGTTGCCCAGGCTGGTCTGGAGCTCCTCGGCTCAAGTGATACTTCTGCCTCAGCCTCCAAAGTGCTGGGATTACAGACATGAGTCACTGCACCCAGCCTGCCTTAAAGAATTCTTTTTTTTTTTTTTTGGAGACAGAGTCTTGCTCTGTCACCCAGCCTGGAGTGCAATAGTATGATCTCAGCTCACTGCAACCTCTGCCTCCCAGGTTCAGGAGATTCTCCTGCCTCAGCCTCCCGAGTAGCTGGGATTACAGGTGCACGCCACCATTCCCAGCTAATTTTTTATATCTTTAGTTGAGATGGGGTTTCACCATGTTGGTCAGGCTGGTCTTGAACTCCTTACCTCAAGTGACTGAACTGACCTCAGGAGTTCAAAGCTGCAGTGAGCCACTGCACCCGGCCAGTAGTTACTTTAAGGATTTTCTTCCAACACAGATATCCCGTCCCACCCCTCAAATTTTAATGCTGGTCCTTTCTTGATTTTTTTAAGGTGTCAACAGAAGGTTTCAAAAAACAACCAAGATAGGCTGGGCGCAGTGGCTCAAGCCAATAATCCCAGCACTTTGGGAGGCCGAGGTGGGTGGATCACTTGAGGTAACGAGTTCGAAAAACAAACAACTGCAAATGGAGGTTGCAGTGAGCCAAGATTGCGCCATTGCACTCCAGCCTGGGCAACAAGAATGAAACTCCGTCTCAAAAAGAAAAAGAAAAAAAAAAGAAAAGAAAATTGGATTCAGGCAGACTTGGGCTCTGTCCTGACACTGGATGTAAGATCTTGACTGAATTAGCCTTGCTAAGCTTCAATGTTCTCATCATTATAATAGAGGTTTCCATAACTACTGTTAAATAAGATAATGTATATAAAGTGCTGAGTGCCATGCTCAGCACATACAGTAAATGAACAATACATAGTACATCAGAATGAATTTTAGATGGATCAAAGATTGACATGTAAAGAGTAAAATAATAAAAATAATTGAAGACGTCCAGGCACGGTGGTTCACACCTGGAATCCCAGCACTTTGGGAGGCTGAGGCAGGCAGATCACTTGAGGTCAGGAGTTCGAGACCAGCCTGGCCAACATAATGAAACCCCGTCTCTACTAAAAATACAAAAATTAGCTGGGCATGGTGCCACACACCTGTAATCCCAGCAACTCGGGAGGCTGAGGCATGAGAATCACTTGAACCCAGGAGGCGGAGCTTGCAGTGAGCTGAGATAGTGCCACTGCACTTCAGTCTGGGCGACAGAGCAAGACTCTGTCTCAAAATAATAATAATAATAATTGAAGGCAACATATGATATTATTTTTATAATAGCAGAATAGAGAAGGCTTTCCTAGATATGATATATGTGAAAAAGAAGGAGGAGAAATAGAAGCAAAGACTCCCCAAATGAAAAGATTGATACATTTGACTACTTGGAAAATAAAATGTTTCTACATAGAAAAAAAAATAGCATTGGCCAGGCACAGTGGCTCATGCCTATTAACCCCACCTGTTAGGAGGTTGAGGTAGGAGGATCACTTGAAGCCAGGAGTTTGAGACCATCCTGGGCAAGACAGCAAGACCCCTTCTTAACAACAACAACAACAATGACAATTAGCTGGGGATGGTGGTGGGTGCCTATCATCCCAGCTACTTGGGAGGCTCCCTCAGGAGGATCCTCTCAGCAGGAGGATCGCTTGGCCTCAGGAGTTCAAAGCCGCAGTGAGTATAATGGCACCACTGCACTCCAGCCTGGGCAACAGAGTGAGACCCCATCTCTAAAAATAATTAAAATTAAAATAAAACATTAAGCGAATAAATGACAAACTGGAAAAATGCATTTGTACTGTATAACACAAGGAATTAATTTCCTTAACATATAAAAATCTTCTAGAAATCAGCAACAGAGGCCAGGCGCAGTGGCTCATGCCTGTAATCCCAGTGATTTGGGAGGTCAAGGTGGGTGGATCACTTGGGGTCAGGAGTTTGAGTCTAGCCTGGCCAACATGGCAAAACTCCATCTCTACTAAAAATACAAAAAATTAGCTGGGTGTGGTGGTGGGCACCTGTAATCCCAGCTACTCGGGAGGCTGAGGCAGGAGAATCACTTGAACCCGGGAGGCGGAGGTTGCAGTGAGCTGAGATTGTGCCACTGCACTCCAGCCTGGGCAACAGAGTGAGACTCTGTCTCAAAAAAAAAATATATGTATATATATTATTTTTATACATACAAAAAGGTGCCTAACTTCCCTTATAAGAAAAGAAGTCAAGTGGACAAATCAAAATGATAGTAAGCTGTTTGGCTTTGGCCCCCTTCCCTAACACTGTGCCCTTCCCTTGCCTGCTGGGACTGCTAGCGACCAGCAAGTACAGGCTCTTCACTGCCTCTCTCCCCCTTGGCCTCCCTGGCCAGCCTCTGGCTAGGACCCCCCACTGAATAGAAGCCCTTGAGGAAGGAAAATCTTTCCCCTCCACTGGCACCAGTTTTTCAGCCTAGCTTCTAGGTTATTAAGCAATTAGTCTGGCTCACCGCATTGAGGACTGAACTCTGCTTACGATAGAGCTTAAAAATATGTTTTGTTTGTTTTGTTTTGTTTTGTTTTTTGAGACAGAGTCTTGCTGTGTCACCCAGGCTGGAGTGCAGTGGCACGATCTCAGCTCACTGCAAGCTCCGCCTCCCGGGTTCACACCATTCTCCTGCCTCAGCCTCCCGAGTAGCTGGGACTACAGGTGCCCACCACCACGCCCGGCTAATTTTGTTTTTGTATTTTTAGTAGAGATGGGGTTTCACGTGTTAGCCAGGATGGTCTCGACCTCCTGACCTTGTGATCCACCTGCCTCAGCCTCCCAAAGTGCTGGGATTACAGGCGTGAGCCACCATGCCCGGCCCATGTTTTGTCTTTATAAAACTACTGGGTCCATATTCAGGGAGAAATTATCTAGAATATTCTGCAGTGATCTACCCACAACCTACAACCTTACACTGTAGAGTCAAATGTTCTGTTCTTGAGATCAAGCACAATTCATTGAAAGCGGGGCAGCCAGTAGGGTGATAGGCACTGAAACTGTGTCTTTCAGGAAACAGCTGGAGGGACTGAGGTTCAGGTTCTGCAGAGACTCCCTGAAGGAAACACAATAATAGCTGCTCCCAGGCAGGTGAAGGGCTGTCCTAAGAGACTGGCTAGACTTGTCATGTACAGCTACTGAAGGCAGGACTCAGAACACCAGAGAGAAGGCACTGGGAGAATATTTGATAAGCTGCAGAAGAATCAAAGCTCATTAAAAAATGAATGAGTAGACTGGGTGCAGTGGTTCATGGCTGTAATCCCGATATTTTGGGAGGCCTAGGCAGGAGGACCACTTGAGCCCAGGAGGTTGAGGCTGCAGTGAGCCATGATCACACCACTGCACTCTAGCCAGGGCAACAGAGTGAGACCCTGTCTCAAAAAAAAGAAAAAAAAAGAGTGTGGTCAGTGCTGAGCAGGGACTGATGTGCGCTTGTTGGGGTGGGGAGGAAGGCTTCAGTGAGGAGAAGGGATTTGAGACCAAGCTATACAGGGGAGGGCTTAGGTTTTGCATGGGAGTCTCAGCCCTTGAGTGAGTTACTTAATGTCTTTGAGACTCAATTTCCCCATTTATAAAAACCTTACAGTAAGGGTCCCTTACCCTTGGGGGGACCCTTCTGTGGCCTGTTAGGAACCAGGCTGTAGAGCAGGAGGTGAGTGGCAGGGCAAACAAGCATTACCAGCTGAGCTTCACCACCTGTGAGATCAACAGTGGCATTAGATTCTCATAGAAGCACAAATTCTGTTGTGAACTGCACATGCGAGGGATCTAGGTTGTGCTCTCCTTATGAAAATCTAATGCCTGATGATCTGAGGTGGAACAGTTTCATCCTGAAACCACTTCCACTCTGTCCGTAGAAAAATTGTCTTCCATGTAACTAGTCCCTGGTGTCAAAAGGTTGGAGACCACTGTCTTAGAGGATTGTTGTGAAAATTAAATGGGAACCACCAGGCTCAGGGCCAGTCATAGAAGTTTGTTGTTCAAAAAGTCTTTGCTCCCCTTATAGTGATTGCTGTTGCGTTATTTAACTTGCATTTGACTGGGTTGGATTTTATAGAAATGTGTGAAAAGGACTTGCAAAGTAGAGGTCAGGACCTCCAGGGAGGCTCAGATGCAGGAGAACAGAAATTATACTGGAGATGTAATCCAGCCCAGACCTCAAAGGCAGGGAGTCTACAACCAAACTGCCTGGGTTCTGATTCTGGCTGTCACACTAACCGGGTGGCCTTGGGCAAGTTACTTAACCTTTCTGTGCCTCGATAGCCTCATCTGTAAAATGGAGCTCATAGCAGTACCTATGTTACAGGGCTGTTGTGAGGATTAAACTGCCTTATGTAAAGTGCTCAGCATAGTGACTAGCACAATATGCACCCTCCATAAGTGTTAGCTCTTGGGCTCATTATGTGTTGTGAAGAAAGCCTCCCACAGATCCATTTGGTTGAAGGGGAGGATAGAGACACGGGAAGGCAGGGTGAAATGAGACATAAGAGTGGGGACAGTGTAAGCCCTGCCAGATAGGGGCTTCTCATAGGTGTAATTCCAGGCCCACATTGAAGGCCTGGCCCCATCTCTCTCAAATGCCTTCTCCAGAAGCCTCTCCCAGCTGCCCCATGCCTGGGTTTCTAGGGCAGGGGTTGGTGCTCTATCTATACTGCCTTCTATTGTCATTGATGGTTTTATATTCGGCCACCTCAACTCACATGTCAACCCACTGAGGAAAGAAAGAAAATATCTCTCACTGGCCACATTCAATCCAGTCCCTTTCCACTACACTCTGCTGTAAGTGTGAGGAGGATATGGGTGGGTGGTTAAGAACAGTCTTGAATAGCTGGGCACTGTAAGCCCAGTACTTTGGGAGGCTGAGCCGGGCAGATCACTAGGTCAGGAGTTCAAGACCAGCCTGGCCAACATGGTAAAACCCTGTCTCTACTAAAGATACAAAAAATTAGCTGGGTGTGGTGGTGCACGCCTGTAATCCCAGCTACTCAGGAGGCTGAGGCAGGGGAATCGCTTGAACCCAGGAGGCAGAGGTTGCAGTGAGCTGAGATGGTGCCATTGCGCTCCAGCCTGGGCCACAGGGCGAGACTCTGTCTCAAAATAAATAAATAAATAAATAAAATTAAAAAAAAAAGAACAGCTTTGGAATCAGGCTCAGTTTTAATTCCAGTTATCCTATTTTTTAGATATATGATCTGGGCAAGTTACTTAATCTTACTAAACCTCAGTTTTATCATCTGTTAAATGGGAACAATACTATTAGCTACCCCACAGGGCCATTGTAAAGATTGAGGCAACACTGGAAAAGTATTTTAGCACAGAGCCCTCGGTCATAGAAAACATTCAGTAAGTGGTAGCTTTGATTATGCTCAAGGTATTAATAGAAGAACATCACTAAGAAATAATCCTGTCTGGGTGCAGTGGCTCATGCCTGTAGACCCAGCTCTCTGGGAGGCTGAGGTGGGCAGATGATGAGGTCAGGAGTTTGAGACCAGCCTGGCCAGCATAGTGAAACCCCATTTCTACTAAAAATACAAAATTAGCTGGGTGTGGTGGTAGGTGCCTGTAGTCCCAGCTTCTCGGGAGGCTGAGGCATGAGAATCACTTCAACCCAGGAGGCAGGGGTTGCAGTGAGCCAAGATCACACCACTGTACTCCATCCTGGATGACAGAGTGAGATTCTGTCTCAAAAAAAAAAAAAAAAATCCTATCAGAAGCACAATATGTGGTTTACCATGGATTGCAGTATAAAGTGCAGGAAGAGGTACCCACTGCAACTGTCCAGCAATGAAGTGATAAGGGCTACTGACCTATGCTACTTGGCCTCCAGTACTCCTCCCTGCCACAAAGGTAGTGGTATTGGTCATTCAATCCCATGAAGATGACAGTCTTTGTATACCCCTTCCTCCTATATTTCCCAGCCTCTAGTATCCCCTACTGTACTTTTTACTTCTAAGAGATCAACTTTTTTAGCTTCCACATATTAGTGGGAACATGCAGTGTTTGTCTGTTCCTTGCTTACTCACGTAACATAATGTCCTCCAGTTCCATCCAGGTTGCTGCAAATGACAGGATTTCATTCTTTTTAAGGGCTGAACAGTATTCCATTATATATATATATATGTAATGTTTTATATATAACTATATATAATACATTATATATAATCATATATTTTATGTATTTATAAAAATATGTTCATATACACTAGGCATGGTGGCTCATGCCCGTAATCCCAGTACTTTGGGAGGCCGAGATGGGCGGATCATCTGAGGTCAGGAGTTCAAGACCAGCCTGGTCAAGATGGTGAAACCCTGTCTCTACTAAAAATACAAAAATTAGCCAGGCATCGTGGCAGGCACCTGTAATCCCAGCTATTCAGGAGGCTGAGGCAGGAGACTCACTTGAACCTGGGAGGTGGAGGTTGCAGTGAGCAGAGATAGCGCCACTGCACTCCAGCATGGACAACAAGAGCAAAACTCCATCTAAAATATATATATATTTTTTATATATACCATATATATTTATACATACCATATATTATATATATTTCATATATAATATATTTCATATTATATATTTTTAATGTATTTTTTAATGTTTATATATTTATATATTTTATAAATTTATATATTCATATATTATATATAAAATATATATTATATTATATATTTATATATTTTATAAATTTATATATATTTATAAATTATATATAAATATATATATTATATTATATATATAATTTATAAATATATAAATGATATATATGTTTCATATATATAAAATATATACACCACATTTTCTTTATTCATTCATCTGTTGTTGGACACCTAGGTTGACTCCATATCTTGGCTATGATGATTAATGCTGCAGTAAACATGGGGGAGAAGGTGTCTCTTTGATATACTGATTTCCTTTCCTTTGGATAAATGCCCAGTAGTAGAACTGCTGGAACATATGGTAATTTTATTTGTGTTTTTTTTTAAGGAACTTCCTCACTGTTCTCCATAGTGGCTGTACTACTAGATTACATTCCCACCAACAACGTATAAGAGTTGCCTTTGCTCCACACCCTTGACAGCAGTTGTTATTTTTTTGTCTTTTTGATAATAGCCATCCTAACTGGGGTCAGATGACACCTCATTGTGGTTTTGGTTTGCATTTCCCTGATGATTATTGATGTTGAGCATTTTTTTTTTTGAGACAGAGTTTTGTTCTTGTTGCCCAGGCTGAAGTGCAGTAACACAATCTCAGCTCACTGCAACTTCTGCCTCTCAGGTTCAAGTGATTCTCCTTCCTTAGACTCCCAAGTAGCTGTGATTACAGGTGCCCACCACCATGCCTGGCTAATTTTTTGTATTTAGTAGAGATAGGGTTTCACCATGTTGGTCACGCTGGTCTCAAACTCCTCACATCAGGTGATCTATCCACCTCAGCCTCCCAAAGTGCAGAGATTACAGGCATGAGCCACTGCACCTGGCCCGACGTTGAGCATTTTTTCATACATTTCTTGACCATTTGTATGTCTTCTTTTGAGAAATGTCTGTTCAGATCATTTGCCCATTTTTAAATCAGATTTTTTTTATGTTGAAATGATTAAATTCATTATCTATTCTGGATGTTAATCCCCTGTCAGACGAATGGTTTGCAAATATTTTCTCCCATTCAGTAGGTCATCTTTTTACTGTTGATTATTTCCTTTGCTATGTGGAAGCTTTCTAGTTTAATATAATCACATTTGCTTATTTTATCTTTTGTTGTTTGGTTTTGAGGCCATATTCATAAGATCTTTTCCCAGACCAATTTTCTGAATTATTTCCCCTATATTTTCTTCTAAAAATTTTATAGTTTTGGGTCTTACATTTTGAATATTTGATCAATTTGGAGTTGATTTTTATAGAGGGTGAGAGGTGGGGGTCTAGTTTCATTCTTCTGCATATGGATGTCCAATTTTCCCAGCACCACTTGTCAGAGACTGTCCTTTCCCAAATGTATGTTCTTGGCATCTTTATCAAAAATCAGCTGGTGACTGGATGTAGTGGCTCACGCCTGTAATCCTAGCATTTTGGGAGGCCGAGCAGGCAGATCACTTGAGGTCAGGAGTTCGAGACCAGCTTGTCCAACACAGTGAAACCCTGTCTCTACTAAAAATACAAAAGTTAGCTGGGTGTGGTGGCACATGCCTGTAGTCCCAGCTACACGGGAGGTTGAGGCAGGAGAACCACTTGTATCCGGGGGGTGGAGGCTGCAGTGAGCCGAGATTGCACCACTGCACTCCAGCCTGGGCAACAGAATGAGACTCTGAGACTCTGTCTCAAAAAAAAAAAAAAAAAAATCAGTTGGCTATAGATACATGGATTGATTTCTGGGTTCTCTATTCTGTTCCAATGGTCTATATGTCTATTTTTATGCCAGTACCATGCTGTTTTAGTTTACTACCACTTTGTAGTATATTTTGAAGTTTGGTAGTGTGATGCCTCCAGCTTTTGTTGTTTTCGCTCAGGAGTTCTTTGGCTATTTTGGGTCTTTTGTGGTTCCATACAAATTTTAGGATTTTTTTTTTTCTTTTTTCTGTTTCTGTGAGGAATGTCATTGGTATTTTGACTTTGCATTGACTCTGTAGATTGCTTTGGGTAGTATGGTCATTTTAACCATATTAATTCTTCTGATCTTCACAATAACCACTGAAGTTTTTAAATTTTTTTCTTTTTCTTTTTTTTTTTTTTTTTTTTTGAGACGGAGTCTTGCTCTGTCGCCCAAGCTGGAGTGCAGTGGTGGGATCTCGGCTCACTGCAACCTCCGCCTCCTGGGTTCAAGCAATTCTCCTGCCTCAGTCTCCTGAGTAGCTGGGATTACAGGCACATGCCACCACGCCCGGCTAATTTTTATATTTTTAGTAGAGACAGGGTTTCACCATGTTGGTCAGGCTGGTCTTGAACTCCTGACCTCGTGATCTGCCCACCTCGGCCTCCCAAAGTTCTGGAATTACAGGCGTGAGCCAACATGCCTTGCTGGTTATTATAATTTCTTTTTTTCAGATGAGGAAACTCAGGCTTTGAGAAATTAAGTAACTTGTGGGGTCACACAGCTGAGTCAAGACTATGAATTTGTCTGACTCTAAAGTCTCCTTGACTCATATTCTTTGTAGATCTCTTAAAATCTGAGAGTTTGATTATTAAAACAATGTCTAAAAGTGTATGTTTATATAACCACTGAAGTTTCCTTTATCTGTGCTCAGTGGATTCTGCAGCCAGGCCCCCAAGGAATCACACAACATTAAGGTGTGACAAATTCAATCCCTCGCCTCCTTCAAGCCTTTGTCCAAATGTCTTCTTTGGGCCTTCTCTGACCTTTATATTAAATGTTGCAAATCCCCATACACCCACATCCTCACCCAAAGCAAGGATGACCAGTTGTGCTGGTTTGCCAGGAACAGAGTGGGGCCAGGATAAAGGGATTTTCAGTTTTCAAACCGGAGAGTCCCTGAAAAACTTGGAAAAGTCAGTCACCCTACCTTGCTGAGAAAAGGCCATTGCCCTTGACAGCATGATGGTCATGGATGCCCTTGACAGGAGCTGTTTTTGCAGAGTTCTGAAGATGAAAGCACAATTAGATTGGCTTTAAAAGAGAATAGGCCAAATACAATGCAGTACCCTGGACTGGATCAAAACAATGAGAAAACTGGTGAAACACAAATACAATCTGGAGCTTAGTGAATAGTCATGTCGTCACCAGAAAGGGGTCCTGACCCAGACCCCAAGAGAGGGTTCTTGGATCTCGAGCAAGAAAGACTTCAGGGTAAGTCCGCAGAGTAAAGTGAAAGCAAGTTTATTAAGAGAGTAAAGGAATAGACCGGGCAGGGTGGCTCATGCCTCCAGCACTTTGGGAGGCCGAGGTGGGTGGATCACCTGAGCTCAGGAGTTCAAGACCAGCCTGGCCAACATGGCAAAACCCTGTCTCTCTAAAAATACAAAAATTAGCCGGGCGTGGTGGCACTCACCTGTAATCCCAGATACTCGGGAGGCTGAGGCAGGAGAATCGCTTGAACCTGGGAGGCGGAGGTTGCAGTAAGCCGAGATCATGCCACTGCACTCCAGCCTGAGCCAAACTCCATTTAAAAAAAATAAAAATAAAAATAAGAGAACGTAAAGGAATAAATGAGTGGCTGCTCCATAGGCAGAGAATCCCCAAGGGCTGCTTGTTGCTTTTTCTTTTTCTTTTCTTTTTTTTTTTTTTTGAGACAGAGTCTTGCTCTGTCACCCAGGCTGGAATGCAGTGGTGAGATCTCGGCTCACTGCAACCTCAGCCTCCGGGATTCAAGCAATTCACATGCCTCAGCCTCCCGAGTAGCTGGGATTACAGGCACCTGCCACCACGCCCAGCTAATTTTTGTATTTTTAGTAGAGATGGGATTTTACCATGTTGGCCAGGCTGGGCTTGTTGCCCATTTTATTATTATTATTATTATTATTATATACTAAACAAGGGGTGGATTATTCATGCCTCCCCTTTTTAGATCATGTAGGGTAACTTCCTAACATTGCCATGGCATTTGTAAACTGTCATGGCGCTGGTGGGAGGGTAGCAGTGAGGACGACCAGAGGTCACTCTCATCATCATCTTGGTTTTGGTGGGTTTTAGCCAGGTTCTTTACTGCAACCTGTTTTATCAGCAAGGTCTTTATGACCTGTACCTTGTGCCGATCTCCTATCTATGCCTTAACCTCCTGGGAATGTAGCCCAGTAGGTCTCAGCCTCATTTTACCCAGCCCCCATTCAAGATGGAGTTGCGTGGCTGGGCACGGTGGCTCATGCCTGTAATCCCAGCACTTTGGGAGGCCAAGGCAGGTGGATCACGAAGTCAGGAGTTCAAGACCAGCCTGGCCAAGATGGTGAAACACCGTCTGTACTAAAAATAACAAACATTAGCTGGGCGTGGTGGCGGGCGCTTGTAGTCCCAGCTACTCAGGAGGCTGAGGCAGGAGAATCGCTTGAACCCGGGAGGCGGAGGTTGCAGTGAGCGAGATCACGCCACTGCACTCCAGCCTAGGTGATACAGTGAGACTCCGTCACAAAAAAAAAAAAAAAAAAAAAAAAAAGATGGAGTTGCTCTGGTTCAAATGCCTCTGACAATGTCTCCATCGTAGTTTCTTGGTTTTAACAAATAAATGTGGCATAGTAATATAAAATGTTAACATTGGGAGAAACTCAGTCAGGAGTATATGGGTGTTCCCTGAATTACCCTTGCAACTTTTCTATAAATCAAAAATTATTCCAAAACAAAACATTGAGAAAGAGAATGGGAGGAGATGAAAAGGGAGCAGGAAGTATCACAATTTTCTCAAGGTAGAATAATTTATCTGTGGTTGATTTTTGAGCTTTGCAGAAATTCTGCCACTAAAACTTTCAACCCTTTGGCAAAGATGCTTTTTCCCTGCTCTAAAGCAAATACTCCTGTAGAAGATAAGCGATTAATACTTATTGGGCATTTATACCTTAATATAAATGAGTTTATCAGCTACTTTTCAGAGAGCAAGTGGGGTGGGTAAGCAGGAAGTCAGAGTTTGCTTACATCGTAAATTAGTCTTGGGCATTTACCTTTTGCTTTTGTTCTTTACATTACACAAATATAAATGCACATCATTCCTTGGATTGTTTCTTTCTTCTTTCTTCTTTTTAATGGTCACTTACAAAATTAGCAAAAATTGGGGCAGAAACATGTTTTCTTCCTTGGTTGGTTACAAGTGCTTTCGGAGTGTTCGCATTTTTACAACTACTTAGCTCCTGGCACTAACCCAAGAGTAACCCACTACAGAAATAGTATCTGATCCCCCAGATGGCTTCAGGAGAGCTGGCAGCGATGGTACTCCCTTGGAGAAAGACATGTTCTTGCCTTATCTCACTGTCACAGAGCCTTAAACTTTTTGCCTCTCCTGTTGTTATTTAGACTGAGAATGTTGGATTCCTAGGAGGATGGGAAACCCATAACTAAGTGAGAAGGTCTTATATGTAAAGAAGTTGTTACAGGCATCCTTTTTTTTTTTTTTGAGTTAAATACTAAATGTGGAACTTTATAACCCAATATTTATAAATGTCTCATGAATGAAAGCTGTGAATATATTTTGAACTAACTGTATTTTAAATTTTAAAAACTTGACAATATGCCAAAACAACAAATCTTTGACTTTTCAAGGATGAAATTACACTTAAGGAATTTTTAGTTCAAAAAAAAAAAAACTTTAACTTCCAAAGGCAGAGGTAAATATACACTAACCAGTTATTAATTGTGCAATTTCTACTAAACTTTAAAATACAATTGAGTTCATGAATACATGTGAAACCCTTACCATCTTGATGGAGGTGTGACCTATGTTGTCCCACAGGGCCCCGCACTGAGAAGGGCCCCATGCTTAGTTTAATGTTCTGCTGTCACCGTCTTGAAATTCTTAATACTTTTTGAACAAGGGGCCCTGGTTTTCATTTTGCACTGGGACCTGCAAAGTATATAGCTGGTCCTGCCTGGTATGGAGCCTCCCTGGTATGGAGTAGTGTTTGGTGGAATATTTGTCAAGGGAATGACAAGAAGGAGCCAGCTGTGCAAAAAATCTTCAGATGGATGTCCAGGCAGAAAGGCCAGCAAGTGCCAAGGCTTTGTGGTAGGAAAGAGCTGTGCGTGTGACCAGGGTCACCACACTACATACTTCCAAGGGCATCATTCACCCTGCAGCCTACTGAATGCCTCTCTTGGAGTTATGCATTGTACAACCTGCATGTCTGCACATAGTGGGCCAGGCATGAGAAACAGCAAAGTCGTTGCGGACAGATCATCACAAGAGGGAAGGGAGTGGTAATGCCATGAGATCGGAGAGTCAGGCAGGCCAGATCACAGGGGGTCTCACAGACCATGGTGATGAGTTTGGATTCTATCCTGCGGTGAGATGGAAAGCAGATGAGTTGTGAGATGAATGACATGATCTGATTTACTTATAAGATGACACTAGCTTCACCAGGGAAAATGAATGGAGGGGGTCAGAGTGAAAGCGGAAAGATGAGTTAGTAGTCCAGGTTAGTGATAATGTCATGGTGGCTTGGATTTTAGTGGTAGCAGCACAAAATAAGGTGTGAGCTGATTTAATTTAAATTTTAGAACTAGTAGTAGTACTTACTAGAAGTAGTTATGCCTAGTTTCTGCTGGCAGCTACCAGCCTTGTTTGTTGTACATCATAGGTAATCACTAACTTCTTAAGGTCATCAATATGTCAGTGTTGACGGAGGCTTCTGTGACTCACTTGTTACGAGAGTATATAGTTGCATAATAGATCTGGGCTTATTCAATTTACATTACAAAATCATGTTCATATATGAAACAAAGAATCCGACATTTCTGGTTACATTTATTTTTGGTTACCAAGAGTCTCTTTTGTATCAATAGGAAATGAAACTGTAAGAAATAAAACTATCAAAAGTCCTCAAGACAGGAACTGCTGTATTATAATGACTGCGTTCCCATAGTGATCTCACAAGATATGCAAAAAACTCAGGCCACTTTGCAGTCAGCACACGACTATGGATTGACAATAAGGCCGTTGGTGGATGGTGGGAGTCTGCCTGTAGCTGCAACGTCCTTCCAACAGGCAAAAACATTCACCAGTAACAGAGGGCAGAAAGCTGCCCTAGGCTTCAGTTACCTTGAAAGCTTGTTGATGCACAGCTGTCAAAGATTTAGGAGTATAGAATTAAAAAGCCAAGCTGAGCACTTTGAAGATAGGCAACCTTAAATGGTCCCAAGTCCAAGATCAACCTCCAGGATAAACAGGCAGCCTGGAGAATGAGGTCACATTTGTGAAATTTGTCCTTGACCCCCTGAGCCATCTTCAGCAATATCCAGCTGTTTGTACTTTAAAATGCAGAAAAGTAGGATCAGTAGTGCCATGGATTAGAACATGAGTCATGCCTTTTAGTCATGATGCTCCTCTTTCCAGCACATGGTGGGTAGAAGGGTATAACAGCAACCACTTACATTGCTCTGAAGCTAGGCTGCCGGGCAAGACTTGCCACAAAGACAATAGGCAACGCGGCTGTGGGATGCTTGGGAGGAAGGAGAAGCCCATAAACCCACCTGGTGTGTCAATTAGACTCAGGGCGGGTCTGCTCAAGCAAATAGGAGGAAGACAGATCCCTGATAATTTTAGAAACAAGTCCTACAAACAGACAGACACTAACCAGGAAGCAGTTCTATCCCAGCCTGGTGTGGGAGACAGTGCTAAGGGCTCCTGCATAGGCACAGAGGTATCAGAAGAGCAACAAGGGGCTCCTTGGCAGCTTCTCATGGGAAGAGAAGACTAAAGCCAGAAGACAGGGCTAGTCCTGGCTTTGCCACCTACTAGCTGTGGAACCTTAGGCGTATTCCTTAAGCTGTCTGGGTCTCAGTTTTTCTCATTTGTTGCCAAAGACCTTCCTGAGTGCTTGTCCTATGTGTCATCTCTGCAGCATTTGACACTTGTACCCTCCCCCAGCCTTAAGTGCCTTGTCTCTTCCATTGACTTCTTTCACCCTGTGTTCTCTGACTCTCCCAACTACTCCGACCCCTCATTCTCATCTTCTTCATTCGTTTCTCTTCCAGTGCTCACCTCTTGTGTGGCAGTACTCCCTCTTCCCATCTCATACTCTGGGCAATCCTGTTCATATCCAAGCTCTGACTACCATGACGTTTTCTAAATCTCTGTCTCCAACTTCAACCATTTTCAGGGTCCTTGGACAGGTATTGCAACTACCGACAGGATTGGACATTTCTACCTGGATATTCTGGGTTTTTTTTGTTTTGTTTTGTTTTGCTTTGTTTTGTTTTGTTTGAGATGGAGTCCTGCTCTGTTGCCCAGGCTGGAGCGCAGTGGGCGAGATCCCGGCTCACTGCAACCTCTGCCTCTGGTGTTCAAGCGATTCTCTTGCCTCAGCCTCCTGAGTAGCTGGGATTACAGGCACACACCATCATGCCTGGTTTTTTTTTTTTTTTTTTTTTTGGACTTTTAGTAGAGACGGGGTTTTACCATGTTGGCCAGGCTGGGCCAGGCTGGTCTCAAACTCCTGACCTCAGGTGATCCTCCTGCCTCGGCCTCCCAAAGCACTGAGATTACAGGCGTGAGCTACCACGCCTGGCCCTACCTGGATATTCTGCAGTCAACTCAGATTTATTAAGTCTAGTACTAAGCTCATATTATTCTCTCTTCCTCTAGAATCTCTACCACAGGCCAGGTGTGATGGCTCACACCTGTAATCCCAGCACTTTGGGACACCAAGGCAAAAGGATCATTTGAGGCCAGGAACTTGAGACCAGCCTGGGGCAACATAGCGACTTCATCTCTACTAAAAATAAAAAATAAAAACTAGCCAGGTGTGATGGCACACACCTATAGTCCCAGCTACTCGGGAGGGTGAGGTGGGAAGATCGCTTGAACCCAGGAGTTCAAAACTACAGTGAGCTATAATCACACCACTGCACACCAGCTTGGGCGACAGAGCAAGACCTTACCATAAATAAATAAACAAATAAAATAAAAATATAGACTATCTACCACAGTTAACACCATCACCATCCAATTGTCTAGAAACCTAGGAGTTGTCCACTTCTCCTTCTCCCTCACCACAAGATCAAAGCAGTCATCAGAACAGAATTTATTTCTGAAGTACATCCCTTCCTCTCCGACACACACCTGCTGCTTTAGTTCTGTCCTTCACTCTTTGTCTGTCTTATTCTATTACAATGGTGGCAGAGGCTGTTAATTTTCTGCCAGTATACATTCCTTTGATTTTTCTTTTAGTACAGAAGCCCAGTTTTAGCTGTATACAAGGCTTCCCAGCTAGAGATGATAAGATTTCCAAAGGTTCCTTACAGCTAGTTAAGCCACAGGACCACATGGCCACATAACTAAATTCTAACCAGAAGGATGTGAGCAGAAGTGATACACTCAACTTCCAGGTACTTTCTGTAAAAAGGAAATGGTTTCCTTCTTCCTTTCTCGTCTTCCTTTCTTTCTGCCTCTCCACAGGCTGCTCCCATAGTTCTAACATGATAGATGAGGACAAAATCCTAGGTTAGTGTTTCTCAAACTTGAGTGCGCATCAAAATCACCTGGAGGCGGCTGGGCGCCGTGGCTCACGCATGAAATCCCAGCACTTTGGGAGGCCGAGGCGTGATCACCTGAGGTCAGGAGTTTGAGACCACCTTGGCCAACGTGGTGAAACCCTGTCTCTACTAAAAATACAAAAAATTATCCGGGCTTGGTGGCACATACCTGTAGTCCCAGCTACGCAGGAGGCAAAGTCAGGAGAATCGCTTGAACCCAGGAGGTGGAGGTTGCAGTGAGCTGAGATTGCACCACTGCACTCCAGCATGGGTGACAGAGCGAGACTCTGTCTCAATCAATAAATAAATAAATAAATAAAATCAACTGGAGGGCTTGTTGAAATACAGATTGCTCATGTCAGTTTACCATTGCCATGGCAACAACCAGGGGAAAAAATATAGATTGCTGCGCCCCACCCCTGGAGTTTCTGATTTGCTAGGGCTTGGGTGAGGCCTGAAATTTTTCATTACTGATAAGTTCCCAGATGATACTGATGCTGCTGCCCCAGCAGCTGCATTTTGAGAACCACTCTCTTAAGAGATAGCAAAGTAACAAGGTAAAAGAAACCTGGGCCCCTGAGTGGCCTCACAGAGCAGTATCCCTTCTGTGGCTCTTGACCACTCACTTTTACACTGTAACATGAAACTCTTGTTTGGGCCTTATTTTGAGTCTCAATGTTATAAAAGTTTAGCCTATACCCAAATAATACACCCCTCAGATCATCCTTCATGATTCAACTTACACTATCTTTTTGTTTTGTTTTGAGATGGGGTCTTACTGTGTTGCCCAGGCTCAAGTGCAGTGGGTATTCACAGGTGTAATCATAGCTATAGCCTTGAACTCCTGGGCTCAAGCCATCCTCCTGCCTCAGCCTCCTGATTAGCTGGGACTACAGGTGCATGCCACCATGCCCAGGCCAGCTTACGCTATCTTTTAAGCCACTGATCTGACATGTCATTCTCCTTCATTAAATTCTTCAAATCTTTCCTATTGTCCAGCACAGCTTGACACAACCAATATATCCTGACAAACATTAACCTGAAGCATTGTGAGGAAGGGAAGGAATCCCAGGCAGCCAGCTGGGGTGGGAGGGACGGGCATGACCCTCTTCTATTCCTTGGGCCACGCTGAGGGATTTTCAAAATCCAAGTGCTCTCAAAGTAGAAAGTATATAGTGACTTCTTCATCAGGGCAGAGAATAATAATACCTGGTATCCTTTGGGTTACATACCAGGCATATAATCTTCCAATTGCCCTGCAAGGGATCTACTACTAATATTTCCATTTTGCCACTGAAGAGACAGAGACGCAGAAGTAAGTAGACCATCTGTGGTAGATACCAAGATGCACTGCTCAGAGCCCCCATGCACTCCACCCAGCTATGGGGAGTGCAGTGAGCAGACAGCTTCCTCCTGCAGGGCCTCCACTGCTGCAGACATCACCTGAGGCCTGGCCCCACCTGGGGCACTCTGTGTCTGGTGATGGAGCAAGGTAGGGTTATAAAGGCCTGGCCATTTCAGCCTGATACAGGTCAACCCTGGCAGGCCGTACTCGTTCCAGAATTTCCCATCAGGTTGGCCAAGACTTTGTTGGGCCTGCTGTTTGATTTCATCTGCCCAACGCTGCTTCTTCCTTCTTCCTCTCACAGCTGTTAATTCCTAATAAACATCTTACACTCCAAATCCGTTTCAGTGTCTGCCTGCAAAGAACCCAACCTGCAGCACAGCCCATGAGTAGGGGAAGCTGGGCTTCAAACACAAACAGTCTGCCCACGATCACAATTCCACAGCACGTTGCGAAATCCACTCACAGGAGAAATTCACCTTCCTTAGCATGGCATTCCAGGCCCTTTATAATGTGATTGCAATATTCTTCACTCACCTTATTTCCCACCACTCCCCAAGACAGGCCCTACTCCATTCCCATTCCAACCATTTGCTCAGGTGGTATATTGACAGGAACGCCCTCCTTCCTCGCGACAAGGTCCTTCCAAGCCTAGCTCAGACACCTTCTCCTCTGTGAAGCTTCCCTGCGGTCCCCAGCGAGGAAGGAGTTGCCTGGGGTAGTGATTGGAGCCTGGGAGTCTGTCAGGCCTGAGTTCAAATTCCAGCTTCATGACATAGGTATGTGACATGGAGAGAAGTCCCTAACTCCATCTCCTATCCTACACGACGATAATAGCAACTCCCTCACCAGGTTTTGAATTAAACGAAATCTATACGTCGGCTGGGCACCATGACTCAGATCTATAATCTCAGCACTTTGGGAGGCCAAGGCAGGAGGATCACTCGAGGCCAGAAGTTTGAGACCAGCCTGGGCAACATAGAGAGACCCTGTCTCTACAAAAACTTTCCTTTTAAAAATTAGGTGGGCATGGTGGCACGTGCCTGTGGTCCCAACTATTCAGGAGGCTGAGGCAGGAGAATTGCTTGAGCCCCAGAGTTGGAGGCTACAGTGAGCTATGATGGCACCACTGCACTCCAGCATGGATGACAGCAAGACCCTATCTCTAAAAATAATAACGATAATAAAATAAATCTGTCCACCACCTAGCCCAGTGCTTCTCAAACTTTAATGTGCATAGATATGTCCTGAACATTTTGCTCAGATGCAGCTTCTCTCTTTTTTTTCTTTCTTTTCTTTCTTTCTTCTTTTTTTTGAGACAGAGTCTCGCACTGTCACCTGGGCTGGAGTGCAGTGGTGCAATCTTGGCTCACTGCAACCTCCGTCTCCCGGGTTCAAGCAATTCTGCCTCAGCCTCCCAAGTAGCTGAGATTACAGGTGCCTGCCACCACGCCCAGCTAATTTTTTGTATTTTTAGTAGAGACAGAGTTTCACTATGTTGGCCAGGCTGGTCTCAAACTCCTGACCTCAGGTGATCCACCCACCTCTACCTCCCAAGTCCTGGGATTACAGGCATGAGCCACCGCGCCCAGCCAGATGCAGATTCTCAAATCAGTGGGGTCTGGGGTGCGGCCTGAGATTCTGCATTTCTAACAAGCTCCCAGGTGATGCAGCTGCTGGGGGTCCGTGGACCACACTTGGAGTAGCAGGGCAGGGCTCTAGCCCAATACCTGGCACTTGGCAAGCACTCAATGACATGTACTCTCCCCACCCCTTTCATTACTCCCTCCTCCTGGCACCCATAGCATTTCACTCTTACCACTTGCACACTGCTCACCACACCATACTTTAGTTGGTTACTATTTGCATCTCCCACTGCACTGTATTGAGGACAGAAATTATGTTATCATCTTCTCAGTATCACCAGTGCCCAGCAGAGGGACAGGTATATAAAAGAGGATCAATAAATGTTTGATGAATGAAGCCTTTAAAATGGAAATAAAAATATCAACTCTGCTTGTCTCGACAAGTTGTTGTAATGAGCAAATGCGATAATTTGGGAGAGAGAGCGTAGAAACACGTATCGAGTGCTACAAATATAAAGTATTTTTACCCGTCAGCCTTCCACCCAGCAGCAGTTCAGACGGATGCAGCTGAAGTGTGTTTACTCATGGCATTTGCTCAGACGCTAGCGATTTTAAAAATTCAGATTCATCTATAGTTTAAAAATAAACCATATCCTCTTCAGGATAACAACTGTGGCACTCTTTGCCAATTATAAGAAAGTAATTATAATGATTTCAATGAAAAGGATGTGTCTTTCAATCAATAGGCAAACAATCAATCAATCATGAAGCAGGCACAGAGTACCTCTCTCCAGGAGGCACCGGGCTTACAAAAGACATTTGCTTATCGACCTCCCCCAAATGAGCAGCAGATATCAGCCTTGTCATCTCATGCCTGTTTGAAGGGTGTAACATTCAAAGAGACATCCAGATGAGGCGAAAGAGAGAGAAATATCACAAAATGTAGACTATAACAAGTCAATGAGTATTCCTCTCACGCAGCTTGATACCAGGTATGCTTTCTGGATTTATGTGGGTACTGTAAGTCTCAGACATGGGGGAGGCAGATGGTCCACACAGCTACAATAGAGAAATAATTTTGAGCCGCATGTGGTGGTGTGTGCCTGTAGTCCCAGCTACTCAGGAGGCTGAGGCAGGAGGATCCCCTGAGCCTAAGAGTTAGAGTCTAGCCTGAGCAACATAATGAGACTCTATCTCTTAAAAAACAAAACTTGCAAAAAAAAAAAAAAAAACAGTGATTTTTTTTTTTCTTTCTTTCCTTTTTTTTTTTTTTTTTTTTGAGATGGAGTCTTACTCTGTCACCCAGACTGGGGTGCAGTGGTGTGATTTCAGCTCACAGCAGTCTCTGCCTCCTGGGTTCCAGTGATTCTTCTGCCTCAGCCTTCCAAATAGCTGGGACCATAGGTGCCACCACGCTTGGCTAATTTTTGTATTTTTAGTGGAGACAGGGTTTCACCATGTTGGCCAAGCTGGTCTCGAACTCCTGACCTCAAGTGATCCACCTGCCTTGGTCTCCCAAAGTGCTGGGATTACAGGCATGTGCCACTGTGCCTGGCCAAAAAAAAAAAGAAAAAGAAATTTTTAATGAAAAGATGACTCATTGAGTGAGGGCAGAGTCAAGATAACCAAGCGAGGCACCTAGGGACCAAGAACAGTGGAAGACATCACCACCAATGCCAAGAGTCAGGGGCAAAAATTGCTATTACCAGAGCTTAAAAACTGGAGCCCTGGTGTAAACACCAAGTGCAGTGGTGTTTACAACTAATTTATCACAACCAGCTACTGATTCCTTTGTTCCTTCTCCACTCCCACTGCTTTGCTTGACTAGCCTTAAAAAAATAAATAAATAAAAAATAAAAATAGGCCGGGTGCATTGGCTCAAGCCTGTAATCCCAGCACTTTGGGAGGCTGAGGTGGGCAGATCACGAAGTCAGGAGTTCGAGACTAGCCTGGCCAACATAGTGAAACCCCGTCTCTACTAAAAATACAAAAAATTAGCCGGGTGTTGTGGCAGGTGCCTGTAATCCCAGCTACTCGGGAGGCTGAGGCAGGAGAATCACTTGAACCCAGGAGGGGGAGGTTGCAGTGAGCTGAGATTGCACCATTGCATTCTTGCCCGGGCGACAGTGCAAGACTCCATCTCAAAATAAATAAATAGGCCAGGCGCGGTAGCCCATGCATGTAATCCCAGCACTTTGGGAGGCTGAGGCGAGCGGATCACGGGGTCAGGAGTTCAAGACCAGCCTGGCCAAGATGATGAAACCCCATCTCTACTAAAAATACAAAAATTAGCTGGGCGTCGTGGCACACACCTGTGATCCCAGCTACTGGGGAGTCTGAGGCAGAGAATTGCTTGAACCCAGGAGGCGGAGGCTGCAGTGAACCGAGATCATGCCACTGCACTCCAGCCTGGGCAACAGAGCAAGATGCTGTCTCAAAATAAATAAATAATAATTAAAAAAGTAAAAAACTGGAGCCCTGGAAAAGTGTCTGTCCCATGGAAGCTGTGACCACAAAGGGACACAGTCACTATGATTCATAATGGAGAACCATAGGGAGAGAGTGGAAGTAATACATATTCTGACCTTTGTCTGTTTCCAGCCTCTTATCACCCACTGGTGCCTCCCATTGACTTAACCCAAGCCTTCCAGCAAGGGAGCCTGGGTGGTGCACCACATAGACATCAGCCTTCCAGGCACAAAACGAGGCAGAGAAGGGCAGAAAATGAATCAGTTAGTGGGCTGGGCACTGTGGCTCCCACCTGTAATTCAGCAATTAGAGAGGCTGAGGCGGATCGCTTGAGGCCAGGAGTTCAAGGCCAGCCTGGGTAACATAGTGAGACCACGTCTCTATGAAAAAAAAAAAAAGCCGGGCACGGTGGCTCATGCCTGTAATCCTAGCACTTTGGGAGGCCGAGGCGGGTGGATTACCTGAAGTCAGGAGTTCAAGACCAGCCTGACCAACATGGTGAAACCCTGTCTCTACTAAAAATAAAAAAAATTAGCCGGGCGTGGTGGAGCCTGCCTGTAATCTCAGCTATTCGGGAGGCTGAGGCAAGAGAATTGCTTGAACCCGGGAAGAGGTGGTTGCACTGAGCCGAGATTGCGCCATTGTACTCCAGCCTGGGCAACAAGAGCGAAACTCTGTCTCAAAAAAAAAAAAAAAAAAAAAAGAAATTAGTGGGTGTGGTGGTGGTGCACAACTGACAACTGTAGTACTTCCAGCTACTCTGGAGGCTGAGGTGGGGGGATCACTTGAGTCCAGAATTCAGGTTTCAGTGAGCTATGATTGCACCACTGTACTCCAGTGCCACTGGAGTGACAAAGTGAGACCCTGTCTCTCTCTTAAAAAAAAAAAAAAGAAGGCTGGTACAGTGGCTCACACCTGTAATCCCAGCACTTTGGGAAGCTGAGGCAGGTAGATCATCTGAGGTCAGGAGTTCGAAACCAGCCTAGCCAACATGGGGAAACCCCATCTCTACTAAAAATACAAAAATTAGCCAGGCATCCTGGCATGTGCGTATAATCCCAGCTATTTGGGAGGCTGAGGCAGGAGAATCGCTTGAACCCTGGAAGCAGTTGTTGCAGTGAGCTGAGATTACGCCATTGCACTCCAGCCTGGGCAACAGAGTGAGACTGAGAAAGAAAGACAGAAAGAAAGAGAGAGAAAGAGAGAAAGGAAGGAAGGAAGGAAGGGAGAGAGAAAGGAAGGAAGGAAGGAAGGGAGAGAGAAAGGAAGGGAGAGAGAAAGGAAGGAAGGAAGGAAGGAAGAAAGAAAAAGGAAAGAAAGAAAGAAAGAAAGAAAGAAAGAAAGAAAGAAAGAAAGAAGGAAGGAAGGAAGGAAGGAAAGAAAGAAAGAAAGAAAGAAAGAAAGAAAGAAAGAAAGAAAGAAAGATAGATGTGAGGGAGGGAAGGAGGGAGGGAGGAAAGGAAGGAAGGAAGGAAAGGATCAGCTGGGAGTTGGGATAGAGTTGGGCACTCAGTCAGTTCAGAGACAACCTTGAGCTCTTCCCTCAATTGCCCTAATCCTGGTGACATTAGTCCCTGACTATCCTTTTCCCCACATTTTCTAGGTGCCTGGTCTTTCTGACTCTTCCAGTCTTCACAAAACTGCTCATAACTGGAGCAAATCCTCTAGTTATGTAATGTAAACCAGTATAATCCAAGACCACCCAGTTCCAATTAGAACCTGAGAGACTAAGAAACAACCATCAATTCTGCATCAATCACTAGAGATAAAAATCTTTGTAGTCCACCAAACTGTAATGTCGAGTAGCTCAGGGCTAAGAAACAAATTTACTTAACCAAATATTACTTTTCAATTAATTGTGCAAAAGTATATGTAAACCACACAAAAATAAAAGTAGCATCCAAGTGGGAGCAGGATGTTTTGCAAACAGTTCCTCCATGCTTATAAATTCATATTGGATGTGCATAAATCCAGAGAGGCCAGGAGTTCACCCTAACTGGAAGAGAGCCTCTCCTCTCCAAAAAGGGACCTCTGCACAGTCAGCAGTCCAGCAGTCTGCTGTTTGGACTGAAAAAGGAACTGGCCAAATGCCAGGATGAAAGTTTTCTTTTTTAGCAACATGTTCATCGTTGTCTTCATCAAAGTGACTATAAAAAAAAGCCACACAAAAGAATGATATAATCCTGGACCTGTCCTCTGTCGTTTATAGTATAAGCAAGATGTACTAGTGCAAATAGGTGTGGACAGATTGAAGATGCATTATGGTGAACCAGCAAAAAAAAGAAAGAAAGAAAAGAATTCACAGCCAAACACAAAAGGGATAATAGCAAGAGTTAACAGAAAGCACATACAATACTCCTATAGGGTAAGTATTATTATTATACTTTTTCTATAAAAGATGAACATGAAGTTTTAAACTCACATTCACATAGTGAATGGCTGGTAGAGCCATGTATACCTAACAACTGGCTTCTCTCTCTTTTTTTTTTTTTTCGAGATGGTGTCCCGCTTTGTCACCCAGGCTGGAGTGCAGTGGTGTGATCTCCGCTCACTGCAACCTCCGCCTCCTGGGTTCACCATGTTGAAACCCTCCTGGGTTTCACTATGTTGGCCAGGCTGGTCTCCAACTCCTGACCTCAAGTGATCTGCCCGCCTTGGCCTCCCAAAGTGCTGGGATTACAGGTATGAGCCACGGCATCCAGCCTCGGATACTTGTTTCTGTACAGCCAGTATGTGTGGTGTCTGACAGACCCACCTGCAAATCCAACCTCCACCACACTAGTTGTTTGATCTTGTAAAAATTCCTTGACCCTCTCGGCCTCAGTTTCCTTATTTATAAAAATGGAAACAGGCCAGGCGTGGTGGCTCACGCCTGTAATCCTAGCACTTTGGGAGGCCAAGGCGGGTGGGATCACTTGAGGTTAGGTGTTTGAAACCAGCCTGGCCAACATGGTGAAACCCCATCTCTACTAAAAATACAACAAAAATTAGTCAGGCATGGTGGTAGGCACCTGTAATCCCAGCTACTCAGGAGGCCAAGGCAGGAGAATCGCTTGAACCCAGGAGGTGAAGACTGCAGTGAGCTGATATGCGCCACTGCACCCCAGCCTGGGTGACAGAGGGAGACTTTGTCTCAAAAATAAATAAATAAATAAAAATAAAAAGGGAGAACAGCTATTCTAAGGATTCAAGGAAATATATATAAGGGAACTAAAAGTCCTCAAAAATTGGCAATAATTATAAATAAATAATAATAATAAACTATAAAAATGGGCATGCAAAAAGTTTTCACTAACATAAAAAAGGCCCTTGTAAGAGTCTGTTCTGAACCCTTACAACAAAAAGAATACCTGGGGGTGCCAAGCAACACGATGGCCATGACACGAGGATCCCTTGAGGCCAGGAGTTCCAGACCAGCCTGGTCAACATAACAGATCCCATCTCTACAGAAAAAAAAAAAAAAAAAGAATGCCCAGGGGTGCTCAGCATGTGAGTGCTGAACTCCCGCCCTTGCCCTCCTTGGCTCCAGGCTACAAGCCTTCTCTTGGTCTCTGTCCCTCTTCTGAGCAAATGCACTGCTGCTTGACTTCTGACTTTAGGGCCCTTAGAATTTTTCAGACGGCACTAAGGCCAGAATTTATCCTCTTTTCTGATAAACCAGCCATGTGACTTGTACATCCTGCAGTGCTGAGAGGAAGGAGGGCAGAATGGGAAGTGGGAAAGGCTGGCCGTGGAGAGAATGCTCAGGCTACTGAGCTGAGATTATAAAAGGATTATTGATGGAAGTCCTCACTAGGAAAGGAAGACTTCAGGGGAGGCCCCTTGATTCCAGCTCCACCAGAATTGCCAGCACCACCCATCCCCAGCCTATTCCTTTCTTCTCCCTCTTCCCTCCTCTTCCTAAAGTGGTGAGTTCTGTGCCAAGACACACACACACACACACACACACGCACACACACATGCACAAACAAACAAAAAACAAGAAGAAGGACTTTTAGACTCCACTAGGAATCATTCCATTTGGTGTATAGTTTATAGGTTCGGTCTGTTCTCACTGTGGTTTTACATGGTCCAAAGCCCCACCCCAGCGCCAGTTCTGGATTCAAAAGTTTCCAAGGCCAAGTCTAGTCCAGAGAGGTGGCCAGGTTCTGGGAAGCCAGAATTGCTGCTTCAGAGTCAAATCCAAAAGGCAAGGCCAAGATGAAAGTGGGGAGATTCGCCGGGCATGGTGGTTCATGTCTGTAATCCCAGCACTTTGGGAGGCTGAGGCGGGTGGATCATGAGGTCAGGAGTTCCAGAACAGCCTGGCCAAGATGGTGAAACCCTGTCTCTACTAAAAATACAAAAATTAGCTGGGTGTGGTGGCGGCCGCCTGTAGTCCCAGCTACTCTGGAGACTGAGGCAGGAGAATCACTTGAACCCGGGAGATGGAGGTTGCAGTGAGCCGAGATCGCGCCACTGCACTCCAACCTGGGCAACAAAGCAAGACTCCATCTCTTAAAAAAAAAAAAAAAAAAAAAAAAAGGCCAGGCGTGGTGGCTCATCCCTGTAACTTTGGGAGGCCACAGCAGGCAGATCTTGAGGTCAGGAGATCTAGACCATCCTGGCCACCGCACCTGGCCGCACAGTTGCCCAGTTCTAAATCTAGAAACAATCCTTTCTCTTTTACTTCCTACACCCAACTTATCAGCAAGCTCTGTTAACCTTACCTCTGAAATGTATCCAGGATCTCACCCGTTCTCCTCCTCTTCCTCCATTGCCACCCTGGTTCAAGCCTATCACCTGGATTATAAGACAATAACCTTCTAACTGATCTCTCTGATTCCATTCTCTGCCCTATACAATCGCTTCTCCACGTCATGGCCAAAGAGAGCTTCTGACACATAAAGAGGATCACGTTGGTCCCTTGCCTTAGAATCTCCAATGGCTCCCAATTACCCTTACAATAAAACCCACACTCCTCACCCCAGCTGGAACTCATGCTTCAACCTCCTCTCCCGACACCTCTCCCCGTCGACACCTCTCCCCCTCGACACCTCTCCCACTCGCTCCTTCTTTTTGTTTCTCAAACATGCCAGGTCCTTTCACACTTTAGGGAGAGCTTGCATTTGCTGTTCCCTCAGCCTTCGAGCCTTCATCCCACAGATCTTTAGCTGCCTGTTCCTTCTCATTCAGGTCTCAGCTTGAACCTCCTCTCTGCAGAGGGGCCTTTGCTGAGCATGTGAAGGGGCCCAGCAGTTCTCTCCAGCTGGTCACTCTCATTATAACTCCCAATACTTTCTATTTTCTAACTGCTTGCATCGCCAAAGTAAAGAGAAGCTACTTTATCCTTCTTATTCACCCATTTTCCTAGAACTTAGAACAGAGCCCAGCACAAAGAAAGCACCAACTATTTTTAAATAAACTTAAGATCGGGGAAAGGTGGCTGATTCGAATTACAAGTCTACATTCATCAAGAGAAAGGAAAGCAAAATCCTTTCCTCTGACAAATTTTTTTTTTTTTTTTTTTTGAGACAGGGTCTCACTCTGTCACCCAGGCTGGAGTGCAGTGGTAAGATCACAGCTCACTGCAGCCTTGACTTCCTGAGCTCAAGTGATCCTCCCATCTCCGCCTCCCAAGTAGCTGGGACTACAGGTGCATGCCACCATGCCCAGCTAATTGTTTCTATTTTTTATAGAGACAGGGTCTCACTATACTGCCCAGGCTGGTCTTGAACTCCTGGCCTCAAATGATTTTCCCACCTCAGCCTCCCAAAGCACTGGGATTACAGGCTTGAGCCACCGTGCTCGACCTGGACTTTGCATTTAACAAGTAAGTTTATGCCATCATGTAAAGATATGATTTTAAATGTATTTGATTCAATAACATATATACATAGGTCAGCATTCCCTAGATGATCCCCTAGGTTCCTTTTCCTAGAGGCAGCTACTACTACCAACCTGATAAATGATCACATCATTCATGGGATTTACTCATGCTTACTGGATCAGAATCTTCAGGTTGCAAATATTTTCTCCAGCCCTTCCCACGTGTTCAACTATCACAAAGACTTGTGTAATGAATACAAGATACAAAATCAGAAGATTGTTTAGCAGTTTTAATTCAAATTCTTACCAGGCTATTCCCGAACACTTTCAAGCCCTAGAAAGGCCTATGCCATTTGCTGCAGTTGGACAGCTTTCTAGACAAACTAGAAAATCTGGATTTCAGGACAAGCTCAACGTCTAGACAGACAACACCCTGGCGGTGGTTTCAGAGATTAAGAGATGCACTGTCCTCTGATATCACCCACATGGGCTTTCTGTGACAGGCACAACTCCATCTCCTTTGCTGTAACGCAGCGTGGTGTCATATGGGTCATTCAAAGAACATGGGCTGGATTCAAACCCCAGGTTTACCTCTTGAAAACTGTGTGACCTAGGACATGTTGTTTAACTTCTCTGAGCTCTTTTCTCTAGTATAAAATCAAAGAATATCTACCTCATAGTGTTGTTGTGAAGATTAAATGTAATGATATACGTGAATGGCTCTCACCAAGTAGTCATCTCATGGTTTGTTAAATTACTTTGGATTTATGTAAAATTCAGATGACCTCCCCGGGGGTGTCTTCCATGACTGACCACACCCGACTCTGTGGCATCAGCATCTGCAGGTCCCCAAGGAGTCTCTCTCCTCCTGTCTGGAGTCAGCCCGTCTGGGGTTGATCTCCACTGCAACCCTCCTCCTGCTCCTCCAGGATCTGCTTTCATCGTTAGTTTCTTCTGTCTTCTATCTTGAATCTCTCTTTGTCCATTGGCTCTCTCTTCTCTTTCAGACTTGCTGAAGTCGTTTTTGGTTTTTTTGTTGTTGTTTTTTTTTGTTTGTTTTTTTTGACAGACTCACTCGGCCACCCGGAATGGAATGCAGTGGTGCCGTCATGACTCGCTGCAACCTCAAACTCCCAGGCTCCAGCCATCCTCCCACTTCAGCCTCCTGAGTAGCTGGGACCAAAGACATGCACCAGCACACCTGACTAATTTTTTATTTTCTGTAGAGATGGGGTCTTGCTATATTGCCCAGGCTGGTCTTGAACTCCTGGGCTCAAGCGATCTGCCCACCTTGGCCTCCCAGAGTGCTGGGATAACAGACATGAGCCGCCGTGCCCAGCCACATCTTTCATACTTGAAACAAAAAGCCCATCAGTGAATCTTGTGTTTTTTAAGTATGAAAAGCTTTAATCACTAAACTTAAAAAGAGCCTGAGTGACTGGTCAGACCCCTCAGGCTGGGACAGGACTTCCAAGATCAGCTCAAGCCTGAAGGCTAAGTATACCTCCCTTCTCACGGAAGAGCTGGCTTACATATTGGTGATAAATGGATCCTGGCTGAGGTCTGGAGCAGAGTGGGAAGGACTGAACAGTGACAAAGGGAAGGAGCCCAATTCTTCCACAACTCTTCTCTGCTTTTAAGAGCCTGGGGAAGGCTGGGGCGGTGGCTCACACCTGTAATCCCAGCACTTTGGGAGGCTGAGATGGGAGGATCACTTGAGACCATAAGTCTGAGAGCAGCCTGGCCAACATGGCAAAACCCCACCTCTACTAAAAATACAAAAAATTAGCCAGGCATGGTGGCGTGCACCTGTAATCCCAGCTACTCGGGAGGCCAAGCCAGGGGAATCGCTTGAACCTGGGATGCTGCAGAGGTTGCAGTGAGCCGAGATCATGCCATTGCATTCCAGCATGGATGACAGAGCAAGACTCTGTCTCAAACAAACACAAACTTGAATGACTCTTTCTTCCCCTCGAGACTTGTGGATCTCCTTGATTTGACCCCTCTCTATCTCTCAGCCACACCTCAAATTTCACTAGTTGTCCTCCCACTTTGCTGTCCTAATTCTCTTCTCTGTGCCCTGGATTATGCTGGGAATGCCCTGCCTACCTCTCTTTACCTGAAAACCTTATCACCTTTTAAGATAAAATTCAAATGTTATCATCTCCAAGAATCCTCCCCTGAGCCCTCAGGCAGGATTTTGGCTACCTGTCATCTTACCCTGTGATAATGTGTTCCAAGAAGACTGGCAGCCTGTCTGTTGAGACATTTACTAGCTGACTCAGAAATCTGATTTTATCAGCATTTTAAGAACAAATTAGCCAGGCATGGTGATGCGTGCCTGTAGTCCCAGCTACTCAGGAGGCTGAGGTAGGAGGATCCCATTAGCCTGGGAGGTATTTCTCAGGAAATAAAGTTTTCCCCAATCTCTCCACTCCTCACCCCACTTTCCCTGCACAGCTCTCACCCCATGCTTCTGATAATAACAGATACATGTGAAAGTTTCTAGTTTCTTTCTTTCTCTTTTTTTTTTTTTTTTTGAGACAGAGTTTTGCTCCTGTTGCCCAGGCTGGAGTGCAATGGCGCAATCTCAGCACATCGCAACCTCCACCTCCCAGGTTCAAGCGATTCTCCTGCCTCAGCCTCCCAAGTAGCTGGGATTATAAGCATGTGCCACCATGCCCAGCTAATTTTGTATTTTTAGTAGAGACAGGGTTTCTCCATGTTGGTCAGGCTGATCTCAAACTTCTGACCTCAGGAGATCTGCCTGCTTCGGCGTCCCGAAATGCTGGGATTTCAGGCATGAGCCACCACACCCGGCCTCTAGTTTCTATTTGGCTGTTACAGACAGGCAGGCCTTCAACAAGAACTTGGAAATACGGTGCAGCTCTTGAATGATGACTTTAAGGATCTTGATGACTTTAAGGATCAAAGTACAAGCTGAGAGGATGGCTTTTACTAACAGGCTCTTCAGTAACTACATTAAAGGATTAATGAGCAAGAGGCACTCAGGCCAGGGGTTGGGCAGTGACTTTTGGTTGGCCAGGCAAGTAAAAAGGGAGTCACAGATAATCATGGGTAGTGATTATCCAGACTTCAGCCGGGATGAGGGGAAACAAATGAACTGTCTTCTGATATCATGGTCCCATTGGCGAGCCCATTCCTGATCTGGAGATAGAGGCATCAAACTTTCACCCTGATTCCACCAAATGTTTGATTTACTCAGCTTCCATTGTTCTGATTTTCATTCATCTCCATGGGTAGGTCTGTTTGCTGTTTATAACAATAATGACTATTACTATTTTGCCAACTGCATTGACTTCAGTAAAAGGGTAAGTCTGTTTGCAAGGAAAGAGTGCATTAGTCTCTCATATTCCAGTATTACAGTTTTAAGAAAATTATCATTCTTTGGCCGGGTGCGGTGGCTCATGCTTGTAATCCCAGCACTTAGGGAGGCCGAGGCAGGTGGATCACGAGGTCAGGAGATCGAGACCATCCTGGCTAACATGGTGAAACCCCGTCTCTACTAAAAATACAAAAAATTAGCTGGGCATGGTGGCGGGTGCCTGTAGTCCCAGCTACTCGGGAGGCTGAGGCAGGAGAATGGCGTGAACCCAGGAGGCGGAGCTTGCAGTGAGCCAAGATCGTGCCACTGCACTCCAGCCTAGGCGACAGAGCAAGACTCTGTCTCAAAAAAAAAAAAGAAAATTATCATTCTTTTTGAAATTAATCTGTTCATATCCTGACCTCATACATTTTTTTCTTTTTCTTTCTTTCTTTCTTTTTTTTTTTTTTGAGACAGAGTTTTGCTCTTGTTGCCCAGGCTAGAGTGCAATGGCCCAATCTTGGCTCACCATAACCTCTACCTCCTGGGTTCAAGGGAGTCTCCTGCCTCAACCTCACAAGTAGATGGGATTACAGGCATGTGCCATCACGCCCAGCTAATGTTGTATTTTTAGTAGAGACAGGGTTTCTCCATGTTGGTCAGGCTGGTCTCGAACTCCTGACCTCAAGTGATCCGCCCACCTTGGCCTCCTAAAGTGCTGGGATTACAGACGTGAGCCACCATCCCTGGTGACTTTATACATTTTTCAAGAAAACAGTTAATTTGAGCCCACCACTAAGAGATGAATTTTTTTCTTTCTTTCTTCCTCTTTCTTCCTTTCTCTTTCTCTCTCTCTCTCTTTCTCTCTTTTCTTCTTTCTCTTTCTTTCTTTCCTTCTCTCTCTCTCTCTCTCTCTCTCTCTTTCTTTTTCATGGTGTCTGTCACCTAGGCTAGAGTGCAGTGGTGCAATCATGGCTCACTGCAGCCTCAAACTCTTGAGCTCAAGCAATCCTCCCACCTCAGCCTCCCAAGTAGCTGGGACTACAGGCTCCAAGCACTGTACCTGGCTAGTTTTTAAAAACATTTTTGTAGTGATGGGGTCTCAGTATGTTGCCCAGGCTGGCCTTGAACTGTGGGCTCAAGCAATCCTTCCATCTAAGACTCCCAAAGTTCTGAGATTACAGGTATGAACCGTTGCACCCAGCTCTTGGGGAAAATTTTAGGCGATGATTCCTCTCCTCTATCTCCACTCCAGCACAATTTTCAAGAGCTGCAGCTCTTTTAACAACTTGTTAGGGTTAGAAGTTGCCACAGCAGTAAAACTGTGGTGAAAAGAACATAGGGAAGTGATGGAAGCTCAGTGATCAGACCCTGAGACCTGTAAGGAAGGAAGGTGAGGAATAGCACTGTTTTGGTGTTTTTGTTTGAGACAGAGTCTCACTGATTTTTTTTTTTTTTTTTGTATTTTTTGTAGAAACGGGGTTTTGCCATATCGCCTAGGCTGGTCTGGAACTCCTGGCCTCAAGTGATCCACCCGTCTGGGCCTCCCAAAGTGTTGGGATTACAGGCCACCACGCCTGGCCAGCATGGTTTATTCTGTGCATCCACACCTAGCCCCACCCCGCCAACTCAACCTCAGTGGATCTCAAGTGCAGTCTCTACATCAGTGGCATCAGCACTGCAGGGGACTTGGTAGAAATTCAGGGCCCCACCTCCGACCTACTGAATCAGAAACTCTGGTGGTTGGGCCCAGCAATCTGTTTTAACAAACCCTCAAGGTGAGTGTGATTGGATTTGAGAATCACTGATCTAGGGCAGAGTCCAGGGCCCTCCTCACAACACACACCCTGACCCATACCCAGGCAGACCTCCTTCCTGGATGGGTTCCTCCTGATGTTAGAAAGTGGCTTTAACTTGGACAATGTCAGGAGCCTTGTTTTATGTATTCTCTGGGTCTAGCACACAGGAAGTATTTAAGAATGGCTAATGGGCCGAGCTTGGTGGCTCCCACCTGTAATTCTAGCACTCTGGGAGGCCAAGGCAAGTGGATTGCCTGAGTTTAGGAGTTCAAGACCAGCCTGAGCAACATGGTGAAACCCCGTCTCTACTAAAGACAACTAAAGCTGGGCGTGGTAGCACGTGCCTGTTGTCCCAGCTACTCAGGAGTCTGAGGCAGGGGAATCACTTGAACCCAGGAGGCAGAGGGAGGTTGCAGTGAGCCGAGATTGCACTGCTGCACTCCAGCCTGGATGACAGAATGAGAATCTGTCTTTAAAAAAAAAAAAAGAATGGCTAATGAACTAAACTGAAGTGCATATTTTATATATGCTTGGGATCAGTTCATTTATTCCATTCCTTAGCTCTCTATGATTCAGCAATACCCAAATTCTCCTCTCTCTTACACCATTTCTTTCTTCTTCTTCTTCTTTTTTTTGTGGGCGGGGGGGCGGGGGTACAGACTCTCACTCTGTTGACCAGGCTGGAGTGCAGTGGTGTGATCTTGGCTCAATGCAGCCTCAACCTCCTAGGCTCAAGCAATCCTCCTGCCTCAGCCTCCCAAGTAGCTGGGACTACAGGTGTGCACTACCACACCCGGCTATTTTTATTTTATTTTATTTTTGTTATGTTGCTCAGGCTGGTCTCGAACTCCTGACCTCAAGTGATCCTCCCATCCCGGCCTTCTAAAGTGCTGGGATTACAGGTGTGAGCCACTGCACCTGGCCACACATCATTTCTTTCAGTTTTCCCCAGGGTTTCTTTCCCCGCTTCCCCATCTCCTTAATTCCGACGTGCAGAGCTCTCAAACCGTCCTGCTGTGCAGAGTCCATGCTTTCCTCTCTAAATTCAGTCCTTTGGAAATGTACTCCATTCGCTGTCCCAAATATCACTGCCATGGCCTATCTTCCAGCCACAGAATCCACTCAAAGATCCCAGCGTACAGCATTCAACGTCACTACCCCACTCTCTCTACCCCATCATTCTTCCTGCCCACCTGCCCCCAATGTTTTCACTTCATTCCTTCTGTGATTGGTCCCACTATTTTCTTTTACTGTGGCTCCTACTCTTACTACTTTTACTGATATCCCTGAGTCTGCCCTCCCTCTGTCACCTCTATTCCCTTCCATTCCAGTTGACACCATGATAACTAAAGTCTTCATCCTGGTCAACTGTGAGTGTCTCCTAACTGTTCTAATCTTAAATATCTCCTGGCTCTGATCCAAACCATAGCACATCACTGTCAGATTAACTTTCATCAGACACCACTATGGTCATGACAGGGAAGGGCACACTGCAGAACAAACTATAATGCACAGGCACCAAGCCTGTCGCCAGAGAATTGGCGTGTGCCCGTCCCATGGAGTCCACCCACCTACCTTATCCTCAGAGCTTGACTTCTCTCCCTCCCCATTCACTCTAATTTTTCTCCTTTTTCCTCTCAGACTGTCCTCTGGAATTGAAAATTTATTGCGTCCACTATTTTACTCCTAACTTATTCCTGCCATCCCGTCAGGACTGCCTTTGGACAACCAAAATGGCCTGTGAGAGTGCTTTGCTAAATCTAGTTCTTCAGGTAAAGACAGTTCTTTCTCCTAAGAGGAGTTCTGTTGGCAGATTTTAATCTTAACAATATACTTTTTCTCCCCACTACAGGTGATGAAGGGTGGAAGAGGTTCAGGTTGTAATGGGTCATCAACTACACTTGACCTAGAACAGGTCCTTAGGCAGGAGGTCAGGGCCTCCAGAGGCTTCCTGAGCATACTGGAATCCTGAGGGAAGGAACAGTCTCTAAGGGGGTGGTGAGAAAGAAGGTGCAGAACTGGAGTCTGGCCAATTCCACTCGAGTAGAGAAAGCTGAGCCCCCTTCCCTTGGGATGCCCAGTAGAGAGGAAGCTAGAATCAGAGACACAGAGGCCAAGGAACTCTGACCATATAGAAACCTCCAGCCAAGAAGGTAAACCAAATCATTCCTTGGGAAGGTATTCCTAGATTTGCTTGGGATGACATAATTTTTTTTTTAGTGGATATGCATCTCTTAATCCTGGGAAGATTTAGAATTACATAGAGATATAACGAAGGCAATCAAACCTCATGGTGTTTTTTGTTTTTCTTTTTTGTTTTGAGATGGAGTCTCACTCTGTTGCCCAGGCTGGAGTGCAAAGGCGCTATCTTGGCTCACTGCAACCTCCGCCTCCTGGGTT
The DNA here is from genome assembly GCF_000001405.40 of Homo sapiens. Taxonomy (NCBI): domain Eukaryota; kingdom Metazoa; phylum Chordata; class Mammalia; order Primates; family Hominidae; genus Homo; species Homo sapiens. Next base: position 100,741,126 of record NC_000008.11, on the reverse strand, counting down.
CAGGCAATTCTCCTGCCTCAGATTCCTGAGTAGCTGGGATTACAGGCGCGCGCTACCACATCCAGCTAATTTTTTGTATTTTTAGTAGAGATGGGGTTTCACCAGGTTAGCCAGGCTGGTTTCGAACTCCTGACCTCAAGTGATACACCTGCCTTGGCCTCCAGAAGTGCTAGGATTACAGGTGTGAGCCACCATACCCGGCCTAATTTGCATTTCTCTAATGCTCAATGATGTTGAGCTTTTTTTCATATGTTTGTTGGCTGCATTAATGTCTTCTTTTGAGAAGTGTCTTTTCCTGCCTAGACATACTTTTAATGTTTACTAAAGTGTCTAAAAATTAACCTTGCACAGGCATGATGGTACACACCTGTAGTCCCTACTACTTGGGAGGCTGAGGCAGGGGGATTGCTTGAGCCCAGGAGTTTGAGACCAACCTGGGAAACATAGCAAGACCCCATCTTTAAAAAAAAATTAAAATTAACTTTGCAATGCTGGTTTAAAGTATATAACTTGCTGATGTAGATTTTTTATTATAATTTTAAAATCTTTTAAAAGTTTATATACTATTTTGGAACTTTTTTATTTTTTATTTTATTGTATTATTTTATTTTATTTTAGAGACGGAGTCTCACTCTGTTGCCCACACTGGAGTGCAGTGGCGCGATCTCGGCTCACTGCAAGCTCCGCCTCCTGGGTTCACGCCATTCTACTGCCTCAGCCTCCTGAATGGCTGGGACTACAGGCGCCCACCAACATGCCCGGCTAATTTTTTGTATTTTTAGTAAAGACCGGGTTTCACCATGTTAGCCAGGATGGTCTCGATCTCCTGACCTTGTGATCCGCCCGCCTCGGCCTCCCAAAGTGCTGGGATTACAGGCTTGAGCCACCGCACCCGGCCCTATTTTAGAACTTTTAAGATAAATTACAACTTACTGTATGTATTAGTTTAATGTATTTGTTTAATGAGAATTCCTTAAGAATTTGGAAAAGTGTGTTAATCAGAAAATTGATGTATTTGAAAAAATAATCAAATTTTTAAATTAATAAATGCAATGTAAAATGTTTAAAATGATTAACCAAGTGGCTCAGACATTGTTTGTTAGATTTATAAATAGCATAATAAAATGGAAATGTTTAATGTAAAAGCTTGAGATTTTAAATGTGAAAGTAGTGAATATTAATTTTTAAAAACCCAAGTAGTGTTGTATGAAAGGAGAGAAAATTGGCACAACTCTTGACAAGGATGAAAGAGGCCCTCAAGCCTGACAACACACATACAGTTAAGGCATTGCCACCTACTTCGTGGCATCTGACCATCCTTAAAAAATAATTAAAAAAAAACAACGTAACTTTTTAACTTTTTTTTTTTTTTTTTGAGACAGGGTCTCACTCTGTCACCCAGGCTGGAGTGGACCTCGGATCACTGCAACTTCCACCTCCCAGGCTCAAGTGATTCTCCCACCTCAGCCTCCTGAGTAGTTGGGACAGAAGGCACTCGCCACCACACCTGCTTTTTTTTTTCTTTTTCTTTTTGGCAGAAACAGGGTTTCTCCATGTTGCCCAGGCTGGTCTCAAACTCTGAGCTCAAGTGATCCACCTGCCTGGGCCTCTTAAAGTGCTGGGATTACAGGCATGAGCCACTGTGCCCAGCCCCAAGTAACTTTTTTTTTTTTTTTGATGGAGTCTTGCTCTGTCGCCCAGGCTGGAGTGCAGTGGCACAGTCTTGGCTCACTGCAACCTCCTCCTCCCAGGTTCAGAGCGATTCTCCTGCCTCAGCCTCCCGAGTAGCTGGGATTACGCTACCATGCCCAGCTAAACTTTTGTATTTTTAGTAGAGATGGGGTTTCACCACATTGGCCAGGCTGGTCTCGAACTCCTGACCTCAAGGTATCTGCCCACCTCGGCCTCCTAAAATATTAGGATTACAGGCATGAACCACCGTACCTGGCCCCTAAGTAACTTCTAAATAATCATTTCAGCGTGAAAAGTTCTAATGAGTTTTTAAAGTCTTTTATTTTTATCTTTCTTTTTAATGCTACCATAGAGAAAGTTCACCAGGAAATATCCAAATCTATAAATGTAAATTCTTCCTAATAGTAAATGTCCAAGAAAAGTGCATTTGAGTTGGGTGAATAGGCGGCAAGTGTGCAGAGTTGGGAAGGCGAGCCAGAGGCTAATCAGAATGACACAATACAAACTCTGACTTCTTACCTTCTCTCCAGACTTGTTTCTCCAGTTGCCTACAGACCTGCAATTGAACATCCTTGCCTCATCTTCAACTTTGCATTTCAAAAACTTAGCTCATCACTTCCTCATCCCCATCTCTCTATTCTTGGCCTCAGCCAAAAGGCTTCCTGTCATAAATAATGTGTTTATTGCACCATAATCAGCCCAATACAACAGGCTGGTCACCTTCCAGTCATTTTTTCACTCTTTCCTCTCCTTCTCTTTTACTCTAAATCCATCAGTCAGTCCTGACGAGCCTTTCATGCTGGGTCCACTTTGCTCCAATTTCCTCAGTCACCACCATCAGCTATGGCCATGTTACCTTATGCCAGGATTACTGCAGCAGTCTTCTGTCAATTTCTCCTGCTGCAGTTCATTCCACACAGAGCTCCCACAAGAGCCATCAAACTTTGTTTTCGCCTCTAATTTGTATTTGCATAGACGTTTATGGGCTCCCCAATGTCTGTCAAATAAAACCCAAGCTCCTTTTGCTATCCAAACGTTTTCACCAATAGGGGTACTCTTAATCTTCATCTTTTATTATTTCTTGATGGGACCCCTCTGTTTTTGTCAAGCTAATTTGCTGGTCCCATTCTCCAATGCCGTTGTGCCTACACACATATCTTTCTATAGTCCATTTCCTCTGTCTGGAAAGCTCTGACCCCTCTTGTTTCCCACCCCTCAACTCTGGTTTCTTCCTTTTCTTCCAAACCCTGTTAAACACTCACCTCTTCCCACACTTTATACTAGATCTCGTTTGGCTATAAACAATTCACAATCTCCTTGGCATCAGTATACATTTCGGTAATTAATGTCCACGTGTTTATATTATTCTGCAACAATGTCTTTGGTTTTGCATATGTATTGTTTCCTTAAAAGACTATATAAAGTTTTTGGCTGGGCACGGTGGCTCATGCCTGTAATCGCAGCATTTTGGGATGCCGAGGCAGGTGGATTACTGGAGGCTAGGAGTTCAAGACCAGCCTGGCCAACATGGTGAAACCCCATCTCTACTAAAAATACAAAAGTGCCTGTAGTCTCAGCTACTCTGTTGACTGATGCATGAGGATTGCTTGAGCCCAAGAGGCAGAGGTTGCAGTGAGCTGAGATCATGCCATTGCACTCCAGCCTGCACGACAGAGCAAGACTCTGTCTCGAAAAGGAAAAAAAATAAGGCTATATAAAGTTTTTAGAGAAGAGTTTTACCACCAAAATTTAATCCCTCCTAAGTTCCAGTAACCGCACCAGTAAAATGGCCATAAAATGCTTTACACAGTAGGGGGCCTGGGAAGATCAAATAAATTGACAATAGAAACTTTGCAGAATGGGCACAGTGGCTCATACCTGTAATCCCAGAATTTTGAGAGGCTGAGATAGAAGGATCACTTGAGGCCAGGAGTTTGAGACGAGCCTAGGCAACTTAGGTCTCCTAAAAAGAAAAAGAAAAATGTTTTACAAAGTTTAAAGCACCAACAAATGCATATTCCCCCTTTTTCTTTTCTTTTTTTTTTTCTTTTTTCTTTTCTTTTTTTTTTGAGACAGGGTCTTGCTCTGTTACCCAGGTCGGGATGCAGCGGCATGATCTCAGCCCACTGCAGCCTCAACCTCTCGGGCTCAAACAATCCTCCCACCTCAGCCTCCTGAGGAGCTGGAACTACAGGCTCATGTCACCCATGCCCAGCTAATTTTGTCTATTTTTTGTAAAGACAAGGTCTCACTCTGTTGCCCAGACTGGTCTCCAACTCCCGGACTCTAGCGATCCTCCTGCCTCAGCCTCCCAAAGTGCTGGGATTCCAGGCATGAGCCACCACGTATTTCTTAGTAATGACAAGGTAAGCACTTGACTAATAAATGTTGACTAAGAGACCAATGCGTGTCAGCTTAGTGATTCAACAAGATTATAAGATGAAGAGCACATACATTATGGCATAAGCAGCATCACTTCATAAACAGCAATCACAGCAGAGCAAGCAGCCTAGTGATTCAAACATACTGAATGTCTCTGACTTACAAAACAAGTTAATAGGACTCCAGATAGATGCTAATGAATCAAAAACCTCACATAAATCACTGTTTCTATGAAATTCATTATGTTTGTTTAATTATGAGGGAATATTTGAAAAGCATAACATTTGTCCAAATTCCCCCAAGTTCTGATCCTATATTTGAAATGCATTCAAATTTGCTTATTCAACCTTTTTTGGTTTAGCAAATATTAGCTGTATACCAACTATATACCAAGCTCTGTTTTAGGCCCTGGAGACATACCAGTGAAGACAGTTCAAGTTCCTGTTCTCAGGGATCTTGTATTTCAATCAGATAAGTAGCATTAAATAAACAAAATAATTACAGATTATAGTTAAGTACTATGAAGAAAGCAGTATAGGGACTGGGTGGGGAGGACTATGGAGGGCATATTTAGGGAAGACATCAATGAGGGTGTCTTTTTTGTTGAGACAGGGTCTCTGTCGTCCAGGCTGGAGTGCAGTGGCATGCATGATCAAGGCTCACTGCAGCCTCAACTTCCCAAGGTCAAGTGATCCTCCTGCTTCAATCCCCCAAGTAGGTGGGACTAAAGGCATATGCCACCACAATCAGCTAACTTTTTTAAATTTTTAAGAAAATTTTTAAATTTTTTGAGGTGGAGTCACTCTGTCACCCAGGCTGGAATGCAGTGGTGCGATCTCGGCTCACTGCAACCTCCACCTCCTGGGCTCAAGTGAGCCTCCCACCTCAGCCTCTGAGTAGCTGGGACTACAGGTGTGTGCCACCACACCCAGCTAATTTTAGTATTTTAAGTAGAGATGGGGTTTCACCATGTTGGCCAGGCTGGTCTCAAAATCCTGGCCTCAAGTGATCTGCCCATCTTGGCTAGAATTACAGGTGTGAGCCACTGTGCCCAGCCTAATTTTTCCAAATTTTAGTAAGGACAAGGTCTTGCTGTGTTGCCCAGGTGGGTCTCAAAGTCCTGAGCTCAAGCAATCCTCCCTCCTTGGTCTCCCAGAGTGCTGGGTCTACAGGTATGAGCCACTGTGCCAGCCAGGATGGAGGATGAAGTAGAGAGGCACAGGAGCCCAGGAGGGAGCATGCCAGCTGAGAGAAGAGTGAGTATAAGGGCCCTAGGGCAGCAAAGAGCTGGCTGTGCTAAGAGGTCTATGTGGCTGGAGCCTCCTGATTAAGAAGTCTGGAGTCAGATCACACAAAGCTTGGTGAGCCTTGGGGAGGAGTTTGGATGTTATTCTTTGTGCAATGGAAAACCACTAAAGGAAATTACATATTACTGAAATTTAAATTGTGTTATTTTTTAAACAGTCATATTTATCATTATAATATCTTGGATCACTTCACAAAACTTGACTAGATTTTGTTCAAAATACAAGTTTTTTGTTTGTTTGTTTGTTTGTTTGTTTGTTTGTTTTGGTGCAGCAGTGCGATCTCGGCTCACTGCAATCTCCATCTCCTGAGTTCAAGTGATTCTCCTGCATTAGCCTCCTGAGTAGCTGGGATTACAGGCATTGCCACCAGACCCAGCTAATTTTTGTGTTTTTAGTAGAAATGGGGTTTCACCATGTTGGCCGGGCTGGTCTTGAACTCCTGACCTCACGTCATCTGCCCACCTTGGCCTCCCAAAGTGCTGGGACTGTAGGTGTGAGCCACCAAGCCCGGCCCCCAAAATACAAGTTTTGAAAAGAAAAAGGACTAGGTATTTTGAAATGCGAGCTTCCTGCATATGGGCAGGGTGCACCAAGTAGGGGCTGTCACAGGCTCTACTTGCTGTTATCATTACCTGTCTTATGAAATTATGATTTTTTAAAAATTATTTTTTGTAGAGACAGGGTCTCACTATGTTGTCCAGGCTGGTCTCAAACTTCTAGCTTTAAGCCATCCTCCTGCCTTGGCCTCCCAAAGTGCTGGGATTATAGGGGTGAGCTACTGTGCCTGGTCAAAATTAGGATTTTTAACATTTCAAATGCAAGTTATCTCGTTGACTGTCAAAATGGCAGACAAGCCACCTTCAGGTATCTTTTAAAACAGATTCTTAAGACTACACAGTCATAGGAAGGAGACAGTTGATGAACTGATATAAAGTGACCCTTAAAATATGTTAAGAGGAATTAAAAATGCCTCGTGAACAACAGTGAAGTACTAACATTACTTGTAAATGCATAAAGTGTCTTTGGGATATGTAAGAAACCGGTAACATCGGTCACACCTATGCTGAAGAGACCTGGGTAGCTGAGGGATAGGATGGGAGATAATTCTTACCATACATCTTTTTGTCATTTTAGTGTTCTGAAACAATATGAATTTACCTATTCAAACAATAAATTCTAAATTTTTTCAATATAGATCCTTATCTGAAAGAAAATGGACAGTCTTCCAGAATTGGTGAGAAGAAATTTGCATCAATGGGTAAACCATCTATTTTTTTGTTTTTATGTTTTCTTTTTCTTTTTCTTTTTTTTTCTCAAGAGGTCACACTGAGGAAAAACCATCTAATTTGAAGGAGGCTTAATAGAACAGTGCAGTGGCTCAGGCATATATTCCCAGAGCTTTAGGGGCATCTCTTGAGGCCAAGTGCTCTAGAGTAGCCTGGGCAACATAGGAAGACCTCCTATCTCTACAAATAAACTTTAAAATTAGCCGGGCATGGTGGCACAAGCCTGTAGTCCCAGCTACTTGGGAGGCTGAAGTGGGAGGATTGCTGGAGCCAGGAGTTTGAGGCTGCAGTGAACTATTATCACACCACAGCACTCCAGCCTGGACAACAGATTGAGACCCTGTCTCTAAAAAAAAATTAAAAGTGGCTGAAAATCTAGACCTATACTGTTCAATACATTAGTCATTAGCCACATGTGTCTATTTTACTTTAAATCTAAATTAAATGAAATTAAACTAAAAATTCAGTTTCTTGGTCACAGTAGCCACATTTCAGTGTTCAGTAACCGTTAGCTACATGTGACTAATGGCTACCATATTGGTCAGCACAGATATACAATATTTTCATCATCATGGAAAGTTCTATTGAACAGCCTGCTATATACTTAAACAAAATACCACCAGAGTTATAAACTGCCTCTTAAAATTTATTTGATAGGCCGAGCGCGGTGGCTCACACCTGTAATCCCAGCACTTTGACAGGCTGAGGCAGATAGATCAACTGAGGTCAGGAGTTTCAGACCAGCCTGGCCAACATAGTGAAACCTAGTCTCTAAAAATACAAAAATTAGCCAGGTATGGTGGCATGCACCTGTAATTCCAGCTACTCAAGAGGCTGAGGCAGGAGAATCACTTGAACCCAGGAGGCAAAGGTTACAGTGAGTCACTGCACTCCAGCCTGCATAACAGAGCAAGACTCCATCTCAGAATAAATACATAAATAAAACAAAACTTAGTTGACTGAAACAAATTCGAATATATTCCAACGCCAGTTTTCCTGAGATGATTCACTAAAATGACATTTTGAGGTGCAATCAAAACCCTCGGTATTCAATTTCTAAGGCAGGCAGGGATACACTGGGAAGGTGCCTACATACACAAATAATTTCGTCACTACAAAAAAAGCGGTTTGCACTAGTAGACACAGGTATTATAGCCTAAGAGTTAAAGAACTATTTTTCTCAATGTAAACTTAAAATTAACATACTTGTTATTTACTGAATTTGGTATCTGCACTGACTCAATAAATGAGTCAGTAGTACTAACATGATAACAGGGTAAATAATGAGATTGATATATTCAATTTCTTTAGTACAATTCATCGACTTATCTCATTTTTGCTATCATTATGAATTCATCACCTCCTTACTTAAGGCATTTCAACTAACTATAGTCATCATTTTCCTTTTGATACACAGTTTAACAGAATCTAGTCAATGCGTGTCCCATTAAACTGGCTTCTGTATTCTCCCATTATTTTCAACACTGTTATTTTTATTTTTATATATATATATTTTTTTGAGATGGAGTCTCGCTCTGTCACCCAGGCTGGAGTGCAGTGGCATGATCTTGGCTCACTGCAATCTCCACTTCCTGAGTTCAAGTGATCCTCCCACCTCAGCCTCCCGAGTAGCTGGGACTACAGGCACACACCATCACAACTGGCTAATTTTTGTATTTTTAGTAGGACAGTGTTTTGCCATGTTGGCTAAACTGGTCTCGAACTACTGACCTCAAGTGATCCTCCTGCCTTGGCCTGGGATTGGGATTACAGGCGAGCTGTAAAATGCTGGGATTACAGGTGTGAACCACCATGCCAGGCCCCAACACCATTACTTTTAGAAAGTACTTGCCTTCTGGCCCAAACAAAATGTTCCAAGACTCACCTGTGCTTCCCTAGACCCAGACATGGAATCAGCCATTTTTCTGAGGTGTGTTGGTTCCTTTAAGTGAAAAATGGTTTTAGACCTCAAAATTTAGCCAGCAGGAGTGCATATGATCAGGCTCATTTTGGTGGTGTAATATTGCTCCTTGGCAATTTCATTGAACAAAGTTAGAAAAGACATATTTTATTAAGTGTTGTTAGTTTGTATGAACATTTTCAACTTAGTTCTTTCATTACTGCATGTCTACTCCAATTTTTTATTCTTCTTCCAAGTTATAATTATATTTCTCTTTCTTTATAACTCAATGAAACACTGAATTATCACTCTAAAAAATGTTAAATTCTTAACAAAGTTAGCATAATCCCTTATTTCTTTTATTTGGCAATAGAAAAAAGCATGAAATAGTAATGCAATTATTAATACTAACAATAAAACTACTGAATAACATTAAAATTCTTTGCTTTTCTCTTAAAATGCATCTCACTAAGGTGACCAAACCAATGATTTTGTCCCTCACAAGAAGTCTTCGTTTTGTTTGCTTACTGAGCACTTCACGAATGTCCGGTTCCATTCTCTTAGTTCACATGAGAGCGTCGGCAGGCAAACAACTGACACCTCTGAGTTCTTAGATGGGAATGGCTTTCAGCTTCTCCATTTTTCTCTTGAGAGGCTAGGATTTTTAAAAAATGCAAATTATCTTATCAATAGTTAAATGGCAGATAGGCTACCTTCACATTATCTTTTAAAAATAGATTTTCATATGAAAGGAAATGAACAATGTTCCAAAATTATTCATGACAAGGAAATGGTATAATGTAGGTAACTTGAGGTAATTCTGATGAACAGTAGGTTTATCATTCAGACAATACAACTATAGATTTGCAAGACAGAGACACACTGGACAGGTACCTACACACATCATTCTGTCACGACAATCATTTGACACACACTTGTCAGGACATAAGCCATTACCACCATTCAGCATAAAAATATTTTCTTGCTCAGCCTGTGGAGCCAAAAGAAAGATTACTAGAAGGGAGTTGTTCATACCTGGTTGGTTTCCTAGAAGAGAAAACAAACCAATGAACCATAGTTACAGGAGCTGTCCCCTAATTAGTAATACAAAACTGGAACTGATTTCATCATTTAATCTGACAGGTAGGTCATTTATGATTCACAAGAGCTGCCTGGCACCTCTGTCATGGCCTACCCCAGAGAAGGCAGTGCTACCACTCAGCACACCGCTAGTGAGCCTGGACCTGGGGTCTCGCTGTGTGCTGACCTTATTTGGGCCTCACTTGGCTCCCCTGAGCTGTTGTTTTAAGCAAAAGGGCTCCTTAAATGGTGGCTATTATCATTTTTCTATTTTTCATTTTATTTTATTTTATTTTATTTTTTCGAGACAGTTTCACTCTTTTGCCCAGGCTGGAGTGCAGTGGCATGATCTCAGCTCACTGCAACCTCCGCCTTCTGGTTTCAAGCGATTCTCCTGCCTCAGCCATCCGAGTAGCTGGGATTACAGGTGCCTGCTGCTGTGCCTGGCTAATTTTTGTATTTTTAATAGAGATGGGGTTTCACCATGATGGCCAGTCTGGTCTCCAACTCCTGACCTCAAGTGATCCGCCCACCTTGGCCTCCCAAAGTGCTGGGATTACAGGCGTGAGCCACCGCACCCGGCTTTATTTTTTATTTTGAGACAGGGTCTCGCTGCATCTCCCAGGTTGGAGTGCAGTGGTGCGATCATGGCTCACTGCAGCCTCCACCTCCTGGGCTCAAGCAACCCTCCCACCTCAGCCTCCCAAGTAGCTGGGACTACAGGTATGCACGACCACACCTGGCTAATTTTTGTATTTTTTGTAGAGATGGGGTTTCACCATATTGCCCAGGCCAGTCTGGAACTTCTGGGTTCAAGCAATCCACTCACCTCGGCCTCCCAGACTGCTGGGATTACAGGTGTGAGCGACAGTGCCCAGCCCCAGCTCTTTTAAAAAGCCCAGATAAAATCACTGACATTTGAGATATGTTGCCTAAAGGGTGCACCACCATCAGTTTCTGTAGATTTCGTAAGCTTTATGTTAAATTTAGTTCTCAACAGGAATGCCATTAGTGCATTACGATTTGCCGTTATTTATTTTTCTTCAGAGACAGAGTCTCACTCTGTCACCCAGGCTGGAGTGCAGTGGTGTGATCTCGGCTCACTGCAACCTCTGCCTCCCAGGTTCAAGTGATTTTCGTGCCTCAGCCTCCCAAGCAGGTGGGACTACAGGTGACAATCACCATGCTCGGCTAATTTTTGTATTTTCAGTAGAGATGGGGTTTCACCATGTTAGCCAGGCTGGCAATTTGCCATTAATAAGAGTTGACAAAAGAGGCTGGGCATGGTGGCTCATGACTGTAATCCCAACACTTTGGGAGGCTGAGGAGGGTGGATTGCTTGAGCCCAGGAGTTTGAGACCAGTCTGAGCAACATAAAAAACCCTGCCTCTACAAAACATAAAACATTATGCTGGGCGTAGTGGCACTCAACTGTAATCTCAGCTATTCAGAAGGCTGAATTGGGAGGATCATTTGAGTCTGGAAGGTGGAGGCTGCAGTGAGCCAAGATTGTGCCACTGCATTTCCAGCCTGGGCAACAGAGTGAGACCCTGTCTCGAAAGGAAGGGAGAGGAGAGGAAAGAAGAGGAAAGGAAAGGAAAGGGGAGAGAGAAAAAGGAAAGAGTTGACAAAAAAATTGTTCTTGCATTAAAAACAATCACTTGAATGTGGCTTTTGTTGCAGAAAAAAATAGAATATAAAAACAAATAAAAATAAAAATCACTATTTAAGACAACTGCCCTAGACAATTTCTCTAGAAAGTAAGCTCCATAAGGGCAGACACTTCAGTGGTTTTAATGTTTTATAACAACATTTATAACAACTCACACTGTAGGCCTAAAAAGCATTTGATTTGTAGTGAATGAATAATTGACTTATATAATTCAATGTCTTTAAAGAGCTACACAATAAATTCTTTTAAAGATTTACTATAGGAAAAAAATTAGTCTTCCTGAATAAAACTGTTGTGCTGCTTTTCATTAGACAGTTAGGAACTTGTTTCTTCGACTTCCAGGAAGATGAAAGTGAGGCCATTTCCAAGAATATCTCAATTGGTCTTCCTTTGGCTCTCATCTTTCAAATCCAGTACTTTTACACCACCACTGGAATTACCTTTTGGAAGAAACCTGAAAGCCAAAAGTTTAGATCCTGTGTTCCCTTTTCATTCGAGCCCTAATCTATTGTTTACCATACTTGCCTCCTCTCCCGCCTGCCTTTATGCCCTCCTATTCACCCTGTTTCAGCCAAGGGATCATCATCCCTTCAACACATGCTGCTTATGCCCACCTCCACCACATTCCTGATGTTATTTCTTCCACCTTACAATGCCCTTTCCTTTCCTTATTCCAAGTACTGTTCTGCCCCCTGTCATTCCCACATCAAAGAGATCCTTTGAAATTTGCACTGCCTGTGTTTGAATCAAAGTTGTTCTACTACTTTAGCCTCAGTTTCCTCACTGGCAATACTGTAGTTTCCTGCCTGATAGGATTCCGTGAGGAGGCAATAAAATTACCCAGGTTCAGCCAGGAGCAGTGGCTCACGCCTGTAATCCCAGCACTTTGGGAGGCTGAGGCGGGTGGATTACCTGAGGTCACGAGTTTGAGACCGACCTGGTCAATATGGTGAAACCCCATCTCTACTAAAAATACAAAAAATATAGCTGGGCATGGTGGTGGCCACCTGTAATACCAGCTACTCAGGAGGCTAAGGCAGGAGAATCGCATGAACCCAGGAGGCAGAGGTTGCAGTGAGCTGAGATTGTGCCATTGCACTCCAGCCTGGGCAACTAGAGTGAGACTCCGTCTCAAAAAAAAAAAAAAAAGAAAGAAAAAAGAAAATTATCCAGGTTCAATAAATATCCATGCTCCATTAATATTAGCTCTTAATAAAATTAAAATTTCTTCTATTTACCTGAAAAGTATTTTTGTCCTTCTTTATATCTTTTTGTTGTTTGTTTAGAGACAGGGTCTCCCTCTGTCACCCAGGCTGGAGTGTAGTGGTACAATCACAGCTCACCGCAGCCTCAACCTCCCTGGCTCAAGTGATCCTCTTGCCTCAGCCTCCCAGTAGTGGGGACCACAAATGCACACCACCGCACCTGGCTTTGTTTTGTTTTGTTTTGTTTTAACTTTGTAGAGATGAGGTCTCACTGTGCTACCCAGGCTGGTCTTAAGCTCCTGGCCTCAAGCAATTGTGCCACCTCGGCCTCCCAAAGTGCTGGGTTCACAGGTGTGAGCCAGCCACCATGCCCGTGCCTGGCCAAATACTTTATATCTTTTTTTTTTTTTTGAGATGGAGTCTAGCTTCGTCACCCAGGCTGGAGCACAGCGGCGTGATCTCAGCTCACTGCCTTTGTCGCCTAGGCTGGAGCACAGTGGCGTGATCTCAGCTCACTGCAACCTCCGCCTCCCAGGTTTAAGCAATTCTCCTGCCTCAGCCTCCCAAGTAGCTGGGATTACAGGTATGCACCACCATGCCCAATTAAGTTTTGTATTTTTAGTAGAGATGGGGTTTTACCATGCTGGCCAGGCTGGTCTCAAACTCCTGACCTCAAGTGATCTGCCCGCCTCGGCCTCCCAAAGTGCTGGAATTACAGGCATGAGTGACCGTGCCCAGCCCCAAATACTTTACATCTTAACCTATGTTCTTAAAGTATTTGTGCCTTAAGAACAGTGGTCCTAGAATATGACCCATTGCAAGAATATTCTCACTGTGACCCCTCTTGGGAGTTTTTTTGTTATGCATCTAATATTTAATATTGTCTCAATGGGGTCATTGCATTTTTCTGTTCTCTAAATTAGTTTAGGACAGTAACAGTTGTATCTCTTTCATGTGTCTGCATGTGTATGTCTCTTTTATTTTTATTTTTGCCCCTCCCCAGCCTCCTGTGTATGTCTCTGCTTAATACTTCTGTCACACATTTGAACTTGGTATCTACCAAATCAATTGATGTGTGGTAATAGAGAGAGATAAGAGGTATTCGATAAGTGGTAGCGCTGTACATTATGCTATTAAAATTTACATATAGGCTAGGTGTGGTGGTTCACGCCTGTAATCCCAGCACTTTTGAGGGCCGAGGCTAGTGGATCACCTGAGGTCAGGAGTTCAAGACCAGCCTGGCCAACATGGAGAAACCCCGTCTCTACTAAAAATACAAAAATGAGCCAGGCTTGGTGGTATGTGCCTGTAATCCCAGCTATTTGGGAGGGTGAAGCAGGAGAATCACCTGAACCCAGGAGGCGGAGGTTGCAGTGAGCAGAGATCGTGCCACTGCACTTCAGCCTGGGGGATGGGGCAAGACTGTCTCAAAAAAAAAAAAAAAGAAGTTTACACATAATATTTTACTCAAGTCTTACAAGAATCCTATTAGGAAGGTAGTAGTATCCCTGTTTTGTTTTGTTTTTTTTTTTGTTTTTGTTTTTGTTTTGAGACAGAGTCTTGCTCTGTCCCAGGCTGAAGCACAGTGGTGCAATCTCAGCTCACTGCAACCTCCACCTTCCGGGTTCAAGCGATTTTCATGCCTCAGCCTTCTGAGTAGCTGGGATTACAGGCGCACGCCACCACGCTTGGCTAATTTTTTGTATTTTTAGTAGAGACAGGGTTTCACCATGTTGGCCAGGCTGGTCTCGAACTCCTGACCTTGTGATCTGCCGATCTTGGCCTCCCAAAGTGCTGGAATTACAGGCGTGAGCCACCGTGCCTGGTCGTAGTATCCCTGTTATATTGAACAATCATTATAACAACTACACTGGTTTAACATAGATGGCTATGCCATTAGAAAAGCACCTTGTAACAAACCTTAGTATTTTGAGATTTCTCTTATTGTCTTCTACAACAAAATCACTAACTACATTTTTTTCCCATTATTGTTTCTGTGTTTCTGAGTCTGTGTTTATGACCCTTGACCTTATGACCCTTGATCCTGCCACAGCATGTTAGCTCTAAACTCCAGGAGCTCTTTCAGGGAGCGTTTCCTGACACGCTGGCTGGGTTCTCATTTCTAGTGCTGAGCTTGGAAGTAGCGGACTTTTGGTACCCAAAGTCAGGCAAGCAGGGACAAGCAAGGACTTCTGGACAACAGGAGGTTCTGGACCTCCAAAGCTGAGGACGCTGTATGGCAGTGATCCTACTAATGTTCTGAGATCCCCTCTTTGATGTTAGCAGTCTGATTGCTCGCCATTTTCTCAGAACTAATGTCAGCTTACAACATCTGACACACAATCTAGAAACAGGACCCCATTTCAAACTCATATAAATTCCTTTCTTCATTCTTGGTTGGTATGAGAAAAATATGCAATGCGTATGGAAGAAAACATAAACTCTAAGTGAGTCTCATTATAGGAATTCCTCTGATCATGGGCATGACAATTTGCAAATCTGAGTAGGTGTTATGTTCCTCACCAACCTGGCAAACCAATTAAGTGGGAAGCTCATCTTCTGAAACATTGCATAGTTTTGATTTTATCACAGACATCATATAATATTTTTTCTATTTCAAGGATCTACAGAAAGTATACCCCTTCAATTGAGAGGGATCTGTTCTCAACGAATACACTTATTATCCATTTCAAATAAATCTCTCTATATTACCTAAAGATCTTAAAAGGCCAGGTTATCTTACATACATTACACAAGATACTATAAATTATCCTGGATATATTCTGAATGTATCCTGGATATAACCTGAAAATTACTTATAAATTGCTAGTGAAGTTCAAGTGAATAAGCTCTCTGGAGAACTTTACAGTTTACTCATTAAATAAAAACAGGTTAATTGAATGACTTTAATGTCATTAGATATTCTTAGGCACCCACAGTGAGATGCTGCACATATAAAGACATTATTCTGTCCCACAGCTTGCAATCTAAAATTAGATAAACACAGGCAAGCCAGATAAACATAGACAGCACATTTTTTAAGACAAAAAAAAATGATAGGAGAGAAAAATGAGAGTAGTGAATCAAAAAGGCAAAAGGAATCAACAAATATTTCATCTTCTGCCTTTTATTCGTAGCCTTAATTACCTCTATCACAAGCAATCAGACTGCTAACATCAAAAAGGGGTCTCAGAACATTAGTGGGATTACCACCATACAGCGTCCTCAGCTTTGGAGGTCCAGAAACTCCTGTTGTCCAGGAGTCCTTGCTTGTCCCTGCTTGCCTGATTTGGGGTACTAAAAGTCCACTACTTCCAGCACTAGAAATGAGAGCCCAACCAGCATGTCAGGAAGCGCTCCCCGAAACAGCTTGTGGAGCTGAGAGGTAACATGCTGCAGCAGGCCAAGCAGTCTGGAGGTGAACACGGCCCTAGGTGCCCATGTGACCATCAGGTTGAGACCTCCCAACTAACCCTCATCCTATATGGTCAGTCTACAAGGCCTAGCTGGCCCTCTCCCTGAAGTTAGGTTTAAAAAGAAAAAATACACCCTCAGTGTGCCAGGCTTCACGGTAGATGGTTGGGATGCAGATAAACATGACATAAGCCTTCTTTTGGCGCTTACAACTTATTTTGGGAGATCGCTCATAAACACACTATTTTGATATAACGTAGTAAATGTAGTGGCAGGGTTGGCGGGGGGCAGGGGAAAAACCAAAGGAAGGGTGCCCAATCCTACCTGGTGGTCAGGGAATGGTAAGTTACTGGCGGAGAGGAGGAAGAATCTGAGAGGCAGAACCAGGAAAGTGTAGCCCAGACGCCAAGAGAGTGTGTGACAAAAGAGAGGGAGGAAAACAGTGTCAAACTCTGCAGATGTCCAGTAAAATGGACCTGAAGAAAGTCCATTGGATTTGTCAAATAGAACAGGGATCATTGGCAACTGTTGATGGGGCAATTTGAGTGCAGCTGGAAGTCATACGGTAGTGTTGAGGAACTAAGGAGAGAGAAAGCAGAAATGAAAAGCTTGGCTATGAAAAAAAAGTGAATGAGAGAGGAATATGTCATTAAGAGAAGATTGGTTTGTTTTCTTTTTGATCTGAATTGACCAGTTTCTGATCTGAGCGAAAGCAGCTGGCTGGAAATAAAAAGAGGTGATTGATGGATCAAGGGAACAGGTTCTTGGTTTCAGTTCCAGATCCCACTCCTGTTTCCTCCTGGGCTCTGACTCTCTCTCCTATTCTATTAAATAGCAGCTCCTTGTCCTCAGGTATGGACTTTGCTTCTACTTTCCCTTGCACATACTCAACTGTACCTCCATAAAATATGACAATGACATCTACTAAGTGCAAGAGCCACAGCTGCATAGACGTCCTGATGACTGGCTCCCTTCCCAAACTATGTATTCACCTACAAAGCACTAATATACTTTTCTAGTGATGAGAATGCTTCCATTTACCATCCAGGGCATCACTGCCTGTCAAGCTGCCCTGGAAGCCTAACAACTGTTTATTTTTTATTTATTTGAGTCTCGTTCTGTCACCAGGCTGGAGTGCAGTGACGCAATCCTGGCTCACTGCAACCTCCGCCTCCCGGGTTCAAGCGATTCTCCTGCCTCAGGCTCCCGAGTAGCTGGGACTATAGGCGCGCGCCACCACGCCCAGCTAATTTTTGTATTTTTAGTAGAGACGGGGTTTCACCATGTTGGCCAGGATGGTCTCGATCTCTTGACCTCGTGATCTGCCCCCCTTGGCTTCTCAAAGTGCTGGGATTACAGGCGTGAGCCACCGCGCCTGGCTACTTTTTGTATTTTTAGTAGAGACGGGGTTTCACCATGTTGGCCAGGCTGGTCTCGAACTCCTGACCTCAAGTGATCAGCGTGCGTCAGCCTCCCAAAGTGCTGGAATTACAGGAGTGAGCCACCGCGCCCGGTCACATTTTATCCTCTTTTTAATAGGAGCAAAATAGTATTTATGTGGGATTCCACTGGTTTAAATTCTAATTAAATGAGACAAGATATAAAGTACTTAATTCCACACCTAGCAATACAGTTGACATCCATTAAAGTTTATTGAATTAAGGAATAAATTGGGCAATCATTTAACTTCTTTGAGACTGTTCCTGTAACAGTAAAGTAAAATTATTACTACTTGCTCCACCTCCCACACCAGATTGCTCTCAGGAACAAATGATAGTATGTTTACGCGAGTGCTTTAAAAACTGTAAAAGCACTTTACTACTTTCGAGTGGAATTTGTATGTTGATTTAATGTCATTCCTAGAGCCGGTTTTTATTACTATCAATTCGTTAAATTTAGCATTCCTATTAAAACCCACTACTAATGTGCAGAATTGTTTTAGTTATTTATAAGGACGTTGTTTTAGACTATTCCTAATTTTGTCTGGTTGCAGGGCTGTGGTGCCATATAGTAGTGATTGTGACAAACCCGTACTTTCAGGAAAAACATTCACTTTTCTCCACTCCTGGTTTCTATCGCCAAGAAATGTCTGGCAGAAGCAGCACAAATCAATGATTCCAGCCTAGCACCTTAAGGTAAGAAGTGACCAAAGACCCCCAACACAGCTATCCCAAATTAAAGCCACTTTGACCAACGACAACGTCCAGTGAAGACACGGAGGAGGGTCGGGCTGGAAAAGAAGAGGACGAGGAACCCGAGGGGCCCTCCCCTCTCTCTCCCTGCCCCCCAACCCCGCGCCGGGAGCTCCAGCGGTGCCGGGGTCCAGCGCGCAGGACGGTTGGGGGGTCCCGGAGCGGGCGGCCAGGACCCGCGCAGCCAGTTGGTGTCAGCGAGCGCCGCGGCCGTTGGGGACTCCAGCTCCCAGCAGGCACCGCTTCTGCGGCCGACGCGCGTGGCGGCGGTGCCGGCTGGGACTCGTAGTGCGGTCCGGGTAGGAGAGAGCAGGGGGCCACGCTGGCTCCATCTACGCACGTTTCGGAAACCGGGCCCGGAGGGGACCACGCCCGCTCACCCGTGCCCGGCGTCCCCCGGAGCTGGGGCTAGAGGAGCCGGGCCGGCCGCAGCGGGAAGAGGCCACAGGCGGCCGCGCACGTGGGGGGTGGTTAGCGCGGAGGAACCCGGAAGCCCTTTGCACCGCCCACCGCCGCGGTGACGGGTTAACGCTCCTCCTGGTGGAGGCAGGGGCGGGCGGGGCGGAAGGCGGGGACGCCTCAGCCAACACCCCCGAGGACCGCCCGCGAGCCGTCCTCCCCACCCCCACGGACGCGACGCAGCGCGGGCTCCGCTTCCCCGGCCGCGGCGCCTGCGCAAAAGCCCCGCCCCTTCGCCCGAGCCCCACCCCCACACCGCAGCCTCCACCGCCGCCACCTCTCCCTTCCTCTCTGCTCTTTCCTCCTGTTTTCTCTTCCCTCCTCCCCCTGGCCTCCGCGTCTCCTCCTACTCCGGCGCTGACGCTCGCGTAGGGGCCCTGGCGTCAGACGCGCGGGGGCGGGGCGAGTGCGGCGCGGGGTATAAGTAGAGGGTGCAGGAGGCGGTGCTTCCCCTTCTCCCCGGCGGTTAGTGCTGAGAGTGCGGAGTGTGTGCTCCGGGCTCGGAACACACATTTATTATTAAAAAATCCAAAAAAAATCTAAAAAAATCTTTTAAAAAACCCCAAAAAAATTTACAAAAAATCCGCGTCTCCCCCGCCGGAGACTTTTATTTTTTTTCTTCCTCTTTTATAAAATAACCCGGTGAAGCAGCCGAGACCGACCCGCCCGCCCGCGGCCCCGCAGCAGCTCCAAGAAGGAACCAAGAGACCGAGGCCTTCCCGCTGCCCGGACCCGACACCGCCACCCTCGCTCCCCGCCGGCAGCCGGCAGCCAGCGGCAGTGGATCGACCCCGTTCTGCGGCCGTTGAGTAGTTTTCAATTCCGGTTGATTTTTGTCCCTCTGCGCTTGCTCCCCGCTCCCCTCCCCCCGGCTCCGGCCCCCAGCCCCGGCACTCGCTCTCCTCCTCTCACGGAAAGGTCGCGGCCTGTGGCCCTGCGGGCAGCCGTGCCGAGATGAACCCCAGTGCCCCCAGCTACCCCATGGCCTCGCTCTACGTGGGGGACCTCCACCCCGACGTGACCGAGGCGATGCTCTACGAGAAGTTCAGCCCGGCCGGGCCCATCCTCTCCATCCGGGTCTGCAGGGACATGATCACCCGCCGCTCCTTGGGCTACGCGTATGTGAACTTCCAGCAGCCGGCGGACGGTGAGCGCCGGGCTCCGCGGTCGGCCGGGCGGGCGGGCGGCCATGAGGCTCGGGCGGCGGCGGCGGGCGGGGTAGGCCGGCGGGCCCGGGGAGGGGGGCGGGAGGGCATGTCACCCCGCGACGGCCGGCGGGAAGGCGCCGGGGTCCCTGGAGCCGCGTTTCCCGAGCCGGCGGGGACCCGCGCTGCCGGCAGCCACACGCCCGGCTACTTCCTCCTTTGCGACCATTTTCTCGGCCTCAGACGCTCTCAAACTTTAGGGTGATGACGCGCCGGGAGGGTGGGTGAGATTCGGTTCCTCCGCGGCGCTCCCGCCAGTGGCCCCGGGATTCTGGGGCGTTGAACGCTGAGCTCCTTCCGTGGGTAAGAGGTGGAGGCGCTCCCACCACCCGGAGCTCCTGCCGGCGCCCCAGCCTGGGGAGGAAGTGCAGTTCTGTGCTCGAAAAATACCACGTGTTGAACCCTGTAACCTCGCAGGCCCGAGGCCTGCTTCTGCTCCTGCTCCTGGCCCAGTCGCCTGGGGGAGCCACCAGGCCTTAGGATAAAGTTCCTGTGGCGATGTGTGGTGTGGTGGTGGTCCTCAGGCTTGTGAGTCCACTTCCCAGAACTCATCAGTGACTGATGGATCTAGGAATGGAATTTACCGGAGACATGCATTTGGGGTTTCCCCTAGATCAAGCATTTCTCTAACATTAAAAGGGCAGAGTGGGAGGAGGGGATGTGGCAGCCGACCACTTTGAAGGCCAGTTTTCTCAGGCAACTTAGACCATTTTTAGTCAAATTTTATCTTAGATTCACAGTACTGGTGGTTTTCGAGTATATTATGTTACCTTCTGAAATAGTTCCTGTCGTTTTGAGGGGCTTTTCTTTATAAAATAGTCAACTTTGGCTATAAAATGTTACTTTAGTGTAATTCCAACTGGACCAGTCTTATCTGTAGCATGCAAGAAGTTCAAGTTTCTCTTTTATTTTTAAAAGTGGCCCATGATACCTGTAAATCTTGGGAAATGACTGAGTACAAAATAACGGAGATTAAATTGAGCTTGAAATTTATGGGGGAAATGCAGCTAACTTTGTGCTTTTATTTTGAAGCTAAACAGTTAACAGAAACACAATTTTGTAAACAGATAATATCTGTGGTCTGTTGAGTTGCTAGGATTTGTCTTTAGATCAATTGGCTTTGAGAAGTCAGCTTAATTCCATTTTACGGCCCAATTTTGCCTTTTTCCCCCCCTACAGGCTGGCCACTTGAATACATGTCAAATAATCGAAATATGAAGAATTCATTTTTATTAGAAAAGGCCTTAAGGGTGGAATTTAAGCTCCTATTAACATTCATTCAGTAGAACTTAGGTTACTGATCAGCTCTTCACTGTGTAAAGTTGATACTGATTTTGGAAGCAGAATATTGAGTGACACAGAGCCAGAAGTTGTAAAACTGCACTGCAGGTTTCCTGCCCTTTTGCTCTGTAAGCAGTAACTCCAAATGTCACTTCATAACAGTTCTTGTCAACCTTAGGCAGGATGTATCAATGCATGTCAGATGGGGGTAGATAACTTTGGGGCAGGTTATCACAACCTAAGAGTTGGTGGAGAAAACATGGGAATGAATTCTAGAGACCACAAAATGAAAACTTGAAAGTGTTACTCTTTCTCAGCTTAACGTTTTTAAATCCAAAAAACAATTTTTACATTTCTTGGGATTCGAAGAGTTGAACTTCAGGTTGCCGTGGTTACAGTGTACAGTATATATTATCAGTCTGTACCAGTAGACCAGTACCCTAACTACTGAAAAGAATATGGCAGTTTTCCATTTGTCTAGTTTCTGTATGTACAATTTACTATCCAATTAATTACTTAAGTGGATTTCTTGTTCTTTTTTAAAAACTTATTGCTACATTGATAGGCAGAATAGCTTCTGAAAGTGACCAGTTTTCAATTTCATAGGAAGAGGTGACTCATTGAAAAATAGCTCAAGCAAAGTCAGCTAAAAAAAAAAAAAAACTAGGGAAGCTGAGTAGGTGTGGTCAATTGATAATGAGCTAACAGCTGATTATCACTATATTCTAGAAACTGGAACTTTCATTTATAAAAAAAGAGGTGGCCGGAAAATTCATCCTGTCAATAACTTTTAAATTTACATTGGCATGGAATTTGTAGGAATTGTTTCAGGGCTTAAAAGGGACCGTTTTCCCTCTCTTCGGGGACTAGTCTTTTTATTTAAGGATGTGTTATTTCATTTAGAGCCTTTAATGGTACAGGTATACATAATTCAATCCTTTATAGATCCTGAAATTAATTGTAGATTTTGAAATTTTCTAGCAGTATTCAGAAATAACTAAATCAGTTGTTAAGAAAATCAGCGATCTAAAGTGAAATTGATTGTATGTGTCAAGAGAGCGTTAATGGTGATTTCTGAATATTGCAGACCTGGTGTTTTTAAAATTCTGTGATTATGAAACCAAATATGTCTAACTTCACATTAGCTTTTGAAAGCATGATTCAAATCTTGGTCTAGCCTTTCATTTTCTTAAATGGAAGTTGTGCCATGAATCACTGAAACCCTCCCTCCCCCCAATAATTAAGAAACTTTCATTTTTTAGGAAATGGACTAGTTTTCATATAATATTGTTAGTTATTAGCAATGAAATGACCAATTTTAGCAAGTAGTTGGGAAGAAGTTAAAATATTTAAATCTATAAACTACTTCCAGCTTGTAGATAAATCTGTTGCGTAATGTCTTTTATACTGCTTATTAAACAGATTGTATGTGAAGGAATTTGGATTTTGATAACTAGGAAAAAAAGTGCTTTAGATTTAATGGCAATTAAGGCGAGAGATTGCGTCAAGAATTTATTAATTATTAGCAATATGGAATTCTTTTATATGTGAGAAATTTCGGGGGCTTCTGGTATTTGTCTTTGCTTTATACAACTTAGGTCCCACACTAGTGTGTGATACTTGAAAGGTCTAGCCATCTTGAAGCTTAAAGAGGAAGCGTTCAACTGTGAGACCATGTGTCCTCCCACTCCAGTCACCATAGTTTATATAATCTTAAGTAGCCAGCAAAAATTTTGAAGTAATATTGACTCTGAAAATGTCCTTCCTGCAGCGGAGCGTGCTTTGGACACCATGAATTTTGATGTTATAAAGGGCAAGCCAGTACGCATCATGTGGTCTCAGCGTGATCCATCACTTCGCAAAAGTGGAGTAGGCAACATATTCATTAAAAATCTGGACAAATCCATTGATAATAAAGCACTGTATGATACATTTTCTGCTTTTGGTAACATCCTTTCATGTAAGGTAAGCCAAAAATGTCCGATACACATGTTTACATTGTTGAGCTACATTTAGTTTAGTGCTTGAAATAGGAACTGTGCAGTAATGGATATCTTTATTTCACAAATATCCAGGTTAGATGGCTAACAGATTGTCTCTCAACACTGAACAAATGTTAAATCAATAGCAAATAAAGAAAAATGGGTATATGTTTTTCCCTAGGTGGTTTGTGATGAAAATGGTTCCAAGGGCTATGGATTTGTACACTTTGAGACGCAGGAAGCAGCTGAAAGAGCTATTGAAAAAATGAATGGAATGCTCCTAAATGATCGCAAAGTGTAAGTTATAAATATCTAGCTAATCATATTTTGAATCTTATTTTTAATAATTCCAAATCCATTCATTTTAAGTTAATATTTGTCAGGGAGAAGTTAGATGCACATAAGATAAAAGAATAAAAACATTTTAAAGATGAATAACAAAAATTCATGTAGTTGTACTGGAGTGAAAATTAATAAGCTAATCTTGATTTTTACAATTGAATTTTCTACACAGTAAGTGTAACATACAAATAACAGGTTTAATATAATTAACATTCATGCCAAAAGGAAAACAGAAGATAAGTAAACAGAAAAATGTAGCTTTTTCAAAATGAGTGCATTAGTGAAAAATCAGGAATTCAGACAAACCTAATATTCATAATTCTTGAGGTACTGGTTAAATTAACCCATTTTATAGGTGAGGAAACTCAAAGTAATTTGCTTTTATGTACTGTAAAATGAGAGACATACATTACTCACAAGTCCGGGCGCGGTGGCTCATGCCTGTAAATCCCAGCACTTTGGGAGGCCGAGGTGGGCGGATCACCTGAGGTTGGGAGTTTGAGACCAGCCTGACCAACATGGAGAAACCGTCTCTACTAAAAATACAAAATTAGCTGGGCATGGTGGCGCATGCCTGTAATCCTAGCTACTCGGGAGGCTGAGGCAGGAGAATCACTTAAACCCGGGAGGCGGAGGTTGCAGTGAACCGAGATTTCGCCATTGTACTCCAGTCTGGGCGACAAGATTGAAACTGTCTTTAAAAAAAATAAATAAATACTCACAAATGCCTGTTACCAGGGCTTTAGGAGGAAAAAAAAGCAAGCCCAACACTGGCAGGATCCAGAAAAGAATGATATGTTGCTGTTTTGAGTAAAAGTGATATAACTCTTTTGGAAATTTGTAACTGTCCTAAGAAGAAATACACAAAGTGTCTTTCATAAAGTTTCAGCTTTACTGCAGTGTGCCTTTATTCCCAGCCACTGGGAAGCTGAGGCAGGATGCTTGAGCCAAGGCTGTAGTGTGTTGTGATTGTGCCTGTGAACAGCTATTACACTCCAGCCAGGGCAGAATAGCAAGACCTTGTCTCTTAAAAAAGTTGCAGCATTATTTACAAAGCAGAAAGTGATGGTCACAATGAAATACGCTCCCTTTGAGAACATTTATGAAACTAATAGCATAGCGAAGACCAACCATATTTTGTGGAGAGATAAGGAAATTATTTTTATTTTACTTTTTATTCTAAAGCTGGGTTAGAGATAAGGAAATTTAGATGACTAGGGTGAGATTATGTAAGATGGTTTTTCCTTCTGCTTTGCTGTGTATTATAATATGCTATGACACATGTGCTACCTTTTTTTCTTCAGTGATCGTTGTTCTTTTTATATTTTTGAGACATGGTCTTGCTCTCTTGCCCAGGCTGGAGTGCAGTGGTGCAATCTACTCACTGCCACCTCTGCCTCCCGGGTTCTAGCAATTGTCGTGCTTCAGCCTCCCAAGTAGGTGGGATTACAGGTGTACACCACCACACCCAACTAATTTTTGTACTTTAGTAGAGACAGTTTCACCATGTTGGCTAGGCTGAACTCGAATTCCTGGCCTCCAGTGATCATCCCACCTTGGCCTTGCAAAGTGCTGGGATTACAGGTGTGAGCCACTGCCTAGCCCAGTGATCCTTGTTCTGAATTACTACTGTTATATTCAGAAAAAATTAAGTTTTAGTGTCATTTTGTTGAAAATGCTGCAGTTATGTCAGGCTGTTGTGTGTTAGAGTACACGATTGGGAAGTTTAAATTTTTATTCTAGGAGATGGCAAAGAAAGCGCAAGCGCCACTTTAAAATGACGATGAAAGCTTTTTAATTTGATAGAGGTCTTTTTATTGGCATGGTACACATGCACTTCCACTCATTTGTATTGATGGGAGTGATCCCTTTAACCCTAGGTTAGCTAGAGAAGAGAAGTGTGTATTAAAAGAAGTGGTTTTTTTTTTGTGATTGTAGTTAGAGGCTTATTCATATATTTCATGGTGTCATATCTTAAATTATGGCCCTATTTCTATTTTGTAGTGTGCTTTTTATTAGGGATTCTGAATATTCTCATTAACAGTAACAAAACCAACCATCAGGCTTACTTAATCTGAACTTTATAAAATAGAATCTAATGTTATAGTCCTTGTATATCTTATTAGATTTGTTGGACGATTTAAGTCTCGTAAAGAACGAGAAGCTGAACTTGGAGCTAGGGCAAAAGAATTCACCAATGTTTACATCAAGAATTTTGGAGAAGACATGGATGATGAGCGCCTTAAGGATCTCTTTGGCAAGTTTGGTAATGTGTCTTAATTAAATTTTTACACACAAAGCTCTGAATTAGTGCTCAGTGTTAATTTTAGCTATTACTTTATACTAAAAAAGTCAATAAAATTAGACTTACATGGTACTTTAAAATATTTGTGGTTATTTGAATTAAGCTGCTGGCCATCTATTACACTACAAAGTAGTATAATGCAAATAAATAGAATTCTATCCAGGTTAAAGGTTAATAGCATTAGATTAGCACAGTAAGGTATGACTAAGTAATTAGAACAGATTTTAAAATATTTTACTACATTAAGAGGCTGGAGATATATATGTGTGTGTGTGTGTGTGTGTGTGTGTGTGTGTGTGTAATTAGAGATCCCATGTCATCAGAAGCATATATTTGACACAGCCAGCCTACAGTGGAATGCAGTCTCATAGAACAATAAAGCTGGTCAGTCTAAGTAACATCATGTTTGAGCAGTTTAAAACAATGACTTTCAGCGATGAAACCAAAAATTCAGATTTTCCAGTGATTCAAAGTACTTATTTCCTGCATTTAAAAATAACTTCATAAAACTTGAAATTGATGAAGCACAAACCAGCCTTAGTTTAGGTAGGGGTATAACAGATAAAATAACTTTTAAGTGTTCATGTGCAGATGATTTGCTTGACCCCACCCTTTGCATTTTGTGTTGAACTTAGAGGTGTCTTGCTTTTTTTAATATGTCAAATAATAAAGAATTAGGAAATCTAA
Organism: Homo sapiens; assembly: GCF_000001405.40. Taxonomy (NCBI): domain Eukaryota; kingdom Metazoa; phylum Chordata; class Mammalia; order Primates; family Hominidae; genus Homo; species Homo sapiens. Next base: position 100,714,735 of record NC_000008.11, on the reverse strand, counting down.
TACTTTTTTTTTTGACTCTTGCTCTGTCACCCGGGCTGGAGTGCAGTCACGTGATCTCGGCTCATTGTAGCCTCCGCCTCCCGGGTTCAAGCAGTTCTCCTATCTCTACCTTGAGTAGCTGGGATTACAGGTGTGCGCCACCATGCCCAGCTAATTTTTGTATTTTTATTAGAGACGGGGTTTCACCGTGATGGCCAGGCTGGTCTCCAACTCCTGACCTCAAGTGATCCAGCCACCTCGGCCTCCCAAAGTGCTGGGATTACAGGTGTGAGCCACTGTGCCTGGCCAGGAAATCTAATATCTTACTGCCATGCTAGCATGTCACATCAAGCCCTCCACTAGAGCAAAAAAGTACCATTTTGCACAAAGATAGATGATATAAAACATAGAAAGTGACATCATGTTTACATCTCAACCCCCAAATTTAGCTACTGCCTTTTATATATTTCAACTGTCATGCTTCTTAATGTCTTATAATTAGAAGCTGTTTGTAAAAGTTGATGTTAACTACCT